>NC_000005.10:64484807-65109807 GCF_000001405.40 Homo sapiens | reverse complement strand
GTTCATACATCAAAGGACTCTACCATGAAAGTAAAAAGACACTCCACAGAATTGGAGAAAATATTTGCAATTACATATTTGATAAGAGTCTAGTATTTAGAATACATAAACACTTACAACTCAACAACAAAAAGATGAACAACCCAATTAAAGAACTGTCAAGGATTTAACAGATATTTCTCCAAAGAAAATATACAAATGATAAATAAGCACATGAAAAGATGCTCAACATCCTTAGTCATTAGGGAAATCAAACACACACACAAAATGAGTCACCACTTCACACTTACTAAGATGGCAATAATAATAAAATGGAAATTGAGTGTTGATGAAGATGTGGAAAAATTGGAATCCTCATACATTACTGGTGGGAATGTAAAATGGTACAGCCGCTACGGAAAATAGTTTGGCAGTTCCTCAAAAAGTTAAACATGGAATTATATGACCCAGCAATTCTGCTCCTAGGTATATACCTAAGAGAATTAAAAACAGGTGTTCCAACAAAAACTTGTGCATGCTTGTTTATAATAGCATTACTCGTTATAGCCACAAAGTGGAAACTACCTTAGTGTTCATCAACAGATGAATGAATACCCAAAATGTAGTATATCCATACAATGGAATATTGCTCAGCCATAAAAAAAGAATAAAGTATGGATGAACCTTGAAAATATTATGCTAAGTGAAAGAAGCCAGACACAAGGGCCACATATTGTATGATTCCATTTATATGAAATGTTCAGAATAGGCAAAGCAATAGAGACAGAAAGCAGATTAGTGGTTGCCAGGCTGGAAGGAGGGTAGAATGGGGAGTGACTGATTAATAGGTACAGAATTTCTTTTGTGGGTGATGAAAATTCCAGAATTAGATCATGATGATAGTTACAAAATCCTGTGAATGTACTAAAAGCCACTGAATTGCACTCTTTTAAATGGTTAAAATGGTGATTTTTGGGGGAGGAAAAAAACTAAAATCTAGATTCAGAAAGAAAATTAAAAGATAAGAATGATATTTTTATCCTCAATGCCTGTTGTTATACATTATAAAATTGACCTTGCAAAGTTAAAGGAAGATTTTGCTGCAAATCAAATTAGGGTGACTTACACAGGTATAGAAACTGTGTATTCCAAACTTCTTGAAACAATCTGATTTTACTTAATTGTATTATTTTCAATAAAGGTGATTCATTATATGGTAAACAAAAAAAGCCTAGACAAATAGCATACTTAAAATTACAACAGTCAGTGATTCCACCTGACTTTCTATTCATTAAGAGTGTGTCCCAGAATGAAGGTAAATTGGTAAAAAGACATAGATGATTAGGCTGGGTACGGTGGCTCACGCCTGTAATCCCAGCACTTTGGGAGGCCGAGGCGGGTGGATCACCTGAGGTCAGGAGTTGGAGACCAGCCTGACCAACATGGAGAAACCCTGTCTCTACTAAAAATACAAAATTAGCTGGGCGTGGCAGTGCATGCCTGTAATCCCAGCTACTCAGGAGGCTGAGGCAGGAGAATTGCTTGAACCAGGGAGGCGGAGGTTGAGGTGAGCCGAGATCGCACCATTGGGCCATGAGACCTAGGTTTGATACCTGACACTGGAAAGGGATTAACCATGAAGACTTCAGGAAGTCACTTAACCTCTCTTCAGCTCAATTTCTTTACTGAGATGCCAATCTACATAGACTAATAATTAGCCTCAGAGGGACTAGCGTATAGTATACATGTAATACATTATTATCATAATTTCTATAGATTGGCCAGTATGGGAAAATAAGAGAAAACTACCTCAAACCTGCCGGAGGAAGTTATGGCAAATTTCCTAGATCTCAATTGTCTTAAGCCAGCCAGGCTGACAAGGGAAACACATTCTATGCAAAAGGAATTACATATGCAAAGAGACAAAAGTATGGAAGATAATGACATGATATTGTATCAGGAACACAACATTGAGGTAACTTGGTCAGGGCATGTCCAGAAGGGGCAGAAGGTGAGCTGGAAAATGTCAGTTGGGGCCAGATCATTACAGAGTACTCCATCTTGAGTATATCACTTAAGAACTTTAAGAAAAGGAATGCAGTCAGCTTTGCATTTCTAGAAAGATAACTGGCTGAATGGGCAGAATGGATTAAAGTGAGAGGCAGTTCATCAAGGTAACAAGTTTGGAGGCTAGCACTTCTATACCAACAGGATTGGCATAGATGGAGACTAGAAGTGTAACTGACAAATGTTATTGATCGAACGGATATTGGAGGAGAGAAAGGAGGCATCAAAAAGTAACTCTAGGGTTGGGCGTGGTGGCTCACACCTCTAAACCTAGCACTTTGGGAGGCTGAGGCAGGAGGATCATTTGAGGTCAGAAGTTTGAGACCAGCCTATCCAACATGGGGAAGCCCCATCTCTAATAAAAATACAAAAATTAGCTGGGTGTGGTGGCACACGCCTCTAATCCCAGCTACTCAGGAGGCTGAGGCAGGAGAATTGCTTGAACCCAGGAGGTGGAGGTTGCAGTGAGCTGAGATGGCACCACTGCACTTCAGCCTGGGCAACAGAACAAGACTGTCTAAAAAAAAAAAAAAAGTGACTCTAGGCTTCTAGATTGTGCTCCTTGGAGGATAAGGACCACAGGAAGAGGAGCAGTTTGGGATACAGTCAGAAATATAATCAGCTCTCTGTATCCATAGGTTCCACATCCCTGGATTCACCAACCACAGGTTGAAAATATTAGAAAAAAATTGCATCTGTACTGAACATGTATAGACTTTTTTCCTTGTCATTATTCTCTAAACAATACAGTATAACAACTACTTAAATAGCATTTAGATTATATTAGGTATTATAAGTAATCTAGAGATGATTCAAAGCATATGGGAGGATGTACGTGGGTTATATTCAAATGGTACACCATTTTATATTAGAAACTTGAGCATTTAAAGATTTTGGTATCCACAGGAGGTGGTGGAACCAATCCCCCACAAATACAGAAGGACACCTGTATATATGTGGAACCCAACGGGGAAATACACATTTGAGAATAGGTGGTAGCTGGTATCATTAATTCATTATGTCCAGCAAAGTATTAAGTTCTATGATGCTATGACATGGACTTGCTCTTAGGGATTTATAGACTAGTGGGGATAGGTAAGGTATTTCACAAGTAGATACGTTAAGATGTGTGAAAAGCAGTGTTGTAATCAATGAAATACAGAATAGCTAACCCAGATTAGGAGTCAGAGGAAGCCTCTCTGACAATGTAACATTCCCACTTTGACTTTAAGGGCAAGTTGCAATTAGCTGGAGAAGAGAAACTAGGCAGAATGAACACTATGTACAAAGGCCTAAAGGAGAGAGAGCACTGCCCCTGAGGACCTGAAGGACATTCAGGAATACTAGAGCAGGGAATGCAAGAGATGGGGAAAAGAAGCAAGCAGGAGTGAGGATGTGAGGGGCCTCATAAGCCTTGGAAATAAATCTGGGTGTTTGGGTCGGGAGTATCTTGATAAGACTGAGTTCTAGAAAGGTCATGGTGCTGCACCAGAGAATGGCATAAAAGGGTGTGAGGTTGTTTGCAGAAATCAGTTAGAAGGCTTTCAGTGGCCTGGATGAGACAGATTTGATTTATTAATCAGAATTGTTTCAAGGAGACAGAAACCACCTCAAAAAGTTCAATTAAAAATGAGAAACTTCTTGGTTTCAGTAACTGAATCACAGAAAGACAAGGGAGCTGCTGGCCAGCAAGGGATGGATGGGGGAATGGAGTGCTGCCAGGACCCCTTTTCTACTTTTGCCCTCATCTCTGTGCATCTTGGAAAGTTTGCTGTTCATCTTTCAGGCCTGGTAGGGTACATGGCCTGTTGGTGGCTCTGAGATCACATCTCTACAGCTTCTAACTAAAGGAGACATTTTGTCTCTGATTCAGAATAGATTCAGAATACAAGTTCCCAGGAAATGCTGGGATTGGCTGGGCTCGGATCATGTGCTAATGTCTGGACTCAATTCTGTGGCCAAAGTACCTCTCCCCTTGGAGAGATAAGAGCATTGTCTAAGGGACATGGTCACCCCAATGGTCAAGGAAGTAAGGTCTGTTACCAGGAAGGCTGTAGGAAGATGCCGGCAGTCCCGGGCAGACACAAAAGCACTCTGGATATTCAGGTGATAGAATTGACACAAAAGCACTTCAGATATTCTGGTGGTAGAATTAACTGAATTTGGTGATTGACTGATTGTGGGGGAAAGGCAGCAATGAGCCAAGGATGACACTTAGATTTCTAGCTTGGGCAAATAGGAGGATGTGGGAGCCATTCTCTGAGACAGGAAACACAAGAATAGAAAGAGATGGTTTGAAAGAGAAAGTGAGTTCAGATTTGTACCATAGGAGTGCTGAAGAGCACATGGGACGGCCAATTTGAGATGCCCAATAAGGGCCTGATGCACAGAAGAAACAGCCAAGCTGGACAGAGATTTGGGAATCATCAGCACTGGCAGGGTCACTGCAGCCCCCGATTGGATGTGATCTTCCAGGAAGAATGGAGAGTGAGAAAAGAGGAGGAACTCTGGGGGCACCAACATCCAAAGGAAGATCAGAGAAAACTAAGAAGTAGCAAGAGAGAGGAAGAAACCAGGAAAGAATCCTATTATTGTGTGAATTATGGTTCATAATGGTTATGAAAGCTAGCACGGAGAATTAAAAAGTGATGGGAAGTGGAAGGGAGAGGACATGCCCTCTAGTTTCTAAGAAGCTCACAATCTGTAAGACCAGATAAGATCAGAATACATCAGCTAACAATGCAAGTAATGTATGACAGGTACCAACATGAGTTCTAGGAGGAGGAAGACAGCAGGAGCATTATGGATTGGGGTAGCCAGGGGAAGTAGGATATAAGTAGACCCTAAAAAGTGGGTAAGACTTGAATAGCTGGACACTGGGATTGGAGAGAGGAAATTCGGGTTAGAGGAATTTCAGGTTGGAGGAATTTCACGCGCAAAGGAGGAACTACACCAGGAGCACTCAGGAGATGTGCTTATGTTGGGGACTGATGACAGATTATTTTAGGAGGGTAAGCTTGGCCAGATGGAGAGGGCTTTGAATGCCAGGCAAAAACACCTGGTAATAAACTTTAGTTAGTAGGCAGCCTTCAAAGGTTTCAGATACTCCCTAAAAGAAACTGACTTGTGTTATTTTCTTACCCCTTCAAAGCATCCCTGTGAGACCAGTCCCTGTTATCTAAACGTATTTTTCTCCTATCATGTCGTGTCTTCCTTTGTTGACTTTATTTCTAAAAATATTAGGTGTGACTCTGACACTTTTGGTATCTGGGACTGCTCAGCAGCTTTCTCTAGCAGGTAGTTAAGTTTTCTTTTCTTCTACCCTATTACTTCCAGTTCCATCCCTCAGGGACCATGAGAAACAATTCCACTTCTCCTTATGTTTATATTCGGAGGATGCTTATAGAGTTTCCACATTCCCTGTGCTTTGAGCTCAGCCAAGGTATACATACTTAATTCTTTTAATCTCTCCCCCTAAGTCACTCCCTGTGGCCCCTTAAGCATCCTAATTGCTCTTCTCTGAAAGGCAGCCAGCTCATTATGTGCATCTTCCTTGGGAGGCAATGAGGAACATAGTATTCCCCGTGTGGTCTCACTAGACTCATATATTACCTCCCAGTTGCATCCCACGACTGGACATGTGGAGCCGCACTCCTTCTGCTCCCCGCTCCCTACAGTGCGCCCTGGCCTCAGTAAATCCCTTATCTCAACAGGTTATCTCCCATTTCCAGGTGGCCTGTTCCAAAGCTTGGAACCTGTGTTCACCACATGTTCAACCCCCAGCTCCCGCCTCAGGAGGTCTCTTACTGGGGAAGGTGGCCCGGAACCAGGACGAGTATCTGTGGAAAATTGCAGCTAAGCTTGCGTAAGTAAACCTTGGAAGAGGAGAGGCTGCGGAGTGCCCAGAATTAAGAGATGCCGCATCCTGCCATGAGCTCCCCGGCCTGCCCGGCTGTGACAGTATTCAACAAGGTGCAACTTGGAGGCTTCGCCTCTGTTTCCAATTATCCCTTTTATCTCTGCTCTAGCCCCTCTCCTTACCTAAGTGTTTTCATAGCTCTCAGTCATTACTGTTTAGCTTTGTGAGGATAAACGTGAAACCAAACAAATTATACATATCCTGTCTCAAGATGTGTTATCACCCTCTGACTAGAAACCCCCAGAAGCCTGCGGCTTTTGAAAGTTCTAGGTTTTTTTTTAAGCTTTGAAAAAAAAATGGTGGCAGAGGTTAAACTGCCTTTGAGAACGCCAAATGTTTGGATTTCAGTGAAGGTTGACATGGAAACCCACCTGAGGCTTCCTCGAGTGTCTCGGGAGGTAATAAAACCCGAGCTGGATGCTCCTGCTGCTGGGGGAGGAACAGCTCCCAGGGCGGCCAGGTGGGGGCGGCGGGGCCTGAGGAAGCTGCCCGGGGCCGCACAAAAGGGAAATCGAGGAGAGGAAGCCAAAAGCCAGAAAGGGCACGACGGGGGCGTGGGTGCGGGTGTCCGGGGAGACCTCGGCCGTCCCAGAACTTTCCAGGGCCCGGGGACCTGCGCCGCCCCGACTGGAAAGTTGGTGTTTTTACTCGAAGCCCTTTCTCTGGGCAGTTTAATAACAAACAGCGGCCGCAGCAATGGCGTCCGCGCCGGCAGCGTCGGGGCGCCCGGAGGCGGGGCGCGGCGGGGCGGGACTCTCCTCCCGCTCGGGCCCGGGGCGACCGGCGCACCCCACAGCCGCTCCCGGCGGCCGCCGAGGCGAGGGGCGGCAGAGAAAGGTCGGGAGCACTGAAGCACCGGGGTTGCCGGAGGCGAGGGCACCCAAGTTTATGCAGCTTGGGGTGGACGCTCGACTGCTGAGCTGCAAATACACAGAAAGCTTTGCCCACCGCTCGCCCCGTAGGTTCATCGCTTTATTCCCATCTACACCCAGGCACAGGAGAACTAAAGTGAAGAGAATTATCTTATGTTGGTTTCTTGGGGAGGAGGCGTGTGGAGGGGAGAGAGCCCTCCGGGAGAGACGAGGGAGAAAGGCAGAGGGAACCCATAGGGAGAGGAAGCAGGACGCCAGTGCTGCTTCCTAACACCTCTCTTTGTCTCCATTCAACACGGATTCCTCCCCATGGTGGGCCAGCCTTAGAGGACACATTCGTCTTTGCCCCCAAGGCCACCACAGACTCTGTGTTTCTACCCTGAGTACTAGAGGATGCCCTAGAAAAGAAATCTTGAGGACCTCTCTCTTTGAGACTTTGAGGGCCTCCACCTTCCAGCCACTGTTTCGTCCAAATCTGGGTTATCCATTCAGTAAAGGGTTGCCAGCTGAAATACAGCACACTGAGTTCCATATGAATATCAGATAGACAACGACAAATTTTGAGCATGAGTATGACCCACACAAAAATTCGTGTGCGTTTGTTTTATTAACTCTAGCAATCCTAATTCAGTACGTATTTCTGATTCTTCTTCAATTCCCGTCCAGACAGCAACCCTCTGAGACAGGAAGGGAGCGTGCTCTCACCAGGCACCATTTCCTGCCTCTCCCTCGGTCCCCTCTAAAATTGGTAAACCTCAGGTGTTTTCTAGGGAAGTCCCACCGTAAGTGGAGAAAGAATAAAGATGGGAGTAGAGATCAGGGGTGAAGTAGTTTAAGGTCACCTAACCAAAAATTGGAAATTTCAAACGCAAGAGCTGAGTTCTCCTTTATTGGAGGAATTAACAAGATGTGCTGTGAACATAAGAGTTAAATAGTAGTCGCCTTTTGTAAGCAACTCTAACAGAGGTTTACATTTGGGATTAATAGTAAACTCCCCAGGCCTTACTGACAGAAGAATGTAGTTGCCCAAATAAACAATGTTTTGATCGGGACTCGAGACCAACCCTCCGAGCACTCAGCCTCTTCCTAGCAGGAGCATTTCCCAACTCTGAAGTAATTTGTAATGTGCTGGGAAAACATTTTCAAAAAATGGATATCTAAGATACCATAAAAGGGAAAACAGTTCTCGCTTTTGAAGT
Source organism: Homo sapiens (assembly GCF_000001405.40). Classification (NCBI taxonomy): domain Eukaryota; kingdom Metazoa; phylum Chordata; class Mammalia; order Primates; family Hominidae; genus Homo; species Homo sapiens. Next base: position 65,101,771 of record NC_000005.10, on the reverse strand, counting down.
AAGAAATACCATTTGCAGTAAAATTTCTTCCGTTTGCATTTCTGAATTATGTCTTGATAAAGCTAGGCTTACAGTGCCCGAGTGCTGCCTCCGACCTAGTAAGGAAGAGTCTAATGGAACAGTGTGGGTCTGGGGTTTACTGTCCTCTAAATATTATACTGTCTTCTTGGTACATAAAAATAAGAATACCTCCCAATGATGGGATTACTGTAACTGGCCTTTACTTCCCACTGTAGGCTTCCTGGAACTGGCCTTTCAGACTGGAAGACCCCTCAGCACAATTTTGTCACACCGTCTCTCAGCGGCCACTGTTCCTTCAAGGGTAGAAAAAGTTAACATTTCCCAATAGCACTTTGACTAGAAACATGAATGTGCTGAGAAGCACAGAAAACATATTGTTTTACTGGGAGGTCTCAAATGACTCCGGGAGGACTCCCTTGAAAAGGCCCTGGCTCCAGGTCAAACTCCAAAAGTGCTGCTCACTCTGCCCCCTGGTGCAAGTCGGTGTGCGGCTCACCCAGAAAGGAATTCTTCCCCTTTCCAGGTGGTGTTGTGGACAGCTTTGGAGGACCCTGCTTCCCAGGGGACCAGTGACTGTTTCTCTATGTGTCATGAGCTGAAGGCCTGAGGATCTGAAGATTTGGATTCTCCTCAAGTTCACTCCTTCAACAAGTATTTGTTGATTACCTCCTGTGTCCATATCACTCTTCACCAGGTTATCAAGGGAGGCAGGCTTGTGGGTGAAGGGTGAATTCCGAGTCATCGTGGGGAGTGATGAGGATGGGGAAGGGCAAGGAGAGAGGATGGGCACACAGGAGCTGAGCAGCAGTAAAGCTGCCGTATGCCCATGTCTAGCGCTGTGGCTGGCACAAAGCAGATGCTCAGGAAATGAAGCATTCTACTGCAAATGGTGTTTCTTACTTCAAAAGGAGATGGAGGTGGGTGTGCTCAGGAAATACTTGTTAAATCTCTTTAAGGATGAAATATTCTGGGTGACTTTATGTTATTCCTAAGCCAACTTTTTTGTTCCAACTTATTAAGTATCTTTTATCGATACTGTTAGGTAAACAGGTGCATAGGAGAGCCAGGGTGACACCATTTTAAAATCAACTGTATCTTAAATCTAACAAGGCACGGTCATGACCATGTCCTAAGATGTTTACAGCTAAGGAAGCAGCTTCATAATACCGGCAAGAACAAACTCCTATGACGACAAAATGCCCAGATGCACCAATATCACAGGATAATATATACTTTTAAGATGATTATAGCCATGCTTTCATGTGCCCACACACTAAAATGCCAAGGATAACTTCCATTATATCAACAAAGTAATACATTTTGTCACATTGTCAGCCCACCCACACATACATATAACTTAGCTTAAACTTTACATAGATAAGACCCCTATAGAAGAATTTACAACAAAGATGATATATTCCTCCTCTTGCTTTCTGAGGACGCCCTACTTTGTATCTGAGTAGCTTTCAATAAACTATCTCTTCTCACTGTACACTGTAACTTGCCTTGAATTCTTTCCTGTGTGAGATTCAAGAACCCTCTCTTGGGGCCTGGATCAGGATACCTTTTTCTGGCAACAATACTACTTTAGTAATGTTTTGTACTAAACAAAGCTGTTTTTTTGTTTGTTTTGTTTTGTTTTTTTTTTTTTTTGAGACGGAGTCTTGCTCTGTCACCCAGGCTGGAGTGCAGTGGTGCAATCTTGGCTCACTGCAAGCTCCGCCTCCCAGGTTCACGCCATTCTCCTGCCTCAGCCTCCCAAGTAGCTGGGACGACAGGCGCTTGCGACCACACCGGGCTAATTTTTGGTATTTTTAGTAGAGACGGTGTTTCACCATGTTAGCCAGGATGGTCTCAATCTCCTGACCTCGTGATCCGCCCACCTTGGCCTCCCAAAGTGCTGGGATTACAGGCTTGCGCCACTGCGCCCGGCCACAAAGCTGTTTTTTGGTTTATTTTATTTTTCTTCTTGGATGGTTATAAACGTCGCAGCATGTCAGACTCAACATTCCGATCTTGGATTGCAACTGGCCGGTAGTGAGTACTGCAGCCACAGGTTGTAGGAGATGGGAGTGAGTGTGCATTGACCCAAAGGCAGGCCTGGCATTTCTCATGAAATCTCTTACAAAAGTTTCCTTGTGGAGTTCCCTTATTCCTTATGGGTTAAGGATTTCTTAATCCATAAGGAATAAGGGAAATCCTTAAGGATTTTGTCAGACGTGGCTTATCTAAGTTTCCTTACGGAGATGCTCTATCTCACTGAAATCTAGCAAGTGATGTTTGGGCTTAGGATGGGAAGGCAAGGAAAGCAGTTAGCTAGAAAATTGGTATTCGTCGGGAGCCTACTAAGGAATGCAGTGTGGGTATCCAGCTCATGACAACATGCAGGTTGTTTAAGTTTGCTTGAATAAAGTAGACAGGCCTCTCCTCCGTCTTTGGCTGGCAAATAAGAACATATCTGGGAGACATCCATCAAATCCACATGGTTGGCTGCTCACTCTGTAAGAGAATTTATGGAAAAGTTTGTCCAGGAGTTGGCATAAGAAACAATGCTACTGATTATTCAAACAATTAGATATTTATTGATTCCAGACAGAACATTCCATAGCACTCGATGTGGTGGGAGATGGAGGAGGAGGAGAAGGCACTGTCTCTTCCTGTTGGAAACTTGTTGAGTAGTTGAGGATTTGAAGCTAATACACGCAAAACAACCAAGTACCAAGTACAAGAAGGGCCTGGGTCTGAGGGGTTGGAGTGCAAGGAGGGACCTGAGGTAGTAGTGATAATATGGCAGGCCAGGCACTGTGTGTGCCAAATGGACTGAGTAGGTCATTTCTGTTCATCTTCACACCAGCTCTATGATATTTGTACCATTGTTTCCCCCATTTACACATGAGGAACCTGAGCCTTAAAAAAGTAAAGGAGCTTGCCCGAGGTCACCCTGCAAGAAAATGGCACAACTGAGCCAAAAACATTTGTATAGGAGAAAGTAAGAGAAAAAGTGGGTGGAAAATTGTCATTTAGTGGAACAAACACTGTTTCCTTGCCTTCCTCTATCTTTAAAGTGCAGATAATAATCTCTACCTTTCAGGATTGTTAGGCAGGATAAATGAGAGTGTCTGTGAACATTTCCATTGCGACACTGCCTGGTGCTCAGTGGGAAGTTAGACGGCACCACATTAGGGAAGGGAGGTGAGGACAGATATCCCATAGAGGGAACTGGGACATGACTAATGTGGAGCAGTGGGAAGTAAGTTTGGAAGGGAAAAGGGACCCAGTTTATAGAGGACCTGAAACCTAAGAGAGAAGGTGAGCATTGATGTAGCATTAAATACTTTAACGAAATTATTAATACTTTTCTGATTTTTGTAGTAAAAATACAGTCATAAGAACTTCGGGGGAAAAAAAGCCCAGAAAAGTATGAAGGTGAAAATTAAAAATCTTACCCGCAGAGATAACCACTTGTAACCTTTTTTGTGTTACTTAACCTTGATCCTAACTATGACATGTGCTAGAAAATATGAAATTATGATCTTACTTTTATGAAATAAAGTGTTTTTATATGCATTTTTTATATATGCTTACAGTATTCTGTATGATTATATTGTATAATAAGCTCTGCTTTTTTCACTCTTTGTTGTGAACATTTTCCTCATAACTAGGAAATATTAGAAAAAACTTTTTAAGGCTATGGACTATTAACAAAGTAGAAGTACCATAATTTAACAATTTCTCTATTATTGGCTTTTGAGGTTGTTTCCAATCTTTCACTATTAGAAATAGCACTGTGATGAATGTCTTTATATATATATAAAACTTTAACCACATTAAAAAATTATTTCTTTGGGCTGAATTCCTAGAAATAGAGACACTAGGTCAAAGAATATAAGAATTTTTAAGGCTCTTGATTCAGATTGCCAAATGCCATTCCAGAAAGGTTGAAGCAATTTATACTCCCACCAGCAGTGTATGAGAGTGCCCATTTTATGGAATGCTTGCCAACAATGAGTATTTTTTTTAAACTTTGTCTATTTGATAGAGAAAACATAGTATCTTGTTTTAATTTGTATTTCTTGGATTATAAGTGAGGTGGAACTTTTTTTCATAGTTTATTGGCTGTTTGTATTTCTTCTTTTGTGAATTTTCTCATTGTTTCCTTGATCATTATTCTAGAACAGTACTGCATAGAGACCTAATGCAAACCGTGTATGTAATTTCAAATTTTCTTGTGGCCACATTAAACAAGTAAAAAAAACAGGTAAAATAAAATTTAATAATAAAATTATTTTAGTAATAAAAATCTTAATAATACAATATATTTAACTAAATACACCCCAAATATTATCATTTCAACATTGGCACTAGCTACATCTCAAGTGCTCTTGTGAGTAGTGGCTACCATATTGGACAGTGCAGATTCAGAACGTTTCCATCATAGTGGAAAGTTCAACTGGACAGCACTAGCATGGAGCTAGAGCTTTTGATATTTTTTTATAAGGAAACTTTATATATTTAGTTTTTTGTCTATCCTATTTGTTGTAGTTTTTCTAGTATGCCATTAACCTTTTAATTTTGTTTGTTCTTTTTATTTACTTATATTCAAACAATGTAGGTTAATCTGTCACTTTCCCTTTGTTGTCTCTTCCATTGTTTTAGGTCTACCTATTCCCAGATAGTTAATTCTTCACCTATATTTTCTCCCCTCACCTCCCTTGTTTGTACAGACAGGGCCTCACTATGTTGCTCAGACTGGAGTGCAGTGGCTATTCAGAGGCATGATCGTAGCACACTACAGCCTCAAACTCCTTGGCCACTAGCGATTCTCTTGCTTCAGCCTCCCAAGAAGCTGGGACAGCAGGCACATACTACTGAACCTGGCTCTCCTAGGTTTTTTTAATGATTTCATTTGTAATGCAATTATTTAATCCTGAAATTTATCACATTATTTTAAAAGTGTACCTGATTTATCAAAAAACTTACCATTGTTGTATGTCTGTTAATTTCTCCTCAGAGTTTTTAAGAGTTTCTATCTTAAGTATTTCAATGCTGTGTTACTTAGCGCATAACAGTTGAGGATTGTTGATACTTGTAAAAGAGTATGATTCTTCTGGTTCATTGTAGTGGTTTTTGTTTTGACTCTACTGTGTTTGAAATTAATATTGTCACCTCTGGTTTTGATGGCTGCATTTACCTAAGATCATTGTCCCAGCTTTAATTTTTTAACCATTTCAATTTTATTTTGCATATAGTTTCGTATTCATTTTTGTAACTGTGATTTAATCTTAACTCTGCTAAACTGATTTTTGTTCTCATCACTGATCCTTTCATATGTCACTTTCTCCTGTTTTTGAGTTCTTAAATTTTTTTTTTTTTTGAGACGGAGTTTCGCTCTTGTTGCCCAGGCTGGAGTGCAATGGCACAATCTCGGTTCACCGCAACCTCCACCTCCCAGGTTCAAGCAGTTCTCCTGCCTCAGCCTCCCGAGTAGCTGGGATTACAGGCATGCACCACCACGCCCGGCTAATTTTGTATTTTTAGTAGAGACGGGGTTTCTCCATGTTGAGACTGGTCTCAAACTCCTGACCTCGGGTGATCTGCCTGCCTCGGCCTCCCAAAGTGCTGGGATTACAGGTGTGAGCCACCGCGCTTGGCTTGAGTTCTTAATTTTTTATATCACTCAGATAACTGATATATGCCCTCAAGTAATTGTTTTCAAAAAAGTATCTTATAGTCAGTACTCAATAAATGTTTTCTGAATAAATGCATGAATGAAGAATTTAAGCCTTTGCACATCATAGAATGTCCTTCTGTTTTGTGATAAAAGCATGACTTTTTTTTTCTGTGATAAATCTACTTTTTACTCCTGAATAATGGTCTTGTGTCTCTCTCTTTTTCCAACAAACTTAATTATTTAGTCTTTTTTTTTTTTTTTACTTTTAAACATTTTGCCATGATATGTCTATATTTTGGTTTCTTTATATTGGTTTTACCTGGAAAAAAATGAGACATTTTTAATCTTCAAATTTAAGTCACTCTTAAATTCAGGAAAGTTTTTTTCTGTTATATATTTGTCTGTTTTGTACAGTTGTTCTGGATCCATTTTCAGAAACATGACTATTTTTGAGATTGGATCCCAGGTTCTTCCTTTATATCAATCATTAATTTTTATCAGTTTGCCCATTTAATGTATATTTAGAAGGAGTTTTGGCAAATGGCATAAGGTAAGGAATTAAAATTTTTTTCTAGTTAGTTTGCCTTCTCAAAATTGAAAAAAATTACAACCTTATCTTCTATACTCTCATTCTGTTTTCTTATTTTTATTTTTTAAATTAATTTTTAATTTTTGTGGAAACATACTAGGTGTATGTATTTATGGGTTACATGAGACATTCTGATACAGGCATGTAATGTGTAATAATCACATTAGGGTAAATGGGGTATCTATCACCTCCAACGTTTCTCCTTTGTGTTACACACAATCCAATTATAATCTTTTAGTTATTTTTAAGTGTACAATTAAATTATTTTTGACTGTAGTCACCCTATTGTGCTACAAAATACTTATTTATTTTTTCTAACTGCTTTTCATACCCATTAACCATCCTCAGTTCCCTCCAATCCCCGACTACCCTTCCCAGCCTATGGTAAACATCCTTCTAGTCTCTTATCTCCATGAGTTCAATTATTTTAATTTTTAGCTCCCACAAATAACTGAGAACATGTGAAGACTTCCTTTCTGTGCCTGGCTTATTTCACTTAACATAATGACCTCCAATTCCATCCATGCTGTTGCAAATGGTGGGATCTCATTCTTTTTTATAGCTGAATAGTACTCCATTGTGTATATGTACCTCATTTTATCTATCCATCTGTTGATAGACACTTAGGTTGCTTCCAAACTGGCTATTGTGCAGTAAACATGGGAGTGCAGATATATCTTCAGTAATGTGATTTCTTTTCTTTTGGGTATAAACCTAGCAGAAAGATTGCTGGATCGTATAATAGCTCTATTTTTAGTTTTTAGTTCTCCATAGAGGTTGTACTAATTTACATTCCCACCAACAGTGTATAAAGATTTCCTTTTCTCTGAAAGGTCACATATTTCTGTTTCTCCAAGATTGGTCCCTGGGTCCTTATTTAGTTCATTTGGTGAGGTCATGTTTTCCTGGATGGTATTGATGCTTGTTGATGTTCACTGGTGCCTGAGCATTGAAGAGTTAGGTATTTATTATAGTCTTCGCAGTCTGGGCTTGTTTGTACCTGTCCTCCTTGGAAACGCTTTCCAGGTATTTGAAAGGAATTGGGCATTGTGATCTAAGCCATAACTGCATTAGGAGGCACCTCATGAGCAGTAATGCTGTGGTTCTTGCAGACTCAGAGGTACCGTCTTGGTGGTCTTGGATAAGATCTGGAAGAGTTCTCTGGATTACCACGCGGAGAGTCTTGTTCTTTTCCCTTACTTCCTTCCAAGCAAATGGAGTCTTTTTATTTGTGCTGAGCTGCTTGGGACTGTGGGTGGGGTGACACAAGCACCCTGTGGCCTCCACTGGGACTGTGTTGGATCAGACCTGAAGCCAGCACAACATTGAGTCTTGCCCAAGGCCTGCTGTAACCACTACCTGGCTATTGCCTATGTTTGCTCAAGGCCCTGGGGCTCTACAATCAGCAGGTGTTGAAACCAGCCAGACTCGTGTCCTTCCCTTCAAGGTGTCGAGTTCTCCCAGGTCCTAGGCAGGTCCAGAGATGCTATCCAGGAGCTAGAGACTGGAGTTAAAAACCTTAGTGGCTGAGCTGGCCCTCAAACCACTAGACACAGTCCTTCTCACTCTTCCCCCTACTTTGCACAGGCAGAGGAGCCTCACCCCATGGCCACTACCACCACAGGCCCACTGAGAGTAATGCCAGGTAACCATTGATGCTCCCTTAAGGCCCAAGGACTCTTCAGGCAGCTTGTAGTGAATGCTAACAGGCCCAGGACTCACCCTTCAGTGCAGTGGGCTGTCTTTTGGCTCAGGGAAGGTCTAGAAATGCCAGCCAGTAGCCAAGTCTTGGAATCAGGGACCCCAGGAGACTGCCTGCTTCTCTACCCCACTGTGGCTGAGCTGGTACCTGAAGACAGCACATCTCAGAGTCTCACCTAAGGCCTGTGTCATGCTACTTGGTATTGCTGCTTGTTATTCAGGCCCAAGGGCTTTTTAGTCAGTAGGTGATGGATCCTGCTAAAACTTGGTCCTTCCCTTCAAGGCAACAGTTTCCCTTCTGGTTTAGGGTGTATCTAGACATGCTGTCCAGGAGCTAGGACCTGGAATAGGGGCCTCAGGATTCTGACTGTTGTCCTATCCTACTGTAGCTGAGCTGGTATCCAAGATGTAAGTCAAAAGTCCTCTTTACTCTTCCCTCTCCTCTCCTCAAGTGGAAGCAATACGTCTCTTTTGGAGCTGCTAGCTGTGTTGCCTGGGGTTGGGTGAGGAGTGGTGCAAGAACTCCCTTAGCTTCTCCGGCTGGTGTCTCAGTAAGTCTCATGCCTCCCAACTCCACTGGCTCTCAACCCAGCTCAGCACTAGGACTTACAGTCCTTGTGGGCTAGAGTGCCGTTCAAATTTACTTAGGGCCCCTGGGCACTGCAGCCTACAGTGGCAGGGCTTGCCAGAACTGAAGTTCTTGAAGTTCTGACCACTGGGATGGGCAATTCTCCTCTGACTTGGGCTGGTCTGAATACTTCCTCCATGAGCAGGTACTAGCTGAATTAAGCCCAGTTTTGTTTTCCACCATAATAGGGCAGCACTGAGTTCAGTGCAAAGCCTCACAATCCGCTGCACTTCCCTCTCCCAAGTGTAGAGCCTCTCTCCATGCAACGCTGCCACTGTTGGGGTGGCAGATGGGGGAGGGGTAATGTTGGTGATTGAAGACTGTCTTTCCTACCCTCTTCAGTGCCTCTTACCAAGTACTGTGAGTGCTCACCTGATTTTTGGTCCTAATGAAGGTGCTTTTTTTGTGTGTAGACAGTTGTTGAATTTGATGTTCCTGCAGGGGGGATGATCAGTGGGGGTCTTCTATTCTGCCATCTTGCTCTGCCCCCACTCTGTTATCAAGAATGTCAATTGTACACTTTTGGGGCTGTGATGCATATGTCACGTCTACTATTACGTTTTTTATTTTAAAATGTTTTAAAATCTCAAGCAGCTTTCTTTTCATCCCAGCCTGTTTACTACTCATAGTTTTCTGGTCTTGTTTCATAAAGTACATATCCCCTTACGTCTTATTGATGATGCCAAATAGCTTTATCAAATATTCATAGTTTTCAGATGCCTGTTTCAGCAAAAAATTTTCTCTCATTCTTTCTCTTATTTTATATTTATTTTTATAAATGTTTTGTTGCTTAATAACTTACATATATAAAACTATATATAACATATAAATGGACTGCTCCATGAATTTTCTCAAAATGTAACTACCACTCAAATCATGAAAGAGCACAGTGCGAGCGTGAGAGAAGCATACCTCACACCCTCTCCCAGTTACCACTCCTAAAGTAATCACTATATCCTGACTGCTGTCACCATCTATTAGTTTTGCCTGGTTTAAAACTTTATATAAATAGTTATTTCATTTTATTTATTTTACCTTTTCAGTTATTGTGAAATAGGAAGAGATAGATCCAGATCTGGTATTGGCCAACAGACTGGGTGGTGATTGCCTTGTCCCTTTCACTATCTTCTTCAGCAGATGGATTCCCCTTCTCAAGAATGAAGATGCTAGGTATATGTATTAGTTTGTTCTCATACTGCTATAAAGAAATACCTGAGACTGAAAAATTTATAAAGCAAAGAGGTTTGATTGACTCACAGGTCCATATGGCTGGGAGGCCTCAGGAAACTTATAATTATGGTGGAAGGGGAAGGAGGCACATCTTACATGGCAGCAGGCAAGAGACAGCATGTGAAAGAGGAACTGTCAGACACTTACAAAACCATCAGTTCTGGTGAGAACTCACTCACTATCAAGAGAACAGCATGGGGCGGGGGAACCACCCCCATGATCCTATCGCCTCCCACTAGGTCCCTTCCTCAACACATGGGGATTATGGGGATTGCAATTAGAGATGAGATTTGGGTGGGGACACAGAGCCAAACCATATCAGTATACTTTCTAGTCCAGTTTTCTAGAATGTTGAAATGTTACACTCTTATCTCCTCTCTGATTCCTTGATTCTGAGAACATATGATACAGGAAAAATATAATTCTCAGCACATACTATGAATTAATTAGGATTTGGTTCAATGCATGAAATAAAGGAAAAATCACAGCAACTTACAAAAGAGACATTCCTTTCTTTCTCAAAAAAGAGTCCAAAGACATCCAAGGTTAGGATGACAGTTGTGTTCCACAAAGTCCTCAGAACCCAGGCTCTCCCCAGCCTTCTGCTCCACATGCCTAGGGTGTGGCACTCATTATCAGAATCCAAAGTAACCATTAGAATGCTAGGCAGTAGAATGGAAAAGGGGGTGAGGAAAAGGGAGCAAAAGAAAAGTGCTAGTTGTTTCAAAGAGATTTGTGCATCTTCCATGTATATGCCACAGATCACAGCTATTACTCTATTGTATCTTTATCTGTGGCCTCTGCCTCTTTCCTGGGGTTCCAACTCACATTTCTCAGCTCTTACTAAGGATTTGTCTTCTCTGTCCCTCAGGAACCCTAAATGAATATATCTCAAACCAAATTTATTATCTTCTCCAACAATCCTACTTCCTACATATTCTATTTCCATTCCCACTTCACAGTCTAAACTTGAAACTTGGGGGTGGTCCTCACTCCGCCTTTCTTCTCTCTCTTTCATGTTAAATTTGTTGAAACTCTTTTTATTTTTACTTTCTACATACCTCCTGTGTTGATTGTCTCCTCTCTCACTCCCCTTCACTGTCAGAGGTCCTAATTATTGTTCACGTCGATCAGCTTTCTAACCAATATCCTCGCTTTTCCTTCCATTCCCCTTAGATCCATCGCCAACATCTGTTTAGAGTGATCATTCTAAAATAACAATCTGATCATCCTACATTTCTGTTTTAAAATGTGTAACCATTTGCTGTTACCCAAAACAACGGTTCATTGGTTTTTTCATGTCAAGAAACATTGTGGATACCCACATATATATTAATTGAGAAATTATGTAAACCAAAACCTACTCTGAATCCAGCAATAATGTTAAATTTTTTTGGATTAATAAGCATGGAATTTGCTTACATTGAACCAATAGTAATATATATTTGGAAAGATAACATGTATTCAATCTGGAGACAATGATTGGTGGATTGGTGAATGCCTTGCAATGACTACTTACCACCAATTGAGACCCATGGCTTTAGAGATGACATCAAATTAATTAGTGGGCTATAAAAGATGCTTTAAACTCTTGAAACCAACGTTTCACTTTTCTCTCTTCACCTTCTGGTCTCTTTGCTCTCCTCACCTTCTCACTCAACGGCAGCCACACAAGCTGCCCCTCTTTCTGCCATTCCTCACTCATCACTTTTCCCAGGAATGCCCTTTCTTCCTTTTCTCTGCCTGGAACACCCTGACCTTATTCCTTAAGACCTGACAAAAACATCAGGAGAAACCTTTTCAGATCCTTAGAGTTAGTTGCACTCTCATGCAACTCATAGCATCTCACACATCATCTCAAGCAGAGCTCTTACTGGGATAGGTTTTACATGTGTCTCCCTTGCCAGATTCTGGGATCCTAGGTGGCAGGGACTGGGTCTTATTCATCTTTATATCCTGGGCTCCTGAAATAGTGCCTGGTACATAGTAGGTGTTCCTGTAAATAGAGGTTGATGGATTCACAGTGACTGCTAGGATATTTTTGGCAACCTTAGAGCAGTTTCCTGGCAGAGGAAAAAAGTAAGATAGTCTTGCCCTTGATGTCCAGGTTCTTTTCTCATAATTACCACTCCATACCAGAACAAATAATAATCAATCATATATTTAGCCATTAAAAGTATAGAAAGTTACAACTGGAGGGAACTGTGGCTCTCATCCAATACGACTCCTTCATATTGCAGATCGAGAGACAACATTGAGCCTTTTCTCTTCTAGATGCAGTAACACAGTTTTCAACTTCCTCCACATTCTGGTTCTTGATTAATTTTCTTTGAATCCTGACTCCAACATTCCTCCTAGGTTGTAGGAATATGTTGCTCCTTTATAAAATGTGTAACTTTTTGTAGTCACTAACATGAATGCCTGCAATCCATAGATGACATATTTTTTAATGATCGAGACATTTCAGCATTCTTCATGGCCAACTCCTTTACCAGGAAGTATCTAAGAAAAACCAAGATTGGCAGATCTGAATTTTAACTTCACTTAGTTCTCTTGCACAAGCTCTGGTGAAGGTGCAAATGGGTAATGAAGGGCCAGGAGGCAAGTGGCCAAAGGAAGAGTGGCAACCTGGACATTCAACCCCTAGAAAACAGAAAACTTACTGGAGTCTACTGTCATCTAGGAGAGGAGCACCTGCCTGGTTTTGTAACTTCTGAGTGTTGAGTGTCCATTGCTAGGTGTTAAATGTGAGATGAGTACTTTTGTGGCAATATGGATGAATTTGTATGGGGGGATGATGTGTATGGAGCTGGTCGTAAGTAACTTGAGGGGAATGTGAAGAATATTTGGTTTTGGCAAGATGCAATGATGCTAAATATCTTTAGGGCACTGTGTATTACATGGAAAAAAATTAAACTTTTTTATGTTGCATCCAACTAACTACCTTGTCACTTCGAGGACAACAAAGTGGTAGTTATTGTTGAAGACATGTGTGGAAGAAAATTTAACAGAAGTCAGTTACAACCTAGGAGTTCTGAAGAGCCTGCCCAAGAACTAAACTTTATTATTGCCTTTCCATGGAGGGAAAGCCTGGGCATCTCTCCAAATTTAAATGAAATATTACTGCTAGCGATTAAATGTGAAAATTGGGTGGGGTTCAGTGGCTCATGCCTGTAATCCCAGCACTTTAGGAGGTCAAAGAGGTAGGACCACTTGAGCCCCGGAGTTCAAGATCAGCCTGGGCAGCATAGATAGACCCTATCTCTATGAAAAATAAAAAGAAATTAGCTGGATGTGGTGGTGCAGGCCTCTAGCCCCAGCTACTCAGGAGGCTGAGGTGGGAGGATCATTTGAGCCCAGGAATTCGAGGCTTCAGTGAGCCATGATGTACCACTGCACTCCAGCCTAGACGGCAGAGCGAGATCCTGTCTCAAAAAAAAAAAAAAAAAAAAAGAAAAAAAAAAAAGAAAGTGAAAATCCTTCTACGTTCAGTAGCCTATAGATGTGCAAGCATCTTTACCAATCTGTGTTCCATCTTTGGACAAGTAAATGTGACCTGAACTCATCTGTCTATTTATACTTTATTCAAAATTTCTAACTCGATAAAGGGATACAAATTCAAGTCTAGAGAAGTTAGAATCCTGATTGTTTACAAAACTTGTCCATCAAATAGAGCTGGTGTAATTAACTCTGGCACCCCTAAATTCATTTTGCATATTCAATGGTTCCTATGAAAAGCTAGATCCGAAATAACAAATGCACAGACAGCACCATTAGCAGGGTGCGGGCATCACACATTTTTCCTTGGGTTGCTTCTGTTACCAATCAAACTTGCAGACCTGAGCTAGAGCATTTCTGACACTTAAGTCCCACAAAAAAGATGCTGTTCATTTATTTTGGCAGTGGGTTGTACTATTCTAAGAAGGCAGCTGTGCGTGGCAGAACCCAACATTATAACTCAAAATCTGTCCTGTCTTAGCATTTGCAGGACATTGGGTTGTGGCATTTTAGAAGGAGATGAAACAGATAGGAAGATATATTAAGGAACAGCAGTTTAAATGCTATGACTTGTAAAATCCCTTATGTGCAGTACAATGTTTTTAGTTATTAAAGTGCATATAATTTAAAGGGCAATTTACTTTACATCATTTGTACTGTTGTATATTCCTTCCATATTAGTCAATTATATTTCTTTGTAGACAGTTTTAAACTTGTGCCGTTCAATAGTAGCTCACGTGTGTGTTTAAATCTTAAGCCAACATGAGATTTACATTGATGTTGTAGAAATTCTAGTGAGAATTTTTCAAGTTATATAAAATTTTCTACAAATGCTCTACTTAAATATAATATTTTGCACATAAAATAAGCCAGCAATACAATAGCTGAGAAGTGGGCTTTTATTTTTCACCTTACACCTTTCTGGAAACACAATTGCAAACTCACTCTGTGTGGATTTCAAGGCACACAGGGAAACATCCATGTATATAGCCAGGGAACAACTTTATCTGCTAGGAAGAGAGTGACTTGCTTCTGGGCTCACGTGACAAAAAACTCACACTTGAATGATAGACACATCTTTTTCTTTCTGTTTGTTGGCAGATTGTCCACTATAGTAGTTTGCATGCTAAGCAGAATTGGAGGGTGTGAAGGAAACGAGAAGATAACAACGTGCCTAAACAATTTTTCTTCTTTCCCCCAGCATGAGGAGTATACATCAGAAGTTTATTTCCCCTATAGTCAGTACCTAACTATCTTTATGGAGATGCTAATCAACTTCTTTAATAATGCTTCTGGAATAAAATACTACCACTGTTCGGGGTCAAAGACACACACCGTATTTTTTTGTCTTTGCATATATGTTAGAGCCTAATTCATTCTATAGTGTCTATGTATGTCATTGTACATAGTATTTATCTATCTATATCATTGTACATAGTTGTCTGCATTTTATGATGTTGGAATAGAGATTTGGATTTGCAATTGAGATACATCTATATTGACTTTTTTGTTAGTTTGTTTTTTAAAAATTCTTTCTCAGATTATTTCGTTTTTTCTATTCTGCTTTAGGCCAGACACTCTGAAAGGGTCTGTACATGGAACAGACTGGGCATTGTTGGTGGTATGTACTGCAGTTCCATGGAAACCATGTCTATGAGTCAGAAAGCAAACACCAGGCCTGTTGTATTGATACCAGGAGGTGTGTTACTAATATAACACCTGACATGTGTGAACTGGCCAGACATCTCCCCAAGAGATGCTGTACAGGATGCCATGAGGGTTGGAGCTAATTGGAAGTATAATCCATGACTATTTGGGGAAGGCAAAATCATACCATCCTAGAGGCAGGCCCATTCCTTTGGCTTCTCAGTGGGGAGCTTGTTTTCTTATTAGTGCTGATGGTTTTATTGCAGTCAGTGGAAGACAAGAGACCATTTGCTTCTTGCACATCAATCAATCACTTCTGGTCCTGAGGCCTCAGCAGAAAGCAGGCCACACAGCTTCACTCCTGAATTCTTGGAGAGCACTCAAACAAGTGAGCTAATAACTACAAGACTCTAGTGAATCAGACTTTATGGTCGGAAGAAGTGTGAAGAAAAACCCAAATGTCTTCAAATGATTAAGTAAAACAGGTTGCTTATCTATTGTTTTCTAGGCATCATGAGCCTGCTCTAAGCCAAGGTTTGCTAACGAAGGCCTTTAGCCTGTTTTGTATGGCCCACAAACTAAAAATGTTTTTAAAGCATTGTTTTTTAAAAAAAAAAATCCCAAAAGCAGAGAATATGGGACAAAGACTGTATGTGGCCCACAAACCCTAAAGTATTTACTATCTGATCTTTTACAGTAAAAATGTCTAAGCAATAAGGTGCAATAATGAAGATAAGTTTCTCATTTATAGCTGCCATACCACTTCTCTGTCTTCCTCAGAGTCCACCTGAATTGTCAGTGGGCCCAGGAGAGGACTTTGACTTTGACTTAAGGGATTCTATGAGAACCATGTGTAGTTTTGGGGTTTCCTGCACCACTTTCAGGTAGGCCTTAGTATAACCTAACAGTGCTTTATGTTTGTGCTCAGCAGGTCATTAGATGGAGAACCAAGGGCTTACAGAAATTACACTGAACATGAATTAGAAAGATCCCCTCTAATTCCCCAGACCATAACAGGGCTTCCAGTACAGCCAGCCTTTCAGCGATTACACATGTTCATCAGATCTTTGGAGCCATTTAATACTTTGGTGTTTTTCCTCTAATACTCTTCTTTAAGAGCTGGCCCCCCTCCAAAGTTTTGGAAAGATAAGATTCTAAATTAATTCCTAAATTCTCTAGTTAGATAGAGACTGCCTTTCAGTCCAGGTTCTTCTTTGTTCTTTGATCTGGATCCCAGGAGAGTCATGAATGTTTCTGCTGCTGCAGCTTTTTCTGAATATTGCTGGTATCTTGAAGGAAAATCTTCAGTCTGCTGATGTACCCCTAGGCTGACTACAGAGGGCTGACGGTAGGGGAGTTGGAGCAGGGAGCATCCTTTGTCTTGCTTTCTTTTTGGGCCAACACAAATCCCAAGGCTCATATGGGTAGGGTAATCCCTGCCCTCTGAGGCTAAGCACCGCCCATACCTGCAGACTGGGTGAGAACCTGGGATTTAAACAAACTCCAGGGCTGGCATACAGCACCATTTCTTTTTATCATTTCCCCTACTCTTCTTTGATGTTACCCCAGCTCAGGCCCTCATCATCAATCACTGAGACCAGAGGGGTGACCTCTTCAGAGATGACTCTAATCCCCAAAGTAAATTCAGTCTACCCTATACCCTATTTCCAGGGAGCTGAAAACATAGCCATATCACCAAAAGTTAAAACCTTTCTTTTGGTTCCCCATTGCCTACAAAATAAAAGTTCAACCCTGCCACAGTATTTTGAAATCTGCCTACTTCCCTAGTAGATCTGCCTCCTTCCTTACCCCACCTCTTGTCCTTCAGCCATGGTTACTGAGAGGCAGGCAGTTTCTTAAGCAGACTGCTTCACTCATGCCTTTACTCATGCTGGTCCCACCACCTCCTAAAATGCCATCCCTCGCTTTTTCCCAGTTTGCTTTACTAATCATCTTTCTTTTCTTCTTTTCTTTTCTTTCTTTTTTTTTTTTTTTGAGAGAAGTCTCACTCTTATCCCCCAGGTTTGAGTACAATGGCTCGATCTCGACTCACTGCAACCTCTGCCTTCCA
Organism: Homo sapiens; assembly: GCF_000001405.40. Classification (NCBI taxonomy): domain Eukaryota; kingdom Metazoa; phylum Chordata; class Mammalia; order Primates; family Hominidae; genus Homo; species Homo sapiens. The sequence goes on along the minus strand of NC_000005.10, from coordinate 65,084,715 downwards.
GGTTCAAATGATTCTCCTGCCTCTGCCTCCCAAGTAGCTGGGATTAAGTCGCCTGCCACAAGCCTGGCTAATTTTTGTATATTTTAGTAGAGACGGGGTTTTACCATGTTGGCCAGGCTGGTCTCGAACTCCTGACCTCAGGTGATCCGCCCGCCTTGGCCTCCCAAAGTGCTGGGATTACAGGCGTGAGCCACTGCACTTGGCCTACTAATCATCTTCCAAGTTGAGATCATGGGTCATGTTAAGGGTTGAAATATATCCCCCTGAAAGATATTCAAGTTCTAAACCCCAATACCTGTGAATGTAACCTTATTTGGAAATAGGGTATTTGCAGATGATCAAGTCAAGAATGGGGTCGTTAAAGTAGGCCCTAATCCAAAATGACTGTTGTCCTTACAAAAAGGAGAAATTTGGACACAGAGACAGACATGCATAGAAGGAAGACAATGAGAAGACATAGGGAGGAGATGGCCATCCATAAGCCAAGAAATGACTCAGGCCGCAAGAAGCTAGGAAAGAATCATGGAACTGATTCCCTCTCCCAGCCTTCAAAGGGAACCAACACTGCCAACACCTGGATTTAAGACTTCCCACCTCCAGAACTGTGAGACAATAAAGTTCTGTTGTTTGAGCCAGCAAGTTTGTAATATTTTCTTACAGCAGCTCTAGCAAACTAATACATGTCACTTTTGGTGTACAACCTTTCTTGAGCCACATAACATCAAAATGAATAGCCTACCATTGAACCCTAGCTTTTCCCAAGAATATCTCCCAATCCCATCAGGTGTAATATGATAAAGCTGTGCTTTTCAAATTATAATGTGCACGTGAATTACCTGGTAATCTTGTTACAATGCAGATTCTGATTCATTAGGCCTGAGTTGGGACCTGAGGTTCTGAATTTCTAGCAAGCTACCAGGTGATGCTGATAACTGCTGGTCCACAGGTCACATTTTGAGTGCCAAGACTTTAGAGCACTTGTCTACAAGGCTATAATATTCCTGAGGTCAAAGACTATGCCTTTGAATACCTAGTGCTTGGAGCAGTGCTGGGAACATGACAGGCACATAACAAATGCTGGTTGAATGGTTGATGAATGAGGAATGAATGAGTCTATGCTCTTAGGAGTATGTCTTTGGTATTGAACGGTTCATAATAATTCCCAAGATAAGTTGGGCATACAATAATTGCACTGTGAAGGGCCTGTTAGCTTTCCCGTGCTTCATCATTTTTATGCATTTAAAATTCTTCTTGGAAAGGAAAAGAAACTCCACATCAAGCATTTGAAGAAAGACATTCTGGAATGTCACACTGATGGTAGGGAGCTGAATGGGCTAATCTTTCTGTATTAACTGTATTTGAACCAATTCTTTAACACTAGCTTGCAAAAGCCACCTCCTTCCTCTGACTCTTCTCCACTTCTACTCTCTGTGTAAGTGCCCAGAAGCTGGTCACTGAGAGCAAAATGACAGGAAAGAAATGTACAAGATTAAGCTCAGAATTGGACTCTGGCACTGTACACTTAAAACAGCTCCCTGAGTAGGTAAAATAATCCCTAGTTACAGATAGAAATTTGAGGTTTGAAGTAGTTTGTCCAATGTTATCAAACTATTGAGCAGCAGAACCAGGGGTCAAACAGATTGAATGTCAATGCCTGTGCCTTTTCCATCACACAGAGAATGCTGAAAAAGAGAGAGCTAATGGTCTAACTGGCCACACAGTTCAGATATCTGTGGTGCTTTCCTCTTTCCTCCCAGCAGAAAATTTGAAAGCAGTAGAGATTATAGCTCAGAGGAAATTACCCAGCTGCTCTCTAAAATATTCCAAATCTGACAGTCACAGAGATGCCTCGTTTTTCTGGCATTTTCAAGGAACATAATCTTTAATATAAACATTTTCCAGATTACTAAGATTCTTGCCTTTAAATTTTAAAAATTATTGTAATAATTCTGGGTAGAATAATTCTAAAATACAGTATACTTACTTTGCTACCTTAAATTAGTTCTATCTTTTCTTGATGATTCAGGGCCACTATCATGGATTGTCAATTCCAGAATGATGCTGAAATTCATTCATATTGTCAGGTATTATTGAAATATTGAACTGTGTGTTCCTACATTAAATGGTCTCAGATTTTTTGAGAAAATATTTCTGCTCTTATAGTTCTTTTTCAATTCTTTCTTTGATCTAAAGACTATGAGTTCTTCCTTTTTGCTGTTGTCAGTGAATTTGCTTCTAACATTGTGTTATGTCTAATGTGTTGATTTCATTCTCAAGGCGGGGAAACTAATATGGAAGCTTGTTAGAAATATATGCAAAGTAAAAATGAGTAGGATATGAGTTGAGCATCTAAGAGATCTCTTTCAGAGTTAAGGTATGAGATTTTGTGCTTTTTAATAGTTGTTTTTGACTGCTCGGAGACTTATGTTCATGTCCTGGCTCTGAACATTATATTTTGAAGTTGAGATCATCTGGAAAATGATCTCTATAAAAGTATAATGTTGCTATACAATATATTAACTTTCTTCCTGGAAGTCAGTGGAAGGCAAATAGTTACTTCCTCTTAAGGATTCCTGTTGCCTACAGAACAGCTAATTACAGTAAAACCTCATTAATATGGAACAACTCAAAAAGGAAGATATTCTGAATTAATTTTTTAAAATCTCATTTACAGTAGTTTTTGCCTGGCATGGTGGCTCATGCCTATAATCCCAGCACTTAGGGAGGCCAAGGCAGGAGGATTGCTTGAGGCTAGGAATTTGAGACCAACTTGGCCAGTATAATGGAACCCTGTCTCCACACACACATACGAAGTATTTCTTTAAAGTTATATGGGCCTCTTGCTTTCAAAATAAAAAAGTGACTCCAATTATCTGCTAAGAAAATGTACTAAGACTTCTTGTTGGATGTATTTTGTTGAATAGATAACAATATCTTTTGGCTCTAAACATATATTCAAATACTCTTTGTCTTAAGTAAATTAAACTTAGTTCTATAATCATATGTATAGTATTGCTTCTCTGTTAAGTCATTTCTAAATAGTGAAAAACTTTTTAGTCTTTACCAGGTTGAATTATCACAAATCCCTAATTAGTAAAGTCTAGTTTTCATACATGTATTTCAAATATATGTAATTTTCATAGAAAAGATTTAACTGCTAAAGAGTCATCTCAATGACCCTTTGACATTTCACAATTTAAACAATTTAAGATTTTTCTCTACCTTTGGAAGTAGTTTAAACCTGAAGAGTAATTTTATCCATACTTTTAAAATTATATACTACAGTTTCTCATTTTGGAAAAATGAGAAAGGGAAAAAGGAAGAACAAGCAAAGATGAAAAGGAAAAAAGAAATCAAAATTCAAAGTGATGCCATAAGGCAGGCTGGAGGCAAAAGAACAGGTCCTGCAGGGATGGCCTGGTAATGAATGGAATGCATAGACTGGAGGCAGCCTCTTCCTTATCATTACTCACAAATGACCCTTTTGTTCATCTAAAAAAACCAGCATTTGAAAGAGATCAGTATCCACAAATTAGTTATTTTGAACATGCAAACAAACCATAAAGATTATTTTCTAGACCCTGGCTTTCATTCCCAGTAGCTTAGAATAGAGAGATTCACTACAAACTATTGTACTTTTACTACATTGAAAGTAATGGCGGGTGTTGTGGCTCACACCTGTAATCCCAACACTTTGGGAGGCTAAGGTGAGAGAATCACCTGGGGTCAGGAGTTTGAGACCAGCCTGGCCAACATGGCGAAACCCCGTCTCTAATAAAAATACACAATTAGCCATGGTGGTGCATATCTGTAATCCCAGCTACTCGGGAAGCTGAGGCAGGAGAATCACCTGAGCCTGGGAGGCAGAGGTTGCAGTAAGCCGAGACTGCACCACTGCAGTCCAGCCTGGGTGACACAGTGAGACTCCGTCTCAAAAAAAATAACCAAACAAACAAAAAACAAACAAACAAACGAACAATGACAACAACAAAAAACCTTAATTAATGGCAAAAACTGTGAATACTTTTGCACCAACCTAATAAAAGTACATTGACCTCAGATAATCCAACAAATTTCTCAGTTCTAATAGGCTTTCCTGGTTTAACAGAAGCTTCTCATTACAAAATAATCATCATTAATAAAAACAAGAAAATTGTGCTTCAAACGTCTCTTTCCTTTAATATCTCTTTTCCTACCTTTTATCTGTTCTTACCTTTCATCCTCTTGTAATAGTGCAATTTTCTTCTTGTTTCAAAAAATTTTTATAAGTAATGAAATAGGCTTATATGTTGCAGTTAGAGCTAAATACACAAGGCAGAATATGTAGTTTAAAGATATTTACAGCTTACCAGCCAGAACCACATGTAATAGGCAAAAGCCTTCATAAAATAAGTATGAATGTAAAATAGTTAGCTTTGATTTCTGTTTATCATGTAGAAAAATTATAGGCCATTCCTTTGGCAGTAATAGTACTAACAGAAAGAAAATGGAAGGAAGGAAGAAAGAAAGGAAGGGAGGGAGAGAGGGTAGGAGGAAGAGAAAGAAAAAAGAAAGGAAAAAGGAAAGAAAGGAAGGAAGGAAGAATGTTTTTATAAGATGTATGCTCACACAATCTAAACAAATTCTTAAAGAAACATGACCACCTAGGTGCAAATTAATTACTTTCTTAAACTTCAGTCATTTTTAACCACTGTTTTACCAACCTTATTTTTTCTATTTTGATTTAAAGAAAATGTTATTCCCACACGGTGCTTCAAAGAGCAGGAAATTGTCTCACAATAATCTCCTTTAAACTTGCTGCTCATACACATCAAAAGGGTTTAACTATTTGTGCCCCAAAAGGATCTAGACTGCTTCCAAGCTGTGGGAGAGTAACCTACATTCTACTAGGGAAAATGTAACTTGTATTTGCCTATACTGTATGTTTCCTTTCCAAATTGGAAGTTTCTAAATAAGAAAACAAGGGGGAAAAAGCAGGATGATCAAGATGTCAATGACACTTTCCATAGCCTGTAAAAACTCCATGATGGTTTCTTTCTAACTAGAAAAGATTTCGCAGGAAGAAGCACTCCTTTTTGTAAACTCTCCTCTTTCTACAGCATTGAAGCCCAATTTTGTATAAAAATTAATTTGTATTGAATTTCTAAGCTCCTAGTTGTTCTTAAAACTGCTTCTCAAAGAAGCTTAGATCTTTTCCTGAGTGTTTAAAAATAGATTTGAACAGAAGTTTTAATAAAAAGCCAGTGTGGAGAAAAGCCAGTATTATCACAGAGCCCATTTTTGCAGGTGAACGTGAGAGTATGTCAGAGTCAAGAATTACCAATGGTTCTAAAATCCAACTACAAGAATGCTCCTATCTAATTACACATGCCACTCATGTCACTGGTTTTGACCTATCCTCTGTCTCCGATCCCGGACAATTGATGTACAAGGTTCATTGATGTTTCACGCTTTGGTTACCTGTTTTTCCAAGCATTTTCAAAAATAAACATTCCATATATGTGCTAAACTCTTCCTCAGTCTTGTGTTTTATCAGAAAAATAAACTTTAAATGCTTTTTGGCCAAGATAAAATATATTTGGTTCGATTTTGTGCCAGACATTTTTTTCTTAAGTTTGGAAGATCTTAGTGGACTTCTACTTATGGAATGTAGTGTCTTGGAGGGTGTGTGTGTGTGCGCACATGTGTGCGTGTGTGTGTTGTTTTTTAAGTAAACATTGAAACATGTAAGTGTTATTTTAGGTAGATGTTTAAGAAAATTTCCCTCTCACAAATGGACGTATGGGTGAGAATTTCATAGTCTTCGTGCTTCAATGGTCCAAGTTTCCAAGCGCTCAAGGATTGCACCCCCGGGAAGCCCCAAAATTTTCCCTTAAGAGAGACTGCTCCAGCGATTTCTAATGTCCTCACTGATCTTCCTTTAACAGTGAATCAACGCGTATTTCATCTGGTATCGAAGGGGACCATCTCTTTCTCCTCCATACTCAAGTACCTCACCCATGTCAACAACAGAAAAGAATGTTGTCTGTCTGTGAGAATATAGCTCATTTGAATTGGGTGTTCTGTTAGCTTTTTGTGGTAAGAGAAAAGCATTTCAACAATTCTCTACGCTTATGCTGGAAAATGCGTCTCATCCCTGGTCTGTTATCTTCTTTTTGCATAGAGTGAGGTAAAGAAATGATTTATCTTCTCAACTGTATGCTCAGCATTGTCTCGGTTAACTTCCCTTCCAGGCTCTCCATGGGAGTTGAAAATTTATATTTCCTTGCTTTTGTTTGCTGATTGTATAAAGGATTCTTATCTTCCTGTTTCAAGTTAAGTCTCACAAGCTAGGATTTCCTTTCATTAGTAACACTTTGTCCCCTAAACATTTTTTCGCTTTTCCTTGCATTTGTTGATACTCCATTTTACTTATTTCGTTTCTTTCTTTTATCATGTGTATTTTAAGAAGGCATGGCTTTTCGGCCCTATCCACTGCCTTTTTTTCTTTTTCTATTTCCTTGGAAGAGCAAACTATTGTTTCTCTCCCTTTCTCTTTCTGTTTCTTTCTCCCCTGTCTTTCTTTCATTGCTATTTAAAATGACGCCAAAGCTGAAGTCCAATACTCATCCCAAGGGCCCCGATTTTTTTGTTTCTAAAAGCACTACCAATCAGGACTTAACATTCGTACTGAATAGCTATTCTCAAATTAGAATCTTCTCTTGTCACCCACCTAGCTCAGTTGTCCTTTGGGGTGTAAGCTTAGCTCTGTTCAGATGAAATAGAATATATGCCAGGGAGAACAAAAGAACAAAGACTCCCTCATTCTCTGGGTTCCCACCTATGTAACCATTAGCAAAAAAGGACTCAGCACAACACCCCAGGTCTAGGACTCAGGTGTTTCATACCAAGATGCATGTGTGCGTGTGTGTGTGGGGGGGGGGCGCGGGGGGGTGGAATAGATAATTTCTGTAAGAACAAAGAAAAATTGATGAATGTCATGGACAAAAGAAATAACATTGCAAGTTAAATTCAATTTTAGTAAAACACAGCAGAAGTTATATTTGCAAGATATTTTCCAAGTTGCAGTTGATGGCTCATATTTTTAAAACAATATTTAATATAATAAAATTCCAAGTCAATAGCGGAATTGGAATAGTGCTTTGGAATTTGTACAGTTAACTAAGTACAAATTTGGCTTGTAGTAGTTAATTTAGTTGGTGTTTTAAAGTTTTTCCCTTAAATAATACCTTAAAAAAATTTCAACTGATTCAAACATTACCCTACTAGAGAACTGGCCGCAGTAGAAGAAAAATTTGTTGCCCTGAAACGTCTGGGACATTGTCTTATGAAATTATTTGTAGTATACAATAATGAGAAAAGGTCAAAAAAAGGCTACCTAAAAAAGAGCATTTTTAAAGTACAGCAAAGGCTTACCTGACTTCCCCTCGTTTCAGAATTTCTAGCTTTCATGATTTTGTTGGATGTTTTCTATGCATACGCTGTTAAGGCCTCATACCACAATCCAAATGTACCTTCAAAAGACAACAGGCACACCAGATGACCTCTCCCCCACCCCAGAATCCTCCCTGCAGGCACTTCAGTTCAGCTTCTCAAATGCTTCAAAGTGACAGAGAAAGTACACAAGTGGCCTTCAGACATGTCCTATATCTAACATGGCCATGAAATTCATCAACGAATTCAGGCTAGTCTTCAGGATCATGTTGACATCTATCTCAATATAATTTCAAGGAGATGTCTTTACCATTTATTTAGTCATGTCTTATCAGTGTTTGACTTTTTTTCTTTTTTTTTTTTTTTTGCAGCATATAAAGTAAACCATTCTTTTTCAAAGTATGGCCTGCAGACCAGTAGCATGGGTATTACCTGGGAGTATGCTAGAAATGCAGAGTTGTAAGCCCCACCCCAGACCTACTGAACCCGCCTTTAAGATCTCCAAGTGATGCACATCAAAGTTTGAGAAGCACTGAGAGTCTCCTTACAACTTACACTGCTGTGAACATCTTCATGCACATGTATTTCCCCTGCTTGGGGATGGTTTCGTTGTATTCCATTCCCAGAAATGAGATTATGAGTTCTGAGAATTTGCAGATGTGTATGCTTGCCAGAATTTCAGAAGGGAACTTCAAGAGCCAGAGGGGTGGGTGTGGCCAAAGGCTATATAACCTGAGGATTAGTTCAGTTAGTGCCCCCTGGAGGGAGGGAATTATAATTGATCTGTTGGGGCCCTCTGCCTTTAAACGTCTTGTAATTTGAAGAGCAAGCCTCATATTCTCATCTGGAGGCAGGGCCAGAGAGGAAAATAACTTTCTGTTCCGTCTCCCTGCGCTGTAGACTCACAGAGCTTCTTGCAGTGCCCATCAGATTGCAAAGCTGACAACTCCTAAATATTCCAGATACAGGCCAGAAACCTCCTTAAATTACATGTCTAGAGAATTCATTCCTGACTTTCTCTGAGTCATGAAGAAAAGAAATGCTGCTTTCAGGGGCCTTTAGATTCACCTTCCAAGCCACAGTAATTCTAGCTTTGTTCTGGCATCTATAACCCAAAGGATCACTGTGCTGCTTCCTTGATGGTTCCCTAAGTCTCCTTTCCTCCCCAGGAGCTGCAGATATTTTCTTTCACAGATAATCTCCGCCCTGTGGGGGTCTGTGATTCCAGTGCTTATGCCATACTCCTTGGGTTCCAACATGTTGTCCAGACTTTTCTCTGCTCCCTGCTGCTTTCACAGCTGACCTGCTCTTCTCCTCCAGCATCTCCAGTTTTTCAGCTGGCTTCTCAGTTGCTGGTTTTTTTTGGTGGGGGACAATGCCACATTCTGAAGTTTATGATATGCTTTCTTGATAGTGATATTGTCCAGATCCTCAGTTTGTTTCTTAGTGTTTCTTAAGCCTGCCTGTCAAAGCTGCCACACGTCAGGCCTGCTTATCTGTGTGGATGTCTGGAAGAGAGTCTGGCAACTTTTCCTGTTGGTTTTACCTTCATTCAGGGATGATTGCAAATGGCATCTGGTTGTCTTAAAATTACTGGAATATCAGTATCCATCCTGGCAGACTTGACTAGATCACCTACATGCTTTTACAATTTCTTCTGAACAGATATTCTCCAATTAAGTTGCTCTCTCCTTTCCATCAGTGACAGAGTTTAATGTTATCCCATATAGAAATGGAAGTATGCTTTCTCTCCCCTACTATTCCATATGGGATTCAACCTGTAAGTCGCCCTTTATGTTTAGGTAGACAACTTTTGTGTTTGAGCATGGTACTATAATAAGCACGATTTGGAACAGTTTGTGTAAGTGTGTGTGTGTGTGTGTGTGTGACAGAGAGAGAGAAAGAGAGACAGAGAGAGAGAGAGACAGAGACAGAGAGACAGAGACAGAGAGAGAGAGACTAGCTGACCTTTACCTATAGTTCATTTTGCTCTGAGATAGGTAAAGTGGAGTAACTTGTCTCCAAAATGGCAGCCATCAAGTCCTTCCCTTCTTGTATTCCTTCTCCCATCGAGGGTAGAATTTATGCCTCTACTTCTTTGAGTCTGGGCTGGTCTGTGAATACCATGATAAATAGAATATAGAAGCTTGTAGCTTCTTCATGGCTCTCTTGGAATTTTGGCTCCGGGAAAATCCAGCCACAATATAAGAAATCAGACTTCCCTGAGACCACCATGCTGTGAAGAAGCCCACCATGGTCACATGGATAAGCCACATGAACAAAAATATGAGCAATAAGCCCTCAGCCATCCCAGCCCACATGCCAGACATACAAGTGAAGAAATCTTTAAAGACTCCAGCCTCTGCCTCCATCCAACTGCAATTATATGAAGGACCTCAGAAAAGAACCACCCAGCTGAGCCCTTAAGCCCCCAGAACCATGAAATATAATATTTTATTTTATTTTGAGATGGAGTCTTGCTCTGTTGTCCAGTTTGGAGTGCAGTGGTGCGATCTCAGCTCACTGCAACCTCCACCTCCCAGGTTCAAGCAATTCTCCTGGCTCAGCCTCCCGTGTAGCTGGGACTACAGGTGCTGGACACCACACATGGCTAATTTTTGTATTTTTAGTAGAGACGGGGTTTTAACATGTTGGTCAGGCTGGTCTCGAACTCCCGGCCTTAGGTGATCCGCCTGCCTCAGCCTCCCAAAGTGCTAGGATTACAGGCATGAGCCACTGTGCCCAGCTGAAATATAATATTAAATTATTGCTGTAAACCATTAACTTTTGGGTATGGTTTGGTGTACATCAATAGATAACTGGAATACCAAATATCTATTTTTTGTAAGAAAACCTTTCAGATCCAAGGTAGTAAAGCAATGGCATCTGTGACTGTGTGACAGGGTTGGAAGTTCTGCTTCTACTTGGCTTTAATAGATATGGCATGCTAAATTACTCTAGAAAGGGTAAAGTAGCTACTTTAATTTGCTATCCAGATGTGGCTTGGATGCGCTATTCTCCAGAGCTGGGTGATGGTGGACATCAGTTCAGTGCTAATAGATTAGCTATGTTCTAGTAATTTATTCTTGGAGAGTCTGACATTATTAACACTGACTGAGTATGAAAATAGGCAATAGTCATAGAAAGTTAGAGGAGGAAGGGGTCTTGTAGAGGAAATCACCTAGTCCAGCTACCTATACATATTTTTTTAGATAAGCAGAAGTGCCCAGAGGTAAAGTGTCTTGCCCAGATCACAGAGCTGTTTCGTGGCAATGCCAGGAAAAAAATGCAGGTCTCCTGGACTAGGCACAGCTCCTTCACCATGCCACTCTGCTTCTTGGACACTAAGGAAACCCTGAGGAAATTCGTATGCAATCTGGTTTTATTCTCCCTTTCATTTATTGTCTGTCCTATATACTATTGATCTGTACAATGGGACAAATACCTACCTCTTATGATTACTAGGAGCATTAAAGGAGATAGCTTATGGAAATATTTGGCACTTGCTATGTACTCAATAAATGGTAAGTACCTTCTTTAAGAGCCTAGTAAAACAAATTATTTGGAAAACCATCTCAAGGGCCTTTAAATTGAAAGAATTTCCCTACAAACAATACCCTAGGTATGAGAAATTCATCACTGGGGAGGACTACAGAGGATAATTCAACATGCATCCAAGTTCTAACCCAGACAAGTAGACATTTAAACGACCTGTGAGAAAAGAAAGGAGCGGGTTGTGGATAATTAGCACGAGCGCATGGAATAACTCACCATCCTGCAAAGGGAAACAGACAGGGCTGAGTCAGCTCTGGACGTGAGAATTAGAAGACAGCAGGCCGGGATGTCTGGAGTTCCTTCTGTCAACTTTTTATAAAAATAAGTACCTCTAGCTGTCTGTCTGCTGAGGAGACGATCCATCACCCAGTCTGTGAAAGTAGCTTTCCTTGAGCCCATCTCTCCAGACTTCTGTTGTGGTTACACGTCTCACTGTGGTTATCCCCATGTCTGCTTCTCTGTCTCCCTTGTATCATATGTGCTGTGTGTGTAAAACTCTTTATGTGGAGTCTGGAAATGGTTTTTAATACATTCAGAGTAACAAGCCATAACCTCCACCTTTAATACCTGCTTCTGCCATTTCTCATCACCGGGGCTGCAAGCACATATGGGAAGCATCCGCCCGTGAAGGCTCGGGGCCCCACCGTGCATGGAGAAGCAGATGGGGAGAAAAGGGAGCTATTGTACTGAACACCTGTTCAGCCATCAGGACCAAAAAACTGAAGTGTTCTAGAGGCCACGTGGTACAACGGACAGAGCCCCAGTTGTGGACATGCTAAACAAGAGACGCCACAGGTGTAACTATCATGATGATTTTAAGTGATGAGCAGAAAAATAATTTTCACTAGTTTTCTGCTCACCAAATGGTAAGGTGAAGTTGTTTCAGGGCTGTTGGGAGACGCCCTTGGAATTAGATTGATAAGTTCAAATTCCAGGTCTGCTGCTGGTGGCTTCATGATTTGTGGTAAACTATTTAACTCTCAGCTACACTTTCCTCACGTGGAAAATGAGGGTGATAATAATGCCTATTTTACAGGCAAGTTGTAGAGAAGATGACACGGGAATGGTGTGAGTAAAGTGCCTATCACCACCCGTGAGTATTGCAGATGCTCCATTAATTATAACCATTATTATATTGGCAATGACTTTCAAACTAAAAGAGAAAATGCTGTGGAATGAATAAAATTAGTTTACTCATTTGGACCAATTCTTCAGCCTCCCCACACCTATTAAATGAGGATTGCTTTGTCTGACACACTCTCAGATCTTGTGAATCTTAACATTAGCTCTAGCTGAGCTCCCTTTTCCCTGCAACATCAAGATGTCTCACTCCAGAAGATGTGAGGGACTTCAGAATTTTAGTCTGAGGGTCAGGATTGGTCTGAATCTGTTTATAAGACAAATGCAGAGCTTTTTGTACTTGGTGGAAAATTGTTTCAGCTCTTCCTCAAAGGGGCACATTATAAACAGCTGCTACTATTGTTTGTCCTTTAAAAATGTTATTGTTCTGTATAAAGAATAAAAAGGAACTTCTAGTCCTATGTGCTTTGCTAACAGTTTTGTAATGAGTATAATAGTGAATTGTGTTTATAGACTTGACTAATAATAAAAAAAAGAGAAACAACTGTTTCTTAAGTGCCTGCTATGTGCTAGACACTTCACAATCCTCCTCTGAGGTAGGTATGGCCATTTCCATTGTACAACGGAGAAATCTGAGGCAGGAGGTTAGGTATCTCACAGAAATCCCAGCTGGTGATTGGTGGAGTTGGTGTTTGAATGCACATCTGTCTGAGGCCTTGCTCTGTCCAGTCTACTTGACTTCCACCAGGCTCAGCTCCATTTGCTTGACTTTAATGAGGACCCAGTAGAAACTCAGCCTCACGGTTTTCTCAGGCCGCTTAGATCCTGCAAACTGTCCTTGCTCTCTCTCATCTTCTGAGTGTCCCTGCTGCTTCCACCCTGGCTCCAGATGATAGAAACTCTCTGTGCATATGTCAGTTATTACAAGATGCTGTGTGTGAAACTTTTAATCAAGTATTTCAATGCCACATCTGGAAACAATAATCCAGATGTTATAAACCACTTTGGCCAGCGGTTGCCAGACTGCTGTCCAGGTGATGAGTGCAGGACACCCCCTCTTCACATGTGGAAGATGATCTGGAGGGACTGAGAGCTGGGAAATTTTTAACTACTGTGCTGCCTCCCTCCCTGAAAAAGACATTAGAGACCTGAATCACACAGCTCCCAGACCGAGGGTGTCCTGGCCTCAGAAGAATGTCCAAGCTGAAGAATAATTGGCCCATTTTCTTCACAATCCCTAGAGTTGTACTGGAAACAGTGGTTGGGGTTGGACTGTGCACCTGCAACGCTATGGGCACTGTCCCCAACAGCCTGAATTCGGAGTTTATTTATAGGTTGCTTTCTTCCCCCTCCCAAGCCTCTATGGAGAAAGCTCTGAATCCCAGAGCAGCTGGAATCAAATAAAGGGATACCATGGAAAATAAAGGGATGGGGCAGGGCTTCTGCCATAAGGTCCAGATTTTGTGAGAATTATGACACCATCCAGAAGTGGTAGGGCTCCTGTGAACCACACAACTCCATTATAAGACAAAAATGACACAGGTAACTGATTCCTAATCAAATTTATGGTTTGCTCCATATTGCCCAGGCTTTTGGTTTTGAGCCCAGTGTTCATTGTTGCTATTAATTGCCAGTGGAGGCCAGCCTACTAATAGGGAAGCAACATGGCATCATGTAAAAAGGCTTAAAAAGTATGGGTGTGCAATTTAAACTATCTGCATCCAAATCCATTTCCTTCAACCTGTGTGACCTGGGATAAGTTAACCTTAATGGAGACTAAGCTTTCTCCTTTAAAAAAAAAAAGCGATGAAAATATCGCCCGGGCACAGTGGCTCACGCCTGTAATCCCAGCATTTTGGGAAGCTGAGGCAGGCGGATCACTTGAGGTCAGGAGTTCGAGACCAGCCTGGCCAACACAGTGAAACCCTGTCTCTACTAAAAATACAAAAATTAGCCAGGCGTGGTGGCAGGTGCCTGTAATCCCAGCTACTTGGGAGGCTGAGGCATGAGAATCACTTGAACCCAGGAGGCGGAGGTTGTTGTGAGCTGAGATTGTGCTACCACACTCCAGCCTGGGCGACAGAACAAGACTCCATCTCGAAATAAATAAATAAATAAATAAAAAATATCAAACTTCATAGAGGATTGTGAGGCTCTAAAGAGATGACGGATGTAATACACTTAGCACAATATAAGTGCTCAATGAACATCATTGTGGTGGTGGTAGCTGCTGATAAAAATTTGTTTTAAGAAAGCCTGATGTCTTCCTGTTAGCTAGAAGACCACTTCTCCACTTGGGGAATAGAAGGTGCTAGGTGTCACTAAACTGTTGGTGATTTCCACCAGAGAAGGGAAAGACCAACGGGGAAGGGCTGAGAGCTGTCTGATGCTGTTCACATGCACTCTAGCAGACTCCACTTATAATCTGGCCCAACCAGCTTGATTGAAAAAGCCAGCCTCTCCACAGGAATTTCACACATGCAAATGAGAATTTTGATGGTCCTTGTAAAATAACCTCTAGTTTAGTCTGAACAGTCCCTGCCATTTGAGAGCCAAAGTCCCCAAGATGGGCCAAATTCACTGCACAATTGCTCTAGTCTGAACCCAGCCTCAGAGACCACAGAGGTAACAGTTTTCAATCTTCTAGTCCCAAGGATGCTCCCAGCATTGCTGCTGAATAAGCCAGCCCTTTGGTTACTTCAGTGCAGAGTGAGCCAGACAACCGTTAGTCCTAGGAAACAAAAGTCAACCCACATTAGCACCCACCTTTTAATACTGTATTTTCAAGCAAAAATGTCAATGTAATCTTTAAGAATGAGAATTTTTTGGTTTATCAAGAAAGTAGCACCCTTTTAAGGTATACTCATTTGTAGATTTTTCTTGATACTTTCAAGATTTTGGCTCTCCTTTATATGCCTGTAATTATTTACTTACCTCCTTGAGAAGGATTTTTTTAAGGTTTTCAGGAGAGTGAAATAGTTGAGCTCTTGGAAATATTTAAGTATAGTTCTACTTTGTTTTATCCAGTACATCTGGATTATTTTAGCCCTAGGCAAAGATCCATTAGCATCACACAAAACTATGTTGTCTTCAAACTATATTTTTGACTAAAATTTTCACCTTAAAGAAAATGATGTTTATACTGTTTAACACAGAAAAGACTCATTCATACTCTGACTTCTTGGATGATCTCTTTGTATTTCCTTTCTGTCTTCCTCTCCCTCAAATGTGGGCCTGTCCCAAAGGTCTATGCTTGGTCTTCTTCCCTAATCTCTCCTCACTGCAGAGATTTTAGTCATCCATATTGTTTGACCTGTCACTTCTATTTAGGTGCTGTCTAAAGAGTAATGCTCAGAAAAAGAAGTGAATGATCCCTACTTCAAAAGCATTGAGCTTGGGGAGCCCACAGGATGTCCAAATAGAAAAGTCCAACAGAAACATTTCCCCCAGTGCACACAAAGACACTGTTAAGTAAAAGCTTTATTCAGGTTTCTCTTGCCTGTAATCATGCCTTGAAAAAGCTCCTATTTTAATAAATCATGGGCCATATCTGTTTGACAGAGAAGCTGATGAAGCAGGTCTATTTTTCTTACGTCGTTTCTTTCTTTCTTTCTTTTTTTCTTTTTTGGCCCTTGGGGTCTCTCATTTCTTGCTTCTGTTTATCCAAGTTTTATTTACAGTATCCTAATAAATCTCTACGTTGCAGGATCATATGGACATGTAGACAGTTTCAGGGGTTACCCAGGAGCACTGTAATGTTAGGAAGCAGATGGCAATGCTTTACTGTTGAGGACACAGGGACCTCACTGCATGATACTGAAGTCAAGTTTCTCTCACTTGACTTAAGGAAAGAGATTCAAATGGAGGACAAGAGGGAGTCTTATATAGATCCTGTCCAAACCACCACTGGGCTAGGAGCAGCAGAAAATGTCCATGCTATCCCTTCCTCAGCTGGGTAATGACACATAGAAAGCTACTTACTTCCACAATAAAAGCGCATGTAAAAATTCTAATATTCAAATGCCCCTAAGTATCACCTGCCTACAGCTGTCAATGAGGTCACATCAGTATCAGTTCCTTAACCCCCTTCTCAAAGCTTAGCTATATTATTTCCAGGTGTCCCCAAGACTGTCCAGCCTGGGTTAACATTTTGATGTCATTCCATATGAACGTACATTTGATGCATATTGCTTTGTCATCTTCTTTTTCACTTGTAGTTTACTATGAACTTTCTCCAATGAGTTAGATATTTTTTCCATAACATGATTGTTTATGTTTATATCACATGGATAATTTGTTTAAACAGTCTTCTATTGTTGTACCTTTATTTCCAATAAAAAATAACTTTGTGGTGAATGTCTTTGCTTATACAGCTTTGCATACATCTCAAATTATTGGCCTGAAATAAATCCTTGGGCATGAAATTGCTTGGCCATAGGTTATGCTAATTATAAGAAGTAAATTCTATTATTGTAAATAAGTAATGATAAGGATATCAAATACTACTAAATATGGGTTAATGGGTGGCAGTTCCTCTGGAGAGAGCTTTTAAAAACAAAAAGATACTTACGGCTTTTTAAAAAAATGCATCTTAAGGAACAAAAACCATACCAAATTTATCAATACAATGGAATAATTTTGAATTTTGAAACTGCTCTATAATCTGACATTTTTGCTTCCTAAAATTTAAATTAGATACAGTATTCATATGTAGGAATTGTAAGCATCTATTTAAAGAACATTAATATATAAATTATTAGTGATATTCATCACCAATAAATCATGCAAGTATGAACAGGCATTCTGCACTTTATTTGAAAGCTCAGTACTTGAAGTTTCTTCATTCTCTACTAGAGAGATTTTTAAGTTTTAGTGGTCTATAAAGGATTAAGTGGAATGTATGACTTGTATCCTTCGCTAGATTTTAAGAGAAAGGAGTTGTCACCAATATATTTTGACCAAATACCTTATTAAAGACACAACGAAGAATGGAGCTTGGAAGCAACGGTAGCCCAGACGCCTCTAACAGCTCCATCATTCTGTACTTTAATAACTCATTGGCAACATTATGAAGTAGTTTATGTTCCAGACTTTGCCTCCTGGTATCTAGATTTTTATAGGTGTTTTGATTGAGGTATAGAGGAGGCATTTTTTGGCTGCTGATTTCTATTCCAGATTGTGGGATGTGAATAATTTGGTAAATTAACATCAATGGGTTAGACTGTTCTTTGTTACCAAAGGCCCCTGGGCTGCCCATTCCACTGGATGGTCACATTAATTTGCAACCACAGGAGGATGGCTGCTGGGCACATACGCCCACATTGAATTTCCTTTTGCAGGTTTTCTCCCTATTTTGAATATTCAGGTAGCCACTAAAGTCTGAGGCAGCTCTCTCTTGTGCATTCATAATTCTGGCTAAACCTAGGGCTTCCAAAACTAATATCAGGGAGGAAAGATCCAAACCTTAGTGCTTTTGTGGCTTTTTTTTTTTCCTGGGGCCAATTTTCGGCTATGTTTCCAATGATCAGTCTGTACTCCTAGTTATATACTAAATACATAAACTGTGTGTGCTACAAATGATGTTTTTCTAGCCTGTCCGTATAGCCTATTAAACCAGAGTTGGCAGTTTTCCATCCCTTAGGAGAAGCATTTGGCATAAATAATATTGTCATTTGGGAAGGCTAGACATGGTTTGAAGAAGTGACCTTGTATAAATATTGTCTGAGGTATGACTGAGGCTAAATTATATGACAGAGAGCTAGTATAGTCTGGGCTCTGGGCCCTCCTGGTAATGAAGTTGCTTCTTGTAGTAATGGAACCATCTGAATTGAAAATGTAATCAAATACATCAGAGGCTGTTAAAAGCACAAGAACCAGCTTATTTATGAGCCCCCAGGGTCCAGAGGATGAGAAAACGGTGCTGGAATTTCTTTGTTGTTCAAATGGCTTTGTCTTTTTAAAAGACAAGATGTCCTAGAAAGTGCCTTTTGTCCTTGCCACAGAACTTCCCTCAGTGTTGAGACTGCTGGTCAGGCCAAGAGTTTGTTGATTTCCCCGCCCACGTGTGGGGTGAGAAGCTGGCACAGAGCAGAGTCTTGGGTATTGCTGGGCTATTTGTGGTTGACCTGGTAATATCAGTAGCACAATACAGTCCCCCCAAAGACAGTTACTTTCCATTCCCTCTCTTAACACCCTAGTTTAGGATTTCATTTCCTCTTTCTTGGACTGTGTTGTTCTACCAGCCTCCTAATTATTCAGAATTCCTTCCCTTCACTTTCTCTTCCTTCTACTGATTTGCTAGATTTGTCTTTCAAAAGCATGATTTTCATCAATCCATCTATGTATCCATTTGTTCCACAATTATTTGTTGAATGCCAACTGTGTGTCAAGCACTTTGCTACCTGCTATAATAAATAAAATTTATAGTCTAGTGAGGAAACAGATGTTTGACAAATAATCACACTACTGGACATACAATTATAAGCAATTATAATCTTGCTTCTTGCCTACAGAAGACTCTTTTTTAATAACTCACCTCCTTCTTCAGCACCTTCTTCAACCCCTTCTTCGGCACCCTCCTTCTCAGCCAACTCTGCTGAGGGGGAAGGGGAAAGTATTAAAGGTTCTAGCACATCAAAGTTCCAGAGGGTGTTGCAGACCAGTTGAAGCTGGTAACTGGGAAGTGCTAATTATAAAATTATATATTAGGTATTAGCATTGGGGAAATTGTACAGGAGTTTATAAAGAAGACAGAGGAGTTGCCTGAAGCTGGGGAGTCTATGCCCTTGCCCAGAGAAGGGGCGAATTATTGAAAAAGAGTGTACTGTAGGAAAGAAGCAAGATTCTTTGGTGGTGTGAAACAAAGGAATCTCATCTAGACTGAGGAGTCAGGAGAGGCTCCACCAAGGCAATGATAATTAAGTTGCAGTGTGAAGCATGCACAGGTCTCAACTTGGCAGAAAAGGGGCTGGGGAGGATAGACAGGGTGGGTGGGTGGAGTGCTTTCCAATCAGAGGAAAGGCTGCAGCTGGGGGAAGTATGACGCCATTCGAGGAATGAAGAGACCATCAGCATGGCTGGAAGTACAGAGAGTGAGGGCCACACCGGGAAGGTTACGTAGCTCATGTTAAGAATTGAGGTCTATATTCTCAATTAACCATTAAAATGAGCCATTAAAGAGTGTTTAAGCAGGGCTGTGATTTGACCAGGTTTGCATTTTGAAAAGACAACTTGGGCTGCAGTGAAGAGGACCAATTAGCAGGGGCCAAAGAGATCAGATAGGAGGATAACGGCGAAGCTGGGTGTCAGCAGTGGAAATGAGAAGTAGACAGGTTTGAGTATTATTTATGTGGAGGAAAAAACCACAAGGTTTGATGATGGATTGAACATGAGGAATAGGGCAGAGGTAATCATCAAGGAGAATTGCAAGACTCCAATTTGTGCAACTGGATTGGTTGCACATTTACTAAGCAGGGGAATACTGAAAAAAGGAACTAAATTTTGGGAGAAAATAATGAGCAAAGCCTTGAAGCAAAAGCATGCTTGGTGTTTTCAAGGAAGAGCTAGGGGAGCATAGTAGCTGTTAAAGTCACAGAGGCATGATTGCAGAAGGAGGCAGAGTCTGTCTTGTAGGAGGACAAGCCCAAAATCAAGAGACCAGTTGGGTGACAATAATCCAGATTACCATTAATTACCATAATCCAGATAGAAGATGGTAGTGGTGGCTTAGATCAAGGTGGTGGCTGAGAAGGTGGTGAGAAGTGGCTAGGTCCTGGATAGATTCTGAATATAGAACCGGCAGCACTTTCTGATGAATTGGTTGTAGTGAGAATGAAAGAGAGGAATAGGATGACACCAAGCCTTTTGGTTTGAGCTACTGGAAAGATGGATTGCCATTTACTAAACTGTAGAAGACTTCTGGAAATTCTGTGGTTTTATTTTTTTATTTTAATTTTATTTATTTTTTTTTTTTGAGACAGAATCTCTCTGTGTTGCCCAGGCTGGAGTGCAGTGGTGTGATCTCAGCTCACAGCAACCTCTGCCTCCCAGGTTCAAGCTATTCTCATGCCTCAGCCTCCCAAGTGGCTGGGATTACAGGCATGTGCCACCACACCCGGCTAATTTTTGTATTTTTAGTAGAGACAGCATTTCTCCATGTTGGTCAGGCTGGTCTTGAACGCCTGACCTCAGGTGATCCACCGCGTTGGCCTCCCAAAGTGCTGGGATTACAGGCGTGAGCCACCTTACCCAGCCAGGGGTTTGATTTTGAATTATGTTTGAGGCCTTTTTTCGATAAGCAAGTGGAAAGATTGAGTAGGCTGTTGGATATATGGACTAAAGCTCAGAGGAGAGATCCAGAAAAAAATGTATAAATTTGGGTATCTTTGGGGATTAGACAGAAGGTACTCCAACCCATGAGAAAGGATGAGTTCACCAAGGGAGTAAGGATAATTAGAGAAGAGGAACAAATGTTTAGGAGCTAAGCATAAAGAATATAATTCTAATCAATAATGTTCAAGGTTATCATCACTAGTAATAAGACCTATCAACAGCATTTACCCCGATATGATGCATTGAGAAGGGCACACCTTCATGTCTGTGGTAATTTTGCTAAAAAATACCATATAATATCCATTTAACCACGATAAAATATCAGACAAGTCCAAATGTAGGCATGTTATACAAAATAACTGAACAGTACTCTTTAAAAGAGTCAAGGTCGGCTGGGCGTGGTGGCTCACGCTTGTAATCCCAGCATTTTGGGAGGCTGAGGCGGGTGGATCACTTGAGGTCAGGAGTTTGAGACCAGCCTGACCAACATAGTGAAACCCCATCTCTACTAAAAACACAAAAATTAGCCAGGCATGGTGGCACGTGCCTGTAATCCCAGCTACTCAGGAGGCTGAGGCAGGAGAATTGCTTGAACCCAGGAGGTGGAGGTTGCAGTGAGCAGAGATCATGCCACTGCTCTCCAGCCTGAGTGACAGAGTGAGACTCTGTCTCAAAAAAAAAAAAAAAAAAAAGAGTTAAGATCATGAAAAATAATTAATGACTGAGAAATGATTACAGATTGAAGGAAATTAAAAAGCTGTGACAATTAAATGCAACATGGGAACCCAGATTGGATACTATTAAAACAGAAAAAAGATATTAGTGGAAAAACTGTTGAAATTTGAATAAAGACTGTAGTGTAGTTAATAGTATTGTACCAGTGTTATTTTCCTGGTTTTGATCATTGTACTATGGTTACATAAGATGTTAACAAGGGAAGATAGTTTAAGGAAATGGAGGAATGTTCTGTTTCATTTTTCCAACTTGTCTGTAAGTCTTAAATTATTCCAACAGAAAAAGTTAAAGAAAATTAAGTTTATGGCTTTTCGGTCCGTACCCTAAGGATGTGGCTGCCCTCATGTCTGGTCTTTCTAGGTAAGCAGAGAGATGCTGGAGAAGGAGATAGGGCCACCCTATAGGGTCTAACTGTGCGAAAGGCTTTGAACTTTCCTTTGAGATCCAGTGAAGGGGTAGGCAGGGTAAGTGGGGGAAGAAGAGAAACCAGACATGTTTGTTTTCGGCAAAAAGAGACAAAAAAACAGAATAAATACTGTGTTAGGCCTGGATTCAGGCAAACACCCAGTTACTTTCAATTATTCATCCTGTTCTCCAAACAGAATTGACCATGAGTGACTTCATGACTCACAAGGGTGTTAGCATATTGTAACGTCTGGCTGGGAAGATTGCTCAAATCCCAAAGGATTTGACTCGAGGAGCCTTGCAGCATTCTGCTTTTTCCTGCCACGCCTACAGCTCAGGCACAGTTGTAGAGTGGATTTGAAGTTTATATGCCTGAAAGGTAGGTTGTATGTGCATTATATCTGACCTTCCCTGTTTGGAATGATTCCAGAACAAAGAATGCAGCTGGATTGAGATACCAACCGGCAGTGAGTGAGGATATGCCTGGAATAGACCTAATAGGAATGAGGAGAGAGACTCCCACAGCCAACTCTGTGGAGGGAGGACAGGGGAGCATTACAGGTTCCATCACACTGAAGTTCCAGAGGGTGTTGCAGACCAGTTGGAGATGGTGACTGGGGCGTGCTAATTATAAAATTATGTATTAAATATTAGCATTGGGGAAATTGCAAAAGAGGTTTCTAAAGAAGACAGAGGAGTCCCTGAAGCTAGGGAATCTATGCCCCTGACCAGAGAAGAGGTGAATTACTGAAAAAGATACACCCTTTAACCTCCCTACTGTCCCATGGGGAACAGGTCAATAATCAGGGAGAGGCTCTTAATCCCTGGAGGCCAGGGTATGATCACCTCCCTACCTCTAACCTACCTCATTGCCTGACCTGGCAGGAAACTGTGCACGTCCACCCTCTGTTCTCAGAAACTCTGAAATCTTGCAGTCCAATACCCTAAGGCTCTAATGCTACAAAATGCTACTATTAATGGTAGCTGTCAGTTTCTAAATGCTTACCTCATACTAGGCTCTTTATATAACTGTTTCTAATTCATTCAACAACTCTTCAAAGTAGTCATTATCATCCTTATGTTTTACAGAAGATTTTATTGGTGAGGAAATAAATGTTTAGCTTTTCTGAGATCACACAACTAGTGAGTGGCTAAGCCAAGATTTGAACCCAGATCTGATTTCCTATTGAGTCACAGAACTTTCCAATGAACATGTTGCCTCTCCTATCTCCAGTGAACCCCAGGGTCCAGGAGGAAGTACACCTTGGGGAAACATTAGCCACTCTGGGAATGCTGTGACTGTGGGCACAGAGCAGCCTTCCAGGAGTAACCCCAGCTACTCAGAAGGCTGCTCTGTGCGCACGGCCATTTCTTGAAACCTGTGTGAAATTTCAAGAAATTTCACTGGGGTTGGAAAATTAGCAGCCTGTGTCTCCTCAGGCCAGATTCGGTGGCCTGGTGCTGCTACAGGCAGTCAACGGTAACTGAGGTCTGTGGAGTGTGAGGGGGAAGGGCATGAAGTCACGAGGGGCACACCTGGGCTCCTGATGGTGGAAAATCACAAGGATGTTTTGTCAGCGTTTGCCTGCAGCTACATTTCTGGCTGAAATTTTGGATGGCTTTACCAAGCCTCAAAGGCAGAAAGAAAAAATCATGTTGAGAGAGACAGGCGCTTTGACGGGAAACAAGGTCTGGGTGCTAGCTGGCTCTTTGCCATGAACTTAACACATGAAGAGGAGCAGAGAAGCTTCCTTGTTACCATCAGACTGTCATCAAATTGCCCTGGGCATCCTACAGAGAGAAAGGTAGCCAGGCCTCCAACCTGAACAAACCCTTTGATGCAGCATTACAGAGGAGTGCAGGACCACAAAAGACTGTGTAACGACCTACCACATTGATAAAATAGATCCACTATGAACTATTTTCCTAATGAGGCAAGAGCATTTCATGTGTTGGAGACATTTTTAAAAGCCAGCATTTCCTAGAAAAAGTGAGTGAGAAAAAAAGAAAAGTCAACTTCACACCGTGTTGTGAAGAGGGAGTAAAGTCTGAACTCCAAAGCACCATTTATAAGATCAGCCCCTGCCTTTTCCTTGTTCTATCTCCCATTGTTCTCCTCTGCAACCTTTGTTCCATCCACACTGTTCTCCTGCTGTTGTGCTGTTGCATATCTGTCCTCTCTCCCAGCATAGCCCCTGCCTCATTCCTCTCCCTGCTCCCATCAGCTGAGTAGCTCCTACTTGTCTTTCACAACCGAGGTCAGTACCTCTCCCCTGGAAGGTCTTCCCTGCCGACCTGAGCTTAGGCAGGAGCCATCCCATGTGCACCCAGTGGATTCTTCTGTCAAACCCTTACCATTCTGCTTATTTAGCTCCTCAAAAGCAGGGACTGAATTTTATTATCATTCTCTAGCTCTTAATGTCCTAGGCTTCAGGGATACTTGGTGAACAAGAAAGTCAGGCCATCTGGCTGTGAACTAGACATCTCTACATGGATGTCTCACTGGCTCCTCATACTAAATTAACCTGTGCCTTTACCTGGCATCTTTATCATTCAACCTTATCAACCATCTTTGACTCTTTTCTCTCTCCCCCACCTCCTTTATTTAATCATCCACTAAATCCTGTGTATTTAAATAACAATCAGACTTAGAGCTTAATATGCTTTAGGCATTATGAAAAGTCCTATATAGGTATATGTTAACTCATTTCAGCCTCACAACAACCCAAAAGGTGGAGTCTCTCATAGTATACAGATGAGGAAATTGAAGCAAAAGAAGGTGAGTAATTTGCCTGAAGTCACACAGCTTAAAAGCGATGGAGCTAGGATTGGAACCCAGGCAGTCTGGATTCAAAGCCCTACCTCCTAAATATTTCTCAGTCCCACAGGCCGCCGTTACCTCATTCCTCCTGCAATCCATTCCCCATAATGTAACCAGAGCAATTTTTCCAAATAAACTCTCCTTAAAAACTTCCACTGCTCCCTAACATACTCTAAACAGAATTCCAATAACTTTAGACACTGATAAGCCCTTTTCCTGTCTGCTCTTGCCCACCTTCCAGCCTTGACTCTTGCGACCCTTCCTCTCAAAGCCTGAGCTGTTCTGCAGTTGG
The DNA here is from genome assembly GCF_000001405.40 of Homo sapiens. Classification (NCBI taxonomy): domain Eukaryota; kingdom Metazoa; phylum Chordata; class Mammalia; order Primates; family Hominidae; genus Homo; species Homo sapiens. The sequence goes on along the minus strand of NC_000005.10, from coordinate 65,060,062 downwards.
TTTCTGTGTGTGAAACATTGTAGACTCATTCTCCCTGCTAGCCTTCAGCCTCATCTTAGATGTGACTTACATCAGGAAGCCCTCTGTATGAGTCTGTTCTCACACTGCTATAAATAACTACCTGAGACTGGGTATTTATGAAGAAAGAGGTTTAATTGACTCACAATTCCACAGACTGTACAGGAAGCATGGCTGAAAGGCCTCAGGAAACACAAAATCATGGCAGAGCTCAAGTGCCTAGAGTGCAGCAAGGCTGTGCAGGGCAGCATGGCCACAGGCCTGGCCCATGAAACCTTTCAGTCCTCCTAGGCCTCCGGGCCGGTGATGGGAGGGGCTGCCACACAAAGATCTCTGAAATGCCTTGGAGGCCTCTTCTCCATTGTCTTGGCTATCAGCACTTGGCTCCTTTTCACTTATGCAAATTTCTGCAGCCTGCTTGAATTTCTCTCCTGAAAATGGGCTTTTCTTTTCTACCACATGGCCAGGCTGCAAATTTCCCAAAGTTTTATGCTCTGTTTTCCCTTTGAATATAAGTTCTAGGCTGACTGTGATGGTTCATGCCTGTTATCCCAGCACTTTGGGAGGCCGAGGCGAGTGTATCACTTGAGGTCAGGAGTTTGAGTTAGTCAGCCTGACCAACATGGTGAAACCCCATCTCTACTAAAAATACAAAAATTAGCCAGGTGTGATGGCAGGCACCTGTAATCCCAGCTACTCAGGAGGCTGAGACAGGAGAACCACTTGAACCTGGGAGGTGGAGGTTGCAATGAGCAGAGATTGTTCCACTGCACTGCAGTCTGGGCAAGAGTGAGACTCTTTCTCAAAAAAAAATATATATAAATATAAATATAAGCTCCAAATTTAGGTCATTTTTTTTGCTCACGTAATATGTTGTTAGTAGCAGCCAGGCTACATCTTGAATGCTTTACTGCTTAGAAATTTCTTCTACCAGATATCCTAAATCATCATGTTCAAGTTCAAAGTTCCACAGATCCCTAAGGCAGGAGCACAATGCAGCCAAGTTCTTTGCTAGGATATGATAGAAGTGACTTTTGCTCCAGTTCCCAATACATTTTTCATTTCCACCTGAGACCTTCTCAGCCTGGACTTCACTGTCTACATTTCTATCAGCATTTTGGTCACAAACATTTAGCAAGTTTCTAGGATGTTCCAAACTTTTTCATCTTCCTGTCTTCTTCTAAGTTTTTACAGTCTTCCAAACTCTGCCTGTTACCTAATCTCAAAGCTGCTTCCCTTCCACATTTTCAGGTATCTTTATAGCTCTACCCCACTTCTGAGACAAAATCTCTGTTTTAGTCAGTTCTTGCTGTGCTATAAAAAAATACCTGAGACTGGATAATTTATAAAGAGAAGAAATTTAATTGACTCACAGTTCCACAGGCTATAGAGGAAGCATGATTCTGACATTTGCTTGGCTTCTGAGGAGGCCTCAGGAAACTTACAGTCATGGTGGAAGGCAAAGGGAATTGAGGCATCTCACATGGTGGGAGCGGGAGCAAGAAAGAAGGGGGCAGTGCTACACACTTTCAAAAAATCAGATCTCATGAGAATTCACTCACTATCATGAGAACGGCATCAAGGAAATGGTGCTAAACCATTCATGTGAAACCACCCCATGATCCAATCATTCCCCAACTAGGTCCCACCTCCAACATTGGGGATTACAATTGAAAATGAGATTTAGGAGGGGACACAGATACAAAGTATATTAGCCATTCTTCAGACCCCATTGGTGGCAGCAGTGGACTGAGTAAGCTTATCTTTGTGTTCTAGGGTGGTATATGCTGGTGTATGTTGGTAGTTATCAGTAGGCCAATTTTTGGGCCTCCAGATAGCTTTCATGGATGCTGGTAGTGACCACAGTGGGCTGGGAAGGTGAACAGTTTCTTGGGACCCTCTACCATCATGAAAACACATGAAAATATAAAATTTACTGGTAAAGCAATCACACAAAACAGGAAGGGAAAGGACTCAAATTGTATCACTACCGAAATTCACCTAACCACAAAAACAATCAATAAAACAAATGGAGAAGAACAAAGAATATATAAAACAACCAGAAAACAATGAATAATATTACAGAAACATGAATTAAAATTTCCACTGAAAACATGTTGAATGAATGAGATCATGTCCTTTACAGGAACATGGATGGAGCTAGAGGCCATTATCCTTAGCAAACTAGCACAGGAGCAGAAAACAAAATACTGCATGTTTTCACTTATAAGTGGGAGCTAAATGATGAGAACACATGGACACATAGAGGGGAACAACAAACACTGCAGCCTACTGGAGGAGGTAGGGTGGAAGGAGGGAGGGATCAGGAAAAATAACTAATGGGAACTAGACTTAATACCTGGGTGATGAAATAATCTGTACAACAAACACCTGTGACATGAGTTTACCTATATAACAAATATGCACACATAGCCCTTAAATTAAAAGTTATAGAACACAAACAAAAACATGTAGAATGGCTAAATGAAAAATTTTTTTAAAACCCACATGATCTAATTATATGCTGCTTACAAGTAACTCACCTTACTAGTAAAGACACAATTAGAGTGAAAGTAAAGAAATGAAAAAAAAAATTCCGTGTAAACAGAAACCAAAAAGGACCAGGAATAGCTACACTTATATCAGATAAACAGACTTTATATCAATAACAGTAAAAAAAAAAAAAAAAAAAAGAAAGACAAAGAAGGTCATTATATCATGATAAATTAAAGGGATCAATCCAGCAAGAGGATACAATTCTAAACATATATGCACCCAACACCAGAGCACCCAGATTCATAAAGCAAATATTGCTAGATCTAAATAGGGAGATTGACTGCGATGCAATAATAGTGGGGAACTTCTACAGTATATCGCACTCTCAGCATTAGATTGATCATAAACAGAAAATCAACAAAGAAACATTGGATTTAAACTGCATTTTAGACCAAAATGAACCTAACAGACATTTACAGAAATTTCTATCCAACAACTGCAGAATATACATTCTTTTCATCAGCACATAGAACATTCTCCAAGATACACCATATGTTAGGCCACAAAGCAAGTCTCAACAATTTTTAAATATCAAAATCATATCAAATATCTCCTCAGATCATAATGGAGTAGAACTAGAAATCAATACCAAGAGGAGCTTTGGAAACTATACAAATACATGGAAATTAAACAACATACTACTGAATGACCACTGATTCAACAAAGAAATTAAGATGAAAATCAAAAAAGGTCTTAAAATGACTGAAAATGGAAACAACACACAAAAACCTGTGGGTTACAAAAACAGTGCTAAGAGGGAAGTTTATAGCAATAAATGCCTACATCAGAAAAGGAGAAAGATTACAAATTAACAGTCTAACAATGCACCTCAAGCAGCCAGAAAAGCAAGAACAAACCCAACCCCAAATTAGCAGAAGAAAAGAAATAATAAAGATCAGAGCAGAGCTAAATGAAATAGGGACTAATAAAACAATACATAAGATCAATGAAACAAAAATTGGTTCTTTGAAAATATAAACAAAATTGATACACCATAGCTAGATAACCAAGAAAGCAAAAGACATAAGCAAAACCACAAATGAAAAAGGAAACATTACAACTGATATCACAGAAACACAAAAGATCATCAGAAACTGTTAGGCACAACTACAAGCTGACAAAGTAGAAAACCTAGCAGAAATGCATAAATATAACCTACCAAGATTGAGTCAGGAAGGAATAGAAAACTGGAACAAAACAATAACTAGTAGCAAGTTTGAAGTGATAATAAAAAGTCTCCCAGAAAGAAAAGTCCAGGACTGGATGGATTCACAGCTGAATTCTACCAAATGTACAAAGAAGTACTAATACTTATCCTCCTGGAACCATTCCAGAGGAGGGAATGTTCCCTAACTCATTCTATGTGGCCAACAGCAGCCTAATACCAAAACCACACAAGGACAAAACAGAAAAGAAAACCACAGGCCAATATCCACAATGAACACAAAAACAAAAATCCTCACCAAAACACTAACAAACCAAATGTAGCAGCACATCGAAAAGATAATAGAGTACAATCAAGTGAGATTTATAATAGGGATGCAAGGGATGGTTCAACATATGCAAATCAACAAACATGATACATCACATCAACAGAATCAAGAAAAAACACTGTGTGATCATAGAAGCAGAAAAATCATTTGATAAAATTCAATAGAAGCAGAAAAGTTATTTGATAGAATTCAACATTTCTTCATAATGAAAACTCTGAACAAACTAGGAATAGAAGAAACATACCTCAAAATAATAAAGGACATATATGACAAACTCACAGCTAATGTCTTTATGAATGGAGAAGAGGTGAAAACCTTTCCTTTAGGAACTGAGGCTGGGCACGGTGGCTCATGCCTGTAATCCCAGCACTTTGGGAGGCTGAGGAGGGTGGATCACAACGTCAGGAGTTTGAGACCAGCCTGACCAACATGGTAAATCCCATCTCTACTAAAAATACAAAATTATCTGTGTGTGGTGGTACATGCCTGTAATCCCAGCTACTCGGGAGGCTGAAGTGGGAGAATTGCTTGAACCCAGGAGGCAGGGGTTGCAGTGAGCCAAGATTGCACCATTGCACTCCCGCCTGGGCAACAGGAGCAAAAACTCTGTCTCAAAAAAAAAAAAGAACTGAAACAAGACAAAGATGCCCACTTTCACCATTCCTATTCAACATTGCACTGGAAGTTCTGCCAGAGTAATAAGGCAAGAGAAAGAAATAACAGGCGTCCAAATTGGAAAAGAGGAAGTCAAATTGTTCCTCTTTGTGATATGATCTTCTACCTAAAAAAAAAAAACTAAAGACTCCATCAAAAAACTATTAGCTTTCATAAGTGAATTCAGTAAAGTTACAGGGTACAAAATCAATGTACAAAACCCAGTAGTGTTTCTATACACCAGTAATTATCTAGCTGAGAAAAAAATCAAGAAGGCAATACAATTTACAATAGGCACAAAAGGTAAAATACTTAGTGATGAATTTAACCAAGGAGGTGAAAGATCTCTATAAGGAAAACTGTAAGACACTGATGAAAGAAATGAAAGAGGACACCAACAAATGGAATACATCCCATGCTCATGGATTGGAAGAATAAATAGCATTAAAATGATCATATCACCCAAAGCAATCTACAGAGTCAGTGCGATCCCTATCAAAATATCAATGTCATTCTTCACAAAATCAGAAAAAAAAAATCCTAAAATTCATATGAAACCCAAAAAGGACCCAAATAGCCAAAGCAATCCTAAGCAAAAAGAACAAAGCTGGATACATTACATCACTTGACTTCAAAATATATTACAAGGCACCAGGTGTGATGGCTCACACCTACAATCTCAGCACTTTGTGAGGCCAAGGCAGGAGGATTGCTTGAGCTCAGGAGTTTCAGACCTGCCTGGGCAACATAGTGATACTTCATCTCTACTTAAAAAAAAAAAAAAAAAAAAAGCAGCTGGGTGTGGTGTGGTGGCACATGCCTGTAGTCCCAGCTACTTGGGAGGCTGAGGTGGGAGGATCACTTGAGCCCAAAAGATTGAGACTACACTCCAGCCTGGATGACAGAGTGAGACCTTGTCTCCAAAAAAAAAAAAAAAAAAAAAAAAAATTACAAGGCTATAGTATTGTAGTATTGGTATAAAAATATATAGACCAATGGAACAGAATTGAGAATCCAGAAATAAAGCCACATACTTATAGCCAACTGATCTTCAAAAAAGCTGCCAAAAACATACATTGGGTAAAGGGCACCCTCCTGAAAAAACTGTGCTGGGAAAATTGGATATTCATATGCAGAAGAATGAAACTGGACCCCTATCTCAGCATTTACAAAAATCAACTCAAAATGAATTAAAGACTTAAACATAAGACCCAAAACTATTAAAATACTAGAAGAAAACCTAGGGAAAACTCTCCTAGTCATTGGTCTAGGCAAACAATTTATGACTAAGTCCTCAAAAGCACAGGCAACAAAACAAAAATAGACAAATGGAACTTAATTAAACAAAAAACCTTCTGCACAATAAAGAAATAATCAACAGAGAAAAGATAACCTGTTGAATGGGAGAAAATATTTGCAAATTATTCATTTATTAGGGGACTAATATCCAGAATTTACAAGAACTCTAGCAATTCAACAGGAAAAACAACAACCAACAACAAATAATCCCCTTAAAAATAGGCAAAGGATATAAGTAGACATTTCTCCAAAGAAAACATACAGACGGCCAACAGGTATGTGAAAAAAATGCTCAACATCACTAATAATCAGAGAAATGAAAATTAATACCACAATGAGATATTACTTTACCCTAATGGCTATTATGAAATAAAAAATAACAGATGTTTGGTGAGGATACAGAGAAAAGGGAATTCTTATACACTGTTGGTGGGAATATAAACTAGTACAGCCACTGTAGAAAACAGTATAGAATTTTCTCAGAAAACCAAAATAGAATTACCATTAGACCCAGCCATCCCACTCTTGGAATCTACCCAAATGAAAAGAACTCACTATATCTAAGGGATACCTGCACTTGCACGTTTATTGCAGCACTATTCACAATAGCAAAACTATGGAATTAATGTAAGTGTCCATCAAAAAAAGAATGAGTAAAGAAAGTATGGTGTGTGTGTATATATATATATACATATATATATACACATATATATACACATATATATGCATATATACATATATATGCATATATATGTATGTATATATGTATGTGTGTATATATACATATACACACACAATGGAATATTGTTTAGCCATAATAAAGAATGAAATCATGTCATGTGCAGCAGGATAGATGGAACTGGGGGTTATTATGTTACGTGAAATAAGCCAGGCACAAAAAGACAGATAAGACATTTTTTCACTCCTATGTAGGAGCTAAAAAATTTGATCACATGGAGGTAGGGAGTGAAAAGATAGACAACAGAGACCAGGAAGGGTGATTTGGCAGGGGGGTGAAGAGAAGTGGGTTAAAGGGTACAAACATATAGTAAAGTAGAAAGAATAAATTCAGTGTTTGATAGCACAGCAGGATGACTATAGCTAACAAAAATATATTGCACTTGGGTGATGGACATCCTTGATACTCTGACTTGATCAGTATGCATTATATACATGTAACAAAATTTCACATGTATCCCATAAGTTTGTACCAAGAAAAACACTGAATTGCCACTGTATTAATAGATCAGCATAGAAAGAAAGAAATAGTGTTGGGACAATTGGATACCCACATAGAGAAACCTAAAGTTAGGTCTCTCTTTACACCATACACAAACACCATGTCTAAGTGGAGTTAAGACTTAAATATGAAAGGCAAAGATATAATACTTTTAGAAGATAAATTAGGACAATATATTTATGATATTCTAATGTAAAGAAGGAATTCTTTAAGCAAGATATAAAAACCTAAACCATAAAATAAAAATGGGAAAATCTAATTCTGTTAGATGTCTGCTATTGAAAGACATTATCTAGAGAATAAAAAGAGAAATCAAAAAGATGAAGACAATATTTCAACAGATATACAAACAACTAGTATCCAGAGTATATTAAAAATTCCTATAATTCTATAAGAAAAAACATGCATTCCAATAGAAAAATGATCAAAAGTAGGCATTTAATGAAAGAGGGTTCAACTTCATTAGTGCTCATCTTTTCTAGTAATCAGGGAAATACATAGTAAAATTATAATTTCATGCCTACTGAATAGGCAAAAATTTAATTATGAGAAATCCAAATGTTAGCAAGGATGTGGAGTAATGAGATCTCTAACTCATTGTTAGCGGGAATATAATCTGGTGTAAGCATTTTCAAAAACACTTTGGCATTACCTAGTAAAATTAATACATGCCTATCTGAAATCCATCCCTTATCCCTCCAAGTATGTAGCTTAAAGAAATCGCATATGTGTGTTAAAAATCATGTATAAGAATGCTCTAGCAGTATTATGCATAACAGCTATGATTGGTAACTCTTCAAATGTCCATGAAAAGTAGAATAGGTAAATTTGGTATATTTATATAATGGAATATTACACAGCAGAAAAAAGGTACAAATGACTACAACATGTATCAACATGGATGACTCTCAAAAACATGGATGAATGATGATCAACAGAAATAAACTACTAAAACTCAGGCAGTATGCTTTCATTTATATTAAGAACAAAAACTAGCCAAACTAAGTATTAAATTCTAAGAGATACAGGCATACTTAGTAAACTGTAAAGAAAAGCAGGGGTATGATTAATACAAAATTCAGATGCTGTTTCTCTTGCAGGGAGGAGAGGGCACTATAATTTGAGAGAGGTACACAGAGGTCTTTAAGGTACTGGTAATGTTCTGTTTCTTATCCTGGGTAATTGCTGCACATTTCATTATTTTTTTTAATACTCTCCAGATAACATTTATTCATTTTTATATATGATATATTCCCCCAATTAAATGAAAAGTCAGCTTTGTAATATTGTGGCCAAGACTGAATGACACAAGACATATAAAGTGCCAAGCATCTAAGAAGTGCTCAATATGAAGTGTCTAAATTTAAAAAATAGAATAAAATAATGTTTACCTCAGACCAGTACTAGAGTTGGGACAGGAGGGCACAGAGGGGTGGGCTGGAGACACCAAGACATATTCTCATGGGGCCCCACATGGGATACAGAGACTCAGACATTGGCTGGAGTTCATCCAACTCTTGAGGAATCTGCCAAGTGAAGCAAGCAGATGCATTCCAGAGGATGGCATGTTTACAACCTCTTGGCCTGACACCGCTGCCATAAAGGCAGCCAGCCCAAATCCCTTTCTTCTTAGGTACTAATGAGCCCGAGGACATTATATTCTTCATGGGAGAAAATACTGTTTTTTAAAAGAAGATGAACTGCTTCACTGTGTCCCCTCCCCATCCATCAGCCCTGCAGAAACTTAGCAGGAAGTGATGCGGCCACTAGGCATAGCTCATTCACCTCACCCCTGCCCACGGGTCTCAAACACACTGGCTGAAAGCCATGCCTCACTGGTGGCTCTCAAGGTCTCTTAACAAACCTTAACTGAGCACCTGATAAGTGCAGGACATTTTGCTAGACACATGACGTTATGGGTTGAATTGTGTCCCCCCAAAAGTTGTTGAGGTCCTAATCCCCAGTACCTGTGAATGTGACCGTATTTGGAAAGATCTTTGCAGATGACCACAGTAAGACGAGGTCGTTAGGGTGAGCCCTAATATAAATGGTGTACCTATAAAAATGGAAAGTTTGGACACAGAGACAAGCACATGGGGAGAATGCCACAGGAAGATTAGAGGTATGGTGCCACAAGTCAAAGAACTTGCAGAAGGTAAGAGACAGCCTGCTACAGATGGAATGTTTGTATCACCACAAAATTCATATGCTGAAATCCTAACTCCCAATGTGATGGTATTAGGAGGTGGGGCCTTTGGGAGGTATTAGATCATGAGGGCAAAGCCATCACAAATGGGATCTGAGCCCTTATAAAAGGGATCTCAGAGAGCTCCCTCACCCCTTTTGCCATGTAAGGACACAGGAAGAAAATGAGCATCTGTGAAACAGAAAGTGAGCCCTCACTGGCCACCAAATTTGTGAGCACCTTGGTCTTAGATTTCCCTGCCTCCAAAACTGTGAGAAACACATTTCTGCTGTTCATAAACCACTCAGCCTATAGCATTTTGTTATAGCAGCCTGAGTGGACTAAGACAGAAACCTGAGACAGATCCTCCCATCATACCTTCAGAGGGAGTGTGGCCCTGCTCACACCTTGATCTGAGACTTCCTGAACTGAGAGACCATAAATTTCTGTTGCTTAAGACACCCAGTTTGTGGCACTTTATTTTGGCAACCCTCAGAAACTGATACAAATGGGCAAAGACACAGAAAAAATACGACTTCCTGCCCCCAAGGAGCTTACTGTTTCCTAAGGCCTGGAAAGAAACAGCTGTATGTCAAACAGAATGAAATAAGTAAAATAACAAAAAGTAAAGGAAGCACTCTGGCTGTGCAGGCTAGAGAATTCATAATTCTCACTATAGAGTATAATATGACACTTTACAATTATTGATTTTTCTTTCACATATTCATTTATTCACAGGGGACTGTAGAATGTATTGGTTAAGTGGTTAAGAATACATTGGCTTTGAAGTCAAATAAATCCAAGTTCAAATTTTAGCTCAGTTGGTTTCTAGTCATGTGATACCAGGAATGTTATATATTTTCATTAGGGCTCATTTTCTCCATTTATAAGATGAGGATAATCATTCCTATCTTGCGGAATCATTATATGCATTAAGTAACATAATGTGTTGGAATATATAGTCATATATATACATATATAGCTTAATACAGTTCATAACACATAATAAGTATTCCATAAATGGAGCTGCTGCTGCCAGGAGCAGCAGCATCACTATTCATCCAATACAAGGTGATTGTGTCTGCCTTTGAGCCAGATGCCGTGCTCAGGATACAAAAACAAGGCAATGGGCCAGGTTCAATGGCTCACACCTGTAATCCCAGGAGTTTGGGAGGCCGAGGTGTGCAGATCACTTGAGGTCAGGAGTTGGAGACCAGCCTGGCCAACATGGCAAAACCCATCTCTACTAAGAATATAAAATATTAGCTGGACATGGTGGCACACGCCTGTAATCCCAGCTACTCAGGAGGCTGAGGCAGGAGAATCTCTTGAACCCGGGAGGTGGAGGTTGCAGTGAGCTGAGATCATGCCACTGCACTCCAGGCTGGGTGACAGAGTGAGACTCCATCTCAAAACAAAATAAAAAACAAACAAACCATCAAAAAAACAAGGCAATGGTTTTTGCCTCCACAGAGCTTACAGTCTAGTTCCTTCCTGTACTGAAGACAGATGTGGAAGCTAACCATTATTTTAAAAATAGAATACATACAGAGAGAAGTGTCAACCTAGTTGGAGGTTTCACATCTTGAGTGAAGGATTAGGGTAGATGCAGAGAAGAGGTGATGCTTGAGATGAGTTTTGAAGGCTGAGTAAGAGTTTGTTGAGGAAAGGGCCATTCCAAGGAGCAGGAAGGAGTATGAACAAGGGAACAGAAGCCAGAGAGTGTGGGCAACACTTGCAGAGGGCAAATAATTTGGTGCAGCAGAAGCACAGGATCGTGAGAGAGGAGAGGATCCTGGAAAGATGGGCCAGGGTCACATTGTAAGAAGCTTTATATGCCAATTTGAGTAAGTTTGACTTCATCTATTGGCAATGAAGAGCTTTTAAGGGACTTTTGTTTTACAATAATGTGTGGTAAGGAAGGGAGTGACATGGTAAGATTTGCTTTTGGACATACTGCTCTAGCATTGGTGTGGAGGGGAGAAAAGAGGCAGAGGAACCAGATAGGAGGTGGTCACCACATTAGTCAAGATGACAAACTATAAAGACTAGAACTGAGTCAGTGGTGGGGGCATGGGTGGACTTGGTAAATAGAAGATAGTGTCAGTTGACATCTGTGATGCTTTGTAACTGCTGGGTATTTCTTGAACACCCTTTCTATCATTAGGGAATTTCCCAATTACAGTCCGTCCTCCTCAAGGAAGAAGTGAGAAACTCATTTTCTCACCCCTGGCAGGAGGGTGCAAGTGTGTGACCTGAGCTCTGCCCATCAGACACCATCAGGACTTTGATTTGGAAGAGAAGGATGTGAAGAAGATATTGCATGGAATTCATTCTGAACAAGGATGGTAGTGAGACACTACCATCCTTGTGAGTGTGAGTTTTGAGGCACAATAGTCTTAGCAGTCACTTTTCACCCCAGAGTTGGCATGCAGTCTGTGGCAGCAGCAGGATTTCTGCTGGATAGCCTGGCAGGGTGACTTCGGCATTGTTCCTCTCTGGAAAGTATCCAAGTCAGGCCCTTGGACTTTCCTGAAGATTCTACATGCTACCTAATAAATTAATACATTTCTTTTTTTTTCTTAAGTTAGCTAGAATGACTTTTGTTTTCTGCAACTTAGAACATGATCTGATACAAGTAGAAATGATGGCATTTGGAGATAAACTGGGAGTAAGGAAGAGGGTGAAATTTAGAACATCCATATCTTTCTCAGGTACCTAGGTGCATGATAGCGCTGCTAAGTAAGCTTGGGAATGAGTGGGAAAGAGCAGCTTAGGAGAGAGAATGGGAGCAGCTTAGGGGAGAGCGTGGGAAAACTCAGTTTTCGAAATACTGAGTTTGAATTTCTTTGGGAACATATGAGTCAAAGGTGGTGAAAAATACGAACCTTGATATCTGCAAGGAGGGCTAAAATCAGATTTTGGACTTGTCAGAATATATTTACCTATTAATTAACATTAATTGAGTACTTATAATGGTCCAGACACTGAGGAAACAACAGTAAGACAAGATCCCTGCTTACATAAAACTTACGATCTAATGGGATAAATCAGAAATAAGTAAACAATTTAAAAGAATGATCTGGAGAGTGATAAGTGCTACCAAACAAACAAGCGGAGCCGAATAAAGAGATAAAGGGTGATGGTTAAAACAGCTGTTTTAGAAAGAGTGTCCATGGGAATCCCTCTCTGAGGAGGTGACATTTAAACAGAATTAGGGAGTGAGCCCTGCCAAGTTTTGAGGACATGGGAAAACATTCTAAGCAAAGGGAACAGCAAATGCAAAGAGAAAAATAAGCTGAGGGTGTTTAAGGAAGAGCAAGAAGGCTAATGTGGCCAGAGTGGAGTAAGAGGATAGTGGTAGAAGATAATCTTGGAGAAGTGGGCAGGGACCGGATGACACAGAGTCTATATAGTTGATTAGCATGAGAAATTTTCATTTCATTCTAAGTGTCGTAAGAAGCCATAAGGGGGCTCTGAGCAGGAACAGAAATGAGGTGACTTATTCTTTTAACTCTCACAGCTGCCTTGTGGTGTCTTTGGGGGTCGCAAGAGTGGAAGAAGGTAGATCAGTCAGGAAGCTAGTACCTTAATCTGGGCAGAAGATGATGGTGGCTTAGACTCAGAAGGTGATGAAAACAGTGGTGTGGTGAGAAATCATTGAATGCCAAATATCTTTAGAAGGTGCAACCAACAGGATTGCCAATGGAATTACTGTGAGTGTTAGAAAGAGAGAAATCTAGGATGACTCCCAAGTTTTGGCCTAAGAACTAGGTGACCAGTGGTGTGATTTAATGAGGTGGGTGAGGGCAGGACTGGGGCTTGGTAGTGGAAATCAAATATTTTGGCTTGAATATTAATTGAAAATGACTATGAGACACCAAAATTGAAAAGCTAGGACTAGAGTTATCAATTTGGAAATCATTAATTCAGAAACAGTATTCAGACACAGAACCAGGTGAGGTCACTGGAGGACAGGATGGGAACACCTGTCCACAGGACTGGATGAAGTCTCCAGACAGTAAATGTGGATAGAGAAGAAGACTTAGGACTGAGACTTTTGGTCATGCCCATGGGTAGCATTTGAATAGATGAGAGGGAACTAATTTCTATTAATGAATAAAAGAATACCAAGTCTCCTGGTATTCTTTTACTCATTGATAAAAACTAGCTCTTTCTGTGGAGACTGTGGTGTTTCACGAGTCAAAAAAAAAAAGTAGTTTCAAAACAGAAGGAGTAACCAATCATTTCTTTTTTTTTTTTGAGGCGGAATCTCACTCTGTCACCCAGGCTGGAGTGCAGTGGTGCGATCTCAGCTCACTGCAACCTCTACCCTCCGAGTTCAAGCGATTCTCCTGCCTCAGCCTCCCAAGTAGCTGGATTACAGGTGCCTGCCACTGCACCAGGTTAATTTTTTGTATTTTTAGTAGAGATGGGGTTTTACCATCTTGGCCAGGCTGATCTTGAACTCCTGACCTCGTGATCCACCTGCCTCGGCCTGCCAAAGTGCTAGGAGTACAGGCATGAGCCACCGCGCCCAGCCAGGAGTAACCAATCATTTCTTATCTTGCTAAGAGATTGAGTAAAGAAAGATTCTAAGAACTGACCACTGGAACGTGGAGGTTGCTGCTGGGACCTTGACAAGTGCAGTTTAGATGGCGTGGTAGGGATGACAGACTAATTAGAGTGGTTTCAAGAATGAGTAGAGCCGGGTGTGGTGGCTCGCTCCTGTAATCCCAGCACTTTGGGAGGCCAAGGCGGGTGGATCACGAGGTCAGGAGTTCAAGACCAGCCTGGCCAACATGGTGAAACCCCATCTCTACTCAAAATACAAAAATTAGCCAGGTGTGGTCGTGGGCACCTGTAATCCCAGCTACTCGGGAGGCTGAACCAAGACAGTGGCTTGAACCCGGGAAGTGGAGGTTGCAGTGAGCTGAGATCATGCCACTGCACTCCAGCCTGGGCAACGGAGCGAGACTCCATCTCAAAAAAAAAAGTGAGTAGAAAGTATAAGAGTGGGGTTGGTGAGAACAGAGCTTTAACAAGAGGCAGTGCAATGGGTGGAGACAAATGGTGAAGGCAGTATCTGAAATAGGGAGCACAGTTGAGATTGCCCAGAGAAAATGTGTAGATTGCAATGAGAAGAGAGTTGGAGATAGAACCTTAGGAAACATCAAGAAATGGAGACAATTTCCTCAGAAGATAGATTGAGATAGGAGAAGCAGGAAAGTACCACGGCCCAGAAACCAAGAGAGGAGAGGTTGTAAGGAGGAGGTGGTGAGCAAAGTCATACGTTGCAGGTAGCCCAGATAAAAAGGACTTCTGGAGTTAGCTGTTAAGAAGTTCTTGGTGATCTTAACAGAGGTAATTTCAATGGTGGCAAAGGTAGAGGCCAGGGTGTGTTCTATGGGGAAGGAACAGAGGTGAGGAAAGGAAAGAATAAACTCAGGCCACTATTTGAGAAGGAAGAAGAGAAAACTGCTATAAGGAGCCACAGTTGAGGTAAATTTTATTTTTCAGGAAGAGGTATTTCAGCATAAACATATGTGAGAGGAAGGAGCAGATGGAAGTGCAGGAGTAAAGGGTGATGGTGGATGGAAGAGGGAGGGTTTAGAGCACAGGCTGGAGGACTCACCCTGAAGGAGGGACAACCCTTTCAAGGTAAGAGGAAGGAGGCAAAGGTGGAAAGAGATGCACATAATGGTCCAAGAGGCAGGAAGTGCTTACTTGATGGCCTCTATGTTCTCCCTGAAGTAGGAGGCAAGATTCAGTGATGGTGGTGGGTGCTGGGGTGGGGGATGGCAGTGGGGATGGGGTGGGGGTAATAAGAAGGATGTGGAAAAGAGAGCTGCAAGGGTGCTACCTCAGTGTGTTCACAAATACCATTATCTACCTAACGTTTTGGTGTTTGTCTCTCTGTCCCAGCAAACCTCCCAATTCCGTCTCCCTCCCTTTTCCTTCCCCCATAAATCCCTTCTCAAATCCCACCTGCAGCTGTGGGGAAGCTTCCTGTCATGGGTGAGTTATGGAAGAAACCTTTATCTTTCCTCTCTGGCACAAGTTTTTCCCCAGGAGGCCTGTACTGAGCCCATCACAAGCAAAACTTAGAAAATAGAAAAAGCAGAAAACCAAGGCAAGACATTTTAAAGACAAGTACATTGCAATGAATTATAAATTTAAAAATTATAAGTTGAATGGTTGCTGAGCATTGTGGCACACACCTGTAATCCCAGCTATTCAGGAGGCTGAGGCACGAGAATCGCTTGAACCCGGGAGGTGAAGGTTGCAGTGAGCCGAGATTGTGCCACTGCACTCCAGCCTGGGCAACAGGGCGAGACTCTGTCTCAAAAATGAAATAAAATAAAAATGATAAGTTGAATGAGTACTTAATAGATATGTGCTACCTATTTTAGTATTGAAACTTCTGTGAGGCAGCAGTTGTTTTCGTTTTGTGTCTCCTTAGAAGGTAGTTTAGAGAAGTGACCTTGGAACTCCACTTCTTGGGCCCAGATTAGAGATAAGTAATCTTGGGCTAGCTACTAAATCTCTCAGTGCCTTAGTGTCCTCATCTGTGAAATGGGAATTGTAACAGCACTGCCCTCTTAGGACTATTGTGGAGATTAAATGACTGAATGTGTGTAAAGCCCTTAGAATGGTGCTTGTGTTGAAAGCAGTCAATAACTGATAGCTGTTAGAGTTACAAGTTCTGTAAGAGTGCAGGCACATTTTGGACCCCACAAAGGAAATGCTCAAGAGACTAAAATACTCTTTTAAAATGTTGTAGGGAGAGTAGAATATCGTATTGTGGTGAAAGTGGGGTGCTGGATCTAGCACCTAATCTTGGATTCTTTTTTTATTCTATGAAAAAGTCCCTCTGCTGCATGGGAGTGCAACGTGTTGACCTAAGGACAAAGTGTGAGGCTGGTGAACAGGGAACTTCTCAGTTCCCATTCAGTGCCATCTCTTTTCTTGAGAGGTTTATTCTTGTTGCAGATGCCCCGTGTTCTGCTATGCTTCCTGCTATCTGAGTTCCCTCTGCCCCTCCACTCCTATTTGGAGAAGTCCTTATGCCACATAACACACACCTCCCCGTCAACTTGAAAAATAACCTATCCTGATTCCCAATTCTTCAGGTGAGAGTCTCCATCAGCTAGCTGACTAGGAGGACTAATCTAGCATACTTCTTTCCAGGCAACATTTGCTTTTAACAGAGGCCACTATGAAGAGGTAGCAGGGCTCAGTGGTTATGGGCACACTAAGCAAGAGGGGACTGCCGCCCACACTGTAGAGAGCAGTGGGATTTGGACAGTTACAGGTCCCCATGGCCCATCCTGCTTGGAGTCCTTTGGAGGGTTCTTCTAGAAGGGATTATGTCTATCTAGACTCTAAACCCTAGAAAATAGGAAATGACATTTGTCCACCTCACAGGAGTGCATCATGCTTGTTGATAGCGTTGGACTCTAATTTCTCTGGAGAGATGGAATCAACTCTTTAAGTCTGGGAATAAGAATAGCAAAACATCTTTGAAGCTATTTTTGAATGTTGTGCTGTTATTCTGCGGTAGGCCTCATATCCCTAGTGGTCAATGTGTGTGATTTGCAAAAAAAAAAACATATCATAGAGCCTAGCCATCATAGAGCCTCTCAGCACTTCACAGTGTCATCTCCAGGTGCTTCCTTCCACTCTCTCTCTGTCCTTCATTTACTGAGACTGTGAGGAGGGTGGTCCTTTTCTAAGTGTAACTGGGAGGAGGGGTTCTCACAAGGGGAAATCTGCACACTCTTCCTGGGTCTTTGTATAAGTAAGAGAGCAGCCAATAAAAAGTTCACGTCCTCTGCCTAAAGAGACGTGACAGCCAAATACAACACACCATTCCTGCCTGGATCCTGAATGGGGAGGAAAGAAAAGAATTGTAGGAGATATTTTGAGACAATTGAAGAAAGTTGAATATGGATTGTATATTACATCAGTGCTACCTGGAGTGTGCGTTGTGGCCCAGCAGTGGTGGCAGTGTCACCTGGGAGCTTGTTGGAACTGAAGAATTTCAGTCCCATCCAAGTGATTTATCCGCACATTGAAGATTGAGAAATATTATATCAGACAATATTACTGTGTCGATGTTACATTTCTGGTATGTGAGAATGGTATGGCAGGAGAATGTCCTTGTGTGATGAATGGGTGTGTGTGTGTGTGTATACACATACGCCTTCCAAGTGGGAGAATTCAGTCTGCAATCCACACCACCCTGAAGGTGAGGCCTTCAAGGGAACTGGATTCAAGACTCTTGGGTAGCACCATGGATTGTCCTGTGGAAACCATTAGAATCTTCTAGGCTGGATATACCAGGATGGAGATGTGTACTACGTTAGGAAGAAGAAAAATGCTGGAGGTAGACAAACCCCCAAGGGATGAGGCCCTTGAGTCCTGAAGGTATCTAGGGATTCATTCCCACTATGGGACAGCAAGTCAACAGGTTAGGAGTTCGGGTGTGTTCCCTAAACTCGGTGGGGATTTTTTTCCCCCTTGTTGGATGACACAGTTTAAAATTCCTTTCTTCATATGCTATAATTCCCTTTGGTTCTCTCCAGCCCTTTATCAAGGTCAGACACACCCCTACAACTTTGTGTGTTGTTGACAAGAGAAAAGTGAGACCTGCCCTGTGTTCACAGCCCTCTGTGGAGCCCTTTGCAGGGGTAGCAGCATCACTCCAAGGGGTGGAGGTCACTGGGCTGCAGGCTGCATTTGCCAGGAGTTGAGTTATTGCCAGCTCCTGCCCCTTTAAGTGTCTCTGTCTCCTGGGCAGATATGAGCACTGTATTCAGAATTACTAATCTTTTCTGGGACCTTTTCTCTAAATTCCAAATCACATAAGGGGAAGTGGTGAGGATGAACCTTCCCCAAACCCCACATTTCTGTAGCTCTAGAGGATATTGACTCATGGTGGAGCATTTATTTCAAATAGAAAACAGCACAAACCAAAAGACTTGAGGAAGTACCTCCTCCCACTCTTGTTTCCAAATTCCATTCAGGTTTGGAACTTTTTGAACAATTTTTATTTTGAAACATGAAAAGGTGGAAGAATCCAGCCTCTTTCTGCTAAGAGTAGACATAAAGATAAGCATCTCTCCTCAAAGGTACAGGATTATGTTACCCTTCTGGAATCCTGGTAGCCAATTCAAGTTGTTTTTGAAGCACAATGCTACCCATGAGGCCCAAACCAAAAGAACCAGACATTCCAGATTGACTCAAATAATTCCATTTTTTAAATGTAATGTTCTGGCACCTCTGTGATGACCATATTTGTTCCAGTTTTCATCACACCCTGTGATATTGAATGGCAAGACCAAGAACAAAATGCTTCTTTGAATAACTCCGCTGCCTTCCTACCTTGAGGCTGTCAGGTATGGGATACAGTTTGTTGGGAATTAAAGGAAAACAAAATTTCCACTCAAGAATTGAATTCTTTCAACAAATATAAAGAGAGGAAAAATTGTTTTGTGGTTTATTGTGGGGAAGAGAACTCTTAGAAAAAACAATAGGAGGAAATTCTCAATAGAAACTATGGATCTTTGATGAACTTTTCATTTCTGCATGATTAGAGAATTATTAACAGCCAAAACAAAACCTATTTTCTTCTTACTGTGTCTTATCCAAGTATTTAGTAGGGAGAAAAATGACATTAGCGACTATTGAGCCATTTGATTCCCAAACACATAGTAACTTGGCTTTGAAGGCAAGTCACAATGCTTCTAGGAAACCCCAAGATGGGAAGATTAAACTCTTTTCATTCTCTTTGAACTATTTGGAAACATTCACAGCTTGGAGCTGGGATGTCCATTCTATTGTCCACGGAGTTAGCTGTGTTGTCTCTGACTCCACAAAACACGAGTTTCTAACTGAACTGGGAGAGAGTTCTCCTGTACTGTGTCTAGTCTGTGTAGGCCAGACTTTATCAGTTTTTGGTACTCTGTGATAATTACCCTTGCCAAACACACTTGTCAGAATTATTCCCTAAAACACACTTGATTAATGGGCTTATCAATACCATTATATCTTGAATAATGCATATTAGTCCCAGATGACTATCTTTTCAGTTAAAAAATGAATTTAAACAAAGTGTAAATGTAAACATATTTCCAACTCAGAGTTCCATTTCAACCACTGAAGCACATCCTAGCACTAAGTCCTTTATTATTTTTGACGTTTATGACTTTGTGTTTGTTGGAAACAAGTTTTCAGGTGGCTATATCTGTTTTTTTATATTTATGACTCTTTTGTACTTATTGGAAATAAACAAGTTCTCAGTCTTCTATCTGTAAAATAAAACAAGAACTGCTTCACAAGAATCTTAGGATAATTAAATAAGATGATAGACATAAAGTAGTGGTCATATAGTAAGTGTTCTATAAATATTATGACTTAATTCCTTTAGCTCTATGGTAGACATACAGAGATTTGGGGAGATGATTTAAGTATATTAATTTTTATCTTTTTTTTTTGAGATAGAAGTTTTCTCTTGTTGCCCAGGCTGGAGTGCAGTGGTGTGATCTCGACTCACTGCAACCTCTGCCTCCCAGATTCAAGCGATTCTCCTGCCTAAGTCTCCCTAGTAGCTGGGATTACAGGCATGCTCCACCACACCTGACTAATTTTTTTGTATTTTTAGTAGAGACGGGGTTTCACCATGTTGGCCAGGCTGGTCTCGAACTCCTGACCTCAGGTGATCCACCTGCCTCAGCCTCCCAAAGTGCTGGGATTACAGGCGTGAGCCACCGCACCCGGCCTCTATTTTGTAATTAATATATTTACTTTTCATTGTAAAACAAGGGATTTCTATAGCAATTCAGAGCTTAATTTTTGTCTGTTAGCTAACTTACAAAATTTAAGCCTTTCGCGATTTGCTTTCAAGGCCCTCTGCCCTTTGGGTCCTATTGTACACAACCCTTTTCATGCTCCCAATTCATCAGTCCCTGTCCTGTCCTTTCACACATTCCACAGTTTCTTGTATCATGTTTCCCCTATCTAAAAAACTTCTTTTCCATTTCCCTTTATTATAATCTCATTCTTCCTTTAAGGTCCAGTTCAATCATTCTTTTCTTCTACAAAGACACTTCTGATTTCCTTGGTCCAAAAATAATGTCTCCCTCATAGTCATTCTTATGAAATTGAGTATTTTTAAACAATTTCAAATTTAGAAGAGGGCAACATTTACAGAAAACTTGCAAAGATTGCACAGAGATTTCCCACGTACTCCTCAACAAGTTTCCCCCAATGTTCACATCTTATATTACTATGGTCTATTTGTCCCAACTAAGAATCTAATATTGGTATACACACTGAACGCTTGTAACTTACGTTGTAGCTGACTATTAACTGTAAAATCCTTGAAATCAGGCTGTGTGGCCCTTAGTTTACTC
Organism: Homo sapiens; assembly: GCF_000001405.40. Classification (NCBI taxonomy): domain Eukaryota; kingdom Metazoa; phylum Chordata; class Mammalia; order Primates; family Hominidae; genus Homo; species Homo sapiens. The sequence goes on along the minus strand of NC_000005.10, from coordinate 65,039,200 downwards.
ATTCTGTAATATGTACAAAGTCTTTGCTTACCATTGAGCACCAAGTGGGAACTAAAACAATGTTTGTTGAATGAAAGAACAATCACTCCCATTGCTTTAACTGTCTACCTCAACATAATCTCTGTTTAAGTGTTTTGTGTAAGTGGAACATAAATACAGAAAAATGTGACTATAAATGTAAAGCTCAGTGATTTTTCACAATCTGAACATACTCATGTAATTATCACCTGGATTTCAAATAGAACATTTCCTGCATCACAGAAGCCCCTCCATGTGCTCCTTCCAGTAACAACCACCCTCCATCTTGACTTCTTATGTTGCCTTTAGTTTTATTTCAGTAATGGGACACAGTGTCATGGTTCATGCTTATAATGTGACCCAGTTTTATACTGTTATCATGTCTGTGCAAAGTGGCTTGAATCTATTAAAAAATTCATGGCTTGATTAAAGGAAGTATAACGCAGTAGATTTTCCAATAGCCAAACAATGTCCATTGTCTTTGTAGTTTATATAGTTTCTGCATTAAAGCCTAGCTTACGGTTGGGTGTACCCACTTTGGACCGAAAGACAATTCCATTTCTGACAACATCATTGAGCCCAGTGTAGGAAGTAGGACATAAACCATTTTCATTTCTGTTCCCTTAGAAACACATGGAACAAAATAAAGTTTGCCAAATGGAAATATACAAAACCACTGGGGAAATAAATGTTATTTTTAACCTTCTAAGAGACTATCACAAATAACTGGGAGGAGAGTGGAAAGAATTCAAAAAGCAGATGACCTTTTAACAGGCAGAACATAGCAGGGTCAGCAAGTGTCTAGAGAATGTTGTGACTTGGAGAAGGGATGCTGGGAGCCCAAGCCTGGAGGAACTGATCTCACCGGTTATGATGAGAATGGAGCTAGCTTCTTCCCAATCCTATGTGAACTGGATGGCTAGAAGGGAACCTTCCTCCAGTAATGGAAACAGTGAGAATCCTTGGGTACTAAACAAAGGAGTAGATTTGGAGATCTAGGAGCTAGTGGGTTTGTGGCTGGCAGCCAGGTCTGGAGTGTTGCTTTCAGGATGCCGGGTTTTCTCTACTCTTTGAGCAAATCTCACCCTATGGAGACACAGTCACCTGCATTCTAGGTGGAGACCACAGAGGTGAGGAAGTGGGTTAGAGGGAGGATGACAGCCATACCGTCAGTAGAGGGAGCTGTTCTGGGAAGGAGACAGGGAGACAGGAACCTCTTCCGCCTTAAGAGGGAAAAGAAAGCCACCACAGCCATTCTCACCCTTTTGAAGTTAAATCACTGCTTCACTGCCAGTTCTCAGGTGGCTCAAGAATGGACGGCTACTTTGCAAAGCACGTGCCAATTACACAAAATTGCCTACTTTGTCATGCGAATTTAAACCAAGCAGAGAATGCCTCTTGATCAATCTGGCTTTTCTTACAGATACTCAGCATGGAGAAAACTGGCTTGGTTGGAGACAGAGTTTGTGTCACACTTTTTCTCATAAAGGGAAAGTTGCTCCAGACCAAGCAACAAGGGAGATGTCAAAAGCTGGCTGTTCCAGCTTCTCCCTTGAGTTACAGATCGTCACACAACTCTGAGCACAGGAAGGACCTACAGTGTTCTTAGAAGCAGTAGAGTTGCATGCCCTTTACTAACCAGGCTAACCAATGCAAGAGTGTGTAAGACCTTCTAGGCAAAAGGCCCTGGGAGGCTGAGTTTATTCTCAAACCACCAGCCTTTCTCCCACCATCACGTTCAGTTACCAAAACATACTTACTTTTTTTTTCCTGTAACCTCATTTTAGAAGTGAACAGCTTTCAGTTAAAGTGATTTGCAGGGGATAAATAGAAGTAGGCTCATGCCAGACCTCACAGAGAAGTTCTAGATGGGCCCAGCATGGTGGCTCATGCCTGTAATCCCGGCACTTTTGGAGGTTGAGGCGGGCAGCTTGCCTGGGGTCAGCAGGAGTTCAAGACCAGCCTGGGCAACATGGTGAAACCCCATCTCTACAAGAAGCATAAAAAAATTAGCCGGGCGTGGTGGTGTGTGCCTGTAGTCCAAGGTACTTGGGGGCTGAGGCGGGAGGATTTCTTGAGCATAGGAGGTCAAGGCTACAGTGAGCCCAGATCGCCACTGCATTCCAGCCTGGGTGACAGAGCAAGACCCCATCTTAAAAAAGAGAGAGGGAGAAGATCTGGATGGTTCATGTCCTCTGCTTATCCTGGATATCTAGAATCTTACGGAAACCTTATATTACCCTTTCATGAAGTGGGAAAAGGACTTTAGAGAAGGGGGACAGATTAGAAGGCAGAAAATGCACTAAATAGTGTGACTCTCTCTTCATTTAGGCCCAGTTCTTTCTCCTGTACTTCTCTAGTTTTTTAGTAAAAGAAACAAGGAGACTGGAGCTTGGACTAACAGAATTAGCATGTTCAACATCAGTGTTCCAAAAATCATCAGCCATTTATCTTCATGGGGAGTTTTTCCTTTAGGCGCCAGCTGACTTTCTTTTCTTTGGCCCCTCTTTCTCATTCTGCCTTCTGCCACCAGCCTCCATCTCCACTGCAAAACTCTCCACGTCCCATTCAGGTCAGGGCCTTCCTTCACAGGCACAAAAGCTCATCCTGCAAATAATCAGCTTCTGCCCAGGTTCTCTATCATTAGCAATATAGAAAAGAGCAGAAGCTTTCAAGTTTTGCTCACAATTTGACATATATTTGATCAAATTTTTAGTTTGGGCTTGTATGCTCCACCAACCATCAAACCCTGGCAAATGTAAGTAAGGGTGAAGGGATGGTCTACCTCATACACTAGTAAAAACTGAGAACATCTTAGATGCTCATAAACGGAAATAGTGTTTAAGTACTTGATGATACCTCTACTAAAGGAGTAGATCTTTATGATCTTTAAAGCAATGTTTGAAAAAAGCACAAAAAAGTTTCTGCCACAATATAAGTGAAAAAGGTAGGCTACAAAATGATATAACATGACTAAATGACGTTAAAAACCTGAAGATCTGCTGCAAAGAAAGGGGGTTGTGGGGGGAGACAGGAAGGAAATGCATCAACGTTAACAGAGGTTGAGTCTAGAGGGTGGGGCTTTGGGTGATTACTTTTTTCTTCGTAATTTTCCACCCTTTAAAAGAGCATGTCCTACTTTTATAATTACGGAAAAAAGAAAGAAAACCTTGAGCTTTTGCATTTAACCAGTCCGCAAAAGCAATAAACAAGACGCGCTGTGGCCAGGGAACCCAGCGTTCGAGGGGCCGGCAGCGCGATCTGGCTGTCGCCTGTGGGCGGGGCGCAGTCCCCGGGACAGCCTCCCGGACCCGGGCCCCCAGGCTGCCCGCAACCCTCAAAAAGGAGCCTGTTTTATCTCTGAGCAGAGATGACGTCACCCTAAGGAAACCAGAAAGTGCTGATTAATCATGAAGTCAGAACTAATCCCTGAAAAGAAGTCGGGTAGGGGCGAGGCGCGAGAGTGCCCCAGACGAGATTGCAACCTCAGACGCCGCGACCGGGCTGGGGTCTCGCCCGTCACGCCCAGCCGGGACGCCGGTGCGCCCCGCCCCCACCTCGCGTCTCCCCGCTTCCCGCTTCCAGCTTCCCCCGCGTACTCCCAGCCTCCCGCCTCCCGCCGCCACTAGGTTTCTCCGGCCAGCGGCCTGGGTGGCGCATGCGCAGCGGCGGGATGGCCGGGCCCGCTCCAGACCCTGGCAGTCCACAAGCTCCCAGTCGCCTGCCGTGGTCCCTCCCCGACAGGTTCTTATTGTACCGCGCAGTGGTCGCGCACCGACTAGCTGTGCTTTTAAAGATGATTATCACTATGGCGGTGAGACAGTAGTTTGGCCGAGACCTGTTCCAGTACCCGAGCCAAAAAGGGTGAAGTAGATCCAGGACCGTCACTGGAAGCCACTTCGAGAGAGAGGCCATGCTTCTTAAAGTATGGGTTTCACAGCCGCCAGTTTTTTGGAGGTCTATAGTCACATGTTATTCACAATCTTATTTTTATTACAGTCGGTTAAAAAGGATTTCATCCATTGCTAGAACACTGCAATCCTCAGCTTCGGGGGTAACCAGAAGGCTCTCTGCGCCCGCTGCTGGGAGGTGGCGGGGCCCCGGGTCCAGAGCCAGGCTGGAGGCGGGCGCGCCCCACCGCCCCTGTGATGAGAGACAGCAGGAAAACTGGGCGTCCGGCAGCCCTGGGGCAGAACAGGTTGCTTGTCCCTGGGGAGCCCTCTAAGGGATAAAGGACCTTGGATGCGATCAGTCTTTCTTTGCGGAAAGCCCTCACACCTGTCCTGAGAGATAATTTGCATAAAAGCTGTTTGTGCCCTGGAGGAGAAAAGAAAGTGATTAAAAGAAGGTGGGGAGAGGGGTGGTCTGAGATGTCAGTAAGGATATTGGGCTGTGAAATACGTTGGTCTTATAAGTGGCTCTGCAATATCTTCTAAGAAGAATCCTCTGTGAGGCCAGCCTCTTGTTTTTAGGCTGGTCAAGCAGAAAAGAAGAATGGAAGCCCATTCACTGAGAAGCCACTGGGCCCCCAGGGACACCTCCATCTTGCCTTCACAGCATTTGCTCTTGCAACAGGTTCTTAGATTAATTTGGCCTCGTGGTCAGTCTTGAAGCAGCTCCCACATGTGCCCTGGCAGCTCAGCGCCCAGCTGTCCCGTCCTGTGTTTGTCTAGTTGATTAGGCAAGTGTTAACCAGTGAACCACAGAGGCCCATGGTCCAGTGGGCAGGGTGTAAGAAAGTACCTGGAACACAGAGATGGACGGAGATAGAGCTGGAGTTTGGGCCAGGTGGGCAGCACCGGCACCTCTCAACAATACCTACAAACATATTGCTCTGCTCATTTGTTTTAATCACATCAAGGCTTGTCACAATCTTTCTGTTTTCTTTTCCCTTAGAAAACAAACGTCTCACTAGGGTTGCTTCATGAAGTTCACCAGTACAGTAAGTGCTACAGCACGTTAGATTGCCTTGGCAGGGAGAAGGGCCTTTTATCTGCTTTGGATCACTGTTGGAGTCTCAGGCCTTTAAATCTTTTGAACTCACATCCATTGTTCCACACTAGCTGCTACTGATTCTACAACCCCTGTTCTCGCTTGATTATATTTCTTTGGATGAAATATGATATCTTTAATGTTTTTTGGGATCAAGGGTCTGAGTGTGGGGAGAAGAGGCTCCTAAGCCACAATCAGCAGCTTGATTCCCTATCACCTGTTTGGAGCTCATGGTAACCAGAGTCAACAACTAACAGGATTTAGGAGAAACAGCAGCAGGTTTATGTAGCTCAGAAAGATAGTCCAGTTCCAAGACATGGGAGGAATAGATAGGGATATTTGGTAGCTGCTCAAATCAGAGCTTCTCAAACTGGCATTCATCATCAGAATTACCCAGGAAACTTTAAAAAATATCGAGTCCCAGAGTTGGGAGTGGGACAGACATCTGTGTTTTTCGAAGTTTTTGAGTGATTCTAACATCAGCCAGAGCAGGGCCTCTGGCTTATGGCTTGGACCACCTCAAATCAGCAGCAGCACCCAGCTTAGGTGACGCAGCATACGTGGGGTTGGGGTTGCTTTTAGAACTGTAGAAGACTGATCCCTGGGGAGCCCTCTGAGGGATCAAGCTAAGAGCTTCCCAGGTTTCAGAGATACGTTTGGCCCAGTCTTCTAAAATTCTAGCCCTGCTATTGGAGATAGCCTTAATACCGGGGACTCAGAGCAGAAGGGATCTGGGAAGAGGACAGAAGCATCTAACCTCCTGAGTAACCAGTAGGAAAAAGCTTAGCAGGTACCTAAAACACAGAGAGAGGGTTTTGGGCTCTGGTCCAAGAACCACCAGTGGCGAGAGTAACAGGAGGATCCAAGATGGCTGCACAGCTCTGCTGAGCATATATCCATTTGGTTACCTGCTCAGCCAGCAAAGACGAGATGTAAGGTAAAGCTTATAGGAGTCTGGAACCCAATATTAGACAAGGATTCTATACTACTCAAGCTTTGGCTGAAGGAGGAAATAATATTAATAATAGACATTACTAAACTAATGCTGTCGTGGTTAGCATTTATTGATCATTGTGCTAATCATTTTATACTTTAAACTCAGAAAGTTTAGGTATATCCTCTAAGGACTCCCAGCTAGTTGGTGGCAGGGACAGAACTTGAACAAAAGGTTAGAGTGTGAGCTCTTTTGATGTCTGATTTCCCATTTCACAGGCCTGTTTACTTCCAGAAGGGAGTTGAACACAAGTTGAAGAGTTGGAGTGGTGGCGGTGAGAGCAGCTCAGGGAGTAAATGATAGTAATGCTAAAAAATGCAAAGTGCAATTAATTTTAAAACTCACATCTTACATATTTACATTGTTGTTTCAATGTAGTTGCTCATAGTCTGAGATCTTAATAGGTCCATGCCATCTTAATGTCAACCTGAGGATTAGGTAGGAACATAGCAAACAAGGCAGTGGACCTAGGGGTTGATTAGGTTCTAAATCATATTTTAATAAACAACTGTTCATACTTTTCCAGAATCATTTAAAGGGAAACCAGAGTAATCTTGTTAGTACAACCCTCACATTTTAGCAATGTCCTTAAAGTGCTCACCAACTCAGTTTGAGGAGATTGGCAATGACTTGGAAATCATGTCATCCTTGTAATACAGACTTGAGAGTCCAGTGAGGAAAGAGTGAAGGAAATGACAAAGCACCCTTTGGAGGATGACGACAGAAATGTACGCATGAAAATAATCACACCTCAGGGATCTCCGAGGGCCTGCACGCACTACCGATTACTCACCCGTTGTAAGGTCTCCCAGCATTAATCCATCTTGGCAGTAGGAAGAACATTACCAAATGACTACATTGCCTGCTGGCTTCTTCCAGTCTCCTGGCTGGAAAAGCAAATGAGTGAATATTCACTCTGGAAGATGGAATTGTTTCCTGTATAGAGTCTACTTCATGGAGGTTCTTCAGGCAAGTAAACCAGGATATGAAATATTTTTTGTGCACCACATTCTAACAACTTCTGGAGCATCTAAATCCTGTCTTGGAAGCAGTTTCCTTAGGGTTTAACCAGGCATTAAACCAAGGTCAATGACAACCAAGGCCAATGACAACCAAGGCCATTTTCTAGTTGTACAGTAATTCTAGGGGAAAAACTACTTGGTTTTTGAAGGTGCTTTAATGTTTTTAGGTCAATATTTACTTCACTTCCTGCATATAAGGTGGTTGAAGAAAAAGTGCACTTATAAAAAAACAAAATAAAAACAAACCCCCCTCCCCTCCCCATAAGTTTTACTTACCAACAGTAAGAAAAATAGAGGATTAAAGACAAAAAGAGCTGGCATTCATATGTTGGAAGACTTTTTTGAGTGTCACAGATTTTTAAATAGCTGTCTTTTTTTTAGGTGGTTCTTGATGGGATTGTCTGGAGGGAAAAAAGGCCCTGTTATTAAACAAGGCTCAGGAGACATCGAGTGTTTTGGATAGTTAAAGGGAGTAGGGGGTGAGCTACCATGCGCAAGAGAGGTGAGTGTACCATTCCAGCACACTACTAACCCTTGTTAGCATAGAGATTTTCTTTGGAGAAAGACGCTAAATACATTACCCACATTATGCATGAAGAGAGGGTTTACCCAGGAGCTTAAGGCAGGTCATGGACCATATTAGAATGTCATCCAGGAACCCAATGATGCCACAGCCCCGTAAGTCATGAAGACCTCATTCTACAACCTGGAACCATTACCAACCTATAGAAGAGACACTAGCTACTCGTCTAGCCCACAGGGCTGGGAAGAATGTCTGTTCCTCATTTTACTGGGTGGCCGTTGGATTGCAGGATTGGTGAAGAACCATCTTCCCCACAGTGCTTCAGAAAGTTGGGAGCCAGAAGCAGAGGGCTGTAGTTCAGCGATTGTGTGACCAGGGGGTCCTTGCTCCCAGAGCTCCCAAGATGGTGGCGGGCTGCTTGCAAAATGGCCACGGGCCGCTTCCAAACTGGCCGCAGGCCGCTTCCAAGATGGTGGCAAGCCTTGTGTTCTCTGACCTGGGGTTCTTGGGCTCACGGATTCCAAGGAATGGAATCTCGGGCCATGCGGTGAGTATTACAGCTCTATTAGAAGCCATGGGTCACGGAAGAGAACTGTGGAACCAAGTGACTAGTGTTCAGCTCCATTAGGGCGAACCCAGGCACTTAGCTGTGCAGGAATAAGGGCAAGCCTTTAGCCTGATCAGGAGCGGCAATGGGTACCTCACTGGATCAGGAGCACAGCGGACTCCCTGCTGGATCTGGACGGATGGAAGTCAGTGGCGGGTCTGCAGTGGCCGGAAACGGCAGTGGTGGATGGCGAGCGAAAGCTCAGCTCCAGCCCTAACAAACACGGACTGGAAGAGAGTGCAGTTGCAAGATTTAATAGAGTGAAAGCAGAGCTCCCATACAAAGGGAGGGACCCAAAGAGGGTAGCCGTTGCTGGCTCGAATGCCTGGGTTTATATCCTGATCATTGTCCCTCCTGCTGTGCTCTCAGGCAACAGATGATTGGCTATTTCTTTACCTCCTGTTTTTGCCTAATTAGCTTTTTAGTGAGCTCTCCTTACTACCTGATTGGTCGGGTGTGAGCTAAGTTGCAAGCCCCGTGTTTAAAGGTGGATGTGGTCACCTTCCCAGCTAGGCTTAGGGATTCTTAGTTGGCCTAGAAAATCCAGCTAGCCCTGTCTCTCAATTGCAGTGAGGACTCTTTAGTTCCTATGGAGTCTGACTTCTAGGTCTTTTTTAGGAACAAGCCATGGGCCTCTGCAGATGACATGGAACAACATATGGCTCAAGTCACAGATTATGTCACTAAGTCTGGAGGGCTGTGCCCTAAGTTTTTACAGGAAGGCAAGTATTTGACTGGAATCTTCACTGTGGGAAACAGTTAAGTGGTACAAGTTAAGGCATGTGGAAAAGACAGCATCTGAAGCTTCCACTATGCTAAACCTGTTAGCTATGAGGACCATTTTATCTCAGGGAGGACTGACCAGATTCCTCAGAACTGAAGTCTAAGAATGGAGTCCACAGAAAACAGGTGCAGGACAAGAATTGCTGGTAGGAAAGGGAGGAAGAGAATCAGGATTAAGAGAAGGCAAATAATTCCAAGAAGGTAGACTTGGATTTGGCAGGAAGAACAGCATGAGTGGTTTTCGTGAGAGCCGTTTAACAGAATTTCAGTACGAGTCTAAGGAGCATTTGGGCTGGCTAGCAAATGCAGAAGACTGACAGTGAAGGCGGAGGGAGGAAGAGCTGTACAGGTAAGCACTGCATAAGGGTGCCATGTCTAAAAAACATAATTCACATCACAAACAACATAGCTTTGATATTTAGTATGACGATTTTTTTCTTGCAGATTTAGTAGTGTTTCTTTTTAACAAAGTAAGTATATTATCACAATTTTCTGACATATGGAAGTAAAATGCCTTGGGGACCGGCTACCGTTTTCCAATTCATGCAAAGACAGCCTACGGACTAGCAATACTCCTGATGCGAAAAAGCTCAAAAGCCTCAAAAGGCATTCTATGATTCTACTAAAGTAGTAGAATCAATGAAATTTGTGAAAGAAGAATCTTCTGTTTATTTCTTACCCTGATCAATATAATGGTTCAGATGAGATATTGAAGGTTAATATTTTTATGTGGGGGATAAGAAAGAGATCAGTGGAAGTGAATCTTTCTGTTTTAACCTGTATCAGAACACAGGTACTGATGTTGTATATGTTCTGAAAATTCCTAAGGGTTTTCTTTTGCAATCCTATCTGGTCCTAACTCCCTCCCACTAGGCATGAGACCATTTCCTGTGGTTGCTAGATGTGATTTGAAGGTAGCAGGAGAATGGATAAGTGGGAAAGAATTACTACTCAAGTCAAAACCACTTGGCTTACATATAAAATTCTTGATGTGTTTCAAAAGCATCATTCAAAGCAAGTTGATAAATTAGACTTTTAATTGTGACATCGTAGGTAATGAAGAGTCTCTAGTAAAATTCTCCAAATTTCTTATTTTCTTTCCTATATCTTTGGGAAAAAGAAGTTTAGGAAAATGAGTCAGGTTTAAGGCAAATGGAACTATAGTACCAGAAAAAAATCCACTAATCTTTCTTGTAGGTATAGTTTGTGCTGCCAAAAAAGAAGCAGTTATATGATTATAGATAGAGAACAAATACTCTAATCTTGATGCTTTGATAGGGGACATTTCACTGATTAGCTTTTCGAATAACTAGTTGCTGTCTACTAAGTTTGAGATCTTTACTATAAAATAATTGCTATTGGAAGGCTATATTTAAATACCTGGAGAAATCACTCATTGTTTCAGTGATGTGAAATTTTTTTATTTTCTGTCTTATAAATAAGTGACTGACTTAAACTTGGAGCACTAGAAAGACTTACCAAGATCATTAATTGCATTTTCCCATCATGTAAACATTATGTTCAGGAAGGGGTGTAGTAGGAAGTTCTGGGAATTGGGAACAGACAAGCTGTCCTACTTGTCTTCTTGGCTTCTCTGATTGTATAGGTGTATTTGATGTTATGCAGTTTCTGTGAAAAATTTTGCATATCAAAGAATATGGTAAATTTACATAGGGGCTCATTATATAAAGAAATACCTAAGAGAATATGAGTCTTTGATTAAAAAAAAAAGCCTATTTTGCCATTTAAGATTCTCATGTCCATTTGATGTTTTTCATTCTTTCAGTTTTCTGCTCTAGGGCAGTGTCTAAGTCTGATTTCTGATTTTCAGAAAATAGGCATCAGAATTAGTTGAGTAAGCTTATTCAAAAAGAAACAAACGCAACAGATTCCTGGACCCCTACCCAGATCAACGGACTTGTCATTTCTGAGGCCTGGGAAACTCATTTTGACAAGATTCCTGCCCCTCCACTTCCTGCAGGGTGATTCTGAAGCACATTAATACATTTACGATTTCACATTCTGTGTTGTCGGGAGCAGGATGGAGATAGATTCTCAGTGCAGTACCAATCCATGAACAAAGAGAGATTAGTCTCTATTGAAGGTTCTTTCTCTGTTGAAATAAACAAAGGAGTAGTTTGAGAAAATCTGGGTGTATTTATAAAGGGCACACAACTGGCTGTGTGGGCTGATAGGCCTGGGGCTAAAAATATTTGAAACTGCAAAATTGCAAAACCGTCAAGTGTATGGATATTGAGAATTTTAAAAAATAAGATGGAGTATACTCTATCATGTAACTATTACAGTTTAAATCCTAATAAAGTGGAATTTGTGACTACAAGATCAACTTGATTCTTATCAAATACGATATTTGGAATTTTAAAAAGTTCTGTGAAATATCTAAACCAAGACTTGTACCTTCTAAAGTTTCATAAATTAGAGATTTAAAAAGTATCATAAATTCTTGAATTCAGCCTTTTATTCCTGCCTGTTAATAGGCTTCTCTAATGCTAATCTGTCAGGTAACAGGTGGTGTGCAATTTCTCATAATCTCATTTTATCTAATTTACTTATACATCTTAGTTTTTTAAGACTTTACATCTTAGTTTTTAAGACTTTTCACTGAAATTGTTTCTACCTGATAATCCTAATCTAGCATTCTTGATCACTTCATGAAACTGGGCTTAAAGGGAATTCAATTTAGGTAGCATTAAAATAATTAAGGAACCTGAATATGAGGGTTGTGTTGTGGTCTCTGAGTTCCCTCTGGCTGTAGGCCTGGCTGTAGCCCTTGGATGTGAGGCTGTGGGGAGGGGTCCTTTGGTTCATTACTGTGATGAGGCTGACAGCGGCTGCTTTCCCAGGCCTCAGAGTTTCCAGCCTTGGGGTGATGTGCAGTTTCACTCCCTTGTCTAGCCCATCATGACTTCCTGTTCTTTTTCTGTAATGTTTTTCAGATCTGCTTCTTCCTGTTGCCTTCCCAGGCCTGGGTCTGGTCCAGGCTTTAATTACCTCACACACACACCTGCACTCTTCTAATATCCTTTTTCCTGTCTACAACTTTTCCTTTCAGCATTTTTTCCCCCTCTTTACACAGAATTATCTTCCTTAAGCATCATTTCCATCACCCTCCTCTTCCAGCAGCTACCAATTTCATCAAATCCAATCTCCAGGTCCTCTCCTCCAAATCCCGCCTCTCTGCTTGGGCCTTCTATCTCCTCTACAGCTGGACTCTGCTTCAGCCAAGCAAACGGCCTGACACTATGTCTATACAATGCTATAACATCTGGTTAATCCAGTCAATTCTGTCAAATCTTCAGTTAATCATCTGGATGTTTTGTCTACAAGATGCCAAACATCTGGATTGACTGAAGAAATTCACTGCATTGATGAAAGTTTTTTTTTTTTTTTAAACTGAATTGACCAGATGTTTTGGCATCATGTAGACACATTGCTGTCTCCGACATTTGTCTTAATAACTTGTCTGCACAACCTTCTCCCCACCTGGAACATGACCTGTCTCCTCAATGCCATGTTTTCCCTTTCTTTCAAATTATGTTCAGAATTCTGTCTGCCACAAAGCAGTTCTAGATTAATCCCACTAAACCCATCTCTTGCTTCATTCTGGCATTCACTTAGTTTCTACATGTATAATACTTTTCAACTGAAATCGCTATGTTTTGTCTTTTTATTCTTGGGCATTGTCCTCCTCCTCAACCCCATTAGATCCTGAACTCCAGAGGTGAATCCAAGGTATATAATGAAAACAGTTGGGCTTGTGTAGTGAGAGGCTCTGCAGTCCAGTGACAAAGGGCAGAAACTCTGGAAGTTAGTCTTGTTTTGTACATCAGCTCCTCTGCTTACCATGTGACTTGGACAAATTATTTAACTTCTGTAAGCCTCAAGTCTCTTCCTCATTTGTGATATGGAAACGGTAATAGAGCCTACTTCATAGAGTTGTTTATAGGGATTAAATGAGTTGATAAAGTGCTTAGACAAGAGTCTGGCATCAAGTAAATATCCATTAAACGTTAGCACTTACCACTACAGGGGCTTTACCTTTGTAAAAGCTTGGTTTTCTTGTCTATTCTTTCTTTTGACTGTAACAACACCTTGACAGGTAGGTAAGGCAGCTGTGACTGTTCCCATCTGAGACAGGAGGAAACAGATGTCAAGAGGTTGTATCATTTGCCTATTAAATCAGTTGCAGGTCTGAAGCCTTACAGCCTTGCTTTCTATACGTCACATGCTGGCCCTCAATTCTTTGTAATCTCAGGACTTACAGCCCATCTGTGACAAAGTGTCTTATGTTAAATGAGAAAAAGACTGTGGTGGTATTTCCCTAAAGTTACATTTATTCAATTGTTAGAGCAGTCCCTGAAGTGAGGTTGTATCCTTCCTTCATTTTTAGTGTAAACGTGTCCTATCATTATGAAATGATGGTGACATTAAACTATAATATATGTAATAACCCTACATTGGATCCTGAGGGGTTTAGTCATTAATCCAACAAATATTTATTAAGTGTCTACTATTTGCTAGGCAGGGTTCTGGGCACTGGAACAACAGTGAACAAAACTGACAGAAATCCTTTCCTTCATGGAGGTCATTCTAGGGCAGGAGAGGGATGATAAAGAATAAATTAACCTCTTTAAGGCTCAGTTTCCTCATCTATACAATTGATAGCAAGAGTCCCTACTTCATGGGGTTGTTTGTAAGAATTAAGCAAATAAGGCAAAGTACGTGGGAGTTAATAGCCCTATTGAATACAACTAAACAGGGAGATTGAGAGACTGAGCGTGTGGGAGGGGTGGCTGGAATTTTAAAGTAGAGTGATTATTGTAGGCCTCATTGAGAAGGTGCCATTTGAGTAAAGACTTGAAGGAACTGAGGGAGTTGGCCATGTGGACATCCTAGGGGCAGTATTCTGGGTGGAGGGAACAGCCATTGCAGAGGCCCTGAGATGGAACACACCTAGCTTACTTGATGAACAGCAGGAAGGATAGTGTGGCTGGTGCAGAATAAGTGATGGAGAAGGTAGTAAGAGAGAAAGTCAGAGAGACTGAGAGGAAGAGGTGGTAACTGCAAAGAGCCTTAGGCCTTTGTAAGGACCTAGGCTTTTACTGTGAATTAAATGGGGAATCATTGAAGGGTTTTGAACAGATAAGTATAACAACATGACTTGTTTTATAAAGTGTAACTGGCTTCTATGTTAATAATAAATTATAGGAAAAAAAGGGTGAAAGTTTATTATAGCAGTCCACATGACAGTTGATGGTCCCTTTGACTAGGGTGGTAGCAGTGGGAAGTAGCAAATAATGGTAAAATTCTGGAAATATTTTGAAGGTGGAGTCAACAGAATATCATAACAGACTGAATGTGTGAGATAAAGACTGGAATCCAAGCTATTTGGCCTGAGTAACTGGAAATTGCATTATGGGCAATGCAATTATCACGTTGCCCATAATGGAGATGGGAAAATTACAGAGGAAGCAGGTTTGGTGGAGGCAGGGCTGGGAAGTGTAGATGACAGTTACATTTTGGACATGGTAGGTTTGATGGACATTATGGAATTTCACTCTGAAATGGATCTAGTCCTCACATAATATCATGTATAACTTTTCCAGATTAATTTAAAAATCACTTGTTGAATTCTTTTGTTCCTTGGGAAATAGTATCCCATTCTTAATTAGTCTATTCACTTACGCCAATAATATGGTATTGTTACAAAGTTTTGTAATAGAAATAAAATGGTCATATTCCTCTTATTCTAAATAAAATATTTCCTTAAAATTGCAAATTAAAAAATAATACACACCACACAAAAAGAAGGAAACCTTCTAATTGTAAGTTTACTCACAGCTGTTGAGAATGAACCATACAACATATACTTTAGTCATTTATTTTCCATACATGGTATGCTTCATTTCAAATATATTCTTTTTTTTTTTTTTTTTGAGACGGAGTCTTGCTCTGTCGCCCAGGCTGGAGTGCAGTGGCGCGATCTCGGCTCACTGCAAGCTCCACCTCCCGGGTTCACACCATTCTCCTGCCTCAGTCTCCCGAGTAACTGGGACTACAGGTGCCTGCCACCATGCCCGGCTAATTTTTTGTATTTTTAGTAGAGATGGGGCTTCACTGCGTTAGCCAGGATGGTCTGGATCTCCTGACCTCGTGATCCGCCCGCCTCGGCCTCCCAAAGTGCTGGGATTACAGGCATGAGCCACTGTGCCTGGCCTTTTTAATTAATTAAATAATTAATTTATTTATTTTTATTTTTTTTGAAACAGATTCTCGCTCTGTTGCCCAGGCTGGAGTGCAGTGGCATGATCTTGGCTCGCGGCAACCTCCGCCTCCCATGTTCAAGGGATTCTCCTGCCTCAGCCTCCTGAGTACCTAGGACTACAGGTGCGTGCCACCAGGCCCGGCTCCTTTTTTTTTTTTTTTTTTTTGAGACAAGAGTTTCGTTCTTGTTGCCCAGGCTGGAGTGCAATGGCATGATCTCAGCTCACCACAACCTCTGCCTCCTGGGTTCAAGCCATTCTCCTGCCTCAGCCTCCCGAATAGTTGAGATTACAGGCATGTGCCACCACGCCCGGCTAATTTTATATTTTTAGTAGAGATGGGGTCTCTCCATGTTGGCCAGGCTGTTCTCGAACTCCTGACCTCAGGTGATCCACCCATCTTGGCCTCCCAAAGTGCTGGGATTACAGATGTGAGCCACTGCACCTGGCTCATTTTTGTATTTTTAGTAGAGAGAGGGTTTCACCATGTTGGCCAGGCTGGTCTCGAACTCCTGACCTCAGGTGATCCTTCTGCCTCAGTCTCCCAAAGTGTTGGGATTACAGGCATGAGCCACCGCTTCTGGCCTCAAATATATTCTTATTAAAGTGTTTGAATATCATAATAAATCTCTAGAGTAAATTCAGAAAATAAATAGGAAAGTCACTTGAGTGTCCTGCTTTTAAAATTATCCTGATTACTTTTAAAAAGTGCCATAACTTTAGCAATGACTATCATTTTTGGCATCATGAGAATGAGAAAATAATAATTTCCTAAAAGACCAAGAACAGCTTCTTTCTGACTGGTGCTGTGAAGAAAGCCTCCAGAAGATGTTTAACATGAATTAGCACCATGATCTAATCTTAAGGAAATAATTCCCAGCAGATGTGGAAAAGAGAGGGACCAGACTCCTGTCTGCATTTCATTTAGAAGCCAGTCATCTTTCCTTTTCAGGTAGGATTTCTCACCCCCAACCCAAAATACAGTTTAAAATAAATTAAATAATGAATTTATACATTATTACTTACCTGGAATAATTCAAAGAACTATAATTACATTTCTTTCCTTTCCCCACCCAACGCTGTTTTTCCCCCCTGTAAGATTTGGTTGCATCTTGAATTGGACATATGACTAATTGGGGCAAAAAACACAAGAAGCAGGGGAAAAATAAATGTGAGGCAAGTGGTTTTGGAAAACTCCATCAAGAGAGAATCTAAAGATATAAACTGCCATAAAAATGTGGGGTACAGGTATTGCTAGAACTTAGAGGACGGTGTGAAGTAATTACATAAAATAGAAATATGCATGAAGACTGTGATCCTGGCAAAGGGTTCAAACCTTTGTGTAAGTTCTTTAGGGCCAATGCAAGAGTCACTGTATAAGCTTTTAGCTAGAATAAAACAGAATGGGAAAAATAACCAGTTTACTGGAGCTACTTTTGGTGGCTTGAAATCAGCCACGGTGAGAGGACTTATGTTGTGGAAATCAGTAAATGCTGCAAATGAGGGCTCTTCTTTCTTTTATTAAGGAAAGCTGGTTTACCAGCCTACCAATGAAAACAACTTTCACAGGGATTTCCACAGGGAATAATGAAACTCTTAGCACCTGTGACAAAGATCATCCCCTACGGCTTTGGTAGTGGTGGTAGTGATTTTAGGGAATGAGTAAATGTTTATTTCTACAAACACAGGACTTCTAAAGCCCATCCTAGTAAGATTTGGTGTTTCATTATTTCTCTCAGAATTCAAATTTCATCAAGGCTTTATTAGAAAGGATTTCTCTACAGTATGGTTCCTGTTTCACTTGTCTTCAGTAAAAGCTAAAAGAAGAAAGGAGATAAAATATACTTGGGACAGTTAAACTTCCTGCTTTCTAGTAAGCAGAAATGATACCACCTGATAAACTGTTCAGAGTTATTGGAACAGAGACAAAGCCATAGAGAACCTAGACCTGCTTTTGTGTGTGTGTGTGTGAGAATGACAGTGTTAAAGAATGTAACCTCTCTTAACTTCTCTACACCCATTACAGACAAATTGCTTATACTGATACAACCCTCAATGGTAACTCACTTCACACCTCCATTTTCTTTCTTGTTATCACCAAGATTAAACAGCATGTTTGGGCATTATTTTGCATGTATCTAACCTTTTCCATACAGGCCACAGTGCTACAACAGAACAGGTTTATGTACCTCACACGTCAGATCTTATCAAGGAACTTGGTAGTGACAGCTTGATAAGGACATCATAGCTGATTGAACTTGTGCTAAAAACAGCAGCAAACCACTCATCTCCTCACACTTTTTAATGACCTTGTTCTGTGGTAGCCCCATTTTTAGATGCAGCAGATGCATTACTGTGTGGCCTCAGAGGATACAGAGTGCTGAGGGCATGTGTATTGTTACACCATTTAGTATTCACCTATGGCTTTGATGGTGGTGGTAGTGATTTTGGGGAATAAATGAATAAATGTTTCTTTCTACAAACCCAGGACTTCTAATAGTAAGATTTGGTGTTTCATTATTTCCCTTGGAATTCAAATTTCATCAAGCCTTGCATTTTGTATTATATCATTAAAAATTCTAGAGAGATCTGCATTTGCCTCAATTACCTACTGAGAATGGAGAGGTCTAGGGTTAAACTTTCACCTTGCCAATGACTTCGACCATGAGAAAAACTGATTTGTCATAAAATGAGAAAAAAATTTGCTGGGAGTTGCTTTTCTCTTTGCTCTCCAGAACGTGCAGCATTGTCACAGACAATGAATAAGAATGCTAACTCATATAGCAAGGGAGAAATGTAAAAAACAAAACAAACAAACAAAAAACCAATGCTAACATACTTCCTTGTCTTAGGATAACATCCCTAGGGTAAGACACATAAAATAAAAATCCCAAATATGAAATTAAAATTAAAAGACTAATTTTCTAACATGTTTTTTGAATTTTTTTTTTTGTTTTGGGAATTCATTTGGCTTCCACACATTCCTGTGACATTTGCAAAAGGTTTACTGTGAACACATTTCATACAATATTGAACAGGTAATTCAACTACATTTTTAAGCTTTTTAAAAATTGTTATTGCTCTTATTCAGTTAAGTTTATGGTGAATTTTATTATCATGTTGAAGTTCTTCTGATAAAATTCTAATCTCTGTAGAATTTCAGATCTTTCTGCTCCTTGTGGTTAAAACAGGATGAGAAACATTCAACCAAACTGGTTTTAATTTTGTCATTCAGTTATCTTTTTAAACCTGCAAATAGTATTCTCTAATGTGTGCCCTGGAGGTCTGTGGTTTCCTCTGTTCCAGGATAACACTGCACTGGTTAAGGTGGACACAATCCAGGAGGAATGGTAGAGAAACCACAGGGTACTTCAACACAGACAGATTTAGTGGTAATATGTTTCAGAATAACCAACAGAGACTTTGTGAGTTTGGAAGATGAAATTCTGTTTTATCTGAAATAAAACCAATATTATAACCTTTATGGTGAGGGGAAGATGGGACACACTTCCAAGCACTGGCTTATTTTGGGGTGGCTTTGAGTCTGACCACTCTGCATTTGAGTGGGTTGACATTTTCTCAGAACACCTCAATCATAGCCCTCTCCTCCTCTTTGAAGCTCTCTCCTTCTTCCTGAAGCAAATAGAAAGGGTTCTTGTTAGTACTGGGGGTTCTTCTGTCTTCTCACCTCAGGTTCCAGATATAATCATAAAAAAATTGTGAAATATTTCAGATATTCCAAAATGTACAGAAAATGAGAACTGAGTATCTACCATCCAGCACTTAAAAAATAAAACATTACAAACACAAGTGAGCTCCCTGTGAATTCCTTCTCAGAGGCAAACACTATTTCCACATGTGTTTTTAAACTTTTCTACATATGTGTACATTCATAAACAATATATCATAATGAATTGTGTCTTAATTTTTATATAGGCGGTTTCCTTTTTTTCCACATTATTTTAAAGATCTGCTACTACATATAGCTCTGGTTTACTGATTTTCACCTCTGTAAAGTATTCCATAGTATGACTATTCAACAACTTATTTATCCATTCTTTGATTGATGCTTTAGTTTATAACTTAGTACTCCTTTCCTTGAGCAATATGTGAGAATTTCTTTAGGATTCCTAGGACCTAGAATTAGAATTTTTGGGTTATTGGATATACACATTTTTAACTTCACTAGATATTGCCAATATCAAAAGAGGTGGAACCACCAGGAGTGAGGCCCATCCATCTGTTTAACGAGCCCTCAGGGTTCAAAGTTTCAGATTCAGTAGTCTGAAAGAGAGGTGGTAGTGGTGGGTGGCATGGCCGAGAAGTTACATTTCTGACATGTTCTGAAGTGATGCTACTGCTGTAGTGTTGCATCTGGGATTACATTTTGAGAACCAGTGCTCTATGCTCTAGAGAAAGCCTATCAGATTACATTCTGAAAGAGAGAGCTGATGAGACATGATCTGAAAAGAAGTAGCTGGTGAGATTTTATCAGGTTAGTGGAATTAGCCCGTGATATAATTTTAGCATTCAGACTGTAATATATAATATAGATAATATACAGTAAATAACCAGTATGGGCCAGTCGCAATGGCTCATGCCTGTAATCCCAGCACTTTGGGAGGCAGAGGCAGGTGGATCACCTGAGGCTGGGAGTTTGAGACCAGCCTGGCCAACATGGAGAAACCCCGCCTTTACTAAAAATACAAAATTAGCCGGGCATGGTGGCACATGCCTGTAATCCCAGCTACTTGGGAGGCTGAGGCAGAAGAATTGCTTGAACCCAGGAGGCGGAGGTTGTGGTAAGCTGAGATTGTGCCATTGCACTCCAGCCTGGGCAACAAAAGCGAAACTCTGTCTCAAAAAAAAAAAAAAACAAAAAACAAAAAACAAGTATGAATGATTGTCATCAAAAGCTAAATTCTTAATGAGTTTTTATTGTCAGAATGAGACCTCTGCATGTGCTCTTGGTATCGCTGTGCTGAGAAGGGCAGAGGAGTGGGCAGGGGGCCAGATGTCAGGCTGGGCATGCAGTGAGCCTGGCTGATGTTACTTAGAGTGTTAAAGTATCTTGACTGTGCCCATAAAACCCAGGCACTGGCCTGCATGGAGGTGTGAATGTTCACTTGGGGGTTCCTCAAGACTGAAGGCATGAGGATATTGAGTTGTGCTGGCTTGGATATTTTGAAATATTTATATGCAAAAAACCCCATCCATATTTATATTCTATATTTTATTTATAATATTTTATTATATTCTGAAGTTAGTGAAAGGGAGGTTTCCCACAAATATTCTTTCTGTAGGAACTTCTTATAAAAAAATCTTGAAAAGGAAGCCTTCATATATTTTAGGGTAAAAGGACACAAACAGGCTTGCAGTCTGCAATGGTTAACATGTAATGTGGAAGGAAAGTTATTTTATTTCAGATTTAGCAATATAAAAGGTCAGCTAGGAAAAAACACATGTACCAGTAACCAAAAGCATTTGCTTACATCATTCCACAATTTGCAAAACAAGATAATTGTTTTTCAAAACCAGACAACAGGTTCAAAAATACTTCTTTTCACACCCCTAAGTGATGCTGTTGGGAACAATGGCTGTTACAAGGCCATTGTAGGCACATTTCCAGCAAGTTCTGGTTATCATTATTCTCATTTTATCTTCTTTCTTTTTTCTCTCTCATCAGCTTTTTGCTTTCTTCCCTCCTTCTTTTATTCACTGGATTCCGAGGATCATAGATTTCAAATGTATCTGAGTCTTGCATGCTTGCATCTTTCACTTTTCTGCTTTTATCCTCAAACTGAAGTACATGTGACATCCTAAATAGGGAGAGAGATGGTTCAGTGATTTCTTGCATGGGAACTTACAGTAGAAATTCTATACTCTACTATCATCGACATAATGAAACATAAGCATACAGAACACCAAGATGGGTTTGTTGTTTACTGGTGCTTACACCACATGGAAACCAACTTCTCAGAAAACCCTTAAATTTGAAAAACATGTCTGGAGTTTGTTCTGCTGGTTTGTATTTCTAGTAGAGAGTCTCTTTGCCTCAGTCTTCACTTGAGGTTTCTCCCCTGTTGGGAGGTTAAAAGAGTTCTATACAGAAGTGTTCCTCAAAGTAAACTCAGAGGACACTGTCTGCTTCCTTTAAAGAACACATTCCTTTAGCCAGAGTGAGTCAGGTTGCAGAGCAAAACTCAAGACAATAAGCCAGCCCTATCTGATTTTTAAAAATTTCAACAGTTACATGGGTCAAGAGTTGGGAATACATTAAGGTAATTTAAAAATGATGTTCAAATGGTGTTATGACTCTCTTTCCTGGGGAATTTGCTGGTTTAAAAAATATTTTCTTCATACAAAAGGAAACTAAACTTTTGACATAACTCTATGGACTAATTTCCTTCTACTGTTGATTACAACGAATCTAACGAATCCTGCTTTCTTACTTCATCAAAAGCTTACTGGTCTTAAGGTATCAGCATATGCTGGAATCCTGAGAAGTCATAAGCTAGCTATCTTTAGGATCAGCGAAATATGTTGGTAATTAGCTGTGCCCCATATGAGGTGCCAGGAATAAACAGGGAAGTCCAAAGAGCAGACTTCAGAACAGTTGAATGAATTTAGAAAGAGAAAAGTTCAATTTTTTTTTTTGAGATGGAGTCTCACTCTGTTGCCCAGGCTGGAGTGCAGTGGCGCGATCTCGGCTCACTGCAACCTTCACCTCCCGGGTTCAAGCGATTCTCCTGCCTCGGCCTCCCAAGTAGCTGGGACTACAGAGATTTGCCACCACGCCTGGCTAATTTTTTGTATTTTTAGCAGAGACGGGGTTTCACCATGCTGGCCAGGCTGGTCTCAAACTTCTGACCTCGTGATCTGCCCGCCTCGGCCTCCCAAAGTGCTGGGATTACAGGTGTGAGCCACCGTGCCCGGCGAAAAGTTCAATTTTCATACAAATAAAACTCTTAAGTCTTTTCCTACCAGTTATATCCTATACACACTTTTCTTCATCACAGCAGATAGGGTTAAACTGTAGGATTAATACTTCTTATATGCCTGTTGTAACTTTCAGATGAAACCCAAATATGATGCTAATATCTTTTCCCCCATATAAGCAGAGATCTGGGTAGTAGGTAGGCAGTAGTGAAGATCCCTCACTCTTTTCTCTCTACAGCAGCACAAATGATGAGTGAAATTTACTTGTGTGGCAAACTCACATGGGTATACCTAGATTTTGAAGAATCCTAAAAAGATTTTAGGAGGGAAATAAAATGTCACAATTTTAGTGATACCATCATTACTAAGGGTTCAGTAGCTGCTGCTCACCAGGGCTGGCGAGTTGAGACTTATGTACCGTTTCTACCTTCTTTTGTCCCACCTGAGAAAGCTTACTGGAAAGCAATAAGTAGAAATGATATATATGGATGATCTAGAATCTACTTTAATTTACTGAATAAGTCACATTCACATTTTTATACTTCATTATTATTATTATTATTATTTTTGAGATGAGATCTTGCTATGTTGCCCCAGATGGTCTCGAACTCCTGGGATCAAGTGAACACCTTGCCTCAGCCTCCCAAGGAGCTGAGATTACAAGCGCATGCCACCATGCTTAGAACTATATTATTAATGATACATAATTTGTATCAAATTTCATAACTGATCTTAATACCTGAATATGCTATTTCACATGTGGAGTTGCTGACTTTTTACACTTCCATTCCTTTAGTAGACACCCTTAATTAGAAAATGTATTGTACAATAGTTGCAAAATCTAATTTTCTTGTGCGTTCAATTTCCTACAGCGTTTAGGTATTAGCTTCTGAAAGTAAGACAATCTCTAACTCCCAGAAAAAGGCTGACTGTTCGACAGCCATGGTATTAAGTAAACCACTAGAACCAGTTGGAAGAATAATTAAACCAGATTTATGCAGTTAATGATATCTCACCAAGGTCTAAATAATCAGTGACAACTCACTTCAGTAAATACACCTCTGAAAGCCAATTAACCAGTGATAGCCACATGCTTTTGAAAGTTGGCCTGTCGGCTGCAGACTGGCTCCAGTGAATATGCTTCTGAAAGCCAGCCAGTCAACAATAGTTTCTTTCAAATAATGGGGCTTCTGAGGGTGATAGCTGCCCCTAAACAATTCCTGACCCCAAAACACTATGTAAGATTTGCAGCCTGCTTTGCTTGGAGACACTGTGCCTAAAAGCACAGCTCCTCTTTACTTAAGTAATAAATTAAGCCTTTTTTTCTCCAGTCATTGAGAGGTAGCCTTTTTCTTCAACACTTCTTACAATCTTTGCTGCATCCCCCACAAAATGCACCCTTTAAAATTGTAATATTACCACTGATGAGAAGTAAGTGCAGAAGAATGGTAGGACTGTCCTGTTAAAGGTACTTTACCACACATCGGGGGCATCTAGACCCCTCTACTGCACTTCAGTACATGCTTAGCAGCAGCGTTCCAAGTGCTTACGGGCTGGCTGTGTTGATGTCTAAGCCAACACCAGTGTAGCTGGAATCATACGCCCTTTAAAACACTTTCATCAATACTCCTGGATTGATATGAGAAAACAAACTTACTGTCTTATTAATACCTCTTCATATACATATTCTTCTATTTAAAAAATTATCCTTTTCTCTGCCCAGAAATACAGATGGTTTTCTGTAATATCCATTTCTAGTAGGGATTCTCCATGTTTCAAAAATGACTTGATCAGAATTTGTCAATTAAGAATATAAAAAGGCACCTTTTTCCTTTCTATGCCATGAGAGAATCTTGCAACTATTGGATTTAGTCGGCTCTGGTATAAAAAATGAACTCTAGACACATGAATAACAGCATAAAGTCCACAAGAAGAAACAGATTTCCTTACAAATTTGAAAAAAAGCAGAGAGCCGTGAGTTAAAGGAGCTGTCTTTTTCAACTGTTTGTTTCATACACCACTGCACTAAGCAAGTCCAACATTTTGATTAATAACAAACCTAAACCCAGAGGAAAGAAAGGGCTATCAGCTTACAAACTACTTCAGCTTTAATATCATAATACTTAGCATGGCTAGTTACTTGGCAATAATATTTAACCTTTAATAGAAATACAAGCATAATCAAAATGCTTCATCCATTTATCTTTCAACATGCTTTGGTCACTTCATTGTGAAAAGCAAAACAAAACAGTTATTATGATTTTCAGCATAATAAATTCCTGACCTACTTGCCTCTATAAATCACAGACTGTACGAATTGAAAGCATGCCCGCACTTTACAGTCTCCTATGAGGATACACAATAAGATTTAGAATACGGACTCAATTTGAGTACAGGGGGTCTGATAGTTTACAATCATGTATGTCCCAATAACTCAATACTATCCACTCTGCGGCTCTTTATGGAATTGGCCCAAAAAAAGTAGTGAATTTTTTTGGAATTAATTACACACTGATCATTTACATATGAAAATTGTAGAGCTTGTTCACTTGAAGGCAAAGACAAAAATTTAGGTTTGATTAATAAAAAATTTCACATAGGCTCAGATTCTCAAATAACATTGACTTTATAGTGTGTTACAATATTATATATAGTGTATATATAAAATCTATGGTTATATATAATATATAGCTATATATTATACATATGGTATATAGTATATATAGTATATATACAGTATATACACTATATATAACTGATCTCTATGGTATATATTATATATATCATATATAATATGTAATCTATTATATATTGTAGTATATAGTATATATTATATATATAGTATGTTAAAATATGGAAGTTTACTATTTTCAGAGAGGTTGTGTTTGACAGGAAAGTGGTTTTTTTGTTATTGTTTTTGGTGTTTTTTTGGTATGGGGCTGTGTAAAATTACAAACAGAAGTAAACAACTGATTTTTCAAAAAGGACTAGACCTTGACTGACTTCACTAACTTCTTATCCAGTTTTTAAAGTTCTCCCACAATTGTGAAATAGACTAAGATACAATAGCTATTTGTATCAATGGGAAATATCAAGAGAGGAACTGATTCTCAGACACACAATAAGTAGTCTAATATAGAATTCCAACATTAGCAATTCATTTCCGATTTAAATGAATTTAAATTACTTATATAATATAAACAGCTATCTTTTTCATTGGGAAGTCTACAAACCTCTTCTTCCCACATCCAAGCCACCCTAACTTAGGAACTTATCACCCAACCCTACGATTGTTGCAGGTGTCCTAATTGTTGTACATCTGTACTATTTCCTTCCCAGATCCAAAGCTTAAAAAATAATATTTCTTCCACATTTCTTTTATAGCATTCTTTTGATCAGAAACTACTGGTTATCATATTAGACTGAAATAAATACCTCAGTCTACCCTTAAAAGTCCTCCAACAACTGGTGCTTCCTATCTCACCAACCTTATTTCATTTCTTTCATCAATTCTCCCCATTTTGTAATTGCCTGTTTACTTGATTGTGAACAGACTCAGTTGTTTGAGACAGTTTGAGTCTTGTTCACTGTTGCATTCCCGGTGCCAAACATGGTGATTTGTGTTGGGAATAAGGCCTTCAGACCCTTTGTACTGGTCAGGCCTGTTGGCTGGTACTAGAAGGCTTGCTAAGCTAAGAGTCAACTTCCTTTTGTGGGTAGAGACTGTCTTATATTTTGATGATAAACTCCCTAAAACATCTACCAGATTCTGCAGAAAGTCTCAGGCTCAGCATAAGTCTCTTTTCATTTCTCACAGCTCACCAAATACTGATAGTTGCTTTTCCACTCACTCATACTAGTGATTGCTAGTTTTTATTTCCTCAAAAGACTGCAGTGGGAACATGCCTTATGTTCTTATCCATCTCATATAGCACCTGATGTAGAACTAGAGAGAAGGGCCCCTTTTTTTATTTTTTATTTGTTTAAAGCAATGTTTCTCAAAGCATATTTCTAGAGCCCCTGCATCCGATGCAGGTTGCATGTTAAAATCACCAAGTAGCTTTAAAAACTATCAGTGCCAGGCTTCCAACTCCAAAGGTATTGATTTAATTGTTCTGGGATGGGGTCCCAGCATCAGTAACTTAAAAAAAATGTTCCTAGTTATTTTTAAATGCAGTCAAAGTAAAGGGCACAGAAATAAAGCTTAAGAGCTTTTATGCTTTCAGATTGATTGATTTCATTAGCCCTTTGTCCTTGCCCCTTCAGAGATGGAGAACAGCTGGTTCCTAATGACAAACTACTCAAAGAAACTCAAGTAGCCTCTGAGTCTATTATTTGAACTGAATAATCTCAAGTGCATTATTTATTTCTGATATATGTGATTTGAGGAAAAGGCAATGAGCTAGACTCAATTATTCATTCAAAAAACATCTGGGGGCTTTTAATGCATGCTGCCAACGCTGGACACTGGTAAAACAAAGCCAAATATGACCCAGGCCCTACTTCCATGAAGTAAACAATCTGTAAGAACATACAGACAGACACCACGATGTGGTAAACGCAGAGTTTGGAATTGCCTGCAAACTGTGAGACAACAAAAATAGCACTCGCTGATGCAGCACTCTACAAAAAGCTTTCCCATGTTGTCTGGTAGCATCTTTACAATAACTGAATGTGGTGGGGGGCAGGAAAAATATTATTATCACCCCTGTTTCATAGGCAGTCTCTGAGACTGAGGGTCGAGAAACTTGTAGCTGATAACTTCTTGACCAGATACTTTCTTCTATGTCTTCAGAGGTAACAAAACTTTCATCCTGTAAAGATGGATTTAACTTTGGGAATACATCAAAAGTCAATTCAGTGCTAGGTCTAGTAAGGAAGATAAGAAATCAGATAGAGTAGTGCTTATTTTGGAGTACAAAATTTAAAAAATGCAACCATAAAAAGACATGAATCCAGGTTGGACATTAAAGAAATTTCAAAAGAGAAATTCCAGAAATGTCTTGAGCAATGTGGGAGCATCTTTGGGAAAAGGCACAACTCTTTTAGGTGAATGCTTACTTACAAAAAAGAAAAAGCATTAATTCCCCCTATAAATTTTTATCTCCTTATTGCCTTTAATCAGTGCTATCTGAAATCTCAGTTCCAGTTTCTTCTAGTTCTTCCTAAAATAGGGATGCTAAGCAGGGACACCTCATTCAGCTGGAAGTCCAAAAGGAGCAGAACCAAGGGCCCACAGCCTGCCTCTGCAAGGGTGGATATCTGGCAATCTCCTCTCAGCCATCGAATTACTAAGGACTACCTTGTGGTCCATAATACTCAGGTCTTTTATATTTTTCAAAAATGCAAATGTAGCCATGAAAACTCTTCTGTTTTAAATGCTTTGGTGGCTCTCCATTGTCTACACAAGGAAACCCAAAATTCCCAATGTGGCTTCTATAATCTGGCTTTTGCTTCCCTCTCCAGCCTGTTACATCTCCTTCTCCCATCACATCTATGCTCCAGACATCCCAGTTCTTTGAAGTTTCCTGAACAAACGCCTGCACTCTCCTTCTTCCTCGCTGCCTCTATATACACTATACACTTCTGTCTCTCAGTTAGCTGAGTGTTATCTCCATCTTAGAAATGGTTCCTGATTCCTTTCCTGATCTGACCTGCTGTTTCTCCCCCAGGGTTAAGACCCTCTTCTGGTCTTGCAGAGAATCTTGAATATCTCTCTGGTTTAGTCTTCCTCATACTACAGTGTAACTGCTGTCTCCCTTACTAGGCTGCAGGTGCTCTTGAAGGTGGCGGCTCTGCTTTTTTGTTGAGATGGGGTTTTGCTATGTTGCCCAGGCTGGAATGCAGTGGCTATTCAAGTAATCATAGCACACTATAGCCCTGAACTGCTGGGCTCAAGTGATCCTCCTGCCTCTGCCTCCCAAGCAGCTGGGACTATAGACATGTGCCACCACACCTGGCTCTATGGTGGCTCTGTTATTCGCCTTTGTACCAATTGGCCTTTGTACTAGCCAGCAATGCTTGCCAAGAAGAATGCCCTCAATAAATGTGTGCTGAATAAATAAATGTTTCTGAGTAGCCAGCCACCTCCAAAACCTTTGACTAGAGTTCTGGTTTTGTTCACCTTGCTCCTTGATAGTATTAATACATAATTCCAAATCATTGAGCAATTATGTTTATAAACTCTTACATGATAATGCCAGAGAAAAGGGTAATAAGTTACTCGAACAGCTGAAACAAGGTATTTCTACTACTACTAACTTTATGATATGAAAATCCAACACTTATCTTTCTCAAATGGACCAGTTAAACTGCTTGAAGATTGACATCTGTCTAGTGTATGATTAGCCTTTGAGGTGGGAGAAAGTACATATATTGTCCTCGGACAGCCTTCCCCATGTGGGTTAAAAGACCTTGCCATTCTTTATGAAATTTTGCCATACACAAAATTTGTCTCTGTACTGTGTTAGTGTACTGTGTTGACAGCTTCTAATTTCTCTGTTAAGTTAGAATTCTAAGAAACCTAACAAAATAGCTCCTAGTTATTACTAAGATTGTCATTCTATGGGACTGTGGATTACAAACTTTAATGAATCTGATTTAAGTTTTTTAGGGGTAGGGTTGAAAGGAGACTTGTATTTAAAAAGCAAAACCAGCCTTTTTATTTTTAAAGAAAAATCTCAGCAAGACCAAACAATTTTCAAGTTTTGCCCACATCTGATCCTTTGAAAGGACCTGCTCTGTATCATAGGTGGGCTGCAGCATACTTTTGTCCACATCACTTCTCTGGGACGCCCTTCCGCCTCCTTCCCACTGGTGTATGTCCCTGTTTTTTTCAAAGCCCAGTTTAATTCCCATTTCCTCCTAAAATTCTTTTCTGACTGCCCTGGGCCTCAGGATTTGTTCCTGCCTTTGAATTTCTTTAACACCTTCTATGAAACCTCTGTGGTATGCACTCAGAAGCCCTGAGTTTGATTTGAGTTACATTCAGTCACTATTACTGGAGAAAGTCACATTGCTTCTCAGGCCTCTGTTTCCTCACCTGTGGAGAGGGGTGGTAATGTGCAACCTATTTACCTCACGTGGCCTGAGGATCAAACATCATGGATTTGAAAGGGCTCTGCAAATGGCAAAGTGCAATCCAAACATTTATTATCATTTTAACTTATTTTGTACTTTGTGTCTTAGTTAGCTTGGGCTGCCATAACAAAATACCATGGCCTGAGTGGCTTAAACAATAGCAATTTATTTTCTCACAGACAGAAGTCCCAGATCAAGGTGCCATCAGTCAGTGTCTGGTGAGGGCTCTCTCCTTGGATTGCAAATGCCTGCCTTCTCACTGTGTCCTTACATGAGCTTTCCTCAGTATGTGCCAGAGAGAGAGAGTTTTAGTTTCTTCCTTCCTTATGAGGACACTAATCACAACACAGGGATGCAGGGAGAGCGGGGGCACCCTCATGACCTCATTTAAACCTAAGCATTTCCTTCCAAAGGCCCCACCTCCAAATACCATCATATTGGCAGTTAGAGCTTCAACATATGAGTTTTAGGGAGATACAATTCAGTCCATAATAGTGTGTCTATGTGTTGCATATAAACTGTGCTTATTTGAATATTTACATTTTTATAATACTCTATTATACTGCTACTGTGGTTTGAATATGGTTTCTTTGGCTCTGCCAAGTCTCATGTTGAAGTTTGATACCCAGTGTTGGAAGTGGGGCCTGGTGAGAAGTGTTTGGGTCATGGGGGTGGATCCCTCATGAATGATTTGGTGCTGATCTTGTGGTAATGAATGAGCTCTCACTCTATTAGTTGCTATGACAGTTTCCTTGAGTACTGGTTGTTAAAAAGAACCTGGCACCTTCCCTTTCACTCTCACTCCCCTGTCATGATGTGATCTGCCCATGCCACCTCCCCTTTGCCTTCTACCATGAGTGGAAGCAGCCTGAGGCCCTCACCAGAAGCAGATCCTGGTGCCATCCTTCTTGTATAGCCTGCAGAGCTGTGAGCCAAATAAGCCTCATTTTTTTTTTAAATAAATTACCCAGCATCAGGCATTCCTTTATGGAAATATAAATGGGCATAGACAACTACATACCCCTTTCAAAGTGTTTTGTGTACATCATCATACACATATAACTTATTTGATCCCAACTCACTTTGGAGGTTTATACGTATATTTCTAAATATGTCCTATCTACACTAGACTTAAGCCATTTGGAGGGCAGACACTATTTATAGAATCAAAGAATTATAGAAATGTTATTTTATTTTTATAACTTTCATAGCTTCAGCAATATACATTCACTGTTTTTGTTTTTCTTTTTGCAAAGTAGGACAATCCTAAGAGGCAAGAAGAAAAAGTAAACAAAAATTACCATAACTCATCAAGAACTACTGTAATACATAGGCACATCACTTCCTACATTGAGACCATGTAAATATCCACCTATATTTTCTTCTAGCACTTTCTTCTTTTTTCATTTGTTAATCTTTAATCAGTTCAGAAGTTTGTTTTAGTATAGTGGGTCGGATAAAGTTCTAATTTAATTATTTTCCCCAAATGGCTACCTCACTGTCCCAACTTCATTTCTTAAATAATCCACCCTGTACGGTACACTGCTGCTTTAATTATTGTAACTCTGTTGTATACTTAGGCATCTATCTGACTGGGAAAGATCATGATCCTGTTACTCATTTTTAAACATATGTCTCAAAATTTGTGTATTTTTTAATAGACTATTTTTAGAACAGTTCAGATTTACACAAAATTGAGCAAATAGTACAGAGAGTTCTTGTACCCTCAAACTACTCTGGTGTATTACTAACATCTTACATTAGTATGGTACACTTGTTATATTCAATGAAGCAATACTGATAGGTTGTTATTAAGTAAAGTCCAAAATTTATTTAGATTTCTTTAGTGTTATGGACCAAATTGTGTTCCTGCAAAATTCATACATTGAATACATTCATACATATACATACAAATATACTATGTGACCATATTTGAAGATAGGGCCTTTAAGCAGGCAATTAAGATTAAATAAGGTCATAAGGGTGGGACAGCAATCCAATAGGACTTGTATCTTTATAAGAAAATGATGAGGCTGGGCACGGTGGCTCACGCCTGTAATCCCAGCACTTTGGGAGGCCGAGGCGGGCGGATCACGAGGTCAGGAGATTGAGACCATCCTGGCTAACACGGTGAAACCCCGTCCCTACTAAAAATACAAAAAAATTATCCGGGCATGGTGGCTGGCGCCTGTAGTCCCAGCTACATGGGAGGCTGAGGCAGGAGAATGGCGTGAATCCGGGAGGCGAAGCTTGCAGTGAGGGGAGATTGTGCCACTGCACTCCAGCCTGGGGGACAGAGCGAGACTCCATCTCAAAAAAAAAAAAAAAAAAAGAAAATGATGAGACATGAGGAGCACATGAGCACAGAAGAAAGACCATGTGAGGATACAGCAAGAAGATGGCTGTCTGCAAGCCTGGAAAAGAGACCTCACCAGAAACCAATCCTGCTAGCATCTTGATCTTGGACTTCCAACCAACAGAACTGTGAGAAAATAAATGTTGTTTAAGCTACCCAGTCTGTGAGATCTTGTTTATAGCAACCCAAGTAGAGCAATATCCTTAGCTTTTACTTGATATCCTTTTTCTGTTCCTGAATCCCATTCAGGATACCATATTACATTTAGTTGTCATGCCTCCTTAGCCTACTCTTGGCTGTGGCAAGTTTTCAGAATTTCTCTGTTTTTGATCACCTTGACAGTTTTGAGGAATACTGGTCAGATGTCACAGGGCTGCAATTCAACATTTTTCTCATGATAAGACTGGGCTTATGGGTTATTGGGAGAAAGGCCTTAGATGTAAAATGCCATTAGCATCACATCGTTTCAAGGGTACATACTAGCAACATGATTTATGACTGTTAATGTTGACCTTGATCACTTCACTGAGGTAGTGCTTGTCAGGTTTCTACACTGCAAAATTACTCCTTTCTTTCTTTTCTTTCTTTCTTTCTTTCTTTCTTTCTTTCTTTCTTTCTTTCTTTCTTTCTTTCTTTCTTTCTGTCTTTTTAAATAAACGTGTATTTTAGGTTTGGGGGTATATGTGAAGGTTTGTAACATAGGTAACGTGTCATGGGGGTTTATTGTACATGTTATTTCATCATCCATGTATTAAGCCCAATACCTAACAGTTATCTTTTCTGCTTGAAGTTACTCTTTTATTTCTTGCTTTCCATGATGTACACTTTGAAAGGAAGTCACCATGCGTAATCCATACCTAAGGAGTGAGAAATTATGTTTCCCTACTCTTTTTATTAGAACATTTTGTGGCTATATTTGTTTGCATGTTTCTCTCCCTCCTTCTACTGGTATTTTTATTTGAATTATATTAGGTTTATAAAATAATTTTTAGGTAATTTGGTTTTTGTCAAAAATTAAGTATTCTAGAAACATAGTATATCAATGTACTCCTTTAATAGGTTGCAGTTTTCTTAATTTTACATAAAGATTTTAATAAATCTTTATAAAGGCTATTGCCAGGTAATTTATATTTGGTGAGTTAGAATCTTAAAAATTATGTTTTCATAATTTCAAAAATTATGTGGTTGTTTCAGAGCAACTATGACTTTTTGTGTACTTATTTTGTATCTGGTCACAATACTGACCTCTCAGAACTTTTGGTAGATAGCCTTGGATTCTTTAAATATGCAAGTAACTTAGCTTCCTGTATTCCATTTTACAAATGTGCAACTAAAGGTCTCAGAATTAGTTGCCAAGCTGAAGCCAGATTCCTAGTTCACTGGAAAACTTGGAAGCCTAAATATGACTAATACTTTTACAGGTACTTTTGCAGCTATTGAAAAACAAAGAACAAAATAGTGTCTGGATAATTGTTGACTATGCTAACAAACATTTGGCACTTATTATAATGTTAAGAAATCACAAGCAACACAAAAATCACAAAGCTTTAGATTCATTTCAAATGAGTTAATTAAAACAAGCTATATAAAGAATGATGACATTACTAACACTAAATATCAAAACCAGTTTTTCTCCTATGACTCTCGGTTTGCTTTGGCTACTGTTTAAAATATAAATGGCTGTTTTGTTTTAAATTTTTGATATTTTCCTAGGATTTCTAGAGTATGTTTTAAAATATTACTTGGATGCTTTTATTTCTATATTTTATAACTATCAAATGTAATTTTTAGGAAAAGCCTTATGAATATTTAATTTTAGGGCTTTTCTCTATTACTGATTACAAGTAACTTAGGGTTCTCTTTTCATAATTGTTCACAGATTCTTTAGGAATTAAGAAACTACAGGGTTTAGAGAGGTTTACTTCACCCACTACCAGTGCTAGTGTGTGTTGTCCAGGGAAGAGGGGATCAGACTGCCTCATCTACTGCTGTTAGTGCCTATACTTGTTGTCTGGGGGCCTGAGGACAGGCCTGCCCCATCTGTCACCACCAGTGGTATCTGCACACATTATCTGGGGTCTGGGGACTGACCTGCCCTGCCCATTGCTATGGGCACTCATATGTACCATCCAGGGGCCTGAGGTTAAGCATGCTGTGTCTGCCATTGCCAATGCCCACAGGTGTCATGTGGGACCTGAGGACAAGTCTGCCCTGCTACTGCCACAGGTGTATGTGCATGAGCATGCCATCCTGGGGCCCAGGGATCAACCTTCCTCACTGCCACCGTCAGTGCCTGCAAGTACCATCTGGAGGTGTGGGGATTAATCTGCCCCACCCATAGCCACTGCCATGGGTGCCTAAATGTGCCATCTGGGAGCCTGGGTACCATTTTGCCACTCCTGCTGCTTCTGGTGCTGGTGCATGCCAGCTAGGAACTTGAG
This sequence comes from Homo sapiens, assembly GCF_000001405.40. NCBI lineage: Eukaryota > Metazoa > Chordata > Mammalia > Primates > Hominidae > Homo > Homo sapiens. The sequence continues at coordinate 65,005,161 of NC_000005.10, read as the reverse complement.
GACAGGCCTGCCCTGCCTGCTACTGCCAGTACTGGTACCCATGGATCAACCCACCTGGTGTGCCTATACCCAAAGAAGCCTCACCACAGCCTACACTAACAAGTGCGGCCTAATCACTGAGGAACTCAACAGACAACACTGAAGCTGACTAGCTGATTACAGGCTAAGAAGTCTATACTACTGCACCCACCCAGAAGCAAAGCTGAAGCACCCTACCCAACCAACAGTGTGTGTGTGTGTGTGTGTGTGTGTATGTATATATATATATATATATATATATATATATATATATATATATATGAAAAAGTCTTTCCCTCTGAAGGCCAATCCATAAAAATGAAAGAAGCAATTGGTAGACCAGCTGTGCACATATAAAAGTAAGGACACAAGAAACATGAAAAAGCAAGAAACACAACATCCTCAAAGGAACACAATAATTCTCCAGTAACAGATAACAAATAAAGGAAAAATTGTGACATGACTAAAAGAATTTAAAATAAAGATATTTAACAAACTAAGTGAGATACAAGAGAACAGAGATAAACAATACAAAGAAATCAGAAAACAAATTCATGATCTGAATGAAAAATTCAACGAGATAGATATCATATAAAAGTATCAAACAGAAAGTCTAAAACTGAAGAATTCAATCAATGAAACAAAAAAACTGAGAGCTTCAACAATAGACTAGATTTAGCAGAAGAAAGAATTTCTGAATTTGAAAACATGGCTTTTGAATACCAAATCAGACCACCCCCCCACCAAAAAAAAAAAAAAAAAAAAGCCTATACAACATATGGGACACCATGAGGTGCCCAAATACTAGAATTCTGGGAATTTCAGAAGAAGAAGAGATGGGCAAAAGCATAGAAAACATATTTAACAAGTAATAGCTGAGCAGAAAAACTCATAAGTCTTACAAGAGGCATAGGAAGGAAGGAAGGAAGCTCAAGGAGTGCGACATACATTCAACCCTAAAAGCCACATTATAATCAAACTGTCAAAAGTGAAAGACAAGGCCAGGCATGTTGGCTCATGCCTGAAATCCCGGCACTTTGGGAGGCCGAGGCAGGCAGATCACTTGAGACCAGGAATTCAAGACCAGCCTGGCCAACATGGTAAAACCTTGTCACTACTAAAAATACAAAAATTAGCTGAGTGTGGTGGTGGGTGCCTGTAACCCCAGCTACTTGGGAGGCTGAAGTACGAGAATCGCTTGAGCTGGGGAGGCAGTGGTTGCAGTGAGCCAAGATCATGCCACTGCATTCCAGCCTGGGCAACAGAGTGAGATTCTGTCTCCAAAAAAAAAAAAAAAGTCAAATAAAAATAGAGAACTTTATAAACACCAAGAGCAAAGCATCAAGTCACATATAAGAAAATACATATCAGACTATCAGCAGATTTCTCAGCAGCAACGTTACAGGCAGGGAAAGACTGGGATGATACAGTCAAAATGCTAAAAGAAAACAGATACTGCTAGTCAAGAATAGTGTACCCAGCAAGGCTATATTTCAAAAATGAAGAAGAAATAAAGTCTTTTCCAGACAAACAAAAATTGAGGGATTTCCCCACTAGACCACAACTGCAAGAAATGCTTAAGGGACTCGTATACCTGAAAACAAAAGGACAATATCTACCATCATGAAAACATATGAAAGTATAAAACTCATTGTAGAGAAGATGCACAAATGAGAAAGAGAAAGGAGTCTAACATTACCACTACAGAAGATCATAAAACTGCAACAAAAAATAGGAGAAGAAGAAAGGGAAGGGAAATGGCAATAATAAAAAACGAAGAGAGGAGGAAAGGATATACAAAACAACTATAAAACAATGAACAAATGACAGGAATAAATCCTAACCTATCAATAATAATCTCAAATGTAAACACATTAAATTCGCTGCTTAAAAGGCAAAGCCAGACTGAATAGATTTAAAAATGACCCAGCAATATGCTGCCTATAACGAACTCACTTCACCTGTAAAGACACGTATAGACTGAAAATGAAGGGATGGAAAAAGATTTTTCACACAAACAGAAACCAAACAGTGAGCAGAAATAGCTATACTTATCTCAGATAAAACAGATTCCAAGTCAAAAATTGTAAGAGACAACAAAGGTCATTATAGAAAGATAATGGGATCAAATCAGCAAGAGGATATAACGTTCTAAACATATTTGTACCCAACATTCGAGCACCCAGACATATAAAGCAAGTATTATTAGATCTAAAGGGAAAGATAGACTCCAGTAAAATAATAGTTGGAGACTTCAACAACCCACTGTTAGCATTGGAGAGATCATCTAGACAGAAAATGAATACGGAATCATTGCATTTAAACTGCACCTTAGGCCAAATGAACCCAGCAGACATTTACAGCACATTTCATCCAACAGCTGAAGATACACATTCTCCTCATCAGCACATGGAATCTTCTCCAGAATAGACCATAGTTGAAGCCACAAAACAAGCCTCAATAAATTAAAAAAAAATCAAAATCATATCACCTATCTTCTTAGACCATAATGGAATAAAACTAGAAATCAATAACAAAAGAAACATTGGAAACTGTACAAATGCATGGAAATTAAACAACATGCTCCCAAATGACCACTGAATCAATGAAGAAATTAAGGAGAAAATAAACTTGTTTAAACAAATGAAAATGGAAATACAACAAACCCAAACTTATGGAATACAGGAAAAGCAGTGCTAGGAAGGAAGCTTATAGCAATAATCACCAACATCAAAAAAGTAGAACGATTTATGCACCTCAAGGAATTAAAAAGCAAAAACAAACCAAACCCTAAATTAGTAGAAAAAAGGAATTAATAAAGATTAGACAGAATTAAACACAACAGAGACTACAAACAATACAAGTAATCTTCAAAATGAAAAGTTGGTTTTTTTGAAAAGATAAACAAAATAGATAAATTGTTAGCAAGACTAACAAAGAAAAACAGAAAAATGCCCAAAATAAATAAAATGAGAAAGAAGGAGACATTATAATTAATACAGCAGAAATAGAAAGGATCTTTAGAGGCTACTGTGAACTATATGCTAGCAAATTGGAAACCTACAGAAAATATGAATAAATTCTTAGACACATACAACCTCTGGAGATTGAACTAGGAATAAACAGAAAACCTGAGCAGACCAGTAAAAAGCAATGGAATTGAATCAGTAATAAGAAATTTCCCAACAAAGAAAAGCTCAAGCTTTACTGCTGAATTCTACCAAAATTATAAAGAACACACACTATTTTTTTTTTTGTCAAGCTATTCCAAAAAATTGAAGATAAAAGAATTCTTCCTAATTCATTCTATGAGACCATCACTACCCGGTAACCAAAACCAGACAAGGACATAACAAGAAAAAGAAAACTACAGGCCACTATCAGTGATGAACATAGATACAAAAATTCATAACAAAATACTAGCAAAGCATATCCAACAACGCATCAAAAAGATAATACACACCATGATCAAGTGGGATTCATCCCAGGGATGCAGTTATGGTTCAACATACACAAATCAATAAATGTAATACATCACATTAACAGAATGAAGAACCAAAATTGTATGATTGTCTTGATCGATGCAAGAAAAGCACTGCTAAAATTAAACACATTTTTATGATTAAAAACTCTCAAAAAATTAGGCACGGAAGGAGCATACCTCAATATAATAAAGGCCATTTGTGACAAGCTCACAGCTGACATCATACTGAATGGGGAAAAGGTGAAAGCCTTTCCTCTAAGAACTGGAACAAGACAAGGATGCCCACTTTTACCACTCTTATTCAACATGGTACTGGAAGTCCTAGTCAGAGCAATCAGGCAAGATAAAGAAATACAATGCATCCAAATCAGAAAAGAAGTCAAATTGTCTCTCTTTGCAGATGACATCAACTTATATGTAGAAAAACCTGAAGACTCCACAAAACACTTTTAGAGCTGGAAAGCGAATTGAGTAAAATTGCAGGACAAAAGCCCAACATACAAAAATCAGTAGTGTTTCTGTAGAGCAATGACAAACTATCTGAAAAAGAAATCAAGAAAGTAATCTCATTCACAGTAGCGACACACACACACACACCAAACTAGGAATAAATTTAACCAAGGTGGACCTCTACAAAGAAAACTACAAAACACTGATGAAAGAAACTGAAGAGAATACAAACAAATGAAAAGACATCCTCTGCTTATGGATCAAAAGAATTAATGTTGTTAATATGACCATACTATTCAAAACAATCTACAGAGTCAATGCAATCCCTATTAAAATACCAATGACATTCTTCATACAAATAGAAAAAAAATCCTACAATTTGTATGGAATTACAAAAGACACCAAATAGCCATAGCAATACCGAGCACAAAGAACAAAGCTGGAGGTATCACACTCTCCGACTTCCAAATATACTACAAAGTTATAGTGACCAAAAGAGCATGGTGTTGTTATAAAAATAGACACACAGACCAATGGAACAGAATAGAGAACCCAGAAATAAATGCACATATGTACAGCCAACTGACTTTCAACAAAGGTGCCAAGAACATACTTTGGGAAAAAGACACCCTCTTCAATAAATGATGCTGAGAAAACTGGATATCCATATACAGAAGAATAAAACTAGACCTCCATCTCTCATCATATACAAAAATCAACTCAAAATGAATTAAAGACTTAAATATAAGACCTGAAACTATAAAACTATAAAAAGAGAACACATGGGAAACATTTCAGGGCATTGGTCCAGGCAAAAATTTTATGGTTAACACCTCAGGCAATGAAACAAAAACAGACAAATGAGACTTAATTAAATTAAAAAGCTTCTGCCTAGCAAATGAAATGACCAACAGAGTAAAGAGACAACCTGTTGAATGTAGAAAATATTTATGAACTATTCACCCAGCAAGGTACTGATATCCAGAATATAAAAGGAGCTTACACAGCTTAAAAGCAAAAAACCAAAATCCTGTTAAAAAGTAGGCAAAGGATCTGAATAGACATCTCTGAAAGGAAGATATACAAATGGCCAACAGGTATGTAGAAAAATGTTCACTATCCCTAATCATTAGGGACCTGCGAATCAAAGCCACAGTGAGATCTCATCTCACCCCAATTAGAATGGTCATTATGAAAGAGACAGCAAATAACGAATGCTGGTGAGGATGCAGAGAAAGGTAACTCTTATACACTGTTGGTGTGAACGTAAATTAGTATAGCCACCATGGAAAACAGTATGGAGGTTTCTCAGAAAGGTAAAAATAGAGCTACCATATGACCCAGCATTTCCACTACTGAGTATCTATCCAAAGGAAAGAAATCATTATATCGAAAGGACTTCTGCACCCACATGTTCATTGCAGCACTATTTACAATAGCTAAGAAACAAAATCAACTTAAGTGTCCATCAGTGGATGAATGGATAAAGAAAACGTGGTACATATACACAATGGAATACCATTTGGCCATAAAAAAAGAATGAAATCCTGTCATTTTTAGCAACACAGATAGAACTAAGGCCATGATGTTAAGTGAAATAAGCCAGGCAGAGAAGGATGAAATACTGCATATTCTCACTCACATGTGGGAGCTAGAAATGTTGATCTCATGGAAGTATACAGTAGAATGATGGTTACCAGGGGCTGGGAAGGGTGGTGTGGAGAGGATAAAGAGAGGTTGGTTAATGGATACAAACATACCGTTAGAAGAGTAAGTTCTAGTGTTTGATAGCACAGTAGGGTGACTATGGTTAAAAATTTATTGTATATTTTAAAATAGCTAGAAGAGTTCAAAAGTTCCCAACATAAAGGAATGATAAATGTTTGAGGTGATCATTACACATTGTATCCACCTATCAAAATATCACATGTACACCACAAATATGTGCAATTATTATTTATCAACAAAAAAGGGAGGGGGAGAAATAAATTAAAAAGTGTTTATGTACAAGCATATCTGAAAAAATAAGTCTGAATCTTTTTTCAACATGAAGTAGATAGTAGAGATCACAGTAACTCATATGAAGAGACACAGACAGACAAAATGTGAATGAGCTCAGAGATCAAACTATGTAAAAAAAAAAAGTTCTGGAAAATAAGGCCACTGGAACTCTTCATGTTTAGCAGAGCAGGGATGACTTTGAGTAATAGAAAAGGCCAAAGGAGAGAAAGAGATCAATGGAGAAAAGCAAAAGATGAAAGAAGATTCAGAATAGGAAACAGAAATAGTTAAAGGAAGCAGAGAAAAATGCAGATACAAATGGTAAAAAAACAAAAAACTCAAAAGAGAAATTAAAAATCAACAGTAAGAGAAAAATAAGAACAAAAAATTTTAAAATACTTGAACAAAAAAATAAGAATAGAAAAATAGAGCATTAGGAAAATCAAGCAAAAAGGAAAATGGAAACTGACTTTTGAAAAAAGAAAACGAAGATGAAAACCAGTGGCTTTTCTTTCACTGTTCACCACTATCATGGAAAAATCTCCTGTTTCTGAACTTTAAAGGAATGTTATATTGCCCCCTCAGTTTGGAGTTTTGAAAGGCTAACTCTAAAACACGTCTTTTGTATCCCTTAGTTAAAAAAGAAATCCTCATAGTGTCTTCTGTAAATATTTAGTATTGTTGGAGTAAATATGAAAGACGTAGGTTTCAAAATATCTTTAGCAACAGGGGAATGCACAGTTTCTCAGCTTTCTTGCCTATCTAACATTGTGCTTAACACTCAGCAGGACACAGGTGGAAAGATTTAAGAGCCTTTCCAGAACAAATCTGTAATATGCATTCTTACACCTGCCCTGGGGTTTCAGCAACTGCTCAGCCAATAACATTTAACCTACAGCCAGTAGACTAACAGAACAACTGTCTTCCATAGGGAAGATGAGATTCCCTATCAAAAAGGCCTGGTAAGCAGCTGGGGTACATGGCTGTCTCCCTATCTCTCTCAAAACAGATCCACAAACAAAGCAAACTTCCCCAACATGACAGAAACTTATTTCAGGGCAAACCATATGAAAGCGCAGGGTTAAGACAGAAGAGCTGTCTTCATCCTGAAGAAAAAGGAAGAAAAAGAGGTGACTTCAGGAACTGGACAGGGAGTTTAGAATTCAAATAATCATAATTCCAGGGTCAGCAACTCTGACAACGACCTATTTATAAAGGACCACGTTGGTCTTTTGCAGCATTATTTATAGTTCTGTATAAAATGAACACTAACCAGAGAACCTGGTCTATAATCATATTCCTTCTTGCTTCATTTTATCACAACCTTAGAACTTGGCTAAGAGAGAGGAATGGAATAAAAATATTTACATTACACTGAGCTTATAATTCTATGTTCTCCAAAGTGATGATATCCTTTTGCTTTATATTTAAATTCTATTTACAATGAATGTTCCTTTATCTGTGTCCCCTCCCCTACTTTTTCTTAGTACTAGCCTCAAGGAAAAAGCCTACAGTTCATTAATGAGGCATTATTGTCCACTGAAAAAATATCAAAACTCAAAAATTTTTTTATCTCAGAATGGTAAGAATTATGATAGAAACCAACCTTAAGTTAATCACTGAGAGTTATTATGAGTTAATTTAAGAAAAGGTCATAAAACAGTCAAATATTATAGAAATGGTATATATTGTAATCATCTGATCTTGATAGATCTACTGACAGTGGTCAAATATAGATAAATTAATTCTTAAAAATAATAATGACTACACTGAAGATGAAAACAAGAACACATTTATTGAGCACGGATTGTTCCAGACACCATACTAAACCCTTTAAAAATAGTATTTCATTTAATCCACAAACTGACCTACCAAAAAGGTACTATTATTATCCCCAGTTTACACTTTAGGGCACAGAGTTAGAAAGGTTATGTAATTTGCCCAAGATCCCACAGCTAGTAAGTTTCCAAGTTGGGATTCAAATTCAGGTCTGACTCCAAATCCCATATTCATAACCACTCTACTATTTATATTCCTATGAAAAATTAGGGGTAAATGTGGCAGGAACTTCTTGTTCAAGTTAAACAAACTTTTAAATAACTTTCTGAATTTTAATTCTTCAAATAATACAGAGGATATAATATTAGGGATATAAATTTGACATTTTCTACAATTTAAAGGGGACTTAGACAGTTTTTGACTAAGCGTGAATTAAGTCCTGAAGTCATTTGTTTGGCCTTATTACTACAGTTTAAAACAACAACAACACCAACAATCACATTGCCTTATCTGAAAATAGGAAAAATAAGTAGCCTAGCTAACTTAGAGAAACTGTTACTTAGGTGGGAGAACCTCTGAAAGCGACGATTTCTATGTAGAATGCCATAAAAATACTGATGCACTATGTTTCCCCATATAAACTAGGAATGATTTTTTTTCTAGCAGAAAATGTGATATTACATATAAGCAATACAAAATCACAAACAAGAGAGAATGTCTTCAAAAACAAATGGAATCAAACTATTGAGCCAAGCATGATTGGCTATGTCTGAACACTATCACTTCTAGTTATGACATCTTGACCAAATTACTTAACCTTTCTGTGCCTTAGACTTTTCCCCAGTATAATTTGGGCACTAGACTTTTCCCCAGTATAATTTGGGCACAACAACACTTTCTAGCTTATAGGTTTAAAGGAGATTGGTGCTTTGTAAATGCTCAGTAAGAGTTTCTTACTTTAACTTTTATTTCTACTAAAAAAACCTCAGCTCAACGTTTTACTTATTGTGATCAATTGCATTATCTGTACGCAAATAATAAAACATTACTATTACATTTAACTTGATTACCTGAATGAATACCAGAAAGTAGAAGGGATATTCATAAATCAAAATGGCAGGTATTTGAAAGATTATTAACATATGTTTTTGGAGGGGGATTTTGCGAGTTGCATTTATATGTGGGTATCCTAGATGTCCTGGGGATACATACCAGGTAAAAGAGAAGAAAGTAAGATGGTATACCTTCTGCAACTTTGTCAATTCTTTGTGCTTTTGCTCAGTGTACCAGGGAGATGGAAAAAATTCTAATCAAATGTCTCATAAAAACATTTATATGCCCATACCAGAAAATGGCAATCAAGCATGCTAGATTTCACTCCTTTTTATTCCTCATGCTATTTATTTTCCACATGTGATCTTTTCCATTACTTTGAAGGGTTTGTCTAAAAACTAATTATTTCCTTCTTGGCACTGGGGCTGCAATTCAGGTAGCGGCCACCTGTTAAATAATTAGGCCTTTTTATTGACTCCATAGCTATAGTCTAAGCTTTTTCCAGGTGTGGTAACTAAAAGAAAATAAGAATGTAGCACATCATCTACCACTTAAACTTTCAAAGTAAAAATATAAGTGTAGAACAGTAAAGGTTCAACCTGCCTTAAAAGATACTAAACAGTATTACATTGCTACAACAATTAAGCAGTGAGGTACTGGCACAAGAATAGACAAAGAAATCAATGTAAAATAATAAAACTCACTCAAAATATACATAAGGCCTTACTCTGATAAAGAACACATTTAATATCCATGGGGAAACACGGTATTATTCAGTTGTGGTGGCTAACAATTTAGAAAAAAAAACATGATAACAATGACCTAATATAATAAAGCAAATCAATTCCAGGTGGATTTTTGATGTAAATTAAAAATAAAAAGCATGAAAATACTACTGAAAGATATAACTAGGTATTTATATAATCTTGGGATTATGAAGATCTTAAGAATGACACCAGGTAGAAATCGTGAAGGAAAAGATCAGCAAATTTAGCAATGCAAATATTTAAAACTCCATGTTAACAAAACAAAGTCACCATAAACAAATTGTAAGGCAATGACAAACTGGTAAAAATATTTTAAACAAAAAATAATATTCTTCATAGGCCAGGCGCCGTGGCTCATACCTGTAATCCTAGCACTTTGGGAGGCTGACGTGGGCGGATCGCTCGAGGCCAGGAGTTTGAGACCAGCCTGGCCAACATGGTGAAACCCTGTCTCTACTAAAAATACAAAAATTAGCTGGGTGTGGTGGTGCTCGCCTGTAGTCCCAACTACTCGGGAGGCTGAGGCAGGAGAATTGCTTGAAACTGGCAGTAAACTCTGGGTGACAGAGTGAGACTCTGTCTCAAAAAAAAAAAAAAAAAATTTCAGAGCTTTTGTAAATAAAAAAGATATACACATAAGAGTAGACAATTAACAACCGTGACCACAACCATGAAATATAAATGGCCAGTTAGCACACTGAAAAAGTTCAACTACCAGCAAACAAATAAATAGAAATTAATACAAGGTAGAAATTGGCAATGATTACTATATATCTGTTATTTATGACACATTATAGTATGTACACACATAATTCTAGGGTAAGGAGAAACTAGCAATTTCATACATTGCTGGTACAGGTATAAATGATTCAACTTCATACAGTGCAACCTAGTAATAATTTTATCAAAGTCATTCCTGAGCTGATAGAAATCAGAAAGTGGTTGTGGGGAGGGGACTAGCTAGAAAGGGGAATGGGGGGAATGTTCTGGGGTGATGTAAATGTTTTACACATTGTTTTGATGGTGTTTATATTGGTGTATAAAATTGTCAAAAATTCATCAAAGTGAACAGATAACAACTGTGTGCTGTCTTATATGTAAATTATGTCTCAATTTTAAAAAAGTTTTTTTAAAAGCCTACCTGATGCAGGAAATAACAATGAATTTACAAAATATCAACTAAAAATTTATTCACTGATGAAAGGCTTATAATTAAAAATGGGATGAATTTCTTCACAAAGATCCATGTTAAATTATGCAATATCCTCTTGATAGAATATTATATAACCATCAAAAGAGATGTTACAAAAGAATATTTAATAATGTGAAAAATGTTGACAGTATACTGAAAAGAGAAAGGGAGAAAAAGGAGGTATGGCATGATTCTGTTCTTGGGAAAAGCATCTATATATTAATGTATGAGAGGGTAGACAAAAACAATGATGATAATCTGACTACCAGTGATTTTTTCTTTCTTTAAAATGTTTTATATGTTGAACAATACATATAAACACAAATTAGGTATTTGAAAAATTCACTATGATAATTATTATTAATTTCATTTAATAACTTCTTAAAAGAAAATGACATTGTTTAAAACTACCTTTAAAGAAATACAGACAACTATGTAGAAATTATGCATCTTCTTTCACAAAGCTTCACCTGAAATCCTACTACTGGGGTTTTTGTATCCTGCTTTTCAGATATGGTTACAGTATCAGAATGCTTATTTGTAGTTTCTTGGTTGCCAGTGTATAAGGGCAACTGTCTTTGCACTGGCTTCGTTGCCATATGTAACAACTATGGTGAATTGGCTTTTTAACTACATTATGCTAATCCCAAGGAACTTTGCTCCTTAAACTTTCTTTCCAATAGAAATAAATAACTTATGAATGCATAGCTTTTCTCTGTTCCAAGATGCTCTTGTCAGCTTAAAAAAAAAAAGAAATAAAAAGATTCTGGAGAGAGTCCAGAATCCATGACTATATATTCCCAACATAGAAAAGGTAATCTTGTCCACTCTCCTCCTCTTTCTCTATGAATGCTAAATTTATAGTAGCTAAGTCTGCCAGCCTCCGCATTTTGTAATCTGGATTCAGCTAAAGAACTTCTTTTTTTTTAAACAGGGCTACACTTTTCTCCTTTTCTTAACAGCTTATAAAACAGAACCTTCTAGTACCACTAGCAAATTTATTGAATATGTCTACATTCCTTCTAGGTCATAGATAACATAACTGAAGTAAATTAACATTTGCCTTTTTTTCAAATATTACTTAGAGGTTATTAGATCAAGAGAACTGTATAACTAATGTTTTGACAATTTAATTTAGAATGCTTAGTTTGTGCTGCTTGAGTAACATGTCAAGCCTTACCAATACTACCCTAGTACCATGCACCCCCACTTCCCTCTCTCACACCTACTATTTCCTGAGCACTCTCTAAGGGTCAGGCACTATACTGAGTGCTTTCCATGAATTATCTCATTTAATTCTAATAATAACTCTGAGGTAGATATTGTTATTTCTACTCTACAGGTGAAGAAATTGAGGCTTAGAAGTTAGGCTGCTTGCTTAGGTCACTGAGCAGGGATTTGAACCCAGGCATTCTGATTAGACAGCCCACTGTATAATTAGGTAATAATTCAATGTGTGGAATTACAGAGTAGGTTTTGGTTTCAGAACTCTCAGTGGAGCAAAAGAATGATTATTTTCGAGTAATTGTACCTCCATGGAATGTACCTCCATGATGGTACACTTCTTTAAAAAAGTGTAGAAAGTGGCAGGGTGCAGTGGCTCACGCCTGTAATCCCAGCACTTTGGGAGGCTGAGGCAGGTGGATCATGAGGTCAGGAGATCGAGACCATCCTGGCTAATATGGTGAAACCCTGTCTCTATTAAAAAAAAAAAAAAAATTAGCCAGGCGTGGTGGCGGGCGCCTGTAGTCCCAGCTACGTGGGAGGCTGAGGCAGAAGAATGGCGTGAACCCAGGAGGCGGAGCTTGCAGTGAACCGAGATAGCGCCACTGCACTGCAGCCTGGGCAACAGAGCGATACTCTGTCTCAAGAAAAAAAAAAAAAGTGTAGAAAGTATTCCAAAGATGAGAATGGGTGATATATGCTGTAACTAGCTCCAGAAGATGAATATTGTTATTTAGAATCAAAGGCCTCTGAAAGTCAAGTTAATTTTTTTCTTCCTTGTCCTAGTGATTAGTACTTCGGGTTAGAATCACTGCTGGTAGAAGCTGGTATTCTGGAAACAGCATAGGCTCACTGGTGTGACAAACAATCTCACCATTTATTGCCATAGGATCTTGGGCAGATAACCTAATTTTTTTGAACTACAGAGTTCCTCATTTATCACATGGAAATAGTGCTAATTATCTGAAGGATCTGTGAGAAACAAATCTGCGACAGCTAGTCCCTAAGTTATGAGCCCTATGAGGCTCTTTTGAAGGTAAAATGAGATGAGGTAGGATAAAGGTCCTAGCAGTGTCTGAAATATAGCACATACAAATATTTGCTTAAAAAATGACTTGGTGGGATCTAGAGTCACCTTCATCTCCTACTACCCGTAGAAGAGTTAGAGTGAAAAAGCACGAAAAGGATATATACTTACTTTAGTCAAGCATAAGTGGTTCCTAGTATGTCGGTTATTCTGTATAATTTTATTAACTAATCTGACTAACTGATAATTGGCCCAAATACCCTTAACAAGTGGTTTTAAAATAAATGAAGGGACCTCACATTAAGGTAATTCTTCGGAAATGCCAAAATAAAAAAACTTATGAAATATAAATACAATTTGGGGCAGAGCAAATTTGTTCATTTAAAACCTTTAATTGGTTTCCGTTGGTTTTTATTTTGTTTTAAGTATTATTTATTGTTTTTTAGAGACAGGGTCTCTGTTGCCCAGCCTAGAGTGCAGTGGCATGATCATAGCTCACTGTAACCTCAAACTCCTGGGCTCAAGTGATCCTCCGACCTCAGCTTCCTGAGTAGCTAGGATTATAGATGCACACCACCACACCTAGCTAATTTTAAATCTGTTTTGTAGAGATGGTGTGTTGCTATGTTGCCCAGGCTGGTTTCAAACTCCTGGGCTCAAGTGGTCCTCCCATCTCAGCCTCTCAAAGTGCTGGGATTACAGGCGTGAGCCACAGCTCCCAGCCTCCATTTGTTTTAATGTAGTGAATTGACCTAAAGACTCCAACTTGAGTTAAACAAACAATAGCAGAATTCAGAAACCTCTTTTTGGTCAGGTAAATATCTAACATGTATTGAAGGGACATTGGAGAGTACTATCCCCAAAAGCCCTGCATTCCTATCTCTGGCAGGTTACTACCCACTACCTCCTGTGGTATTTGAACCTGAAGTTTCCTCTTAGGTAACAAAAGGATAACAATCCCAAGTTACACAGGAAGGATTAAACCACATCAGCAGAGTTGAGAATCCTAAGTGAATGCAAGGTTTCTTGCCAATGACTGTGAAAGCAGTTCATAATTTACGCCCAATATCTGTTTCTAAGCAGAAACCTTCTTCCTTACAATGATATCTTATCTCACTTGGGATATTATACTGTAATAAATCAATGGGAATGAGTGTCATGTCTAACTTTACTCCACATCCCACACCTCACACATTATTTCCATTAAAAACATTTATTAAATAAATAAGGAATAGTTTTCAAAATATGCAAACTGAGTTAATCTGACCTATATGAATAAACTGAGCCCATAAATACTGTGCTATAGCATTAATGCCATTGAAAGATTTTAATATCACTAGATAAGTATTCATAGAAAGCTTAAGGATTAATAATTACTTGCCATGGGCTCTACATGTTTAAATGACATCTTAGGGAAAAAGAAGCATGTTGTCTAGAGTTATTAATTGATAAAGTAGGGTAAGGGTTGTATGACAGCAGCAGTTTAATGAGTACAAAAGGCTCAGTATCTGGACTGTAAGAAAACAGATAATACAATTTCCTATACTGGAAATTAGAGAAAAGTTTCTGAATTAAGGATGACATCTAAACAAATAAAAACTCGGCCGGGCGCGGTGGCTCACGCCTGTAATCCCAGCACTTTGGGAGGCCGAGGCGGGCAGATCACGAGGTCAGGAGATCGAGACCATCCCGGCTAAAACGGTGAAACCCCGTCTCTACTAAAAATACAAAAAAATTAGCCGGGCGTAGTGGCGGGCGCCTGTAGTCCCAGCTACTTGGGAGGCTGAGGAAGGAGAATGGCGTGAACCCGGGAGGCGGAGCTTGCAGTGAGCCGAGATCCCGCCACTGCACTCCAGCCTGGGTGATAGAGCGAGACTCCGTCTCAAAAAAAAAAAAAAAACAAAAAAAAAAAAAACAAAAAAAAAACAAATAAAAACTCTAGAGCTCTGATAAAGGCTACATAAAGCATAATGACAGTAACTAGTGAAAATATTACTCTCCAAAAGTTGATGAATGAATATTTGTCTTGCAGTTGATCATTCAGTTGAAATTCTTGGCAAGAAGAACAAGAGGGAGTACTTTATAACTAGTGAATAGAAAACAGATAGACTTCCTTAGAGATTATTTAGCAACAAGCTTTTAGAGTAAAATACACTCTCCTTTTGACTCCATGAACTACCAGTATTGCTTTTTTTTTTTCTCAGATTAACTGAGCCAAATACCTTTTATTAGCTTGATTTAAGCATCAGGTACTAGCCTATTATGCACCATCTGTCAGCTGGGGATCTCTGTACCCCTCCACACCCCACAGAAATCTAAATCTCTCCAAAGAATTTCTGCTAATTGTCAGCATGTCTCATGATCATCAGGCCTCCTTTGCCTCTTGTGCTCTAGCTTCCTCTGGCCTACACCATGCAAAAATAATTTGAATCTCTGCCATCCTGAGTCTCCAACCAAACAGCACCCACAAGAGCACAACTTTACTGAAGGCTGTTAAGAGATCCTGGAGATAGGTCATGTCAACCACTGCACCTCTCAATACCAATCCCTCCCTTTCTTCTTATCTCAAGATAGCAGTTTGGTGATCACCTTTTGTGATTTGAGGATGTTCCTAAGGTACTGTTTTTCAACTTCTCTCTGGTGAACCATATCAAGGCACAGTGCTTTTCCCAAGAAATACATTATTCTCTCTAATAGCAATTCATTGCCAACTATTAAGAAATCTTTTTTTAAAGAAAAAAATTTGCTCATGCTGAGAATTATTCAGTACCATCTAAATGTTTGTTTTTTAAAAAAGGATCTTAACAGAACCTGAAAGAAATGAGATAGCCTACTACATGAGACAATTTGGCATAAGCCAGTTTGAGACAACTCACTAGTTATACAGAAATCTTAAAAGAGGAAAAGCAGAACAGTACATATGTGAGAATCTCCAAAGGGGTTTGGAAAAATGGTAGTATTGATAAACAACTCTGAGAAGCTGTGGCCCCAAGAGAATGGGATAAAACCCTGCTGCTTTTCCCCCTTTCTTTTCTATCCCAGCATGGCTCTGAATGAGGGCACAGTTGCAAAAAGTGCATGGTAGAACAGTGTAACTAAAGATCCAACGTTCTGGCTGGAGGAAGAAAAGGGGAGGCCCACGACAATAGAAGGTATTGAGGAGACTGTAAAGGGAAAAGGGAATCCATAAAGTCAGTGCATGTGTCAATCCAATGCTAAACTGCATATCAAAGACTCTGAGAACTTAACTAAAAGATAGTCTAGGCTTGGCGTGGTGGTTCATGCCTGTAATCTCAGCACTTTGGAAGGATGAGGTGGGTGGATCATCTGAGGTACGGAGTTCGAGACCAGCCTGACCAACATGGAGAAACCCCGTCTCTACTAAAAAATACAAAATTAGCCACATGCGGTGGCGCATGCCTATAATTCCAGCTACTCAGGAGCCTGAGGCAAGAGAGTCTCTTGAACCCGGGAGGTGGGGGTTGCAGTGAGCCAAGATTGCACCATTGCACTACAGCCTGGGCAACAAGAGTAAAACCCCGTCTCAAAAAAAAAAAAAAAAAATAGTCTAACAGCCAGGTCCCACGCTGGACAGCGGGTGGCGTATACATGGGACAGATACAAATAGCAATGCAAATGCATTGAGAACAAGACTAAGATTGAAACCAAATCCCACAGAAGGGTGATCAGAACTTGTGGCCTGAACCCAAATGGGTTGTCTGCTATAACATAACATTTTTCATAGGATTTAAATAAGACCCAGAGACTCATAATATTCAAAATGTTTAGGATACAATAAAAAAAAATTACTTGGCATAAGAGAATCATACAAATCTTAACTTGCACGGGAAAAGACAATCAACAGATGCTAATACTGAGATAACAGGCACTGGAATTATTTGACACAGACTTTTAAACAGTTATTGTAAAAAAGCTGAAAGAAGGGCAAACACTGTTGAAATAAATGAGAAGACAGAAAGCTTCAACATAAAAATAAATACAAATAAAAGTTTTAGAACTGAAAAATACAATAATCAAAATTTAAAACCCACTGCAAGGGCTCAGTAGCAGAATGGAGGTGACAGAGAACACCAAAGGTCTAAAATTCATGTCACTAGAGTCCTAGAATAGAGAAGAAGGAATGTGTTGAGGATAAAATAATTTAAGAAATAATGTCTAAAAACCTCCCAAATTTGGTGAAAGACACAAACCTACAGATTCAAGAAGCATAGCCAACATCACACATAGTAAACCCAAAGGAATCTATACCTACTCATGCAAATCAAACTTGCAAGAACAAAAGATGAAAAAATCGTAGAGAAAAATAATGCATTATTTATAAGGAAACAACAATTTGAATAAGTAAAGATTTTCCAAAAGAAACCATGCAGAACAGAATTTGGTGGAACAAACATCTTTAAAGTGATGCAAGAAATGAACTGTTGACCCATAATTCTGTATTCAGTGAAAATATCCCTCAGAAATGCAGGTTAAATAATGACATTCTAAAGTGAAGGAAAACTAAAATAATCTGTGGCCAGTAGATCTGCTCTAAAATCATCATTCAAGGAAGTTCTTTAGCTAGAAGAGAAATAATACCAGAAGGAAACCTGAAATATCATGAATAAAGAAAGAGTAACATGAATGGTAAATATCTGGGTAAATATAACAGAGTCTTCTCCTGTTGAGTTCCTTAAAATGTGTTTGACAGCTGAGAGCAAAAATTATTAACATTTTTCTGAGGGGATTCTCAATATATGTAGATGTAATACACAAATTGGCTAGAATACAAAGGGAAGAGGTAAAAGGACCTACATACATGTAAGAATTCTATATTCGTCTTGAAATGATAAAATATTAACTCTAAATAAACTATGAAAAGTTTAAAAAGTATATTGTAATTCCTATATCAATCAGTGAAACAAAACACTATTCAGATACTGTCAAAAACACAATAGATAAATTAAATGGAAATGCTAAAAAATGCTCAAATAATCCAAAATAATGCAAAAAAGAGGAAACTGATATGTAACTAACCTGCACATTGTGCACCTGTACCCTAAAACTTAAAGTATAATAATAAAAAAATAAAAAATAAAAATAAACAAAACAAAACAAAACAAAACAGAGGAAACTGAAGAATAAAAAAGGGAGGGCACTTCTGGTTTCACTTCTAACATGTAAAGAGCTTGAAAGTCATCAATTCATCCTTGCAACAAGAAAAAAGCTAAACAAACTGGAAAAAAATGATTTTTTTTAGATGTATTACAGAGTTGAGGTCATAGGGTAAAGTGCCATCCCCAAATCTGGAAATACAGGCAACTACAGAGAATCATTTTCCAGATCAGCTTACCTGGAACAAATGCTACTGGAGCCATAAACTGGTAGGAATGCTTAAGTGGTAATTTTAATGAACTGCAGGAAGCTGAGTGTGGATTAGCATGACAGTAAGAAACTCCTGGGGGCCCAGTCCGGGGGGGGCTCTGATAAAACAAAAAGCATCAGGTCTAGATGGGTTCACTGATGAATTTTACTGAACATTTAAGAAAGAAATTATACCAGTTCTTTGCAATCTCTTCTAGAAGACAGAAGCAAAGGGAACACTTTCTAACTTGCTCTATGAAGTCAGCATTATCCTAATACAAAAACCAAACAAAGGGATTAGAAGAAGAGAAAACCACAAACCAATATCTTTCAAGAGCATAGATTCAAATATCCTCAACAAAATATCAGAAAATCAAATTCAACAATGTATAAAAAGAATTATATACCATGACCAAGTGGGATTTATCCCAGGTACACAAAGCTGGTTCAACACACTGGTAAGGATGTGAAATAATAGAAGTTCTTATTTGTTGCTGGTGGGAATGTAAAATGGTAGAGACACTTTGGAAGACAGTTTGGCAGTTTCTTACAAAACTAAATGTATCCTTACAATCCAGTGTTTGCTTTTTGATATCTACTCAAATGAGTTGAAAACTTATGTTTTCATGTTCCACATGGCTGGGGAGGCCTCAGGAAACTTACAATCATGTTGGAAGGGGAGGCAAACACGTCCTTCTTTATTGTGGTGGCAGGAGAGAGAAATGCAAGCAGAAGAAATGTCAGCCACTTATAAAACCATCAGATCTCCTGAGACTCACTCATTATCATGAGAACAGCATGGGGGAAACCATCCCAATGATCCAATCACCTCCACCTGGTCCTGCCCTTGATTATGGGGATTACAATTCAAGGTGAGATTTGGGTGGGAACACAGAGCCAAACCATACACTGGTAAAAGACATCTATGAAAAGCCCATACTTAATGGTGAAAGACTGAAGGCTTTTCCCCAAAGACTGGGAACAAAGGAAGAATGTCTACTCACGCCACTCCTATTTGTCTTCATACTGGAAGTCTTAGCCAGAGCAGTAGAGCAAAAATAAATAAATGAATAAATACATGTCATACAGAGTAGAAAGAAAGAAATAAAACTGCCTGTATATAAAACAAAAAGCAACAAAAAAATCCAAAAACCTAGAACTAGTAAGTGAGTTTCACAATGTTGCAGGTACCAGGCCAACAAACAAAAACCAATCATATTTCTGTATAACAATGACAAACAATTGCAAACCAAAATAAAAAAATACTATTTATAACAGCTCCACAAACAAGGAAATGGTTTTAAATCCAAAAACACATGTGTAGGGTACTGCTAACAACTATAAAATGCTGATGAAACAAATCAAAGGAGACCTAAATAAATGGAGAGACATAATCATGTTTATGGATTGGAAAACTCAACATAGTAAAGATGTCAATTCTCCTCAGACTGATCAATAAACGTAATGAAATTCAAATAAAAATCTCAGCAGAATTTTTTTGTAGAAATAGACAAACTGATTCTAAAACTTTTATGGAAAGGGCAAAAGAACTAGAATAGCCAAAGCAATTTTGAAAAAAACAAGAAGAGAGTTGGAAGAATCATTTCAAAATTTACCATAAATCTGTTGTAATCAAGAAAATGTGGTAATGGTGAAAGGATAAAGACACAGATTGATGCAACAGAATAGAGAGTCCAAGAAAAGACCCATATTAATATAGCCAACTGTGTTTGACAAAATTGCAAAGTCAGTTCAAAGTCTTTTTAACAAATGGTACTGGAATAATTGGACATCCATATGAAGAAAATGAACCTTAACCTAAACTTCATACCTTATACAAAAATTTATTCAAAATGGATAATAGATCTAATTGTAAAATGTAAAACTATAAAATGTTTAAAAGAAAACTTAGGAAAAAATCTGTGTGACTTTAGGTTGGGCAAAGAATTCTTAGACATAACACTAAAAGCATAACCTGTAAAAGGAAATAAATCAATCAACTGGACTTAATCAATATTAAATATTTTTACTCCGTGAAAAATATTATTGGAGAAAAATCACATATCTGATAAAAAACTTGCAAATAACATATCCCAAAAAAGACTTGGATGTAGATTATACAGAGAACTCTTGAAACTCAACAGTAAGAAAACAAATCCAATTCCCAAATAGGCAAAAGACTTGAACAGACATTTCATCCAAAAGAAAATACAGAAGGCAAGCAAGTACGGGACAGATTAAAAATTACTACTGGATTGCTCATTGTAACAAGTGAAATGATTGAAAGACATTTAAAGAAGTTAATTATACCTTCTTTCCATGCCCATTTGTACCTGTTATCCTCCCACCTGCATCTCCAGCTAACCAGTGGTAACAGTATGGTACATAGCCAACCATTGTTTTCCATGGGACAGATCTTGATGCACATAACATCAACAAATATTTTTTGAAAGCCCATTATGAACCAGGCACTGGATACGGTACTATGAGGACCAAAAAGCAGATAAATTATTTAACTTCACTGTGCCTCAGTTCTTTCATGTGTAAATAAAGATAATAAATAATACCTACCCCATAGAGTCAAGTGCATGTGAAGCACTTAGAATCAGTAGGACATTATTTTGTGAATTGAAGAGGCTAGGCACAAATATAAGAATGAAAACAACTAAAGGCCAGGTGTGGTAGCTCATGCCTGTAATCCCAGCACTTTGGGAGGCTGAGGCGGGCAGATCACCTCAGGTCAGGAGTTCGAGACCAGTCTGACCAACATGGTGAAACCCCATCTCTACTAAAAATACAAAAAATTAGCCGGGCGTGGTGGTGCGCACCTGTGGTCCCAGCTACTCGGGAGGCTGAGGCACAAGAATCACTTGAACCTGGGGAGGCACAGGTTGCAGTGAGCCAAGATCTTGTCAGTGGACTCCAGCCTGGGCAACAAGAGCAAAACTCTGTAACAACAACAACAACAACAAAAGTAAAAGAATATATTTAAATACTACTTTGTGTGAGAAAAAATTTAGAAAAGTAAACAAGAACATAAAACCAAATGCCATGTCACAGACCACTTCAAAACAGTTAAGGACCAGAAAAGGGTTGATGAGGAAACAATTAGTACTCTGTTGTACCAGGCCTAGGCCAGTGACAACGGGTACATTTATTTCAGAAAGTACCATGTTGCTTCTACTTGAGAACAAGGATCACAAACTGGGACCTGGAAAAAAGCTTCCCAGGACCTATAGATTGGGTCATAATCTGTGATTAAAAAAGGACCATCATTACACACTCAATGACCAGAGATGACTTGTCCCAGCGGTTCTCAAAGTGTGACTCGGGGACCCCTGTGTGTCTGCAAGGTCAAATTTCTTTTTGTATGAATACTAAGACACTTGTTTGTCTATTTCATTCTTATCCCCTCATGAGTGTACAGTGGAATTTTTCAGAGAATACATGAAGTGTGAGATAAAACAGAGTAAAGCAGATATGCTCCTATCATGCCAGATTTCAGAGATTTACAAAAAAATGTAAAACAATGCCACTCATATCACTAAATTTTTTGTTTTGCAGGCATAATTTTTTTAAATTAAAGTATGTTGTTTATAACATATTATTAATAGATATATTCCATATAAACAAAAGCTCTTTGGAGTTCTCAGGAATTTTTAGCAGTGTAAAGCAGTGGCCCCCAACCTTTTTTGGCACCAGGAACCAGTTTTGTGGAAGACAGTCTTTCCATGAATGGGAGTGAGGGGCTGTTGATTTCAGGATGAAACTGTTCTGTTTCAGACCATCAGTCATTAGAGTCTCATAATGAGCATGCAACCTAGATCCCTCGCAGGTGTAGTTCACAACAGGGTTTGCGCTCCTATGAGAATCTAATGCCGCCGTTGATGTGACAGGAGGTGGAGCTCAGGCAGTAAAGCTCGCTTGCCTGCTGCTTACTGCCTGCTGGGCGGCTCAGTTCCTAACAGGCCATGGACCAGTACCAGTCTGCAGTCTGGGGGTTGGGGACCCCTGGTGTAAAGGGCCCAGAGACAATAATTTGAGTTCCACTGCCTAATACTAAAGGGTGAAGTTGGCTAAGTTCATTTAGCTAACTTGGGCCTTCATTATTTTCACAGTCTCCACCCTTAGAGCTGTATTTGTGTTCATCTATACTAAACTGTGCTTGACAATGTCCTGTTGGAATGAAGGGGAAAATAATTGAAACACTCTCCCAACACTTTGGGAGGCCGAAGCGGGAAGATCATTTGAGGCCAGGAGTTCGAGATCAGCCTGGGCAACATAGTGAGATGCTATCTTAAAAAAAAAAAAAATTAGCCGAGTATGGTGGTGTATGCCTGTGGTCTTAGCTACTTGGGAGGCTGAGGTGGAGGATCACTTGAGCCTGGAACTTTGAGGCTGGAGTGAGCTTTGACTGCACCAGTGCACTCCAGCCCGGGCAACAGAGTGAGACTCTGTCTCAAAAAAACAAAAATTCATTTGTTGTCATTTCACCCTTCATTCAATACATGATTAAACTATATACACAAATTACAGTATGTATTACATATAAAAGGTATTGAAAGCTTTGCTAGTATAAGCAATGAGATGAAGCTATGTTCTTTCATGGTATCTTATAATGAGGTCTGACTGGGTCTAAAAGTCAATAATCTCTTTTTTACATCTGTATTATTAAGATTTCACTGTTTTGGATACAGACAGCTGGTAGTTGTTGCTTCTGCACTATGCTAACTCCAAAGGAAAGCTTTAAAACTTCTTTAAGCCAAACCTTGGTTCTCAGAACTTCAATCTCTAGCAGATGCAAACTGTCTGACTGATGGCTAAAATTGACTTTTAACATTAGCCAAAGTGCAATAATAAAACTGAAAAAAATCCATATCCAGAAGTTTTAACCCATAGGGTTATCGTAGAAGGAGAATTTTTCAGAACCAAGAACAAGACTACTTGGAGATAAGGCTCCTAAGAAGAGGAGCTAAGTTGAAACTTGTATAGTTTTATGAAAAACAGAAGCAAACCACACTGTTTTTATTTTTAAAAAATTTAAGAAGGCAAAGCATTTCTTCTAAAACATTAATCTCTTTCACTAAAGCTCTTTAAGGATTCTTAATTAATTCTTGAGATTCTAATAGCCCTAAAGACAAGTATTTACTTTGGAGTACAAATTAGAATGACATTTTGTGAAAGCCATTTGAAAATATTTAGCAGAAGTCAACATGTGTACTTACTGAGAAAGCAATTCTAGTTTTAGAAATTTATCCTAAGAAAATGGGCAATGACATAGAAACAAGGATGTTACAGCATTGTTTAAATATCCAACAACATGGTCAAATAAATTTGTGGTTCATCATATAGTGGAATATGATGGTCATAATACAAAAGATAAAAATTACATCATAAAATTATACATGATAAGGAAAAGTAGTCACTGCATATTGCTGAGAAAAAAAGCAAGTTATAAAGCTGTAGTACTATATGATCTAATTTCTGTTTAAAATATGTATGTGCATAGAAATACCTGGACAGATATAAATTAACATGTATAAAAATATACTTTTACATATTTGATGTAAATAGCATAAATATATAAATTGATATGTATAAATTAACAGTATTTATCTTTGAGTTTGGGATCATAGGTAATTCTCATTTACCTTTTTTGAGTGTGTCTGCATTCTGATTTTTCCACAGTGAACATTTTTTTGTTTTTTTTTGAGACGGAGTTTTGCTCTGTCAACCAGGTTGGAGTGCAGTGGCATGAGCTCGGCTCACTGCAACCTCCACCTTTCAGGTTCAAGCGATTCTCGTGCCTCAGCCTCCTGAGTAGCTGGGACCACAGGCACCCGCCACCATGCTCGGCAAATTTTTGTACTTTTAGTAGAGATGGGGTTTCGCCATGTTGGCCAGGCTGGTCTCAAACTCTTGACCTCAAGTGATCCACCTGCCTTGGCCTCCCAAAGTGCTGAGATTACAGGCATAAGCCAGCATGCCTGGCCACAATGAACATCTTTTAGTTATATAATAATCAGTAAAATATTTACTTGAGGCAACCATGCAATTGTTGGTATTTTTTCAAATTTTTATAATACTAAATACCGTATGTACTATGGAAGAAAGTGACGGAGGGGAGAGAAAGAAGAAGAGAAAGAGGAAGAAGGCAGACAGACCATTATACTGTTTATTATTTTATCTTGTATATGTGCTGTAATGTTTCAAGTTAATCTTAGAATTAACAATCTGGAAAGAAATTTTCAATGAAACATAGTAGTGAAGAGTTAATGTGCATAAGATCGAAGCCTATTCACATAGATTTAATCTTTCTCCTCTCCTTAGAAATGCCAATTTTGTTGTGTAAGGAGCAGGTGGCTATCTTTCTTGTAACTTTTTTGGGAGCTCACCAAGCTTCATCTAACCAAACCCAATTTGGCATATGGACTTCATCCATATGGTCATATGAATCCCTGGGCAAATTCCTCCTGCCATGTGTCTAATCGGTTTCATAAAATCCATGCTCAAAGAAGGGTCTACAGCTATATGAGTCTGTATACTGTGGGACTAAGGAATATAGTGACAAAGAGACCACTCTACCTGCTAAACTGGAATCTGGTACCATCACTATCACTAAATATTGGCAGTGTATATCTGAACAAAGGAGGAATCCTAGTAATTCTGAGTGAAAAATTTCTATCATGCATTTCAGTTTAGATCTACTAATAACACTTCTTTAAATGCCTTGTTAGTGAAATCTGGGAATAATTTTCAAACACCATACGCACTGTTTACAATTGAATCATATTTCTTTTCTTTCTCTCCCTCTCTCTTTTTTTTTTTTTTTTTTTTACATAAAAAGTATAATGCTGCTGAATGGTACCCAAATGTCTGTTGTATACCATGCCAATACAGCAGCTCAGCCAAAAATGCGAATAGAATAATTTGCCAAGTAAAAGAAAACATAACAAATTGGTAATGGTTTCTATCTTGACAGAAAATGAAAATGATCCCTCAATGTGTGGCCACTCATGTGGACACATAAAAATGTCTTAGAAGCAATCATTTTACCTCAGATAACAGACCCTGACAGTGTAGTACAGCACAATGGCTGACTTTCACTTCTTAGAAAAGCGGCAACCGTGACCTACAAAATAGTCTGGGAACCATGTAATTTATGCATAACACACATGCACATGCCATGCACTCATAATATTTGTTATAAATCATTCTGAATATAAGATTCCTTTCCTGAGAAGAATATACTTTATGAGAGAGGATCTAAATCACCAGAGACTTGAGAAAGCTATACTGAACAGAAATGATGTTGTTGCTTATCAGGTTACAAAATCCAAGGTCTAAATTGCAATAAAAAGGCATTACATAAGGGCCCTATATATGCTATCTGATTCTGCATAGTGCCTTGAACATGGAAGGTATTTTTGTTAGATGTTAGATAAAACAAATACCAAAAACATTCTGGAGGTTCATAGTGTACAGCTCTGACTTTCTCCTTAGAAGACTGCAATTGAAAGCAGATATGAACGCCCTGAAGACCTGCTAATGGTTCCTTTAACTTGTTCCCCACTTCTTCACCATTTATTTTTTTCTCCCAATGGAGAATTAGCCAACATCATTGGCCAGTGATTTTTTTCCCCATGTCCAGTGAAGTTTCCCCGTTTTAAACTTTCTAATGAGAATGTTAGACAGAAAATTGATTGTATAATCAAATAACATGAAAAACAGGAATGGCACTTTTAAAAATACATCATTGGTATCTGAAGCTAATGAGGAATTCAAAATGAGAGAATACTGAACCAAGGGGCTAGGAAGAACCTTGGAAGTTAAATGGTCTTGCCAAGTTGAAAGTAAATTTGAATCCTGTGGGTTATGAGCTTCAAATAAAACTTCTGGGGTTTGAATTTGTTGGTGACTTTCCTGTTCAATAAAAAAGGACTTAAATGGCTTATAAAAAGGTTAAAAAAACTTATTGGGCATCAAACTGCTCTTACAAAACACCATCTTGATGAGTTAAGTGTAAATGAATCAGAAACACACGGGTCATATTTCCTTCAAAAATGCATATGGATTCAAAAATAAAGGGAAGAGGACTTGGCAAAACATTTTTTGTGTGGTGGCTGAACCCAAAACATTTGAAAGAGATTTTGAGACATTCAAGGAATCCCCCCCACCGCCAAAAAAAAAAAAAAAACCCAAAAACCCAAAACAAAACTAAACTAAACCTGTCCAGTCATATAAAACAAAAAGTTCTATACAATGTGCATTTAACTATGGGTCAATCAACATTCACTGAGCCTTCGCCTTTGGCACCAAACTATGGAAGGAGACAGCTTCTGCCTTCAAGCAACTTATTTGTATAAACAAATCTATATAAGTAATAGAAACCTATTAAAAGATATCTAGGATCTTACAAAAACTGGCATCGTAACCCACATCATATGAAAACTATAAATTAATTGAGAAATAGACAAGTGCTTTCAGGGTCCTAGGTTAGGTAGGATTCATTCCATTCAAATCATCATGCCCTCAGCCCTTTTGATTAAAGTTATATACAGTTGCAGAGTCTTACGTGTTTGAATGTTTTCTTAATAAGTGTTTTTATGTCTTTTTAAATGTGTTTTCCAGCCCTCCTTCCTCCACCCTCTAGATTTGTGAGTGCTCAACAAATCTTGCTGACTGGTTTCCTGAAGGATGGGAGTGTTGAACAGAGTTTTGAAACAGGGGAGATGCTGTTTGGCAGAGAGAACCGAGGCTATGATTCTGGGTTGGGGTAATGGCACATGTGATGGTTCAGAGGCTCCAGAGGGTGAGTCATGTGTAGGGGGTGATACATTGGCTTGCTTGCAGCAATGTGGCTGAGCCAGGGTGTAGTGGGAGGTGGAGGCAGTTAGGTGTGGGGAGGCTTAATACACTGCATGTGAAGTCAACTTGAGGACAGAGGGGTGTGATAAAGAAAAACACAATTTTTATTCCTTTTTTTTTTTGCCAGTATAGGATAAAGTTCTAAGCAAAGGATATGTATATGTCATTACTTTATTTATCAGTCTCTTAAAAAGCTGAAAAATATCCAAAGATAAAAATAAAATTAACTATGTATGAGTTGCTAGGATCCTGTAGATCATAACTTTGAAGAGGAAGTTAGTCGGATTATGAAATAGATTACTGAGTTCTAAAAGGTTTGTGGGAAAATGTGAGAAATTATTGATTTATTATCTTCTAAGGTTGTTTTCGAGTTGTTTAATGTGAGTCTCATCTTTTCCACAATATTAGAAAGTTACTTAGAACTGGGATAGTGTCATATATTTCTTGTGCATTTTTTACTGACTAGCACAATGCCGGACACATCAAGTGCTCAATAAATGCTTGTTTCTTCAGTGCTTGGTGTGTTTATTTATTTTACTTTATATTGAACTGAAATAAAGTCAAAAGTTGCCGAGGTCCTATAATGGTGATGGTAAACTCTGAAAACAAAAGGATGATATAGTGGAAATGCCCCAGTAGTGTCTCTGCTCTGAGACTATTTGTTCATGGTTAATATACAGAAATCAAAGCCCTTACCATCCTTCATCATCTTCTACTTCTGTTTCAGGAATGTCATTTTCAGGCGTTTCAGCAATTGCTTGAGTGAGTTTAGATTTAAACTGGTTCAGCAGTGCAAGGGTCTGAAATAACAATTAGACTGCTAAGTTTTCTGATAAAGATAAATATAATTTTAAAAGAGATGCTTAAGTTTGGTAGAAAAGGAAATATCCTACTTGGATGTAAAACAAAATGTTTGATTTTGAACAAAAAGAACAAAACTACCTTTAGGCTGCAATAATGACATTAATAAACCTTGACATCATTCTGTTTGGATTTGCACTGACATTTCCCCTCAGAGATAGGTGACTATTTTCTGATTTGGGAAACAAAAGTTTGCTTACATAGAAGACAGAAGACCCAACTTTTGAAAATACATGTTTGGCCTGGTGCATTGGTTCATGTCCCAGCACTCTGGGAGGCCAAAGTGGGAGGATCTTTTGAGCCCAAGAGTTCAAGACCTCAAGACCAGCAGGGGTAATGTAGTGAGACTCTATCACTACAAAAAGAAAAGAAAAAAAGTCAGATGTGGTGGTGTGCATCTGTAGTCCCAGCTACTATGAAGCCTGAGGCAGGAGGATCCCTTGAGCCTAGGAGTTTTAGGCTGTAGTGACCTATGATTGTGCCACTGCACTCCAGCATGGGTAACAGAGTGAGACTGTCTCTAAATAAATAAATAAATAAAATAAAATAAAATAAAAAATGTATGCTCATTTATAGTTGAGTTTAGTGTCTATAAGAAAGAAAGGTAATTCACTAAGTTATGTGAAATCAAAAATAAAAAAATAGTATTGTTTATTTCACAAATTTCCAAAAATATAAAAATATCAATATAGGGAAGGTAGAATGAACATATTAACTGTTGGAAAATGAGTAAATTGGAATGTCTTTAGAAAGCTGTTGATACATACTGGTAACTTTAAGATGATCATTCCCCCTGACTGAGTAATTCCTATCCTGGGACGATAGAAAAATAAGGTGAAACAGAGAAAATGGCTTACGCACAAGATGTGCACTGCAGCATTACTCATACAAATGGAAAAATGAAAACCTGTTAAATGTCTATCAATAAGAAACTAGATAAATTTAGTAAAAAGCAATAAATATGCTATTTAAAAATTTTATTTTTATTTTTTATTTTTATTTTTTTGAGACAGAGTCTCGCTGTGAGGCCCAGGCTGGAGTGCAATGGCGCGATCTTGGCTCACTGCAACCTCCGCCTCCCAGGTTCAAGCGATTCTCCTGCCCCAGACTCCTGAGTAGCTGGGACCACAGGCACGTGCCACCATGCCCAGCTAATTTTTTTTGTATTTTTAGCAGAGATGGGGTTTCATTATATTGGCCAGGCCGGTCTCCAATTCCTGACCTCAAGTGTTCCACACGCCTTGGCCTCCCAAAGTGTTGGGATTACAGGTGTGAGCCACCATGCCTGGCCTAAATATGCTATTGTTATTAAAAATTATATACATGAAACATTGCATTCTATTGTTAAGTGAAAGATGAATACAAATATTGTGTTAAGTATATATTTTTTAAAAGTGTGTGTGTGTAGGGGGAACATGACTGTGAATTCTTGTTTGGCTCCTATGCTCTCTGTGGGCAGGAAGAAGCAAGTGGCTATAATTTTGTAATCACACCATCTCCTAGGTCTTAACAGTCTACTCCAGAATTTGAGCAGACAACAGAAGCTAGAAAAAGGTTTTTCTATTCAACATATTTACAGAGTCCATCATTATGAAATGGGATAAAATACTACCTGTCCGAGAAATCAAGGGCCTAATCAAGATTTTGGTATGTTGAATTCAATACTGAAATCCTCACATTTCATAAGGAAAAAGATGTGTGACAGTTCAACATGTGAATAACTGGTATATTAGAGAGTCACAATACATTCCTAAGCTCCAGAATTTATCTAGAGAGTATCAATAAGATCACAGTTCATGAAAAAGTTAAGTAGGTCTGGGCAATCTAGAACTCAAGCTTAATAAAGACAAATGGTGTCAAAATAACTGCAAGAAAAAGGTGGTTGGTTATTGCTTTAAAAATGATAGTAAAAAGCATCTTCTACTTTTCTGCAAAATTTAATGCCCACATATTCAACAGCTAAAAATACACACATTATCATAGCTACTGAATGAGATGAGTTTTGGGGAAAATTTATAAGTTCCTATAGAATGTCATCATAGGCATTCTGAGGGCTGCAGAGTATGTTAGCATTTAGCTGTTTTATCTGTTTTTAGAGTAGAGGTTATAGAATTAAGCTATTCAAACAATGTTAACAGATAAAGTATCCCTTGTTTTTAAACCTTACTCATTAAAAATAGTCCATTGTTTATTCATTCTTATTGTATTTGCTTATTAATAAGAAAACAGATTACTGTAAAAATATTGAAAAATAGAAGTAAAATAACTATTATCCTACCACTCAGAATAACCGCTGTTAATATTTTGGTAAATATACTTCCAGGTAGTATGTGTGTGTGTATGTATGTGTTTATATATCTGTATCTATATCTATCTATATCTACTATTGCATAAATATATCTCTCCACATGCTTATCTCCATATCTATCTATTTAATCTATATGATATGGTCTGGCTGTGTCCCTACCCAAATCTCAACTTGAATTGTATCTCCCAGAATTCCCATGTGTTATGGGAGGGACCCAGTGGGAGGTAATTGAATCATGGGGGCTGGTCTTTACCATGCTATTCTCGTGATAGCGAATAAGTCTCACAAGATCTGATGGGTTTATCAGGGGTTTCCACTTTTTCTTCTTCCTCATTCTCTCTTGCCACCACCATGTAAGAACTGCCTTTCACCCTCTGCCATGATTGTGAGACCTCCTCAGCCAGGTGGAACTATAAGTCAAATTAAACCTCCTTTTTTTCCCCAGTTTTGGGTATGTTTTTATCAGCAGTGTGAAAATGGACTAATACACTATAGCTTAAAAGTAAACCCTATCATTTTTTTTTTTAAGAGATAGAGTCTCACTCTGTCACCCAGGCTGGAGTGCAATGGTACAATCATGGCTCACTACAGCGTCGACCTACTGGGCTCAAGCGATCCTCATGCCTTAGCCTCCCAAGTAGCTGGGACCACAGATGCACACCACCTTGCCAAACTATTTTTTTTTTTTTTTCTGTAGAGATGGGGGTCTCCCTAGGCTGCCTAGGCTGGTTTCAAACTCCTGGGCTCAAGAGATCCTCCCATCTTGGCCTCCCAAAGTCCTGGGATTACAAGAGTGACTCACCATGCCTGGCCCTAACTAATTTTTAATGATGGATGTTTGCATACTTGGAAATGTCTTTTTTAAAAGCACAAAGAAAAATGAAAACAAAAAAGACTTCTAAATGGAATGAAATTTTAAAATTTCCTAGAAAATTATACTAGACCTGGATCTTTCTCCCTGAGTTACAAGTGGCAAGGCAGTTTGTTTTTAAGCCAATTAATGAGCTACTGGCATTTGCTCAAAGAGGGGAGACTGTGGCAAACAAAAAACATCCTCTTGGCTATTTTTAGCTTCTTCTATATTTAAGATTAGACTTTCTCCTGCTTTATTATAAAGGCTAGAGAAGACACTGGGCAGAAAAAAATCACAAAAATAATGGGACACATTTGTTATAGTGTGAAGAAGATAGGATCTGCATGGAGGCATTTTGATTGGCATCTGCAGGGGAATTATTCAGTTATGGCTTTTCCTGAAAGAACGAATGGCCAACTACTTCCAGGAATGCTCTTTCAGCACAGCGAGAGCCTTCCCAGAATGTAGAAGCTATGCTGAAGGAGCCCAATCTTGGCATACTCTGTTTATGCATATCTAACACAAGAGTCTCCCAACTGGGCCCTGTGCCTCTGGTCCTGTCCTGTATCCAGTCTAATCTCCATATTGCAGCCCAGTTAGAGAGATCTTCCTAAAATGAAAGTGAGATCATATCACTTCCTTCTGTCAATGGTTCCCCATGGCCTTTAGGATAAATTCTAAACTCCTTAACATGGTTTAAAAATACCTTGTACGAACTTACTTTTGCTTACCTCTTCAGCCTCATCTTTCTCCTTCTCTTAGTTTATGTTACAATCATATTTAATATCTTTTAGTTCTTTGCAAAGAGGTTGAAGACTTTTCATGTACGCACTGTTCCTTTTGTCTAGCCATGCTCTGCCTCTACCTGGCTGTCTCCTACACAACCTTTGAAGTTCAGCTGACAAATCATTTCCTTAGGAAGGCCTTCCCAGATTCTTAAGCCATGTAAGGCCCCTCTGTTATTCATCTACATGGCTTCCTGTACCTACCCTTTCATAATGCTCACCCCCTTTCACTGGTATTACTTGTTTAGCTCTTTTCCCTGATAGATCAGAGAGAGCAGGGATGTGTTCATGTGTTGACTGCCAAATACAGTGATTAGTACATGGCAGGTTCTTAATAATTATTTGCTACAAGGGAATGGGGGGAGGGGGAAGGAATGAATGAATGAGTCATCCTTAGTATCTCTGGTAGTATAGTCACTATGGTTGCTATTTAGAAGACTTTGTGATTTCATGAAAACAAGTTAATAATGTACTTTTTCTTAATGAAATTAAGAAATTATCCAGACAGGTTTGGGCTTTTTAATTTACTTTTACTTTGCCCGTTTTATTTATACAACTAAAATGGTGTGTCCATATATATATATATAAGGCAGTTTGTTTATATCCATATATATTAATATATATGTCTATCTATATAAACATATATATGGCAGCACCAAAAATAAATGATTTCAGTCTGCCCTCTAACTTTTCAACATGAAGGGCTGCTTAAGAGATTTGTTTTATCAAGTGTCAAGTACTGCATGGCACATAGTGCTGACTCCCAAATTGTTGAGCTAGCTTCCTATCTCTTTTCATTCTTGATTTCTGACAACTAACTTCTTAATATTACTACCTAAAGATTCAGGAATTACTTGTACTAATGAATAGAAGTCAGCTAGCAGACCAAATGACTTATTTCCAGACAGTGTACAATTTCAAGCTAGGCTGGCTAGTCAGCATGCGAGATGTCGGGCTGGAAGAGACTCTCTCATCATTTATAATCACCACTTCTTCATTTCATAATATTCACTACACAGAGGTTCCACCTGGGTTTCTGAGGATACATGGCTTTATGAGGTTCCTGTGCTTACTATGGGAGTACCAGGTTGAAACGTGGAAGTTCCAGGCTTTTTCACCACCAATGTCTGGAAAGAACTCCAGAGTTTGAATCTTTATGTGAGTGGCCAATGTCCACCCTATATAAATATATTCTTTTTTATTTTTAAGAGGTAGTGCTTCTCCTGATATATAATCAAATTAGGCTCCATTTAGAAACACTTAAAAACAATAAAAAGACAATAAGTTCTGTATGGATTTGGGTTTTTGAAGTTACCTGATCTTCCCGGGAAGTTCCCTTCTTTGACTGTTGCTTCCTCAAAGCTTCATACTTTTGCTTTTCTCTTCTGTATTCGGCAACAGCACCATCTGGAGGGGCTTCTTCCTCTAAAGAATAGTAGAATATTTTTAGAATAAGCAGTAAAATAGCTCTGTGGATTCATAGCAATGTTTATGCTCCTGTTGCTGAAGAGGAGGTTGGCACTTGGGCTTGCTTTTTCACCATTTAATTTCAAAAGAAAACCTGTAAGCCCCACCAGCTCTGTAACTACTTCCTAAATTAGAATGTGACTGATGCTAATTTATGAGTTGATATACATATATTTACTATACACTGCACTATTGTAATTGTTCTTCTCACATGTCCTTATTTAAGTTGATTATAAAATCATCTATCTCACTTCTAAAATAATTAAGGTTTTCCTAAAATTCAGCAATACCATTTTACATTTTTTCCTTGCCTTAGAAGATATAACCTTCCAAATATTGGTTGATATTCCAATTACCTGCCACTTTTGTTCCCCAGTTATAACAATAACAACCTTCAATTTAATGGCATCATAGAAAATAAATATGTCTAACAAATAAGTCAAAACAGTTAGCAAAAGCAGACAAAAATAATCTTTACTGAATTAGAAATTAGAAAACAAATCTATAGGTTTGAACCTGCAATAATTCTATGTGAAGATTAGTTAACATCTTGGTTCATAAAACACAGTTTTGCCTCAAAAACAAACAAGCCAACAAACCCAACTAGTAACATTTTATAATACCTCACATGTGTAAATATCAATGAAATTTGTGACTAAAACACACACACACACACACACACACACACACACACACACACACTCCCTCTCTCTCTCTCTCTTCTCTTTGGCTGGAAGACAAACGATAAGCCAGATGTAATCAAGAATGCTAGTAATCTGTCTACCAAAGCTTTAGTCTGTTAGTTGTCTCTTTGTTATCTAGCTTGAGGAACATCATGAATATGCAATCTATTAACAATCAGCCATTTTGTTC
Organism: Homo sapiens; assembly: GCF_000001405.40. Taxonomy (NCBI): domain Eukaryota; kingdom Metazoa; phylum Chordata; class Mammalia; order Primates; family Hominidae; genus Homo; species Homo sapiens. The sequence continues at coordinate 64,970,787 of NC_000005.10, read as the reverse complement.
AAGAGATTTTCTGGTCAAAAAAAAAATTTGAACTAAGAAACAAGTTATCTTTTTGTGGTTACCTAATATGATTTTGGTAGAACTTGGAAGGAGAGTCCTGGTTTCAAAACTGACAGCTGCAAACATTAAAAACTGAGCACATTAAGGAAAAATGAACCATTAAATACAGAAATAATATCTAAGGCACACATGCCTAGTAAAGACTAGTATAAAGAGTATGCCATCACGACTGGTATACATGAAGTGATTCTTATAGTAGGTTTAAAAATTACTTTCGGCCGGGCGTGGTGGCTCACGCCTGTAATCCCAGCACTTTCGGAGGCCGAGGTGGGCGGATCACGAGGTCAGAAGATCGAGACCATCCTGGCTAGCACGGTGAAACCCCATCTCTACTAAAAATACAAAAAATTAGCCGGGCGTGGTGGCGGGCGCCTGTAGTCCCAGCTACTGGAGAGGCTGAGGCAGGAGAATGGCGTGAACCCGGGAGGCGGAGCTTGCAGTGAGCCGAGATCGCGCCACTGCACTCCAGCCTGGGCGACAGAGCGAGACTCTGTCTCAAAAAAAAAAAAAAAAAAATTACTTTCATATTTTTCTACTGAATTACATCTTTGAATACCTCTCTTCTTCTTATCCTACAGTAGTTAGATTTGCATTGTCCTGGGATAAAGAGCAAGCACTTTAAGATGACTTAGGATCCCTACATGAGGCAGTTAATGCTTTGCTTTCCAGTTACGTCTCTCAAGAGACAACTCCTTTGCCGTATCCACCTTCATGTGCTTTCACTTGGCTGATAACTAGTATTCTTAAACCCTGCTCTCTTGACCAACCATCCGCCTTTGCACATGCTTTTCTTCCTTCAGGGATACTGCAAATACTTCATCTCTCCGTTCTTGTTAATTCTCCTTGCTTAATTCCGGCTCCTCCTTTAGGTCTCAGCTTGGTTGGCACTTCAGTGAGCCTTTTCTGATTCCGTTCTTGAAGTCTGGTTTAGATGTCTCTCCTTTGAGCTTCCAAAGCACCCTTTAGCACTTATCACACTTTATGGCGATTTCCTGTTTACTCTTCTTTAAACTCACTAGACATTAACTCCTTGAGGACAAATCATATTTGTCCTCATTTTTTTTTCTTATTTCATTTCATGTCCTCATTTCATTTTCTTAAGTGTATCTTTCAAAGATACACTTAGGACAGTGCTTGGCAAGTGATTCAATAAATAGTCAAATAAATGAAGTAATAATGTAATTGAAGAAGGGGAAAATAAGAAGGTGTAGGGTAATTTGCCCTCTTCCCCTCGCCAGCCTCAGTTATAGTTAGCATTTGCCATGCACCTGGAATCTCCTGTTCCATTGCATTTAGGGAGTCAATAATTATTTTCTGCCATTTCCTAGGGCAGAAGTTTGTAAAATTCTAAGGAAAATTGTGATGGGTATCAGTAGAACTGTTTAATGTTTTTATGGTTAAAAAAATGCAAAAGAGAAAGGACAAGTTCTTTGCTTACATTTTCAGCTAAAAAAGATTGAAAACCTTTATGTGTGGTAAGAATTTTGCAATAAATGGAAAAGATATAGATGAATTCTGCTATCTCATGTCATAGGTAAGTTAAGCTTACAACTTTCAAAACAGATTCAGCATTGCTTATTTTAATGTTTCACACGCATCTTCTTGAACACGGTCCCTTTTAGCAAGGACCAACCACTTAATTTCACTTATTAGGAATGTGAAGGAAGTAGGAAAATGTTTAAAAAGTGCTATAAAGAAGCCTTACAAATCAATTTTAAAAAGTCAAGGATAGGTACATTTAAGTATATAATAAAGCATGGAAATTCTGTAGCTATGTTGTTTATAATACTAAATGGCCTTTTAATAACTTAGAAATAGCAGTCACCTCATTAAGGAAACTAAATGCATGAAATGATAGAATTTTTAAAAACAGCTGTATTGAGGTAGGCATTACATATAGTAAAACTCACTAATTTTGTATATAAAATGTGATGACTTTTGGTATTGTATAGAGCATATAACTTCCACTGCAATCAAGATCTAGAAAAGTTCCACATACCCTACAAAGTGTCCAAATGTCTGTTACAGTCAGTTTTCTTTTTCTGGCAATGAGGCATCAGCGATCTGCTTTCTGGCACCACATTTTTGCCATTACTAGAAACTCATACAAATGGGATCATACAGTATGTAGTTTTTTATGTCTGGCTTATTTTGGTGAGCAACTATTGTTGAGATTCATCCATGTTCCTTTGCATAACTGAATAGTATTTCATAGCATGGATATACTCTAACTTGTTTATTCTGAGTTGCTTACCGTTTTTGGCTACTACAAATAATGCCTCTTTAAACATTTACACACACAAGTTTGTTTGCAAACATATATTTTCATTTCTTGGGGGTAAATACCTAGGAGTGGGATTGCTGAGTCAAGTGATAAGTGTATGTTTAATTTTATATGATACTGCCATACTGTTTTACAAATGGTCGCACCATTTTGGCTGCATCATTCCACTCGCAATATAGGAGAGGTTGAGTTGCTCCATATCTCCAAATATATCGGTATTGTCATTTAACTGAATATTTTAGAGAGCGTGAAATAGTATTTTGTGGTTTCTAGTGTTACTTTTCTGATGACAAGTGATATTACATTTTTTATGTGCTTGTTGGCCATTTATGTATCTTCTTTTCAAATCTTTTGTCTATTAATTTTTTTTGTCTTATTAATGAGTTGTAATAGTTTTCTTATATATTCTGGATACAAGTCCTTTGTCAAATATATATTTTGTAAATGATTTATCTCAGTCTGATTTCCCTTTTCATTTTCTTAAGTATATCTTTCAAAGAGCAAAAGTTAAAATTCGATGAACAGCATTTTATCAATATTTAAATTTCATATCACACTTTTTGTGTCTTATCTAAAAAATCCTTATTTTCCTCATGGTCTCAAAAGTTTTTTTCTAATGCTTTCTCTTAGTAATATAAAATTTTAGCTTTTCTGTTAAGATATATAATTTATTTCAAGTTGATTTTTATATATGGCGTAAGGTAAGGGTTGAGATTTTTTTTCTATACAGACATCAAGTGTTCCAATATTATATGTTAAAAAGGCTTTCTTACCTCCAGTGAATGACCTTGGCACCTTTCTTGAAAATCAATTGACCACATATGTATATCTATTTCTATACACTCTCTTCTGTTCCATTAATCTATGTCTCTGCTTGTGCCAGTAGTATACTGTCTTGATTACTGCAGGTTTATAGTAAGTCTTGAATCAGTTAGTGTAAGCCCTCTAACTTTGTCTTCTTTTTCACAACTATTTTGGTGATTTTTGTTCCTTTGCCTTTCCATATAAATTTTAAAATCAGCTTGACAATTTCTTCAAATAAGTCAGGTAGGATTTTGACAGTAGCTGCATTGAATGTATAAATTAATTTGGGGAGAACTGCAATCTTAACAATAGTGAATCTATCAAAGTTTTACTGACTTAACCTGCCATGTTGAGGTCTATAATACATCCTTTTGGTTCCAACCATCATGTACAGTCATGGTGCTGGTGTGAGATAGGAGTGAGGAGTGGCTATTTACTATCATCTTTGTGACTATCTCAGGATTAGTATTTCAGAAACAGGAATGTTTTGAAACAAATATGGGTAATTGTAAAAATGACTGGCTGATATACTAGAAGCAATAACATGAAATAGCAAATAGAAATAAGCAGTTTTCATAGAATGGAGAGCAAAAAGCAGTACCTCTCTTCCACCAAAATGTCATGGGAATGTAAAAAAAAAGAAGATATGTGCAATGTAATTAATTCTCACATCAAGACTCACTGAACAAACCAATGAACAACTTCCAATCCAGAAAGGTTAGTTGGACAAAAAGTATTTTTAAAACAAACAAAAATTTTTATTATGGAAAAATTTCAACACAAATATAGAGAGAATGGTATAATGAAGCCTCTTTAGTCATCACCTATTATCAATAGCATCAACTTATGGACAATCTTATTTAACTCACAAGATATTCTTAAGACATTAAAACTAGCACTCAGACAGTAACCTAAAGCACATGCATTTCCTCTAGTAGGTAAAAAAGAAAGAATATGTGCTCTCAGTTTCCAGTATAGGAGATGCCAGTGAGCATGGCATCTTTAGAGCATAGACTTTGGGTGAGACTGATCTGAATCCTGGTTCCACAATTTACTATATGAGTGAGATAGGGATACACTATGTCATCTTTTTGTGCCTCAGTTTCTTCAGCTATAAACTGGGGATGATAATATCTACCTCACTTGCTGTTGTGAGGATTAAATAAAATACTGTCTGACATGTGGCAAACACCTAACAAACTATTATTACTATCTCATTCAGATTAAATTATGAAAGTATCAAAATATACACTCACACTGACTGTACAATTATGTGCTAACTCTATATGTTTTTCTTTGTTTTAAGTGATAAGCTTTCAAAGGATATCACAGACTCTTGCACAAGTCAAGCTTGTTTTTCTTTCTCTTTCCCTCTCCATACAAATACATTTCTTTCATATAAGGGAATTTCTTACATTGATGGAGGGAAAAGGGAAACTATTTTTTTTTTTGCTAGATTATGAAGCTATACACATTCTAAAAGTGGTTATAAGGATTTTCCAGTTGAGATGCTCTTAGACATGTTAGCATTTTTATTTTACTTCCTCCTGCATTTCTCACATTTTAACCTATATTGAAAAGCTAATTAAGACAACTTTAATGTATGTATCAATTTATTTCATTAGTATTTATGAAACCAAACACTCTTTTTATATTTTCTAGCCATGATAATGAAAACACAGGCACGTAGTTCAAATCCTCCTGAATGTATTTGCCCTGATAATATCTTAATATTGTAGCATTAGTCATTCTTCTTAATGTATAGTCATAACCAGCTTCATAAATGTTTTGTATAAGGCAATTAGTGGTAGTGATGGCAAGCATCTAAAGAATGAATAAAATTCACCCGTAAATTGTAGGATCTGTTTGAAAATATCTGTTTGGTGATAGGATCTACATTTAAAATGACAAAGAAAAGACTTAATATTCTCTAACTGAAGTAAAAAATCGATTGCAAAACCAGTTTTGCTTTGAAAAATGCTAAGGAAATAGTTGGGTAAAATTTTATGGCTTTTCATTATGATTTAAATGATCCCAGATCAAATAAGTAAGGTAACTCTTGTTTCACAAGGCTTCAAACATATTTCAATACTATTTCCATCTACCCCTGTTTATTATATTCCATTCTTAATGAAGCTCCAGTTAAACAATTTTCAGCAGATGGACTGAGAATGAAACCAAACTCTAGAATGTTGTCTATGCCTCAATTGCTAACTCAACTGTCATCTGACAAAGTCTTGGACTGTAATCTTATCCTTACTGCAGCTTTTGGTTTCCAAAGGGGGAAAGTGTATAAAAACTTGACTTTTTGTCCTCTGATTATGGGTGAGACCTTTTTGACTTCAACACAGCCAACTGTGTTGGATTTTGTAATAGAAGTTAAGAACTCAAAAACTTGGTGCTTCAGGGCAGAATGGGTAAATCACAGGGTGTTCCCTATCATTATACAGCTGTAAATGCTCCCATACTGCTTTAAATAAAGAATGCTCTAAAGAGAGCGACAGCTTCTAAAGTTGTTGAGAAGTTATGTTTTTTATTTATTTATTTTTTGAGACAGAGTTTTGCTTTTGTTGCCCAGGCTGGAGTGCAATGGCGCGATCTTGGCTCACTGCAACCTCCACTTCCCGGGTTCAAGTGATTCAGGAGTTGTTTTTTATCTGCAACTATCTTTGAGTTTTACTACTTGGATGTATTTTGAAGCTTTTAATTTGATTGTGGTTGTTAATCATTTAATACCAATTTGATTTTTTTTAAAGATATACTCAACAGAGCTAAGAAAAAATTCCACTGACTACCAACTATAGGTGGACTAACAAGAGTTGAGAAACAATTGAATTACACAAATTTGATATTAGGTCAGGGTAGATAGTTGGGCAACAAATATTATTTTAAGGGTTGTCTATTAATCTGCCTAATTCAGTGGTACACGATCTTACCACTGAAACATGTAGTATTTTAGCTTGGGCTAATTTTACCTTGTGATAATTTTCTCACAAACAGCTATAAAATTAAAGCAGATGTTCCCTAAAGTGCTGATGAAGGGCAACTTAATGCTTCTTTGTGTCTGTATGCCTGCATGTAGAATTAGTTGATCTGATAAAACTTCAAATTAAAATTCCATGTACTACTAAATTATTTTCTTTCAATGAAATAAAAGGGACAGACTGTATCTCATGGAAATGACATTTCATTCTAAAATTTTAAGATTTTCTAAAGTTAAATTCCATAAAATTAACTTAAAAATCTCAAGTAATAGAATACTTAGAATTTCCCAAAAGCAATTTCCCTGTCTAAATAAATACTCAAAACTGCCTCAGGGTAAATGGGATTTCCTCTCAGACATATCATTTTGCTAATGAATTCCATCAATTCCATCCATAAGATAAAATGCCAAGATATGGCTGAAGGTGTTCACATAAATTCCAGGTGGAAAAGATTGATTTGGTAATTTTTTCTGTCCATCTACCAATGACAATTAAGAACTTAAAAAAGTAAATCACCTTTGCATCACAAATTACAATAATAAAATTGAGCTCAGAAAGACTGATCCAATCCAGCCAACTGTTTGAGGTCAGAAAAGCTGGCCACTAATAGGTTTATAATGTAGACATATTACAGTCATTTATCAAAATGGAAAACATGTCAGGTAAATATAGAAACCCAGTCAAATTCATAGTGTTGTCAATTTTTTTTCCAGAAAGTCATAAATCTAAATAATCAAGTTCAGAAAAGACAAGGCAGTCATACCACCTCCTGTTATACCCACTGGCTGCTCCAGTTCTTGGTCTTTGGAGATTTTTAATTACCTGACTTAAGGATATCTTTCCCCTCCTCATGTTTTCATTTCTAGCCCAAACAAATAGGCAGACAGTTTGAGAATAGCTGTGACGTCTGCTGATGTTTCATTATATTCATCTGTGATACCATGATTAAGCCTGTTAAGATTCCACCTGGACTGCATGGAAACTGTAACTCAAACACTTTACAGGGTACACACAGCCAAATGCAATGACATTTGCCACAAAAACCCAACTATTTGAAAAAACTGGTCTTCTATTTCCTAACTTGGTGTATCATATTAGTATAAAGTACTTCTATTTACAGTATGATCAACTATGAATGGTCATAGTACGTTCATGTTTCATAATTTAATCATCAGCATACTCTGAGTAATTTCCTTAGCTCTGTATTTCAGTTCACTAATTCTCTGTTCAGTTGTATCTAATCAATATTTAAGCCATAAACTGGGTCATTGAATTTAATAACTATATTTTCTATTTCTAAATATTCCATATGGCTCTTTTACAAATCACCTACTCTTTTTTATTGCCTTAATTTTTTATTATGATTTTTATTTCTTTAAAAAAATCTCTTTACTGGCCAGGCATGGTGGCTCATGCCTGTAATCTGAGCACTTTGGGAGGCGGAGGCGGGCTGATTGTCTGAGCTCAGGAGTTTGAAACCAGCCTGGGCAACATGGCAAAACCTTATCTCTACTAAAAATACAAAAAAAAATTAGCTGGGTGTGGTGGTGGCGGGCGCCTGTAATCCCAGCTACTCAGGAGGCTGAGGCAGGAGAATTGCTTGAACTCAGGAGGTGGAGGCTGTAGTGAGCCAAGACTGTGCCTGCACTCCAGCCTGGGCAACAGAGAGAGACTCTGTCTCACAAAATAGAAACTCTTTATTTAAAACAAAGTTATTATGTTCTATCACTCAGATTGTTCTTGGGGATTGTTCTGTTCTGTCTTCTGACCCTCTCTCTAGGGTGGTCATTTATTTATGTGTTTTCTAATCTTTTATTGTGAGTTTATTTTCAGCTAGGACTGCATCTCCATCACACTCCATAGGAATCCTAGGCACCAAGATTGTTCAAGTATTCCTATAGAGAGGTTTTGCATTGGTTTCTACCAGACAATCAAGGGGTTCCATTGGTCCAGAGCCATTTTTTCCCATTATTTTCTTGACTTAGGAATCCTATACCATATAAATAGCATACATTCAGACTTTATATTTATGCCTGGTAGAGGTTTAGAGTTTTGGCTTTTTCATAAGAGTCTTTCATTTTTTCTGCCACATAGAGTTCTGAAAAATGGCAAGCTTCTTTGTGGCATTCCTGACCAGGTAGACAGATTTTTAGTTCCTACCTCTCTAACCCAAGGCCATATCTTCCATCCAAATGTGAGATTAAAACCCTATCTTCTAGATATTAGAGCCTCCATTTGGGTCCAAAATCCACTTGGGCCACTGTAGTGTTGGCTTACTCAATGTCTGGTTATGCCTTCCTTTTGTTTCTGGTACTTATGATTTTCCTTTTCTTTCTTTCTTACCTTCTTTTCTCTCTTCCTCAAGCCTAGCTAAGTATTTAAATTGGGCTGGATCATATTTTATCCAGCATTTCTATAGATTTGTAGGAGAAGAAAGTTTTGTGTTAGCTCAGTCCATGTTGCCAGAACAGGAAGTAGCACATCTATTTCTCATGTGCTTGAATCCTCCTGAATAAACAAAAATTCAATAAGTGACTAGATGATTTTAGTGAAGTAAAACTGGCTAATAAAATACACAAGACATTTAAAATAATTCTGTTTTTCTAATACAGAGTGCTCTACTTTTACTTTTCTTATAAATCTCAATGTACACTGGATGATTCATAAACAATAATGATGCATTATAATGACTATTCATCATTACCTGAAATTTCTATGAAATACATGCTAAACAGATAGTAATGAAGGATGGAATTAAAAAAGAATATCTACTAAGAACTTATTATATGTCAAGCACTATGCTAGGGTGTTTTGATTATCTATGAGGAAAGTATCAATAAACCTATTTTACAAGTGAGGAAACAGGATATGACCAAAATTAGAATATAGTAAAGCTTGGATATGAGCTGAGGTATGTATGATACAAAGGTCCACACTGTGTCCTACTGTCTTCAATTAAAACTTCAATTCATAATTACACAGTGTCTTCTGTGTGCCTCTTATGCTAAGAGATGCTTTGAAAGAAATGTAAAACATATGATACAGGCTTTTCATTCCAGAAATTAAAGGGTAAAATGAACTTAACATACATGAAAAATATCACTTACAATGTAAGTATCAAAATGTGGATTCACGGATATAATACAAGCATCTTGGGGACTTAAAGATTACCTATGCTATGGCGTTAAAATAAAATTAAAAAAATATATTAGTTATGTATGAGATAAAAATAGGAGATATATATATATATATGAAAGGGCTTGGGAAGGAAATGTCCAACATCACTATAACCATCAGTTTACTAGAGCACAAGAGCTAGGAAGTAGCTTGAGGATCTTCTAATCTAACTTCCTGTTGATAGATGAAGCAACTAAGGACCAGGTAAGTGACATTACTTAGCTAGTGTCTCATGTGAGTTATCAGCAGAGCCTGGGCTAAAACTTGTATTCCAACTCTTAGTTTGTAAGACTGCAAGTTAAGTACTGCACATTTGTTCCTGCATGTTATAAAGTATGTCCCTTATCCTTTCCCTAGGAGCTAGTCAGAAACTTAATCTTCAATCCACTTGAGTCTCTTCATTGGCTACCTACCTAATGAACCAATGTTATCTATCCACAGCTTTCACTGTATAGATTAAAAGAGCTTATACTTATACCCTCTGTTGTCTCAGGACCAGAGTCAAGGAGCTATCAGCTCTAAGTAGCTGCAAATTCATTCATTTAAAAAAAAAAAACAGTGTATTGAGCTGGGTGTAGTGGTGCAGGCGTGTAGTCACAGCTACTCAGGAGGCTGAGGTGGGAGGATCACTTGGGCCTAGGAGTTCAAAGCCAGCCTGAACAACATAGCGAGACAATCTCTTAAAAAAAAAGAAGTGTACTGAGTGGCTATTCTGTGACAGCAACTGTTAATAAGCCTGCTTATAAATGATTTTAAATGTCTCTGGATTTACTATTTCAAGAAAATTTTTGCTAACTAAATAAAGGTGATGTGGTAATAACAGTAAACATCATTTGATTAACAAAATAGACTTGATGGATATAAAAAATGTTAATGCTACTAATGTCTAGTTGTACCTCATACTTTCTGGAAAATACAAAGTCAATTTGTATTTTTTTTTAATATACCAGATCTTAAATTAATTCAAGGAAAAGTATCAGACTTGAAAATAGCTAACACGATGGCTAACATTTAACATTTCAATTACTTACTATATGCCAGACACTGGTAACTGAGTTACTTGTTTAATCTTCTAACTAACAATTCTGTCAGGAAAATATGTTATGAACTTCATTTTGCCAATGAGAAAACGAAAGCAGGAAAAGGTTAAATAATTTATCACATGGATTATAAGCCTGGGGATATAAACCTATGTAGTCTGGCTCTAAAGTACAAGCGCTTAACCAGTTTGGTTGTTTCTTCTTCATGTTTGAGAAAAAAAAAAAAATCCCTAGGAAAACAATTCCAATCTGACACAAAAATGCATCAGGTAACCAACTGGGTATATCCCGATGAAATAAAATCCTTCAAAAAAAGGCCCTAAACTCCCCCAGACCATAATATATGGTTTAATGGATAATGAGGGGAAAAAAAAGACCAAACAGTGGGTTTACTCAGTTAAGTTCTACCTAGGAAGAATCCCTTATGGCTTTTTCTCGATTCTCCTTAATTAATCAAATTTTCCCCTCATTTGAACCTTCAAAACACTTCGTGGCTCCCAAGCACACCGTATCATAACTGCTTCTTTGTTTATATTGCCCTCCAGGCTGTAAACTCACATGGCAAGAACTGTGGCCTAGCATATGCCTTGCATATAGTATGTGCTAAATAAATAGTAGCTGAATGGACAAATAAACAGATAGATCATTTTTAGGTCCTGAATTACAACAGTGTCTACAGTCACCTTACTGCTTTTACTGAATGGAAAAGTTCCTGGAGGGACTTGTAGGGCCTTAGGGCCCTTAGCATACAAATACTTTTTCAATAGATGGTTGCCTAATTAAGTTGAGGTATAAGGGATTAGATAATTCCTGACACTTGTTAAATAAAGGTGAGAGGAGTTCATGAAGTCAGCTTTAAGGCAGTTACCCCTGATTAGGGCCACTGGGCACTAAGCTTTCTGGGTAAGAGTTGCAGCCATTCATTGTGGTTTTACCATCTCTCCTGAGGAGCTACTGGTGATAAACTACATATTCTCCCTCTCCCAGTCAGAATGCCTTTTCTTTTGCTTTATTAAGAAAATCCATCGTGGAAATTATAATGGGAATATTCTGTGACAATAAAATGAGAGCCTATAGGCAATATATTCTATACTATCATTTTTTCATTATTACAACCCATAATATTTATTTAGTGACCAGAGACTAAAGCCTTACTAACTTTGTTTTAAAGATACTTGAAAGTTGTTAAGGTGATATATTCAAATAGTGAATAAGAAGAAAACTTGTCCAATGGAGCTGCCAAAATAAAAACCTATTCATAATAAAAAATAATTTAATGGGGGGGTCTCTATACATGTGTATTTTACAGAAACTAGACAGAAGGATGCTAAAGTTTATTTTTTCTATACTATGGACTACAATAAAAAAACTACCATTTATTCATTCTGTTTCACCAGTTTTCATTTTCAGCATATTTTTATGCTACAAATTGAACAATACTGGCTCCATCTGGTGGTCAATAAGCCTCCTAAAGGTTCATGAAAATTAGTTAAAAGTGGTTAAATAATTTAGGGGTTATCTGAAATATACTTGAACATTAAAGTATGCCTCAACACTGAACACTGATTATGTGTAATTCAGTCTAATTTACATGGAAGTGTTATTTTTTTCTTCTATAGTTTATCCTAGCTTCATTGCTTCATGTTATGAGGGGCTTAAAATAATTCTCAAAATAAAATAATACAGAACGTTTTCCTCTGTGTTTTTCCATTAGAGAATTTGAGAAATGTGCAGGTTACAAATTGTCTCATGGAATAAATAATACAGTTAAAATTTATGCAGTTTTTCAGATTGGATTCTGTTTTAAAATATAAACTTGAAAATACTCACTGATTTTCGACTGTATTTTCCATTAGAGAAGGGTAGCTTGTGAATATATGAGTTCATATCTAGGAGTTTTATATATTTACATGCTACTGAATGCTTAATCTTGATTTTTAAATTCTGCATAAAAGGAATATGTCTAGAATCACAACATAAAATTTGAGTACTGTGAAGTTCTTAGGTATCAGCAACCTGCTCATTTTACAGATAAAAAAACTGAGGTTTGGAGAAGTTCAATGATTGTGCTAAACTGGGAGTATGAGAAAACAGGTTTTACGAGAAGCCAGTGTCTCGTTTCTACACACACTACCATATACACTTTCTCTTTGTAGCACGTTCTCACTGCACATATGCTTCATAACAAACTAGTAATCACATTGGGGTTATATACATTTACAGCATAGTGTGACATTTATAAAATGGAATGTATCCTTAATATAGTTTTAACTCTCTAAATTAGGAATTTTTAAAATTTTTACTTTTGCTATTTTCCCTTAAGATGTCGGAAATTAAAAAAAAAACCTGTTTTAAAGCCCTACTCCTATCAAAATACAAAATTTTATCTTGTCTTTTCAGGAGTAAAGGGCTTTGTTGAGTTTATAATTCAAATAGCAGTTATGTTGGTAATAAATTATAGTCATGACAGCATATAATTTAGGATACCACAAAGTATTATACTAAAAATCAATTCAAATAAATTTAAGTAATCTTACCTAACATGTTAAGGGATAGAGAGAACTTAGATCAGTAAAGACAGGTTCTGAACACAAAACATTAAAACTGGTCTTAATTGTCTTATTTTTACTAATAATTTTTCTTATACTGCTCCTTGAGGAGCAGGGTTAACCCATGGGCAGTGTGCCCAGAGTCTCCCTAATAACGTTTTTTATTAAACAGTGGGTCTACTACATAAACTTATCAGGGAGCCTGTCAGATAGACTACTTGATAAGCAGCTTTTTACAGATGTTTCTGTATTCTTAGTAATGATCACAAGACACAACTGCAATATATAAATGATTATTGAGAATTGTTGAGGGGCATATGTGCTTTTCTTTTGGGGGCTCCAGCTTTCTACCTATCAGCTGTAGTTTGTTGTTCCTGTTTAAATTTGCTCATTCTCCCTCACGCAAACCTCTGGACTAGCACACAGGTTGATTGATGTTGCCCCCCAGGTACCTCAAGAGAGCACACTTTGTGCTTCTGCAGATGGTGTGATCCGCAATTCTTGTAGCTCGATGGCCATTTTGAAAACATTTCCATGTTGCCCTGCCATTCTGGATGTGGAAACTACAAATTATGTACCCCGTGTTGTAGCAGTAAGAAAAAAAAAATTCTTCAAGATAAAAAGAATTTATGAAGCCAATGAGAAAGGAGACTCAAGAAGTACTACCTAAAATTGCCCAAGGCGAATTAAGCATTGCAGAATATCTGTGTTTCTAACAGTACTTAAAGGAGGGTTCTATTGTTTTGTAACATAAGGTAATTTTCTCCAAGTAGTTATAAGAATTTACAAATCTGTTCAAAACAGTCCTTAAAATACTTGCATGTGTGGTATTGCAGAGTATTCTTTAGATTTCCTATGTGATTGAGGAAACTGAAGCAATAAAGTAGCTTCTAAAATATAAGTATGACCACTTCTGCCAGCACCATCACCATTTTTTTAGGATCTAGCATGTCTAAGACACAATGTTAAGATACTGTGCATGCTTTATTACTTAATTCTGTAACAACAGAAGGGGTATTATTATCCCTATTTCATGCATGAGGAAACAGAGGTTTAGATAGGTTATCTCTTACCCCAGTTTATATGGCTAATAAATGATGAAGCAAGGATTTGAATCCAAGGCTGTCAGACTTCAAAGCTCATCCTTTTTCTACTCTATTTAGTGCAAACAGTTATGGTGGTAGGTGGTACTATTATGCGTAGGAGTGAGGGAAACCAATGACAGTTTTCCAGGTTAGGAGCTTATATACTGGACAAAGGGTAAGACATACACTATTACTGTGTAGTGGTACAAATAACATGAGAGGTTCTGATATTTAGGAAATTCATGCAGAGAAGGGAGAGGGAAAGCTGGGTAGAGGAAGTGGCAGCATAAGTGGGCATTAAAGGAGAAATAAGATTTGGCAATAGCAGGTAAACGAGAAATAATAACCAAGACATAACAACCAAAGGAAATACAGGGCAGGATGCACAGGAGGCAGAGAAAAATTATTCTTTGAAAATGAAGAATGTATAAATAAGATGGGGAATAAAGAAAATAAGACAAAACTCTGATCATGAAAGTCTCTGAATGCCAAATAAAGAAATTTGAACTTTATTTTGGTAAGCAATGAGCAGCCACATTTTATATCTTGTTGGTCCTATACTGCCAAAAATAATTCATAGGTGTTTGTGAGCCTCTTATAAAAATTTTTATTTCTAATATTCCTATACCTAATTATTGATTATTTGTGAGCCTTTTATAAAGTTAAATGTGTTGAACCATTCTAGATTGTTATGTTGTTTGGACTCGTGTCTAAGAATTTTTTAAGGGTTATTTTCTATCATAGTACTAGCTTTAGTTAGTTGATAAAATGGCAGTAAAATTTCAAGTTTCCTGATGCCCACACACCTCTTATCAGTGAACAAAGCATTCCTTAGTAGTTTAGTGACTGCAAGTGCAAAGGTGAGACAGGGAGAGAGAGGGACTGACTCCCCAAGATCTTGGGATTTTTTTTCCTAATAATTTTAATAAGGAACTTTGGAAAATATCCTGGTAAAATTATTTTTCTGTATCTATGAGAATATTTTAATTGAAATATGAAAATATGTACAACTATTTGAAAGCACCATATCCAGTTGTTTCTGACTGTGTTTCACTCTTGACTTTTTTTTTCATTTTTATTTTTTACCTGCCTAGACCAACCAGACCAGATTAATGTCAGATTAATGACATCTCTGACAAATTAAGTTTTGAGATGGAGTGAAGGTAGGGGAAAAGCTCATCCAACTATGCTCCATTTGAAGTCTACTTGTGTCCAAATGGGCTTTCTGGAACCTGAGGTCGGATGGTGAGTTGAATGGGGGTCGCCCTGCTCAATTTTAGTGGTAATGCTGTGAATTGTAGGCTAGCAATCAGACTGCTGATTCTGGCATACAGCTAACAGGTCATATTGCTTGTGGCTTGTTTTATTTTTTGAGGAAACAGCACTTTGCAGTTTTACAGTGGAAAAAATATTGGATAAAATCTCAAATCTACCATTTAAGTTAGGGTGAGTACTAAATATCTTTAATACTTTGGTTTCTTCATTTGCAAAGTAGAAACTATAATATTTGTTTAATCTACTTCTCAGGACTGTTACAGAACTAAATGTAATGAAGCATGTGACATGACTTTGTAAAGTGTTGATGTTATATAAATGAGGTATTATTATTATTTGGCAGTGAATACAAGGCACTATATTTTATGTCTGTAAGGTACTTTATAGTTATGACTGCCTTCAGCTGATTAAGTATCATTTGAAGAAGCAGGGAGTAGATATCATATTTTTCATTTTATTAACATAGATTGTTTGAATAAGAAATATTTCTCTATATTAAATCCTATTTCCAAAGTACCAATAAAACTCATAATTGAGAGAAACATAGAAAATTATTTTGTGAATTATCAAAACTTAGTTTATATTTTCTATAAATTTGGATGTTCAAATGTAGCACTGCTTATCATGGGGCTTACCTATAATTCTGAATTTGATTAAAGAATAAACAGTATTTGTTGGCCTAATGATGGAAAATGCTTTGCTACTCCTATCTTCTACCTATAACTAACATACATACATATATATATATATATGCATATAGAAAGCACTATATATATAGTGCTTGTGGCTTGTGGTTTGTGGCTTGTGGCTATATATTTAGTGCTTTCTATATGCATATATATATATGTTATAGGTAGAAGCACTATATATATATATATAGTGCTTTCTATATGCCAGGCAGCCTGCTAAGTGCTTTAGGCAATAATTCACTTAAATATAATAGGGGGCTGTGCACGGTGGCTCATTCCTGTAATCCCAGAATTTGGGGAGGCTAAGGTGGGAGGCTCCTTTGAGCCCAGGAGTTCCGAGTCCAGGCTGGGCAACATAGCGAGATCCCATGTCTTTAAAAAAATTTTAGCCTGGCATAGTGGCATATACCTGTAGTCCTAGCTACTTGGGAGGATGAGTCGGGAGGATCGCCTGAGCCCAGGAGTACCAGGCTGCAGTGAGCCATGATTGTGCTACTGCACTCTAGCCTGGGTGACAGAGCAAGACCCTGTCTCAAAAAACAAACAAAGGAACAATAAATCAGGGAAGTAGTTGTCACTGGAAAGACCAGGATATTACACTTGGAGACCTATGCTTTTGGTAAAAGCTGAAAACTGTAGAAAATGATGTGATCACTAGATGTCTGTGAACTCTGACTGAGAAGGGCACCGAAGTTAGACACAGGAATGTGAATTCCTCGAAGGCAGAGACTTTTCTGTCTTATTTACTATTTTATGTCCAGAGCCTAGAATAGTGCCTACACTATCTCACATTTGATAAATATCATTTAAATGAAAGATTAACTTTTGTTTTAAAAAAAAAGGAAAGGAATTTTTTAGTGGAAAATGTATTCCTTGAGAAAATAACTGAAAGAGTGAGTGGGAAGATGGCAAGGACAAAGCAGAGTTGGCTGAGTAACTGGCTTTCCTTGTCCCAAGCCTTGAAAAACTGTGATCATCAAGTGCCATGTTAGGCTTAATGTCTGTGAGCATTTCTAATGAGATCTAGAAAGCCAAAGGAATGATCAAGAAACAACAGAAATATAATGCTCATCAAGGCAACTTGTTAAATAAAAGTCCCTGAACTCTGTATTACAAAAACACATTTGCTGGGGGAAAGAAAAAAAATAAACACTTAAAAAGTGCCTTTGTTTTGAAATGGCATTAATTAATCCTTTATTGTAGAAGGATTATTTGGGTTTGTCTGATTAAGTTCCATAAAGTGAATTAGTCACTAAAGCAATCTTACACTTTCTTCTCGGTGAGGTGAAAAATTTCTCACCCTCTTATTTTGGATTAGAACATAATTACAGACACGTTCTCACTGATTAAATTTTTTCTTTGGCTTAGTCACTAAACAAAGCCAACATATTGAGTGAACTGGGTTCAGTATTCTGAGTTAGTAGCTTCACATTCTATTCCAAGCTCTGTCACTCACTCGGGTGAAGGTTTGAGTCTGTCTCAAATGCTTTGTCTCTACTTTCTGATATAGAAAACACACTGTTAACTACTATGGCCTTCAAGGTATGTAGTGAATTAGTGTAATATACTGTTAAATTGGCCAGAATAATAACAGTGTGAATAAGAGAAAAACAAGCAAGCCAACATTGAGAAATATTTCTGAGAAACTTAAGGTTACTGGATTCTTTCTTAATAGTCTGCCAAGCATTTTCACAAGATACATACCACAGACTGGCAAAATCTTCAGCAATAATATAGTAAATGTTGCAACACTCTTCTATTCAACCATAACCAAATGGGTGAGAATAAACATAATTATTCTTCTATAAATGCCTCACATGGCAACTTGGCAAAGCATGGAATAAAGTACAAGGGACTTCTCCATGGGTTTTGTAGAATGGAAAGTACAAAAAACGTATTTTTGATGTTGTTTTCTATAGCAGACTAAAGTCAGTCTCCTGAAGTCTCAAATAATAATGCAACTAAGATGTTCAGAAATAAGCTAGAAGAGTGGACAAAAATAAAATTAATACTGCTAATTCTTGGTTGAGACTATCTGAAAGGAGCACAAACTGTAAGCTTGCTTCTAAAGGGAAAGTGTAGTAATAGAGTGTCTAGTATCCACTGCCAAATAGTATTAACAAAACCATAGGCTTAAATAGTATAAAAATTTTTTATTTAATATTATTTCTCAGGCATTCCAAGAGTATATAGATGTTGTCAATAAACCTTAAATTACTATAGTGAGGGAGAGGATAAAAATGACGGGATGAAAGATTCCATACCCCTCTCCAGGTTCTAGACACACAATTTGCAAGATAAGAAAAGGCCCCATGCTTTCTCTTAAATCTGTGCTTTTGTTCATGTTGTATACTATCTAGAACACCTTCATTCACCTAACTTACTTGTCTGAACCAGTAACCTCAAAAATTTGTATATGTAAAGGGTTTCTAGTGCACAAAATGGCCCACTAAGAAGTGAAAAGAAAATGTCAGAATGCTATTTATATTTTACTGTATCTTTTAAACTACAGTTGGCCCTCTGTATCCATGGACTCTGTATCCATAGATTCAACCAACTGTAGATCAAAATTATTTGGAAAAAAATGTTTCTGTATTAAACATGTGCAGACTTTTTTCTTGTCATTATTTCCTAAATAATACAGTATAACAACTATTTACATATCATTTACATTACATTAGGTATTATAAAGTAATCTAGAGTTGATTTAAAGTATATGGAAGGATGCACTTGGGTTATATGCAAATACTCTGCCATTTTATATCAAGGACTGGAGCATCTTAGGATTTTGTGTCTGCAGGAGGTCCTGGAACCAATCCTCCATGGATACTGAGGGACAACTGTATTCTTTTTTTTGGTATATGTTATATATAGTACACAACATATTCATTCAGTAGTACCTACATATGAGTCATAAATACATTTTATAAACACATATTTGGAAGTGCATCAACTGAAAAATTAATAAGATGTGATATAGACATAAAATGGAATGTCATTTGGGCATAAAAAGGAACAAAGTATTTGATACATTCTACAACATGGATGGACCTTGGAAACATTGTGCTAAGTGAAAAGATGTCAGTTGCAAAAGATTACATATTATATGATCCATTTATATGCAATGTCCAGAACAGAGAAATCTATATATGAAGAAAGTAGATTAGTGGTTGCACAGGGGAAGTGGGGGCTGAGGCTGTAACAGGTGATAGCTAAAGGGTAAGGGTTTCTTTTTGAGATCATGAAAATGTTCTCCAATAAAACAGACTGTGCAGATATCTATGAATAAACTAAAAACCATTGAACTGTATACTTTCAATAGGCACATGAATGGCACATGAACTTTGAAAACTGTTTTCAAAACATTTATCTGATAAAGGACTTGTAGCTAGAATATATAATCTAGAATATATTCCTCTTTCAAGGAAATAAGACAACAAACAATCCAATTAAAATAATATGATTAAAATAACAAAAGACAACCTGATTTAAGCACATGAAAAGATGTTCAACATCATTGATCATTAGGGAAATGCATATTAAAACCACATTGAAATACCATTATACATTCCTTAGAATGGCTGAAATTAAACACCGATAATACCATTAATTGACAAGGATTTGATGCAACTAGAACTCTTCTACATTGCCAGAGGGAGTGCAAAGTGATATAGCCACTTTGGAAGACAGGTTGGCAGTTTCTTATGAACTACCATATGACCCAGAAATCACACTGTTAGGTATTTATCCAAAATAAATTAGTGCTATAACAGCTTTATTCATAATACTTAAAAAAACAAAAGTAACATAAGTATTCATCAACTGATGGATGGATAAACATATTATGGTATACACATACAGTGGAATACAACTCATCAACAAATAAGGAAAAAAACCTGATACAATAGATGAATTTCAAGAGCATTATGCTAAGTAAAAGAAGCCAGACACACATTGTATGACACCATTCACATGAAATTCTGAAAATAGGAAAACTATAGTGTGAGAAAGCAGATTAATGGTTGCCAGGGCTGGGTCTATGACTAGAGGGGATTAACTGCAAAGGGATTTATGGGAACTTTTGAGGGACAATAGAAATGTCCTATGTCCTGATTGTGCTGGTGGTTATATAACTGTACACTTTTGTCAAATCTCATTGAATTGCCTACTTAAAATTGGTGAACTTTATTGTATGTAAAGTATACCTCAATAAAGCTGATTTTAAAAGATACCACACCTTGCCTTATTCTCCATAATGTAAAATAGCAAAATAATTCAAATGGTTATAATGGTATTGGTTTTAATCTCTTATTCCTCTGAAATCCGTATTTGGTAACTTTTCAATTTTACATAGTTATTTTGGTTTTTATTTTCCTTGCCTTCCTTGTAGAGTATTTTACGTATAACAAGCATCAAATGTTTCCTGAATTAACAACTTAATGAATTAATACTTCATGATAAAATTCTAGTATAATAAAATTTATGTTAAGTTTAGTTTTTCAATGAGGCAGAAAAGGATTGGAAAAAAAACACTTATATGTGTACATTAGACAGATACCATATATTACTATTAGTTACAATTTATATAATAGTTTAGTATCATTGTGATTTGTTCTGGACCAGCAATATCCAACACAAATATAATGTAAGGCATAAGTAGAATTTTAAATTTCTAGTAGTTACATTAAAAACCTAAAAGAAAACAAATGAAATTAATTATAAGTTTAAAATTTAATTCAACATATAAAGATATTATTTCACTATGTAATCAATATAAAGTTATTACTAAACTAGTTTATATTTTTTGGTATTGTCTTCAAGATCTGGTATTCATTTATAGCACAACTCAGTTTAAACTGGTCACATTTCAATTCAGCTAAGAATTACCTGGGGAGCTTCAAAAAGTACCGATGCCTGGGTTTCAGCCCCTGGGCTTTGGAATTTTTAGGTGATTC
The DNA here is from genome assembly GCF_000001405.40 of Homo sapiens. Lineage (NCBI taxonomy): Eukaryota > Metazoa > Chordata > Mammalia > Primates > Hominidae > Homo > Homo sapiens. The sequence continues at coordinate 64,949,885 of NC_000005.10, read as the reverse complement.
TAATGTGCAGAAAAGTTTGAGAAACACTGGTCCAATGATGAAAGAGTATCAGGACAGGAATCTTAGAGAAATGATCTTAAACAACTACTTGAATATTGAGGTAATATTCATTAGATAGAAAAGGCATTCCAGGAAAAGGGAGCCATGACAGTAAAAGCCAAGGTGTGAAATAAATTTGTATGTAGAAAAATCTAGTCTTCATGGAACATGGGATCCATAGTGAAAGATGAGCTTAGTGTGGCAGGCAAATTATAGCCCATATAGGGCCTTGCATACCACGCAAAGGACTTTACGCTACAGGAAATGAGATGCCATTAAAGAACTTTATGAAGGGGATTGACACATGATCGTGTTTGTGTTTCAGAAAAGCCACACACAGAATGTATTGGCAGGATTTGAGATTAGCAACAGAGATTGTTGGCAGCATGTTAGCAGGTTGTTAAAATAGCCCAACAAAAAAACTGTGACTAAAATGGTCATGGTAGGACATTAAAGCTCAGACTAGAAACTTGTAGGGAGAGGGATGGAGTTTGCAAGAGAAATATACAAAGAACAGATTTGTTTTGAGGATATTTCAGTATTTTGCTATCTAAATCTAATTCATTTCACTTTGAAAAATACACAAACACTAAGCTCCCATTAACACATGATAAATGTTGTTTGTCTCTAAAAATACCTCTAGATATTTTTATTTGCAAAGTAAAATAACAATTTCCCTGAGGTAATAATTTCTCCATTTCCCAAGGTTCCTAAAAAAAAAATCATATCTAAAAAGTCTAAATAAAGTTAAAGCTCTTCCATAAAGTACCTTAAGCTCTTAAGTGAGATTTAAAAAGTCTTCCCAAACAGTATGCCCTTAGACACATCTACATTTAAGTCAGTGGTTTTCAAAGTTAAACTATTTTCTGATCCTATTTCATCAAAATTATCTACTATTCATGATTTCTGCTTCTACTATGGAATCAAGGTTCTGTAGACTATTATTAAACTCATGTTACAGAGATGAAGCATGAATATTCTATCCTCTCCCCTCTAGTCACACTCATTTCTACATTTTACCTCCCTCAATGAGGAAGAGTCTCTTGATGATACTAGTTCTCACTACTCTGAATGTCTCTGAATCTTACAGTTCATCTGCACACTCAATTTTAGCATTTGAAACACAAATGCTGCCTGTTAACTATGAATACTGCTAAATTATGATTATTAATTATTAACACTGTTTGACTATTAATTACAAAATATTTGTTTCTCATGAATGAGTCCTGTTCTACCAAGTAGAAACTAGCTCTTTTAGATCTAGAGGTAAGTGTCTAATGGATTTCTTCTTGGTCTAGCATGGTGCAATATATTAGACATTTATTGTAACCCAATGGCTTTTGAACTGTTGACTGGAAATATGTAGAAAAAATTTTTTTCATCTAAGCTCTACATATATATACGGTTAGTACATCTACTAGATAAAACTGTATATATAAGGTTGAGCCATAAAAAATTGATGATATTATATTGGCTTTTACCTACAAAAATGGCAATTTCATATTGTTAACCAAATACAAAAAAATTTGAAATATCATAAAACAATATTTAAAACCATTATTACATGTGATATACTCTGATTTTTTCTAGTCGATGCCATCCCATTAAATAAAAAGTGCTGACTGAGATACACTATTGATTTCATAACCCACCAGTGAATTACTACCTACAATTTGAAAAACCCTGTTCTAAACTCTAACCTAGAGACTAGACCTGCCTCTAGCTTAAGCCTTAAACAGGATAAAAGATTTTTAATGGCTCACAAATGGTCCAGGGCAGCAGGATAAAGATGAAGCAAGTAATCAAGATGATATAAGTGTCTGGAAATTCTCTGTGCATACCTGAGCACTTAGCAGAACTGACAAGGACCATAATAAATGCAGGGAATTAAAAGATTGGAGCTTTTGATTAAATCTTTTCTGATTTGACACAACTAAACTGATCACATAACACAGAAGGTGATTCAGTGTGGTTGACTGATAATGCCCAAAATGAACATCTATCCTTTGGAACAAAATGATATATAAGGCTCTCCCTAAAGTCCTTTCTTATATTCCCTGCTCCCCAAAAACATGTAATGCCAGATTTCTTTCTACAAAGAGGGGAGGCCCATAGGAAATATTTCTGTCTGATACTTCTTTTCTCTCTTTCTAGAAGATCACCATTATGCTGAATGAGCTGAAATTAAGCATGCCATATAACATTTTGTAAAAGTGAAGCTTATCCAATTCTGTTAATAACTAGTGAAATGGTACAGATAATAACAGATTGTGGACATACTGCTTATATTCTGATTAGACTTTTAGCTTATTAAAATGATGTTTACATAAAGATCTTATACAGAAGCTTAATTATTAACCATTTTGTCAATGAAAACCAGAAAACATACACTCTCATCCAAAGGACTCAACTATTATCAGACAGATGCTGATATATGCATGGGCAAGTATCACCACCAGCACTAAGGTACAGCCAAGTTAGACTAGACTGCAGGCAGGCTAACACAGGAGCAATAAGAATGCTATTAGCCTGCTCATTGGTGCTTGAATAGTGTGTATGCATACCAGCCCCCTCATCTTTTATGTTAGTAACAGCTTTATCTGATGGAACAGTGTTGACAGAACTTGAACTGGTGCCAACCCTACTGATGAGAAACAAGGTGGAACAGTTGCTGGCTGGAGGGAATGTTTCCTTTTTAGGAAGCAGCAGTAAGACGATACATGGAAATATGGTTGGAATAGACTATAGCAGGTTGCTGATACAAGAAATGTTTTAGTTTTCAAAAAACAAAGGATCAAAGAAAGCCAAATAAATGGCCAATAGATACAAGAAGGTGCTCAGAGACAGATGAGAAATGCAAGTCTAAAGGAAATAATAACTGGTCACATAGACCTATGTACTAGGCTGAGCTGAGCTCTGGTTGGTGTTAAGATGCTGTTTGGCTCTTTTTCATCAGGCAGATTAACCATTAGAAGAACAGTAATGACAAAAATGTTAAGTCCTCATCAGCTGCAAGGATTGACTACTTACCTTGCCAATCAAAAATCACCTTTAACCTAGGATGCCAATATAAAAAGCACATGGAAAAGAAATTGTCTAATTACAGGAAAGAAGTAAAACTTGACAGGTAATTTTCTATAACTGGAAAAGCTAATACGGGTAAATGGAAACAGTAGTTTCATTAATAAACATCTCAACATAGATGTATTCATTCTTAAGGCCCAGATGAATAACTCATCTGCCTTCATCTGCTCCATCTTCTAGTTCCATTTAGAACATGAAGGTAGCCAGTCTTTTTGTCACTGAACAGTGAATCTGAATGCCCATCACACTATTCTCCAAGTTTTGTGAATATGCACATCTATTTTATCCACAATGCAATGATAAGTGATGTCCCTGGTATCTACCAAAGGTGCCACAAAATCTAGAAATGCATTTTGAAATGTCAAAGAGAATAAATTGCATTCAATATAGTTTTAGTGCTAGATATATTATTTGCTATATGCATTACATAATGTGTACACATTTGTGGTATATGTCTCTGTATATGTACATAGCTAATATACTAGCATCTTAGCTCACCTGGCTACTTTAAAGAATTCCTTCTAGGTAAAAGAGTTTACAAATATCTTTTTCTATCACCTAACAAAATGCTAACAATCATGCCTCCTCACTTTACTCAATTGATTAAAAATTACAAATCTAATTAGCATTTTGAGTAATTTGACTGCTTTTGGCTTAAACAGTTGCTGGAGGAGATAACTTCTGGTTGGGAAAAGATGGGAATGATGTGGGCAAAATGTGGAGAAATCTGATAGCAAAGCAACATATTCTCTATTCTGCTCTATTAAAAGAATATACTGGCAGTAAATAAGATATCAATAACAAACTTATCAATTATTATGAAAGTTGGTTGATTCAAGATATAGAAAAAACCCAGAATCTTAAATATGCAGCAAGTTTCTTTTTCATTCAAATGACAGGTTAAAAAACCCCACTAACGTCAATTCATAATCACTTTTCTGAAGGTAGGTTTCGTCTCTAAGCTCACATGAAGGATTATACAGTATTCTACAAAATATCATACTTCATATTGACTGTTACCATTATGGAAAGAGGACTACAGTTGCTGTCAGGCAATCTAGGTCCTATCAGCTCTGTTAGTGCTCTTGGGGAAACATCAATTACTTCTCTGAGTCACAACTTCTTTGTGCAAAATACCTGTTATCCTACCTTTCTCATGGGCTCTTGTCAGAGAGAAATGAGAGGAAAAGGCAGGGGAAAAAATAAGTTTTTCACAAGTATGAACTTAGACACAGTAGACTGCCCAAGTAATAATTCTTCTATCTTCTTTTTTGTTAACAAAAGGAGAAGTGGTTTAGGCAACTTAATGCTCAGTATCAAAGGATGTATTATAAATGTTTTAAGCCTTTTAGAGTTCATCTTTCATTGGTTCACTTATTCAGCCTCCAATTTTATTTTGGAGAATGTCAAACACTGTTATAGGTGTTAGGAAAGCAACAATAAAGAAAACGGACAAAAATTTTACTGGGGAAGGCAGAAAACAAACAACAAATTAATAAGACATATAGTATATTACAAGGTAGTAACACAAGGAACAAAGTGGAGAAGAACAATTTGGGAGTGTCAGGTAGAAGTGGTCAAAGAAAGTCTCATTGAGAAGGTGACATTTGGGAAAATACCTGAGAGGTAAGGGAATGAGCCATGTGAACATCTGGAGGAACCACAGTCCAGAAAAGGTAACAGCATGAGCAATGGCCCTGAGGCAGGGAACATGCCAAATGTGTACTCAGATAAGCAAAGGGGCTACTGTGCCTAGAACAGCATGAATGAGAGAGAAGTATAAGGAGATGAGATCAGAGAGGTAAACAGAAGGGGAGAGAGTACAGATTTTATAGAGTCTACTAGACAAACATAGAGGCTTTAACTTTTAAGAAATCCATTGGTGGGTTTAAAAAAAAGAGTGACAAGATCTGCCATATTTTTAAGGGACCATCCTGGATACTATGTTGAGAATAGACTTTCAGAGGTCACTTGTAGAAACAAAGAGATCAATTATGAAACGACTGCACTAATCTACACGGGAGATGATTGTGGCTGACCAGGTACTACCAGTGGAAATTGTTGGCCTACAGATCCTGGATTTGCTGATCAATTTGATGGGGTAGAAAAGAAAGGGGAACAAAAAACGATTCCAAAATTAACTGAGACAGGGATGATTTCAGGAGGAGCAGGTTTGAAATATAAGATCAATAGCTTAATCTGGGACATGTTAAGTTTCAGATGCATGTTAAACACTTTGGAAATTATTAGCAATAGATGATATGTAAATCCATGAGATTTAAAGATGTTTTCAAATAAATTTAGTATAAGAGAGAAAAAACTAGAGGCCAAGTAAACAATAATTCAAGGAGGAGGGAGTGACCAACAGTGTAAAATCTGGTAATAGGTCACTTAAGAGGGCTAAGCAGTTGTGTGTGAACGGAAGTCTAACTGGAGTAAATTTAAGAGTAAACAGGAAAAGGGGAATTGGAGATGACAAGCATGTATATTTCTTTAAGGAGTTTTTTTCTAGAAAAGGAAGCAGAGCTAAAGGACAGTAGTTAGAGGGGGATGTGGAGACAAGATATACTTTTTTTTTTTAATGAAGAAATTACTGCATGCTTTCATAATGATGAAAGAGCATGAAAATCCAGTAAGAACAGAAATTTGATAATACAGGACAGAAAGAAAAGAACTGTTGGAGTAATGTCCGCAAGTAGGTGATGGGGGCGTGCGGCAGGATCCAAGGCACAAGTGGAGGAGTTGACCTAAGACTACAAACAGCTCATCCTTAGTTATAGGTGGGCAGGCAAGCACATGGCACAGATGCAGGTGAGTTGGTAGTTATGGTAACGGTTTTCTTCTTGTTGCTCAGACTTAAGAAATTCCACTCTTTGCCAGCCAGTGTTTGGTCCAGATCACATGTTTGAGGGTTCTGGGAAAGATTTTCTTTCCTATGAAAAGAAAGGCCCAAAAGGAGAAAGCCCTTTTGCTTCTAATTTTTCCTTCCTGTTTTGGATGCTTTTCTATGAAGATGTGATGCTTAGAATTGGTGCAGACATCTTATGACCATGAGAAGAAATCTACGATGTGCTAGGAACTTTGCAATATAGGTAGAATGTAAGGTTCATGGGGCAGAGGTATTTATATTCTTACCTGATGTATCCAAAATGTCCAAAAGTGTGCCTGGCACATAGTAGACATTGAATAAGTATTTGTAGAATAAATGAACTACCACCAAGATGTGCCATGTTTGTCAGAAACTCATAGTGGTATATACCAGCATGTAAATAGATTATTATACTTTCATGTTGTAAATGGCAAGATAAGGGTAGTACAGAACGCTAAGGGGCTGAGGCAGATTTAGCTACCCTTGCCTTTGAAATGCAAGGAACTTCACTGCATACTGTATAAAAAGCAGCATGCCATTGTTGGAATGTTTTTAAAATGCTTTGTTCCCTTTTAGTATTTTCTGATAATTTCTTTAATTCCTTCATAAAAATAAATGGAAAACAAATATATGTTATAAATCCTTATATCTTTCCTTAGTAACACACACAGGGCCGTGATCTGAAATAACATTTGTTTTATTCGTTAACTTCATTTTTTCCCTTGTCTCCATCTTTTTTTTCACCTAGGAGTATAATCATACTGATGAAACATTTTACCACTGCTATCACCAGTTTTTATTGAAAAGCATACCTGATGCCCTGTTTTAAACATTTAAGACTTTCAATGTCTGCTTTTTTCTTTAGGAGAGTTATATTTCTATGTTCCATGCCAGCATTCTCCCCTCTCCCCATTCATTTTAGCAGATATCATTATCTTTTTCTTCTGGAATCATTTTTGTATACCTGAGTACAATGAGCCTCTTCACCACACAACAGAAGATAAAGTATTTACAATTTTATTATACAGGCACACATGTGGCATTATATGCACAGGCATAAAATTAAAGCTGAAGTGTCTAAAGTCCGGAGTAAAGCCATATTTATGCTGCTCAAGGCAAGAAAAATTATTTAGTCTACAGTAACGAGTAAGTAGCAGCAGAACAAATATTTGGTTGACTGTGGAAAGCCAATGTTTTCCTTACTCGTTACAAGCAAAAAAGCTAAAAACAGGCTGACCAAGCACATTCTGACAGAAAATAACACATGTATTCATCAATCTTTTGGTGCGTATAAAACTGTGATTCCTAATTTATGGATTTATATGCAGAGGGGGTACATCCAGGTTTGCCTTAAATATATTATACATATATATGTGTGTTTTCATATTGGCCATTTATTTTAAAGAGATCTATTGCAATGTTTTTCTTTTATCTTTTTTTTTTTTTTTTTTTTTTAAAGAGATAGGGTCTTGCTCTGTCACCCACGCTTGAGTGCAGTGGCATGATTATAATCATAATTCCCTGTAGCCTTGAACTCCTGGGTTCAAGTGATGCTCTCACCTCAGCCTCCTGAGTAGCTACAACTACAGGTGCATACCACCATGCCCGGCTATTTTGTTATTTTTATTTTTGTAGAGACGGGGGTCTTACTATGTTGCCTGGGCTGGTCTCGAACTCCTGACCTCAAGCATACTCCTGTCTCAGCCTCCTAAAATATTGGGATTATAGGCATGAACCATTGCACCCAGGCAATATTTTTCTTTATTAGTATAAAATAAAGCACTTCCTGCACTCAAAAATGCTTTAATCTCATATAATATATTCAACATGTAACATTTATTAACAAATTATTTATCTACTCATGTAAATAACTGCTTTGATAATCTGCAAAATAGTTATAATTTGCTGACTGCCTGTCATGCCAAGAAGTCTATAATTGGTGATTTTTGTACATTATTTAATATAATAAATTTATTTATTTATTATTACTCTCATCTTACAGATAAGGAAACTGAGGCTCAGAAATGACCTGCCCAAGATTTCTCAGCCTCCAAATTGGAGCAAGTAATGAAGCCCATATCTATCTGATATAGCAGGATTCTCTGAAATCATACTCCTGATAGTGTGGCAGAGGGGCAAAAACACCTCACAAGTGTAAGATTTTACATTTAGCAATTTAACGTCCAATCTCATTTAAAAAATGAAAGTGTAAAAAATATGATTTCTATACTTCTATACACATATGTTCAGAAAATAAAAAGGAATGGAAGTATATTCTGTGGTGGCTATTGTTAGGTGAGAATAAAGGTGATTTTATTTTCTTCTTTTTGTTTTATGATAAATTTTTTCTGTAATAAATGTTTTATATTTTCTGTAATAAATGTTTTATATTTCTGTAATAAATATGTTTCTGTAATAAATATGTAGATAAATTTTTAAATAATATATTTGCCTGAATAAAAAAAGTAGCAAAGAAGCAAGTATTCTCACTATTGGAGAACAAAGTTAAATATGGAAAGGGGCAAAGACTAAAATGTGCCCTGCAGTATGGTACTGTACTTAGACTACCAGTATATCTTTTAGCTGTTTACTGAGAGAGCCTAGAAGCAATAGGATTGAGCAATCTAGCACCCAGATCTTGATTTTCTAAATATGATTTTCCTCTTAAAGAAACCAGAGCTCCTTAGGAAAAAGGGTGATTTCTGGGCTTGGGAAATAAACTATAATATAAACCTAGAACAGCTTGTTAAATCAGAAAACAAGGAAGTGCTCAAATAATAGGAACATATCAAAATAACATGGGCCAGATCACTTGAGGTCAAGAGTTCAAGACCAGCCTGGCCAACATGGTGAAACCCCATCTCTACAAAAATACAAAAATTAGCCAGGCATGGTGGCACATGCCTGTAGTCCCAGCTACTTGGGAGGCTGAGGCAGGAGAATCGCTTGAACTCAGGAGGCAGAGGGTGCAGTGAGCCAAGATCGTGCCATTCCACTCCAGCCGGGGCGACAAAGTAAGACTGTCTCAAAAAAAAAAAAAAAAAAAAAAAAGAAAGAAAGAAAGAAAAAGCCAGCTTCAAGGAGCTCCCACTGGCCAAGTAAAAATGAAATAAAATAATTTATTTTGAGCATCAAAAGAAATAATGGTAAAAGCAGACTGTGACTCATAAAATAAGATTCCAAGAGTTTATATTGACATAATAAATAAATGGAGAACAAAGGAAAGCCCTTTTTTAGAGTGGAATGCAAAACTATAAATATAAAAGAAATGATGGAAGTAGAAAATCACTGGTGAATACTAAAACTAAGGTGCAGGTGGTAGCTGGCAAGATGGCTGAATAGGAACAGCTCTGGTCTGCAGCTCCCAGCAAGATCAATGCAGAAGGCGGGTGATTTCTGCATTTCCAACTGAGGTAACTGGTTCATCTCATTGGGACTGGTTAGACAGTGGGTGCAGCCCACGGAGGGTGAGCCGAAACAGGGTGGGGCGCTGCCTCACCGGGAAGTGCAAGGAGTCAGAGAACTCCCTCCCCCAGCCAAGGGAAGCCCTGAGGGACTGTGCCGTGAGGAACGGTGCCCTCCAGCCCAGATACTAAGCTTTTCCCACAGTCTTCGCAACCCAAAGACCAGGGGATTCCCTCTGGAGCCTACACCACCAGGGCCCTGGGTTTCAAGCACAAGACTGGGTAGCTGTTTGGGCAGACACAGAGCTGCAGGAGGTTTTTTTTCATACCCCAGTGGCACCTGGAATGCCAGTGAGACAGAACTGTTCACATGCCTGGAAAAGGGGCTGAAGTCAGGGAGATAAGTGGTCTAGCTCAGTGGATCCCACCCCCACAGAGCCCAGCAAGCTACGATTTACCGGCTTGAAATTCTCGCTGCCAGCACAGTAGTCTGAAGTTGACCTGGGACACCCCAGCTTGGTGGGGGAAGGGACGTGTACCATTACTGAGGCTTGAGTAGGCGGTTTTCCCCTCACAGTGTAAACAAAGCCGACCAGAAGTTAGTACTGGGCGGAGCCCAGTGCAGCTTGGCAAAGCCGCTGTAGCCAGACTGCCTCTCCAGATTCCTCCTCTCTGGGCAAGGCATCTCTGAAAGAAAGGCAGCGGTCCCATTCAGGGGATTATAGATAAAACTCCCATCTCCCTGGGACAGAGCACCTGAGGGAAAAAGCGGCTGTGGGTGCTGCTTCAGCAGACTTAAATGTTTCTGCCTGCTGGCTCTAAAGAGAGCAGCGATCTCCCAGCACAGCACTCGAGCTCTGCTAAGGGACAGACTGCCTCCTCAAGTGGGTCCCTAACACCTGTGCCTCCTGACTTGAAGGCACCTCCCAGCAGGGGTCATCAGAAACCTCATACAGGAGAGCTCCAGCTGGCATCTGGCGGGTTCCCCTCTGGGATGAAGCTTCCAGAAGAAGGAACAGGCAGCAATCTTTGCTGTTCTGCAGCCTCCACTGGTAATAACTAGGCAAACAGGATCTGGAGTGGACCTCCAACAAATTCGTGCAGACCTGCAGCAGAGGGGCCTAACTGTCAGAAGGAAAACTAACAAACAGAAAGGAATAGCATCAATATCAATATTAACAAAAAGGACGCCGACAAGACAACCCCATCTGAAGGTCACCAACATCAAAGACCAAAGGTAGGTAAATCCAGGAAGATGAGGAAAAACCAGCACAAAAAGGTTGAAAATTCCAAAAATCAGAACACCTCTTCTCCTCCAAAGGATCACAACTTCTCGCCAGCAAGGGAACAAAACTGGATGGAGAATGAGTTTGATGAATTGACAGAAGTAGGCTTCAGAAGGCGGGTAATAACAAACTCCTTTGAGCTAAAGGAGCATGTTCTAAACCAATGCAAGGAAGCTAAGAACTTCACAAAAAGGTTAGAAGAATTGCTAACTAGAATAAACAGTGTAGAGAAGACATTAAATGACCTGATGGAGCTGAAAAACACATCACGAGAACTTCATGAAGCATACACAAGTATCAATAGCAGAACCGATCAAGCGTAAGAAAGGATATCAGAGATTAAAAATCAACTTAATGAAATAAAGCGTGAAGACAAGATTAGAGAAAAAAGAATGCAAAGGAACGAACAAAGCCTCCAAGAAATATGGGACTATGTGAAAAGATCAAACCTATGTTTGACTGGTGTACCTGAAAGTGATGGGGAGAATGGAACCAAGCTGGAAAACACTCTTCAGGATATTATCCAGGAGAACTTCCCCAACCTAGCAAGGCAGGCCAACATTCAAATTCAGGAAATACAGAGAACACCACAAAGATACTCCTTGAGAAGAACAACCCCAAGACATATAATTGTCAGATTCACCAAGGATGAAATGAAGGAAAAAATGTTAAGGGCAGCCAGGGAGAAAGGTCAGGTTACCCACAATGGGAAGCCCATCAGACTAACAGTGGATTTCTCTGCAGAAACCCTACAAGCCAGAAGAGAGTGGGGGCCAATATTCAACATTCTTAAGGAAAAGAATTTTCAACCCAGAATTTCATATCCAGCCAAACTAAGCTTCATAAGTGAAGGAGAAAGAAAATGCTTTACAGACAAGCAAATGCTGAGAGATTCTGTCACCAACAGGCCTGCCTTACAAGAGCTCCTGAAGGAAGCACTAAACATGGAAAGGAAAAACCGGTATCAGCCACTGCAAAAACATGCCAAATTATAAAGACCATCGACACTATGAAGATACCGCATCAACTAATGGGCAAAATAACCAGCTAGCATCATAATGACAGGATCAAATTCACACATAACAATATTAACCTTAAATGTAAATGGGCTAAATGCCCCAATTAAAAGACACAGATGGGCAAATTGGATAAAGAGTCAAGACCCATTGGTGTGCTGTATTCAGGAGACCCATCTCATGTGCAAAGACACACATAGGCTCAAAATAAAGGGATGGAGGAATATTTACAAAGCAAATGGAAAGCAAAAAAAAAAAAAAAAAAAGCAGAGATTGCAATCCCAGTCTCTGATAAAACAGACTTTAAACTAACAAAGATCAAAAAAGACAAAGAAGGGCATTATATAATGGTAAAGGGATCAATGCAATAAGAACAGCTAACTATCCTAAATATACATGCAACCAATACAGGAGCACCCAGATTTGTAAAGCAAGTTCTTAGAGACCTACAAAGAGATTTAGACTCCCACATAATAATAGTGGAAGACTTTAACACCTCACTGTCAATATTAGACAGATCAACAAGATAGAAAATTAACAAGGATATTCAGGATTTGAACTCAGCTCTGGACCAAGCAGACCTAATAGAAATCTACAGAATCCTCCACCCCAAATCAACAGAATATACATTCTTCTCAGCACCACATCACACTTATTCTAAAATTTACCATATAACTGGAACTAAAATGCTCCTCAGCAAATGCAAAAGAACAGGAATCATAACAGTCTCTCAGAGCACAGTGCAATCAAATTAGAACTCCAGATTAAGAAAGTCACTCAAAACCACACAACTACATGGAAACTGAACAATCTGCTCCTGAATGACTACTGGGTAAATAACAAAATTAAGGTGGAAATAAATAAGTTCTTTGAAACCAATGAAAACAAAGACACAATGAACCAGAATCTCTGGGACACAGCTAAAGCAGTGTTTAGAGGGAAATTTATAGCAGTAAATACCCACAGGAGAAAGCTGGAAAGATCTAAAATCGACACCATAACATTACAATAAAAGAACTAGAGAAGCAAGAGCAAACAAATTCAAAAGCTAGCAGAAGACAAGAAATAACTAAGATCAGAGTAGAACTGAAAGAGATAGAGACACAAAAAACCCTTCAAAAAATCAATGAATCCAGGAGCTGGATTTTTTTGAAAATATCAACAAAATAGACCACTAGCCAGACTAATAAAGAAGAAAAAAGAGAAGAATCAAATAGACACAATAAAAAATGATAAAGGGGATATCGTTACTGGTTGCACAGAAATACAAACTACCATCAGAGAATAATATAAATACCTCTATGCAAATAAACTAGAAAATCTAGAAGAAATAGATAAATTCCTGGACACATACACCCTCCAAAGACTAAACCAGAAAGAAGTCAAATCCCTGAATAGACCAATAACAAGTTCTGAATTTAAGGCAGTAATTAATAGCGTACCAACCAAAAAAAGGCCAGGACCAGAAGGATTCACAGCCGAATTCTACCAGAGCTACAAAGACGAGGTGGTACCATTCCTTCTGAAACTATTCCACAAAATAGAAAAAGAAGGACTCCTCCCTAACTCATTTTATCAGGCCAGCATCATCCTGATACCAAAACCTGCAGAGACACAACAGAAAAAGAAAATTTCAGGCCAATATCCCTGATGAACATTGATGTGAAAATCCTCAATAAGATACTGGCAAACCAAATCCAGCAGCACATCAAAAAGCTTATCCACCACGATCAAGTCAGCTAAATCCCTGGGATGCATGGCTGGTTCAACATAGGCGAATCAATAAACGTAATCCATCACATAAACAGAACCAATGACAAAAACCACATGATTATCTCAATAGATGCAGAAAAGGCCTTCGATAAAATTCAATAGCCCTTCATGCTAAAAACTCTCAGTAGACTAGGTATTGATGGAACGTATCTCAAAATAATAACAGCTACTTACAACAAACACACAGCTAATATCATACTGACTGGGCAAAAGCTGGAAGCATTCCCTTTGAAAACCAGCACAAGACAAGGATGCCCTCTCTCATCATTCCTATTCAACATAATATTGGAAGTTCTGGCCAGGGCAATCAGGCAAGAGAAATAAATAAAGGGTATTCAAATAGGAAGAGAGGAAGTCAAATTGTCCCTGTTTGTAGATGACATGATTGTATATTTAGAAAACCACATCATCTCAGCCCAAAATCTCCTTAAGCTGATAAGCAACTTCAGGAAAGTCTCAGGATACAAAATAAATGTGCAAAAATCACAAGTATTACTATACATCAATAATAGACAAACAGAGAGCCAAATCATGAGTGAACTCCCATTCACAATTGCTACAAAGAGAATAAAATACCTAGGAATACAACTCACAAGGGATGTGAAGGACCTCTTGAAGGAGGACTATAAGCCACTGCTCAAGGAAGTAAGAGAGGACACAAACGCAAAAACATTCCATGCTCATGGATAGGAAGAATCAGTATCATGAAAATGGCCATACTGCCCAAAGTAATTTATAGATTCAATGCTATCCCCATCAAGCTACCATTGATTTGCTTCACAGAAATAGAAAAAACTACCTTAAATTTCATATGGGACCAAAGAAGAGGCTGTATAGCCAAGACAATCCTAAGCAAAAAGAACAAAGCTGGAGCCATCATGCTACCTGACTTCAAACTATACTACAAGGCTACAGTAACCAACACAGCATGGTACTGGTACCAAAACAGACATACAGACCAATGGAATAGGACAGAGGCCTCAGAAATAATGTCACACATCTACAACCATCTGATTTTTGATAAACCTGATGAAAACAAGCAATGGGGAAAGGATTCCCTATTTAATAAATGGTGTTGGGAAAACTGGCTAGCCATAAGCAGGAAACTGAAACTGGACCCCTTCCTTACATCTTACACAAGAATTAACTCAAGATGGATTAAAGACTTAAACGTAAAACCTAGGACCATAAAACCCTAGAAGAAAACCTAGGCATTACCATTCAGGACATAGGCATGGGCAAAGACTTCATGACTAAAACATGAAAAGCAATGGCAACGAAAGCCAAAATTGACAAATCAGATCTAATTAAACTAAAGAGCTTCTGCACAGCAAAAGAAACTACCATCAGAGTGAACAGGCAACCTACAGAATGGGAGAGAATTTTTGCAATCTATCCATTTGACAATGGGCTAATATCCAGAATCTACAAGGAACTTAAATAAATCTACAAGAAAAAACCAAATGACCTCATCAAAAAGTGGGAAAAGGATATGAACAGATACTTCTCAAAAGAAGACATTTATGCAGACAACAAACATATGAAAAAAAGCTCATCATCACTGGTCATTAGAGAAATGCAAATCAAAACCACAGTGAGACACTATCTCACGCCAGTTAGAATGGTGATGATTAAAAAGTCAGGAAACAACAGATGCTGGAGAGGATGTGGAGAATTACGAATGCTTTTACACTGTTGGTGGGAGTGTAGATTAGTTCAACCATTGTGGAAGACAGTGTGGTGATTCCTGAAGGATCTAGAACCAGAAATACCATTTGACCCAGCAATCCCATTACTGGGTATATACCCAACAGATTATAAATCATTCTACTATAAAGACATATGCACACCTATGTTTACTGCAGCACTATTCACAATAGCAAAGACTTGGAACCAACCCAAACGCTCATCAATGATAGACTGGATAAAGAAAATGTGGCACATATACACCATGGAATACTATGCAGCCATAGAAAAGGATGAACTCATGTCCTTTGCAGGGACATGGATGAAGCTGGAAACCATAATTCTCAGCAAACTAACACAGGAACAGAAAACCAAACACCACATGTTCTCACTCATAAGTGGGAGTTGAACAATGAGAACACATGGACACAGGGAAGGGAACATCACACACCAGGGTCTGTTGGGAAGTGGGGTTCTAGGGGAGAAATAGCATTAGGAGAAATGCCTAATGTAGACGATGGGTTGATAGGTGCAGCAAACGATGGTGGCACATGTATACCTATGTAACAAACCTGCACGTTCTGCACATGTATCCCAGAACTTAAAGTATAATACAAACAAAACAAAACAAAACAAAAAAACTAAGGGTGAAAGCTTGATAAGGAATGATATATTTACATAATCTCAAAACATCTCTCTATAACTATACTTTCTGCATTATCTTGGATTGAATCCTGGAATGGGAAAAAATAACAGCTATGAAGGACATTATTAGAATAAAAGACAAAATTTGGACTTTGTAAATTACTTAACAGTGTCAATCAATGTTTATATAAGAGAAAGTCCTTCTTTAGGAAATATACACATAGGTATTTAGGGTAAAGACCTGGTATCACTAAGGTACCTTCAAATAGTTCAAGAGAAAAATGTATGCATGTGGCTAGGCGTGGTGGCTCACGCCTGTAATCCCAGCACTTTGGGAGGCAGAGGTGGGTGGATTATGAGGTCAGGAGTTTGAGACCAGCCTGGCCAATATGGTGAAACCCCATCTGTACTAAAAATACAAAAATTAGCCAGGCATGGTGGTGCATGCCTGTAGTCCCAGCTACTCAGGAGGCTGAGGCAGAAGAATAGCTTGAACCTGGGAGGTGGAGGTTGCAGCGAGCCGAGATCGCGCCACTGTACTCCAGCCTGGGTGACAGCGAGACTCCGTCTCAAAAAAAAAAAAAAAAAGAGAAAGAAAAATGTATGTACATATGTATACAAACATACAGAGAGCAATGCAATGTGCAAATATTAAAAAATGTAAATGACTGGCAAATCGAGGTAAAAGATATATGAGTTCATTGTACTGTTTTCTGCAAGTTTAAAACTTTTTTCAAAACTAAAAGTAACTATCTCTTCTGGATTGAATAGTGTGGAAAGTCAGTTTCTCTAAACCTTAAGAAATGGGATTTAATTCTATTAAATATATATCATGATCAGCTAATTTATAAGACCCTATGCCAGCTCCTACAGATCAACTAGAGCAGCAATTCTCAGAGTGTGTTACCCAGACTGGATCTGCAGTATCAGCACCATCTGAAAATGTAAGAGTTGAAAAATCTTCCATTTTACCCAAGATCTATCTGTGTTCCACTGATAGAATACAGGCAGTAATAGAGGATAAGATGGTCAACAACTTGAAAGCAAGATTATGGAGAAAAATCATAGATGATTAGATAATTTTACACTTAATTTAATATACAATAAGACAGTTCTAAAGGTTTGTGAAAAGAGGAATAATAAAATAACTATATTAAGAAGATCACTTAAGTAGCAGTGTATAGATGAATCACTTCTGGGAGATTTCAGAGAAAAAGATCAGTTTAGGTTTTTTATTATACTGTCAAAAAAGGATGTGATACAAACCTGGAACTAGAATAGGACAGATGAGAGATTCTACAATGGGTGAGTAAATAAGACTTGCCAATTGGCTGAATATAGCAATACTGACAGAGTAAAGAATTGGGAATGGCAGATTGGGGAAGAGGTGAAGAAGAGACAAGAACAATGAAAGGTTATAAAGCCTGGATGGTTGATTGAACTGTTTGGATCCAGAGGAATTCATGAAAACCTCCTATAGCTGGGCATTTTAAAGACCAAGGATCCCAGCCCTATAATCCTGTAAAAGCATGTTCTTCTAAACAATGTCAAGTAAGGAAGTGGTGATTTCAGCCTTATGATTCTATAAACCATGTTCCTCTAAACAGTGCCATGTAAGGAAGTGGTTTTCAGACTTTTAGATTTTAGAGGTCTGTAAACATCCCAAACAAAATTTAATGGATGAGTTGCTTTTTAATTTTACAAGTTAAGAATTAAAAAAAAAAAGTCCTATTGGCCATTGAGATTATAAATTGGTAATAACCACTTTGGAAAACAAAATGGCAATATCTGGAGGAGTTGAAGGTGTGCATACACTCTACAGGTTTGTTACATCTGTTGAATCAGGGCTCTGACATTTTCTACCTGTGGGATTTTGGACAAATTATTTAACCACCCTAAGAACAAGAATAATCTCAGTTTCTTCAACAGTAAAATGTTAATAATAATAGTGTTTACTTATTGTTTTAAAGATTAAATAAATTAATACATATAAATCACTTAGGAGAGTTAGTAAACATTATGTATCATAATCACGATAACTACCCACACCCAGCTATTCCAGTTAAAGACGTACCCTAAAGAAACTCTTGTTTGTGTACACAGAAGTGTACAAGGATGCTTTCTGCAAAATGTTTAAAATAGGAAATATATAAAAGGAACCTAATGTCCATGAACAGGAGAAAAGCTGGAATATGCATTCAATGACTACTATAAATCATTTAAAATAAATATGTACTACACATAAAAACATTGACAAATGTCAAAAGCATAATGATAAAAAAACAAGGTGTAATTGGATACATACCATTTGATACCACTTTTATAGAGTGGCATAGTAGCAATATTATTATTTTTAGTGGCTATATACACATGCAATAAAGGATTAAAAACATGTACAGGAAGGAAACATACTTCTGAGTCGTGAGTAGTTTTGGGAAGGGGGAGAAATAAAATTGGAAAGTATACAGGGGACTTAAGCTATATTTGTAAAGTTTAGATTTACTTTAAAAAATGTAAAAAAAATTAAGATTAGTTGGGTAAAAAAATGGGTTAAGTCCCTTTACCTTTCTGTATGTTTAAAATATTTTATAAGATAAAAAAGAAAAATGTAAAAAAAAGAGTTTATCAATTTAAATAAGTTTTAAAAACTAATTTTAATATTTCTATTTTGAAATAATTTTAAACTTACAGAAAAGTTAAAGAATAATATTAAAAACTCATATCTTTCTACCTAAATTCACCAGTTCTTAACATTTTGCCACATGTTTTATTATTCTCTCTCCCAGTGCATAAATATATATTAATTTTTTTCTCAATCATTTGAGACTAGGTTGCATATATTATGGCCCTTTACTCCTTAATACTTTAGTTTGTGTTTCATAAGAACAAGAATAATCTCTTAAGTAACTATAGTATTTCAAATTCAGGTATATCAAGTTCAGAAAATTTCATAGTGATGCAATACTTTACTACACCATCCATATTTCATTGTGTCAAGTTCCCCAACCATGTCCTTTTTAGTATTATTTTTTCCTTTGTTCCAGGATCCAGTCCAGGAGCATGTATTGCCATTTAGTTTTGATGTCTCTGTAGACTCCTAAGCCTTTCTTTTTATTTCACAACATGGACATTATTGAAGAATACAAGACAGTTGTTTTTCTAATAAAATATTCCTTAATTTGGTTTGTCTCATGCTGTCTCATGATTAGAGTCAGGTTATGCAGCCCTAGGCAGAACACACAAGTGATTGTATGTTCTTCTCAGGGTACTGTTAAGAGACATATGGTGTCCATACGCTTCTCATTGTGGATGTTAATTCTGATCAGTCAGTCAAGGTGTTTTACGGTTTCTCTATTACAGATCAGTGTGCAACTAATAAGCAATTAGTGGGGAGACAGTTTGTGATCATGCCAATATACTGTTCTTCATCCAGCATTCCCTCTAGATTTAGTATCTATTGATCATTTTTGCCCAAACTAATCTTTACTATGACAATGGTGATTTTCCAATTCCACCACTCTCTTCACATTTATTGTTTGTTATCTTACTGTAAGGAGACTTTCCTTCTCTTCTAAGTATTCATTCATTCATTCAGATCCTCATGGATTCATGAATTCCTATTTTTCTACCCAATAGTTCAAATTTTTTTTATTGGTTTCAATGATTGTTTTTTGCACTTTTTATCAAGATAAAATTCACGTAACATGAAACTCACCATTTTAAAGGGTGTAATTCAATGATTTTTAGTATAATCACAATGTTGTAAAACCGTCACCACTATAATTCCAGAAAATTTCCACCACCCCTTAAAAAAAAACACTACCTGTTAGCAAAAATACCATTAGCAATCAGTCCCACTTCTCATTTTTCTGCATTCCCTGGCAAATACTTACTTTCCTTCTTTCTCTACAAATTTGGATCTGCCTATTTTGGACATTCCATATAAATGGAATCATATAATTCATGGTCTTTTGTATTCTGGCTTCTTTCATGTAGAGTAATGTTTTTAAGCTTCATCCATGTTGTAGCATGAATCAGTACTTTATTCCTTTTCATGGCTGAATAATATTTCACTGTACGAATACATCACAGTTTGTTTAGGCTGTTTTGTCTGGGTTGTTTCCCTTTTTTGTTTATTGTGAATAATGCTGCTGTGAATATTTGTGTACAAGTTTTTTTTTTTTTAAACACTTGCTTTCAATTCTCTTGGTATATATCTAGGAGTGTAACTGCTGGGTCATATGATAATTTTATGTTGAAGTTTTTGAGGAACTGTTAAACTTTTTTTCCAAAGCAGTTGTACCATTTTACAATACCATCAGTAATGTATGAGCTTTCCAATTTCTCCACGTCCTTGCCCATACTTGTTGGTTCCTCCGTTACCTTAAAAAAAAATTATAGTCATCCTACTGGGTGTGAAATAATATCTCATTATGGTTTTGATTCGCATTTCCCTGATCGCTAATGATGCTGAGCATTTTTCATGTGCTTATTGTCCATTTGCATATCTTTTTCAGAGAAATGTCTATTCAAATGCTTTGCCAATTTAAAAATTGCATTATCTTTTTATTCTTGAGTTGTGTGTTCTCAATTATCTGAAACCCAAGTAATTCCAGATTTAACAGTGGAGGAGAGGCCCTTTCAAGATGGCTTCTAGGTTGTCTTGATGTGCCACCATCATTTTCAGGAGCACTCTTCCGCCCTCTCCCCACCCCCCTTTCTTTTTTTGTAGAACAGGTGGTCTGGTCTTGGGAATCAGTCATTTCTTCAAATTACCCTGGTTCCTTTCAGAGGGAAATGGTGTTAGAAACCAAGATCTGGGTGCTAAATGTACTCATTGCCACTGATTCTTTGCTTTTAAGTCCCTTCAGCAGTCAGAGGTAGGATATGCCTAAGAAATCATTAAGTTCATTCAAACCCAATCCATCCACATATACCAATCCATTCCCAAAAGTTTTTCCTCATCTTCCCTCATTCCACATTTTTATCTCCTTTCTTCTATAATGAGAACCTTGGCTCCCTACAACATCAACACATGTATTATTAACTAACTAAACTTTACCATATACATAAAATAGTTTTATAATTAGTATGTCTATAGTACTACAAAAAAAAAAAAGACAAAGCCTACTGAGAAAAGTTCAAGATTTGTTTACTGTTCTTTCCACATCCCTTGTGGAATAACATAATCAAATTTTTTCTTTTACCTCCCAGCAGTGTAACATTACTTATTTGAAACAAACTTGGATTTATTTGTTTCTACTTACATTCAGTTTTAGTTTCTCTTTCCTTTCCATGCTTGTTAATTTCTAAAATATTTAGAACAGGAATACATTTTTAAAAGACAAAACTACAAAAAAAGATAAACTCAGGTATCATTGCCTCCCTATCACTTCTACCTCTTCTCTATGCTGCTATTCCTTATAAAAATAAGCAACTTAATTATTTTCTGGCTTATCATTCCCATGGTTTTTCTGCAAACGTGTGTGTGTGTGTGTGTGTCACACTTTGTTGTGCACTTGGCTTTTTTCCCACTTACTTACAAAGAATAAAAAAATTAAGATCCTGAAAAGGCATTTTCTCAGATCACTAAGGAAGTGGTTAAATTATGACTTTTCCCCTAAGTTTATTTGAAGTCTTTAGCCTGCAACACAGAGATTGCTAAAAGAAGAAGAAAACTTTTTGACAATTAAAACCAAGCAGACTTGTCATTATCTAACATTATATTGTATACTTAAGTGAGTTTTCAACTGTTTATTTCTGCTATTGAAGAGTAAAAAAATGTATTTCAGAGAAGCAACTGAGATCCCTACATTGTAAGCTTAAAGAGTCAATGGTGATAAGAAAAAGAATCAAGTTCCTTAAGGGAATATGCAGACTGAGGAAACACAGTGAATGTGGGTGACTGTTGACTTTTTTTTTTTTTTTGAGAAGGAGTTTCACTCTTATCACCCAGGCTGAAGTGCAATGGCGCGATCTCAGCTCACTGCAACCTTGGCCTCCCGTGTTCAACTGATTATCCTGCTTCAGCCTCCCAAGTAGCTGGAATTACAGGTGCCTGCCACCATGCCTGGCTAAATTTTGTATTTTTAGTAAAAATGGGGTTTTACCATGTTGTCCAGGCTGGTCTCGAACTCCTGACCTCAGGTGATCCACCTGCCTCCGCCTCCCAAAGTGCTGGGATTACAGGCATGAGCCACCGTGCCCGGCTGACTGCTGACTTTTAAAAGAACAATTTCATTAAGGTTGAGAAGTTAATAATCTAGAAATCCAAAGAAATGATTAGGAGTTGTGGACAATGATTTGGGACTACTCTTCAGCAGTAGGTTTAATAGTGGAAGGCAGAGTTTGCAAGGGAGCACACAGACACAAGGATAAAAAAATTCTTTGAGGTCAGGGAAGAAATGAGCAGGGGTGAGGCAGAGGGGAAAAAGCAAGAGGATACAGACAGACTTTTGCAAAAGAAGGAGAAGGGAAAGTTCCTGAAGATGTGGAAAGTGGGGTGGGTGATTAGCCTTAAGAAGAACTAGGCACCCTGCCCTGAGACAAAAGACAGGCTGGAGAAATGTGTGGGGAAACAGAAGTTTGGTGGTAGAGAAGAGTAAAGCTGAAGAAGCTCATGTTATATGGCCTTTTCAGAAAAGTAAGGATGAGGCAATCTGTGAAGAAGAGGGGCAGGAGGCAGGGCTGGCACTGGAGAAGTAAGGCATGGAAAATGCCTGGCACAGAGAGGCCATCTGGAGAATGAACAATATAAACGTCACCATCTATAGTGGAATTTATTCAGCTTTGAGAGTTTAGTAATGTAATGTATACTTATCTAAGTTAAAATTGGTGATGTAAATAATAGTAAACTCTTGATTTTTCCCTATTTTAGTAGAATACTTGCCAGATTTACTAAATGATGTAACTGTTCTGAAACTGTTGGAATCCTATTATTGAACTAAAATTTTTCAGCTTTCCCATAAAGTCACAAATAATAATACATCAACCTCAACTAAAACCTGAATTTTAAAAAAATATAGCACATGGTAAATCTGGATTAGAAATATGTACATTTGTGATGATATATACACATTCTATTAAATGCATTATTTTAAACTAGTGATGATAATAACTATTTAAAGAATTCTATTCACTTTTGCAACCACCTAATAGAACAAACTGAATTGAAGTTTAATTTTCCATAAATATTGCTATTACATAGTAAAACTCACCATTGTTTAGGAACAGTTTTTAGGAATGCTTCTTGATTTTCAGGGCAAACTAAAGGAACCCACCTGCTCATAGTAGGAAAGTTAAAGAAGCTGAAATAGCACTGTCTGGGAAGAAAGTAGTATTTTTTTTTCTCTTTATTTGAAGTCTGCCCCAATAATGTGTTTTCCAACACTAATCTTACAACACAGAGATTTTAAAAACACATAAACCAACAAACATACATTCTGGCAACTAAAAACTAGAATTGCCATTATTTAACATTACATTTTTTATTTACGTCTTCATTGACTGAATTCATTCCAAGCCTGCTGGAAGGAGAATAGATACTTTCTCGTGCCTTGAAAAATGCGTAGAATATAATATAGTAAGCATTCAATAAATATGGATTAATTAACAGAAAGTCAAATACAAAATCCTAATGTACAGCAAGCAAGCCTGGGCAAAATAGGTCTTACTGATATGACTGAAATCTGTATTGTGGATTACTGAAAATTGGCTATATGTTTGGCTTACTAGATCAGTATTAAATATCTAAGATATATGAGAGTCAAGAATTTATAAAATTCCTTATTAAAGTAAGGTTAAAATTTTGTCTTGAGTAAAATATAGGGGTTTAAAATTTCATAAATAATGTGTATTTAGTTGAAATTAGGTTTAATTCAATGAAATACTTATTGTGAGCCTTCAGAGTTTATGATACAGATTGATGCAGAAGATTAATACAAGGCAGAATGTGGTAAGTAGCAAAGAAAGTTCACTGGGATAGCCAGAAAAATGTCTTTTAAAATGTATGTCTGATGCTGGGAGCTAGAACTGAAGATTGGTGAATCATCTTTCAAAAGAATCAGCAACCATATCTTTTGTGGGATTTTGGATAGGATCTAAGGTAGTTTAAGAAAGATTCATGAGGTGAAGGTGTTTGAGATGGTACATGAAGGACAAAAATCCCATAAGCAAAAATAGTAGAAGGTGCTCAGGCCAATGGAATCACAAAAGCAACATGACACACATAAGAAAGGGTGGGAGTATAGTCAAGGACCCATCAGAATAGATTGGGGAGAATATGGAATCTGTCTGGGGAAGTAATGGAGGAAAAGACTTGAAATACAGATTTTACTGCAGAACTTGAGGACTTTGTATACATGTAAAAACTGATTTAATCCTTCTGAAAATCATGTAAAGTTGGTATTACCATTGTGATGAACACACCTCTCCCTTTATCCCTAATTCCACGTGACTCTAGTCGTGCTGCCTCTATCTTTGGCTTGATAAATGGCACGTGACTCAGCACTGGCCAATAAGAGCCTTTAATTTCCCAGCTATAGTAATTGATTCAGAAATAGGCACATGATAGAATAATCAACAATGAGATGCTAAGAGATTTTTGTTGAGACCTCTAGGACTAAGGCGAACATTCTTCTCTACTGGATTAGAATCTGGGAAGACATGAGGAGTTGCTTTGACTATTCAAACCCATGAAAGGGAAAGCATGACTCAGAATGGAACAAATAAGGCTGGGTATGTGGAGGTTTGGGTGAAGATGTGTAAAAGCAGAATCAAGTGATGCAGACAAAAAGAGGAAATTCAGGTCTACTTGACATCATTTTAGCCTCTGACAAAGGTGTGCCTGAAATCAGTTCTACCTGTAGCCCCAGTGTAATCTTTTCAGCATAAGCCTGATTAGCCATTTGAAACTGTAAGATTCTTAACTGACAGAATATCATTCCCATTTACAAATAAAGAAACTAAAGGTTAGGAAAAATATAATTTGTCCAAGATCACATATGTTTTAAATAACAGATTTATTGCTTTAACTCATATTAGATGACTTCAAGCCCATGTTGCTAACTACACATTTCTTTATTTTGTGAATTTTCGTGTGTGTGTGTGTGTGTGTGTGTGTGTGTGTCTAAGAAAGACAGAGAGGGAAAGAGTACATCAAAATAACTTTGGTTAGTTTCTTTCGGTATATAAAAATAATAACTACCACTCATTAGCACTATGCTAAATGCTTTACATAAAATTTCTATATATGCCAATCATTAACAGCTTGTCCATACTCACTTCTAATGGAATCTTTCTTGTCCATAACTGCTGTTCCCTCTATTAGCCTCAGAAGCTGGCCAAGGGTGGCACATGAGCCATGTGTGCTCACCAGGGACTATAACGTGGTAGCCAGTCAAAATATGAGCTAGGCCAATTGGATTCCTTTCTTGGAAATATGAACTAGTTGGTGGTAGCAAAAGGATGTGCACATTTAGATTTGGGGTGATAATTTGACACCAGGAGCTACACAGAATTCTATAGGAGGATAAAAGAAGACTGCCGTTAGAAGGAAGAGGCTGCTGCAGATATACAGAAAGAATCAGAGATGCAAACAGAGACGTAGATTACATAGCTTTGCAAGGAGTTCAGTCTCAGATTCTGATCACATTTTATATTTCTACTCTTTGGTTTCTGTCTTTTGGTATTCATGAGATTCCAATGCATGCTTAGAAGAATCTCCCCTTTACATAAGCTAGCTTGAAGGGTTCTTGCACCATGAAATCAATAAAGTACAGACTAGAACAATATATCATTTTAGTGAAATATGATAGCAACCCATGAGGTAGTTATTTTCAAGATAAAGAAATAGGTTCAGAGAGTTCAAGTAAATATCCCAAGGAAACAACTAGAATGAGATGAAGCTGGGAGTAAAACCTAGGTTGATGTATCTTAACTCCACATGTATAAGACTAACTGGAATAGGGATATACCAGAGACAAGGAAACCAATTAGGAATTAATTACAGTATTTTAGGAAGAGATGGTGAGTGATGCAGTTAGAGCAATGGATGAGTTAACAGAAGTGAAGAAGTGGGTAAAAAGTGTATAAGATTGTCTATAAGGGTAGGGATGAGGGATAGCAAAAAAGTGAAAGAAGCCAAAGATGACACTAAAAAAATTTAATTTGGCTGATTGGAAAAAGAGTGGTACAACTAGTAATAGTAGTAGGGATTCAGGTCTGGGAATTATTATTATGAAGAAGAAAATACAGTTAATTTGGGTCGCTACTGGTTTTAAGGAAACTTTAAAAAGAGAGCTGAAAATGTTAGCTTGAAGCTAGAGTTAGAAAAATGAAATTGGGAAATATTTGTAAAGAAGTGACCTCACGGAAGTCTTTTCAAAACTCAGTAAATCAATATATAGCATGAATACAGATTTTAAAAAATTCAGATGTCAACTGGGAGAAATAGAACAAAGACGGCCGACTAGATACAGCCAGGAAAAACCTCTCCCATTGAGACAGACCAGAATATTGAGTAAACTAGCATAGTCCACACAGACCCTCTGACAGATGCACCGAGAGAGGTTAGAGAGATGACTCAGACACCAGGACTGAAGAGGGAGGAAGCTGGAAACCCCACATGAGGTTGCTGAGTGCTGAGATGCATCTCAAGCCCTTAATGGCTCCTAAGGAAGGGGTGGCTGTGATCTGTGTAAGCTGTTGGACCTGGAGGGAGCCCGACTGTCTTTCCCAGTCCTGCTGAGACAGGTCTGATCTGTACATCCTGTTGTCCAGTGGCCCCTCTCAGAGTCTGGTCTTGGCCATGTCTGAATGCAGCACAGCCTCAGATATCCTGCCAGAGTGCTTTCGCCAGTGACTACCACAATAGTGCTTTTACTGGAGTCCCCCACTGCCCCACCTCAGCACTTTTGCTGACAGCGTCCTGCTGGAAAGTGTTCACCTCTGACCTGCCACTGCCCCTTTGAAGTACATTTGCACCCCTGCTGCAGCACCTCCTACCTGTGGCACCTCCATCAGAGCACTTATGCACACAGCACCCTCAACAGAGTACTGTTGCCAGCAGCCTGAGAACATCTGGCACCAACAGCCCAACTGGGGCTTAACCTTGAGAGATGAGAGGGCAAAGCCATGGACCCAGTCCCAGCCACCCAGGGTTAGAGCACGCAGCCCAGGAGTGTGAAGCTGAGCCCGCGCCCTCCAAAAGCATCCAGAAACGAAGTCATTTAACTTTCCTAACTTGCACCACAGTCAAACCCTCAAGGACAATGAAGATCATAAAAATAAAAAGCTCTATCCAAAGGAAAACAACTTCAAAGGATAAAGGAACATCAGCCCCCACAGATGAGAAAGAACCAGTGCAAGAACTCTGGGAACTCTAACAGTCAGAGTGTTTTCTTATCTCCAAACAATCACACTAGCTCCCCAGCAATGGTTTTGAACCAGATTGAAATGGCTGAAATGTCAGACAGAATTAAGAATCTGAATGGCAAGGAAGCTCATTGAGACACAAGAGAAGATTGAAACCCAATCCAAGGAAAACAGTAAACTGATACGAGAGTTGAAAGATGAAATAACCATTTAAAGAAAGAACCAAACTGAACTTCTGGATATGAAAAATTCACTACAGGAATTTCAAAATACAACAGAAGCATTAACAAAATAGACCAAGCTGAGGAAAGAATCTCAGAGGTTGAAGACTGCTCCTTTGAAGCCACACAGGCAGACAAAAATAAAGAAAAAAGAATGTAAAAAATGAACAAAACCTCTGATAAATATGGGATTATGTAAAAACACCAAACCTATAATTCATTGACATTCCTGAAAGAGAATAAGAGAGGGTAAGTAATATGGAAAACATATTTGAGGATATAGTCCATGAAAATGTTTCCAATCTCACTAGAGAGATTGACATTCAAATTCAAGAAATTCAGAGAACCCCAGTGAGAAGCTATGTAAGACACAGTCATGAGATTCTCTAACTCAATGTGAAAGAAAAAATCTTAAAGACAATTAGAAAGAGCAGGTCACTTACAAAGGAAACCTCATCAGGCTAACACCTTTCAGCAGAAACCTTACAGGCCAGAAGTGACTGGGGGCCTATTTTCAACATCATAAAATAAAAGAAGTTCCAACCAAGAATTTCATATTCTGCCAAACTAAGCTTCATAAGCGAAGGAGAAATGAAATCCTTTTCAGACAAGCAAATGCTAAGGGACTTTGTTACCATTAGACCTGCCTTACAAGAGGTCCCAAAGGGAGTGCTACATATGGAAACAAAAGAATTCTACTTGCCACCACAAAAACACACTTAGGCATGTAACCCACTGACACTATAAAGCAACTATACAATCAAGTCTACATAACACACAGGTAACAACATGATGAGAGGATCAAATCCTCAAATATCAATATTGACCCTGAATGTAAATGGTCTAAATGCCTCACTCAAAAGGCACAGATTGGCAAGATGGATAAAGAAGCAAGACCCAACTGTCTGCTGCCTTCAAGAGACCTATCTCAAGTAGGATTACCCATAAGCTCAAAGTAAAAAGAGAAGGATCTACCAGGCAAATGGAAGACAAAAAAGAGAAGGGGTTATTCTGTACTTAAACTCGACGCTTAACCAACTGGTCTTAATAGAGATCTACAGAACACTCCACCCAACAAGACCAGAATATACATTCTTCTCATCTGCACATGGGAGCTACACTAAGACTGACCGCAAGCTAGGCCATGAAGCAAGTCTCAACAAATTAAAAAAAAATCAAAACCATACTAACTACACTCTCAGATCACAGAGCAATAAAAAAGAAATAGATACCAAGATGTATCAAAACCATACACTTACATGGAAATTAAACAACTTGCTCTTGACTGACTTTTGGGTAAAGAATAAGACTGAGGCAGAAATAAAAAATTATTTGAAACTAATGAAAATAGAGACACAACATACCAGAATCTCTGGAACACAGAGCAGTGTAGGGAGGAAATGTATAGCACTAAACAGCTACAACAAGAAGTTAGAAAGATCTCAAATTCATAACGTAACATTGTACCTAGAGAAACAAGAGCAAACCAACCCCAAAGCCTAGCAGAAGAATAACCAAAATCAGAGCTGAATTGAATAAAATCAAGGTGCAAAAATCCATAAAAAAGATCAATAAAATTAAAAGTTGGTTCTTCAAAAGATTAAACAAAATTGATAGACCCCTAGGTAGATTAACAAAGAAAAAAAAGAGAGAAGATCCAAATAAACACAATCATATATGACAAAAATGACATTAAAACTGACCCCACAGAAATACAAAAAATCCTTGGAAACTATTAGAGACACCTCTATGGACACAAACTGGAAATCTTAGAAGAAATGGATAAATTCCTGAAAACACACAGCCTTCTCAGATTGATCAGGAAAAAACTAAAAGCTTGAATGGATCAATAACAATTTCTGAAACTGAATTAGTAAAACAAGCCTACCAACCAAAAAATCCCTGGTCTAGATGGATTCACAGCTGAATTCTACCAGACCTAAAAGAAGAGCTAGTACCTTTTCCAAAAATTGAGGGACGGGGATTCCTCCCTAACTCATTCTATGAAGCCAGCATCATTCGGATACCAAAGCCTAGCAGAGACACAATGAAAAGAGAAAACTTCAGGACAATATCCCTGATAAACATGGATGTAAAAATCCTCAACAAAATACTAGCAAACCAAATCCAGCAGCACATCAAAAAGTTAATTCACCACAATCAAGTAGGCTTTATCCCTGGAATGTAAGGTTGGTTCAATATACGTAAGCCAATAAATGACGGGTGGGTGTGGTGGCTCACACCTGTAATCCCAGCACTTTGGGAGGCCGTGGCAGAAGGATTACCTGAGGTCAGGAGTTTGAGACCAGCCTGGCCAACATGGTGAAACCCTGTCTCTACAAAAAAAAGTACAAAAATTAGCTGGGCATGATGGCGGGTGCCTGTAATCCCAGCTACTCGGAAGGCTGAGGTGGAAGAATCACTTGAACCTGAGAGAAGAAAAGGGAATGCATAGAATACTGTTGATGGGAATATAAATTAGTTCGGCCACTGTGGAAAGCATTGTGGAGATTTCTCAAAGAACTTAAAACAGAACTACAATTTGACCCAGCAATCCCACTATTGGGTAAATATCCAAAAGAAAATCAATGTGTCTACCAAAAAGACAAATGCACATTCAGGATACAAAACAAACACACAAAAATCAGTAGCATTTCTATACATTGATAACAACCAAGCTCAGAGCCAAAGCAAGAACAGACAAGGACATGGAATCAACCAAGGTGCCCATTAATGGTGGACTGTATTTAGAAAGTGTGGTACATAGACACCAAAGAATACTATGCAGCCATAAAAAGAATGAGATCATGTCCTTTGCAGCAACATGGATGGCACTGGAGACTATTATCCTAAGGTAACTAACACAGCAACAGAAAACCATATACTGCATGTTCCCACTTATAAGTGGAAGATAGACACTGAATACACATGGCCACAAAGACGAGAACAATAGATACTGGAGACTGCTGGAGGTGGGGAGTAGGATGAGGGTGTAGGTTGGAAGGCTACCTATAGGGTACTATGCTCACTACCTTGGGATGGGATCATGTGTACACCAAGCCTCAATGACACCCAATTTACCCATGTAACAAACCTGCACTTGCACCCTCTGAACCTAAAATAAAAGTAGAAAAGAAAAAAATTTCAGTAATACACAAGTACAAAGTTAAGAAGTAAACACTATGTCTAATACTAAAAGAAACTGCTTTAGATTTCTAATTTTTCTCTGGCCAGTATTTATGGTGACAAATTTACTGGGCCCAAATGACAAAACGAAGCAACAAAATTATTTATTAATTTTATATAGGCAGCATATACGTGTGTACACATACATATAGAAACACAAAGAAAGCATTTATATCTTTAGAGATTATAATGTTTTAAATTGTACAGCAAAAATATATGGAAATCACATAATAAAAAATGACTTGTATTTATGCCCTGCATTTCTCCATGGAACTTAAAATTATTTAACAGACATTATCTCATTGTTTTAAGAACTGCTATGAAACAACATGACATTTATATAACACCATTCATTTTCAATAATCTTGAAGGGTTTTATAAACTCCGGAAGAATGGCTTTGCTCATGTTCAATGTGGAATCACTGAGGGATGGACGTGGAGGTGGGTGGGTAGAGAATTGGACAGGACTCTGGTAGATGTTCCATAGAACATAGCAGTAACATACAACCATTTAAGAAAGTGAGAGATACTATTATATTAAACAGAAAAAATGAAGAAAAAAGAGCAGAGAAGATCCAAGCTAAGATTGCATTACATTTGTTAAAACTGAGAAAAACAGTAAAGACCAACTGGTCTTATTTTAATTTTTGTATCTTAGAATAATATAGATACTTTCTAGATTAAAAAGAATTTAAGCATCATCTGCTAAATTAAGAACTCCATTTTCTTTTTTTCCCTTTTTGAATATATATACAACAGTTGTATATATTTTGGTGTACAACATCATGTTTTGAAATATATATTGGATGGCTGAATCAAGCTAATTAACACATACATTACCTCACATACCTGACACAGTTTTTTTTTATTTGTGGCAAGAATACTTAAAACCTACTCTCAGCAATATTCGAGGATATAATACATTGTTATTAACCATAGTCACCATTTTGTATAATAGAGCTCTTCAACTTACTCCTCTCTAACTGAAATTTTGAATCCTTTGACCACATCTTCCCAATCTGCCTTCCTGCCTAGCCCTTGGTAACCACAATTCTACTCTCTGAAGAACTCCATTTCCTACAGTGCTTTTTGTATGGGTAGTGGTCTATACTCCAACCATCAATAACATCTTGGATCTAAATTATTATTGATTTAATATATTTTTGGGGGGTGTCTATATTTTTTGAAGACACTTCCTCTCTTTCCTTCCCTGTTTGGACTGAAACTCAGATGCTAAAAAACAAATATTCACCTGAAAAATTTTTTTTTCAAGTTTTGTTTTGTTTTGAATTTATCGGGTATATTAATCAGGATTCTCCAGATATACAACCAATGTGTGTGTGTGTGTATGTTTGTGTGTGTGTGTGTATGTATCTCTCTCTATATATAAAAGAGGTTAATGGAGCCCGAGAAGTTTCAAGGTCTGCAGTCAGCAAGCTGGAGACCAGGAGCGCCAGTGATGTAGTTCCAGTTTGAGTTCAAAGGCCTGAGACCCAGGAGAGCTGATAGTGTAAGTTCCAGTCTGAAAGCCAGCAGGCTTCAGACCCAACAAGAGTCAATATTTTGGTTGAGTCTGAGAAGGAAGAAACAAATGTCCCAGTTCAAAGAAGATAGGCAGATGGAGTTCCTCCTTATTTGCAGGAGGATCAGCCTTTTTGTTCTATTCAGGCCCTCAATTGATTGGATGAGGGCCACCCACATTAGGAAGGGTAATCTGCTCTACTCAGTCTACCAATTCAAATGCCAATTTTATCACCAAACACCTTCACAGACACACAGAGAATAATGTCTTACCAAATACCTGGGCACCCCATCGCCCAGTGAAGCTGACATATAGAATTAACCAACACATCAGACAAAAGGGCCTCTGTTCCTTCCTTGGAAAAACTAACATAATTCAATTTTCCTGAAGCAGTTGAGAGCAATGGAATAATATATAAAAAGAAGATACTGCCAGATTCCCTACTTGGACAAGGAAATATGCCAACTAATGCCAGAGGCTCTAGTGCCTCACTTTGTCTCCACTAGTCACAATATGTATGCAGAGGCCTACCGAAGATGGATGGCACCTTGGATAAGAACACGTGTAGAAGTAGTGAAAATGCAGGGGAAGAGCTGGACATCACAAAATACTGCAAAATTAATCTCCCAGCCCATCATATAGTTATTAGAGAACACAGTCAGTTTTGTAGAGGAATGAGAACACAAGCCTTATAGGTACATGGGGACTTTGACTATCTCTTTAGCCAGCTCAGGGTAAAAAGGGTGACAACATCCCTATTAATCCTTCAAAAATACCACCTGAGGTCCTGAACCCAAAGATCACCTTGCAACAAAGAGCTACTAGTCAGTACAAGTCGTCTACTACCACTGCTACTACTACTACTACTACTACTACTACTACTACTACTACTACTAATACTACTACTGCCACCAAAAGTTACCACATATTTCAGAGGTTACATACTTTACATACTGTAACCTCGCAATAAACAAATGAACATGCCAATTTTACAGATGAAGAAAGTGAGGCTAAGAGAGGCCAAGTGTTATAGGTATGTTTTTGTTTGCCAAGTGTGTTTTTGACTCCTTCTTCTGATAACAGGTTCTGCCCCTGATGACAGAGTGACCCATGATCAATCAGCAATTAATATCTGTCTCTGGGGAGCTGGGTGTTCAAACAGGCTGGAAAGAAGCTAAGTGAGCTGTCTGATGATAGAACCCAGAACTAGTAGAAGAGTTTCTGCACTGAAGGCTCTGTGGTTGCCCCTGGTCTTTCGGCCCCTCCTAAAGTGTAACTATTTAGTGCTTAGTTCCATTTTGTGTGTTACCTAAGTATCCCATCCTATGGCTTAAATTGTACTTCATTATGGCCACGAAACATGAATACCTAGATACATTGTATAATTTATCCAAGATCACATAGGCCTAAATTGGAAAAGTTGACTCAAACCTAGGTTTTTCTGACTTTAAAGGCTGTACTCTTGACCATGATACTCCATTGGCTTTTGAAAACTGGTATTCTGTAATGCTACCTGCCACCAAAAGAAAGTAAAACATTCTCTTGATTTTATATCTTGGATTCTTTTGCAAAATTTTGGAAGATAGTTAAGCAAATATGGAAAATCTTGTAAAATTAGTCTATAAAATGTAATTTCATTGTTGAACGGGAAAATCTTTAGTGGGCATATTAAACTTGGGTTATTTGGATGTTGTATAAAAGGAACAGCCAAAGGTATAAGAAAATGGTACTTGAGCTTTGCTCTTTCTCAATCAGTGAGATGAAATGAGAACAAAACCTTTAAAAACCTTCCAGAGTAGCAGATGAACAAAGTGAAAAGAGCACAGGCTTTCTGTTACAGGTAAATACAATAGAAAGAACAAAACATTCAGATTCTTCCAGCTCCACAATTATATTACATAATCAAATCACTCTCTCCATGATACAGGTTTTCTTATTTGTAAAATGGAAAAATAGTATGTATTTTTATAGGGTTTTTGGGTAAGAATTAAAGTAAATAATACGTGTAAAGCTTCTACTATAAAGCTTGGCATATAGTAAGCATTTATGAAATGGTAGTTGCTATTTTTGGAGCTGTCATTAAACTGAGTCATGTGATGATGCTTACAGGGCCAACCAGAGAAGGCTGCTGAGAGGACCCTGGGAGTAAGACATAGTTGGGAACCAAAAGGATAAAAGTATCTAATGCATAAGAATGTTTAGTTATTTATTAGCATCTCTTGCCTGTCTGTGTGTGTTTAATCTTGTATGCATTGCTGAAATGTAACAGAGATACTGGAAAGTACACAAGTTAAAAAAGTATAGCTCAATGATTTGTCACAAAGTGAACACTCAGATCAGGCAAATCTGTTGTTTGCCAACTTTGCAGAAGCATCCCTGTTGCATGTCCCATTTGTTAACCTCTCTCTTCCCTATAAAAGTAACCATTATCTTTCCCTACGGGATAATCACAAACATTATTTTCTATATAATTTTATCACTTAAGCATGTGCTACTAAACAGCACTACCTAATTTTTGCTACTGTAAATATACAAGCCCATACTACCACTTCCAAAAAGTATTTGAACACCAAGTCAGTGAGTTCTTGAACAAACAAGGAGGGGATAGAGGAAAAAAACAAACTTTCTTCTGAAAACAAAAACAAACTACATTAATGTTTTTCAGATATGTGCCTAGTAATACTAAATAAACAAACACAAAACCCAAACCCAAAACACACTACTACTTAATTTTGTTTGTTTTCTTGTGCATATTATATAAAATGAAATCACATCATTTATATTCTTTGGTGTCTAGCTGCTTTTGCTCAACTTTATGTTTGTAAGATTTATCTACATTGTTGTGTGCAGCTATAGTTCTTTCATTTTCACTTGTATATAGTATCCCACTGGATGAATATACCACAATTTTTACCACTCTGTTGATGATAGATATTTGTGCTATTTCTTGTTTCTCACTATTAAAAATAATAATACTGAACACTCCTGTACATGTGCACATATGTCTGATAACTAGGTATGTAACGGTAGAATCAGTGAATCATGGACTGTGTGTATTTTTAACTGTGGCAGAAAATGTCTACTGTTTTCTAAAGTGGTTGCATCAATTTACACTCCCGACACCAGAGGATAAGAGTTCCAATGCTCCACATTCTCAGTAACAATTGCTACTGTTAATCTTTTTAGCTATTCTGAAGAATGTGTGGTTTGGCTCTAATTTGCATTTTCCTGAATACTCATGAAGTTGGACAAATTTTCTTATGATTAGTGGACACTAGATATTTTCCTTTGTGAAGCGCCTCGTGAAGTCTCTTGCCCGTTTTTCTTTGGGTTATTTATTTCTCTTATGATTAATAATCACTCTTTAGATATCCTGGCTATGCTGTATATTTCCTTTCCCATTTTGTGGCTTGCCTCTTCACTTATGTCAGGTATCTTGCTGAACAGAGGTTCTTAATTTTAATAGAGTAAAAGTTCAGCAAATGTTTCCTTTACGATTACTTCTTCTTATATCTTAATCCTTCAATCGCTACATGAAGGTCATAATGACATTCTCCTAAAATATTTTCTAGAAGTTTTATTGCTTTGTCATTCACATGTAGATCAACAGTCTATCTGGAATTAGTTTTTATGTCTGGTGTGAGTTAAAAGTCAAGTATTTTTCTTTCCTCAAATTAATTATCCTCTAATTCCAGCACCATCATGGAAAACATTCTCCTTTTTCCTTGCTTTTCAGCACTATCTTTTATGTGTGTGGGTCTGTTTCAGGCTCTCTATTCTATATCACGTGTCTATTTGTCAGTCATCATATCAATCCCACACTGTCTTATAACAAGTCTTGATATTAGATAGATAAAATAGTCTATCTCATTTTTGACTTTTGTTTTTTCCTCAATCTTGACTGTCTTTGCTGCTTACATTTCCCTATAAACTTTACAATAAGCTTATCAGGTTCTATAGAACCTGTTAGATTTTGATTGAAATTGCATTTAAAATATAGAACAGTTTAGGGGAAATATCTTTACAGTACTGAATCTACCCAATCCATAAACATGATATGTCCCTCCATTTTATAGATAATCTTTAATATTATTCAATAAGGCTTAAAAGTGTTCTGTGTCTTGTATGTCTGTATATTAATTCCATGGTATTTGACATTTTTATGGTACTGTAGATAGAATTTCTTTCAAAATTTCATTTTCTAAATCTTTGTTATTTCCATATAGAAAATACAACTGAATTATGTATACTGAATTTATACTCAGCTATCAGGTATACTCACATTAATTTTATAATTTTTCTGTAGATTCTTTTGGATTTTGTATGTACATAATTGTACCTGAGCAAGAAAACAGTTTCTTCCTTTTCAAATCTTTTGTTTCTAATTCTTGCCTTATTACACTGGCTGGGATCTCCAGTAAATCATTATGAATATAATAATGTTGAATAAAAGAGGTTATAGTGTGTGTTATTTGATAGTTCCTACCACACCATTAAGTATAATACTTGCTGTAGGTTTTTTGTAGGGCATACTACTGTCCTATTTCTAGTGTGCTAGAACATTTTATTAAAATCATGAATGCATACTGAATTTTGTTAAATGTTTTCTCTCCTATCAAAATGATGAAATGATTTTTCCTTTGGTTCTATTAATGTGATAAATTACATTGATCTATTTTGATTGCTAAGCCAAAACTGCATTCCTAGAATAAATTCAAATTTGTCAGGATGTATGATGTATTATTAAAATATTGCCTCATTTAATATGAAAGTATTTTGCTTTTAATTTAAGGAGGGCAGTCTATAATTTTCTCATATATCTTTACCAGGTTTTATTATCAAGATTATGTTGGCTTCATAAACCGAATAACAAATTGCTCTTCTGCTCTTTTCCTATTCTCTGGATGAGTTTCTGTAAGACTGGTGTTATTTGGGAGTTTTAAATTATGAATTTGAGCTCTCCAACAGCAAAATTCAGAATCCTATTTCTTCTTAGATTAGTCTTGGTAAATGAAGTACTTCTAAGGAGCAGAAGGTTGTTTATAATAGCATTTTGAGAGCATTTTTATGTTGGTGGGTCCTGTAATTAAATCCTTTTTAAAACTCATGATGATTATCTGCACATTGTTTTTTCTTACTCAAACTCATTAAGAGTTTATCAATATGATTAGTCCTTAAAAGAACCAGTTTTTGGCTTGGTCTTTCCTACACTACATGCATTTTTTTTTCTACTGCACTAAGTTTTGTTTTTATTATTTATTAGTTCCTTCTTTCTTTAGGTTTAACTTCCTGTTCTGTATAAAAAAAATTTCTTAAAAGGTCTACTCAATCTTGCCTTTGAACACCTTGTAAAAAGTAAGCATATTTATTTTAAAGTCTGTTTCTGATAATGTCAATATCTGGAGTCCCTTTAGGACTCTTTCTATTTGTTGTTTCTGCTGGGTTTTGGTCAACTAATTTTGTCCCTTTGTGCACCTGGCTATTTTTTATTGTGTGTTGGGCCCACATTTGCCAAAGTGCAGAAAAAGTGATGCTTAGGATATTATTTTCTCCCAGGGAGGATTTTCACATGGCTTCTACCAGTGCCTAAAGGCACTGGCAATCCAGAACCACCTTAATTCAATTTCAGGTACTGAGATTATTTGAAGCTATATACCTATACAGGTCTGTCTACTTTCTTTCTTTCTTTCTTTTTTTTTTTTTTTTTTGAGACAGAGTCTCGCTCTGTTGCCTAGGTTGGAGTGCAGTGGCACGATCTCGGCTCACTGCAAGATCTGCCTCCTGGGTTCACGCCATTCTCCTGCCTCAGCCTCCCAAGTAGCTGGGACTGCAGGTGCCCGCCATCACGGTTGGCTAATTTTTTGTATTTTTAGTAGAGATGGGGTTTCACCATGTTAGCCAGGATGGTCTCCATCTCCTGACCTTGTGATCCGCCCACCTCGGCCTCCCAAAGTGCTGGGATTACAGGCTTGAGCCACCGTGCCCAGCCGGTCTGTCTACTTTCAGTTAACCTTTACTACTAGAGAAAAGCCTTGAGATAGCCAGACCCAAAGTGAGATATATTTACAAACATCCCCTTAGCAGACCCTGGACTTCAGTCCCTATTCCCTCTTCTCAACAAGAGACTGTTAAAAACACCACAGTACCTTTTAGACTCACCACTATACCCTCTAAATTCAGCAGATTTTCCCAGGGAAAGGGTTGCCCCAAACTCTGATCCTCCATTCTCCACTGGCCCTTAGCCTTGAAATTCTTCACTTTTCTTATCAGTTCTCTAAAGTCTTATAGAGATTTATTTTTTAAAGGATTTTAAATATTTATCCAGCTCTTCTAGTTATTGAGTCCAAATTATGTGGTCTGCCTTTCCTGAAAGCACAAGACTCCTCACACTGCCTCAGCCTTTCATGATTAAACCATATGCCTTAGTTAATCCTCCACTCTATACTAATATTTCTATTTATTTGTAAAATAGTAAAATATTTTACTCTGTGACTACAGGTTAGAGGTGCTATGGGTGCACTGGACAGCAATCTACAGTCCAAGCAGGTCAAATGAGAAAACTGAAGAACAAGAGAGAGATAAAATGGAATGATTGTTAACACGGAGGGAGGAAAGGGCAGGCAGCTGAGAATCAATCCTCAAGTTTGCAGATCAGAGAGACGTCCAAAGTGTTAACAGAATTTCAGTGCTGTCTGTTCCAAGATGGCCGAATAGGAACAGCTCTGGTCTGCATCTCCCAGCATGATCGATGCAGAAGACGGGTGATTTCTGCATTTCCAACTGAGGTATGTGGTTCATCTCACTGGGACTGGTTGGACAATGGGTGCAGCCCACGGAGGGCAAGCTGAAGCAGGGTGGGCCATTGTCTCACCTGGGAAGCACAAAGGGTAGGGGGATTTCCTTTTCTTAGTTAAGGGAAGCTGTGACAGACTGTACCTGGAAAAATGGGACACTCCTGCCCAAATACTGCACTTTTCCAAAGGTCTTAGCAAATGGCACACCAGGAGATTATATCCTGTGCCTGGCTCGGCTGGTCCCATGCCCACAGAGCCTTGCTCACTGCTAGTGCGGCAGTCTGAGACTGACCTGCGAGGCAGCAGCCTGGCAGGGGTAGGAGTGTCCACCATTGCTAAGGCTTGAGTAGGTAAACAAAGCAGCTGGAGAAGCTTGAACTGGGTGGAGCCCACCGCAGCTCAGCAAGGCCTGCTGCCTCTGTAGACTCCACCTCTGGGGGCAGGGCATAGATGAACTAAAGGCAGCAGAAACTTCTGCAGTCTTAAACATCCCTGTCTGACAGCTCTGAAGAGAGCAGTGGTTGTCCCAGCATGGTGTTTGAGCTCTGAGAATGGACAGACTGCCTCCTTAAGTGGGTCCCTGACCTCTGTGTAGCCTAACTGAGAGACACCTCCCAGTAGGGGCCGACTGACACCTCATACAGGCAGGTGCCCCTCTGGGACGAAGCTTCCAGAGGAAGGATCAGGCAGCAATATTTGCTGTGCTGCAATATTTGCTGTTCTGCAGCCTCCGCTGGTGATACCCAGGCAAACAGGGTCTGGAGTGGACCTCCAGCAAACTCCAACAGACCTGCAGCTGAGGGACCTGACTCTTAGAAGGAAAACTAACAAACAGAAAGGAATAGCATCAACGTCAATAAAAAGGACATCCACACCAAAATCCCATCTGTAGGTCACCAACATCAAAGATCAAAGGTAGATAAAACCACAAAGATGGGAAAAACCAGAGCAGAAAAGCTGAAAATTCTAAAAACCAGAGTGCCTCTTATCCTCCAAAGGATCACAGCTCCTTGCCAGCAATGGAACAAAGCTGGATGGAGAATGATTTTGATGAGCTGACAGAAGTAGGCTTCAGAAGGTCGGTAATAACAAACTTCTCTGAGCTAAAGCAGGATGGTCGAACCCATTGCAAGGAAGCTAAAAACCTTGAAAAAAGATTGGATGAATGGCTAACTAGAATAAACAGCACAGAGAAGACCTTAAATGCCCTGAAGGAGCTGGCACGAGAACTACGTGACACATGCACAAACCTCAATTGCCAATTCGATCAAGTGGAAGAAAGGTTATCAGTGACTGAAGATCAAATTAATGAAATAAAGTGAGAAGACAAGATTACAGAAAAAAAAGTAAAAAGAAACGAACAAAGCCTCCAAGAAATATGGGACTATGTGAAAAGACCATGCTGTACGTTTGATTGGTGTACCTGAAAGTGACGGGAGAATGGATCCAAGTTGGAAAACACTCTTCAGCATATTATTCAGGAGAACTTCCCCAATCTAGCAAGGCAGGCCAACATTCAAATTCAGGAAATACAGAGAACACCACAAAGATACTCCTTGAGAAGAACAACCCCAAGACACATAATCGTCAGATTCACCAAGGTTGAAATGAAGGAAAAAATGTTAAGGGCAGCCAGAGAGAAAGGTTGGGTTACCTACAAAGGGAAGCCCATCAGACTGACAGTGGAAACTGTCAGTCTCAGTTTCCACTGAAACCTCTCAGCAGAGGTTTCCACTGAAATCTCTCAGCAGAAACGCTACAAGCCAGAAGAGTGGGGGCCAATATTCAATATTCTTAAAGAAAAGAATTTTCAAAACAGAATTTCATATCCAGCCAAACTAAACTTCATAAGTGAAGGAGAAATAAAATCCTTTATAGACAAGCAAATGCTGAGAGATTTTGTCACCACCAGGCCTGCCCTACAAGAGTTCCTGAAGGAAGCACTAAATATGGAAAGGAACAACCGGTACCAGCCACTGCAAAAACATGCCAAATTGTAAAGACCATCGATGCTAGAAAGAAACTGCATCAACTAATGGGCAAAATAATGAGCTAACATCATAAGGACAGGATGAAATTCACACATAACAATATTAACCTTAAATGTAAATGGGCTAAATGCCCCAATTAAAAGACACAGACTGGCAAATTGGATAAAGAGTCAAGACCCATCAGTGTGCTCTATTTAGGAGACCCATCTCACGTGCAGAGACGCACATAGGCTCAAAATAAAGGGATGGAGGAAGATCTACCAAGCAAATGGAAAACAAAAAAAAGCAGGGGTTGCAATCCTGGTCTCTGATAAAACAGACTTTAAACCAACAAAGATCAAAAGAGACAAAGAAGGCCATTACATAGTGGTAAAGGGATCAATTCAATAAGAGGAGCTAACTATCCTAAATATATATGCAGCCAAAACAGGAGGACCCAGATTCATAAAGCAAGTCCTTAGAAACCTACAAAGAGACTTAGACTCCCACACAATAATAATGGGAGACTAACAACCCACTGTCAATATTAGACAGATCAACGAGACAGAAGGTTAACAATGCTATCCAGGACTTGAACTCAGCTCTGCACCAAGTGGACCTAATAGATATCTACAGAACTCTTCAGCCCAATTCAACAGAATATACATTCTTCTCAACATTACGTTGCACTTATTCCAAAATTGACCACATAGTTGGAAGTAAAGCACTCCTCAGCAAATGTAAAAGAACAGAAATCACAACAAACTGTCTCTCAGACCACAGTGCAATCAAATTAGAACTCAGGATTAAGAAACTCACTCAAAACCACACAACTACATGGAAACTAAACAACCTGCTCCTGAGTGAATCCTGGGTAAATAACGAAATGAAGGCAGAAATAAAGATGTTCTTTGAAACCAATGAGAACAAAGACGCAATGTACCAGAATCTCTGGGACATATTTAAAGCATGTGTAGAGGGAAATTTATAGCACTAAATGCCCACAAGAGAAAGCAGGAAAGATCTAAAATCGACACCTTAACATCACAATTAAAAGAACTAGAGAAGCAAGAGCAAACAAATTCAAAAGCTAGCAGAAGACAAGAAATAATTAAGATCAGAGCAGAACTGAAGGAGATGGAGACACAAAAAACCCTTCAAAAAATCAATGAATCCAGGAGCTGGGACATATTTCAAAATAATAAGAGCTATCTATGACAAACCCACAGCCAGTATACTGAATGGGCAAAAACTGGAAGCATTCCCTTTGAAAACTGGCACAAGATAGGGATGCCCTCTCTCACCACTCCTATTTAACATAGTGTTGGAAGTTCTGGCCAGGGCAATCAGGCAGGAGAAAGAAATAAAGGGTATTCAATTAGGAAAAGAGGAAGTCAAAATGACTCTCTTTGCAGATGACATGATTGTGTATTTGGAAAACCCCAGTGTCTCAGCCCACAATCTCCTTAAGCTGATAAGCAACTTCAGCAAAGTCTCAGGATACAAAGTCAATGTGCAAAAATCACAAGCATTCCTATATGCCAATAACAGACAGAGAGCCAAATCATGAGTGAACTCCCATTCACAATTGTTACAAAGAGAATAAAATACACAGGAATCCAACTTACAAGGGATGTGAAGGACCTCTTCAAGGAGAACTATAAACCGCTGCTCAATGAAATAAAAGAGGATACAAACAAATGGAAGAACATTCCATGCTCATGAATAGGAAGAATCAATATCGTGAAAATGGCCATACTGCCCAAGGTAATTTATAGATTCAATGCCATCCCCATCAAGCTACCAATGACTTTCTTCAAAGAATTGGAAAAAACTACTTTAAAGTTCATATGGGACCAAAAAAGAGCCCGCATCGCCAAGTCAATCCTAAGCCAAAAGAACAAAGCTGGAGCCATCATGCTACCTTACTTCAAACTATACTACAAGGCTACAGTAACCAAAACAGCATGGTACTGGTACCAAAACAGATATACAGAACAATAGAACAGAACACAGGCCTCAGAAATAACACCACACATCTACAACCATCTGATCTTTGACAAACCTGACAAAAACACAAAATGGGGAAAGGATTCCCTATTTAATAAATGGCGCTGGGAAAACTGGCTGAATATAGAAAGCTGAAACTGGATCTCTTCCTTACACCTTATACAAAAATTAATTCAAGATGAATTAAAGACTTAAATGTTAGACCTAAAACCATAAAAACCCTAGAAGAAAACCTAGGCAATACCATTCAGGACATAGGCGTGGGTAATGACTTCATGACTAAAACACCAAAAGCAATGGCAACAAAAGCCAAAATAGACAAATGAGATCTAATTAAACTAAAGAGCTTCTGCACAGCAAAAGAAACTACTATCAGAGTGAATACGCAACCTACAGAATGGGAGAAAATTTTTGCAATCTATCCATTTGACAAAGGGCTAATATCCAGAATCTACAAAGAACTTAAACAAATTTGCAAGAGAAAAACAAACAACTCCATCAAAAAGTGGGCAAAGGATATGAACAGACACTTCTCAAAAGAAGACATTTGTGCAGCCAACAGACACGTGAAAAAATGTTCATCATCACTGGTCATCAGAGAAATGCAAATCAAAACTGCCAAGAGATACCATCTCACAGCAGTTAGAATGGCAATCGTTAAAAGGTCAGGAAAAAACAGATATTGGAAAGGATGTGGAGAAATAGGAATACTTTTACACTGTTGGTGGGAGTTCAACCATTGTGGAAGACAATGTGGCTATTCCTCAAGGATCTAGAACTAGAAATACCATTTGACCCACTGATTCCATTACTGGGCATATACCCATAGGATTATAAATCATGCTACTATAAAGACACATGCACACGTATGTTTATTGCAGCACTACTCATAATAACAAAGACTTCGAACCCACCTAAATGTCTATCAATGATAGACTGGATTAAGAAAATGTGGCACATATACAACATGGAATACTACGCAGCCATAAAAAAAGGATGAGTTCATGTCCTTTGCAGGGACATGGATGAAGCTGGAAACCATCATTCTTAGCAAACTATCACAAGGACAGAAAACCAAACACCGCATGTTCTCACTCATAGGTGGGAATTGAACAATGAGAACACTTGGACACAGGGCGGGGAACATCACACACCGGGGCCTGTCATGGGGTGGGAGACAGGGGGAGGCACAGCATTAGGAGAAATATCTAACATAAATGACAAGTTAATGGGTGCAGCAAACCAACATGGCACATATATACCTATGTAAGAAACCTGCATGTTGTGCACATGTACCCTAGAACTTAAAGTGTAATAATAATATAAAGAATTTCAGTGCTACATCTAGACCAATGTT
Source organism: Homo sapiens (assembly GCF_000001405.40). NCBI lineage: Eukaryota > Metazoa > Chordata > Mammalia > Primates > Hominidae > Homo > Homo sapiens. The sequence continues at coordinate 64,905,650 of NC_000005.10, read as the reverse complement.
CTTTAGACTTTTCATCATGTATCTTAATTTGTAAAAAAATTTTGAGCATTCACCCTCAAAAATTTGTATATTTATTCAAATTTACATAAATTATGGGCATTACTAGTCTTTATTTCTTTTGTTCTTTTCATTCAGTCTTTTATTTTCAGATTAAAAGATAAACAGAAATAGAAGTTCAGACGCTTTCTCCCTTTACTGTAATGGGTCATCTCTGTGCCATTTTGGAGACCACTGTTCTAAAAGACAGAAAGTAAAGAAACTGGCCCTGCATGGACCAGAAGCCAGAAAAGTGGGGCAGGAGGAGGTTGAAAGACTTGATCTAATGGTAAGTAACATGTTCCTATTAAGGGCATCTTAGCTTGAGTGTGGAGAAGGTAGTAATCATGAAGCCTGGCCAGGAAAGAAAAGATATGCATTCATTAGGTGTTTTTTTTTTTTTTTTTTTTTTTTGAGATGTAGTGTGGCTCTGTCGCCCAGGCTGGAGTGCAGTGGTGCAATCTCGGCTCACTGCAACCTCTGCATCACAGGTTCAAGCAATTATCCTGCCTCAGCCTCCTGAGTAGCTGGGACTACAGGCATGCACCACCATGCCCGGCTAACTTTTGTATTTTTAGTAGAGATGGGGTTTCACCATGTTGGCCAGGCTGGCCTCAAACTCCTGACCTCAGGTGATCCACCTGCCTTGGCCTCCCAAAGTGCTGGGATTACAGGCATGAGCCACTGTGCCTGGCCCATATTTATTAGCAGTTTAAAGGGCATACAGAGCTGTTCTAGTATCTCGAGGTTGCATATAGGTAGGTCTTACAATTAAATTCCTATGAGCTGAAAGATATCTTAGGAAGTCATCTATTCCAATCCTTATCTGAGTCATGGTTGCATTCAGTGTGTTTATCAGTCCGTTTTGGAACTCTGGGTTGCTATCTGTGGTAGTTAAAGTATGTCTACAGTTTCTTTGAAGGGATTCAAAAGATGAAGACTAACTCTCCTTCCCTTGAATGTGGGCTAGACTTAGTGACATGTGTCACTTTACAGAATAGTTAATAGCAGGCATTGTAGCTTTCTCATGCCTCTTCTCCCCACCATACCAAAGGAATCACTTGTTCTGGGGAACCCAGATACCATATCATAAGGATATGAAAGCAGCACTATGGAGAGGTGCATATGGTAAGGAACCGAGGCTTCCTGTCAGCCATGAGAATGAGTCATCTTAGTAGATTCTCTACTTAAATCAAGTCTTCAGATTTATATAGCCTTGGTCAACATTTTGCCTACAGCCTCATAAGTTGCAAAACTTCTCAGCTAAGTTGTTCCGAATTCCTGATCCATAGAAACTATGAAAAACTTAATGTTTTTTTAAGCCTGTTAATTTTGGAGTCACTTGTTATGCAGCAATAGGTAACTAATACAGAATTTTGGTATCCAGGTGTGGGGTGCTGACCTAAAGAAAAACCTAAAATATGTAAATGGTTTGAAACCTTGTAGTGGGCAGAAGCTGGAAGGATTTGGAAGAATTTGTTAATGAAAACTTGGAGAGTCTTAAACTGTTTGTAGAAGCATGGTGGTCTTTGAGGAGACTGCTCATGAAGGCTTAAAGCAAAGTGAATGCACAAGGATGTTCACTGTATAGCATTATTCATAATAGCCAAGAGGTGGAAAAAACTCACATGTCCTTCAAGTGATGAAGTAGATAAACAAAATGTGTTATATGCATACAATGGAATATTATTTGGTGATAAAGGAACTAAGTGCTGATACTTGATACAATGTGGATAAACTCTGAAAACATTAAGGCAGGTAAAAGAAGTCAGTCACAAAAAAATTAATGCACGATATTAATAATGGGTGAAACTGTGAGGGGCGTCAGAAAGGACGGTATGTGGGAACTCTATGCTTAATTTTTCTATAGGTCTAAACTCCTCTAAAAGTCTATCAATTTCTTTTTTTATTTTTATTTTTTATTTTATTTTAAGTTCTAGGGTACATGTGCAGAACATGCAGGTTTGTTACATAGATATACATGTGGCCATTGTGGTTTCCTGCACCTATCAATACATCATCTAGGTTTTAAGCCCCGTATGCATTAGGTAGTTGTCCTAATGCTCTCCCTCCCCTTGCCCCGATCCCCCAACAGGCCCCTGTGTGTGATGTTCCCCTCCCTGTGTCCATGTGTTCTCATTGTTCAACTCCCACTTATGAGTGAGAACATGTAGCGTTTGGTTTTCTGTTCCTGTGTTAGTTTGCTGAGAATGATGGTTTCCAGCTTCATCCATGTCCTTGCAAAGGACATGAACTGATTATTTTTTTATGGCTGCATAGTATTCCATGGTGTATATGTGCCACATTTACTTTATCCAGTGTGTCACTGATGGGCATTTGGGTTGGTTGCAAGTCTTTGCTATTGTAAATAGTGCTGCAATAAACATACGTGTGCATGTGTCTTTATAGTAGAATGATTTATAATCCTTTGGGTATATACCCCGTAATGGGATTGCTGGGTCAAATGGTATTTCCGGTTCTAGATCCTTGAGGAATTGCCACACTGTCTTTCACAATGGCTGAACTAATTTACACTCCCACCAACAGTGTAAAAGTGTTCCTATTTCTCCACATCCTCACCATCATTTGTTGTTTCCTGACTAAGTCTATCAATTACGAAAGACAATACCATTTATGGTAGCATAAAAATGTAAAATACTTATGAAGAAATCTGACAAATATATACAAGACCTCTACATTGAAAACTACAAAACAGTGCTCAGGGAAATTAAAGATGACCTTAATAAATGGAAAGATGTAACACACTCATGGGTGGTACTACCCAATAGTAGTAAGATGTCAATTTTCTTCAAATTGATTTATATATTCAATGCAATCCCAATCAAAATTCTAGCAGGCTTTTTTTTCGTAGAAATTGATTAGTTGATCCTAAAATTCACATGGACATGCATATGACGTAGAACAGACAAAACAACTTTGAAAAATGTGGGAGGACTTACACTTGACTTCAAGACTTATAAAACCATAGTGATCAAGATACTAGTATTCCTGTAAACATAGATAAATAGATGAATGGGACAGAATAGACCCATATATAATATATAGAATAAACCCATGTATATATGGGCAATTCATTTTCAACAAAAGTTGAAGGGCAATTCAGTAGGGAAAGGATTGTCTTTTCAACAAATGGTCTAGAACAAACAGCCATCAATATGGAAATATGTGTACTTCGATCCATACTTTGCACTACAGTCATGCCCTATTTAACAATGTTTCAGTAACTAATGGACTGCAAACACAAAGGTGGTGTCATAAGATTAATTATAATGGAGCTGAAAAATTCCTATCACCTGGTGACACTGTAGCCATGATAATTTCGTAGAGCAACACATTACTCATGCATTTGTAGTTATGCTGGTGTAAACAAATCTACACTGCCAGTTTTATAAAAGTATAGCACATACAATTATGTACAGTACATAATACTTGATAATAACAATAAATGACTATATGTTTATTATCCTATATTTTTATTGTTATTTTAGAGTGTACTCCTACCTATAAAAAGAAAATTTTAATTGTAAAATAGCCTCAGACAGGTCCGTATGGAGGTATTCCAGAAGAAGGCATTGTTATCATAGGAGATGACAGCTTCATACATGTTATTGCCCCTGAAGACCCATCAGTGGAACAAGATGTGGAAGTGGAAGACAGTTATATTGATGATCTTGACCCTGTGTTGGCTTAGGCTTTTGTGTGATTTTGTCTTCTTTTTAAGTAAAAAACTTCAAAAGGAAAAAGAAGAATTTAAAAGTAGAAAAAAGCTTATAGAATAAAGATATAAAGAAAATATTTTTGAATATTTTTGTACAGTTGTATAATGTATTTGTGTTTTAAGCTACGTGTGATTACAAAACAGTCAAGTTAAAAATTAAAAAGTTCATAAAGTAAAAAAGTTACAGTAAGCCGAAGTTGTTATTAAAGAGAGAAAAAAATTTAAATACATTCAGTGCAGCCTAAATGCACAGTATTTATAAATCCTACAGCAGTGTAATGTCCTAGGCCTTCATATTAACTCACCACTCACTCCCTGACTCACTTAGAGTGACTTCCAGTCCTGTGAGCTCCATTCATGATAAGTGCCTATACAGGTATACCACTTTTTATCTTTTATACCTTTTTTTTTTTTTTTTGAGATGGAGTCTCGCTCTGTCACCCAGGCTGGAGTGTAGTGGTGCCATCTCGGCTCACTGCAAGTTCCACCTCCCGGGTTCACGCCATTCTGCCTCAGCTTCCCAAGTAGCTGGGACTACAGGCACCTGCCACCACACCCGGCTAATTTTTTGTATTTTTAGTAGAGACGGGGTTTCACTGTGTTAGCCAGGATGGTCTCCATCTCTTTTATACCGTATTTTTACTGTACCTTTTCTATGTTTAGATATGTTTAAATACACAAATACTTACCTGTGTATTACAATCGCCTGCAATGTTCAGTACAGTAATATGCTATACAGGATTATAGCCTAGGAACAATAGCCTATACCAGGGGTATCCAATCTTTTGGCTTCCCTGGGTCACGCTGGAAGAATTGTCTTGGGCCATACATAAAATATGCTAACACTAATGATAGCTGATGAGCTAAAAAAAAAAAATCACAAAAAAGTCTCATAATGTTTTAAGAAGGTTTATGAATTTGTGTTGGGGCACATTCAGAGCTGTCCTGGGCCACATGTGGCCCACTGGCCACAGATTGGACAAGCTTGGGCCACACCATATAGCCTAGGTGTATAGTAAACTATACTATCTAGTTTTGAGTAAGCTTTGTGTAAGAACACTCACATGGTGTTTACACAACGATAAAATCACCTAGCAACACATTTCGCAGACTGTATCCCCATTGTTAAGGGATATGTGACTGTATATATAAACATTAAGTCAAAGTGAATCAAATCTTAATGTAAAATCTTAAAACTACAAAATTTCTAAAAAAAAAACACATAGAAGATCTTTTTGAGTTTGAGTCAGGCAAAGATTTCTTAGAACCAATAACTAGATTCAAAAATGAACAAAGTTAATAAGTTAGACTTTCCCAAAATTTAAGTTTTGTTTTTTGAAAGACACCATTAAGAGGACAAAAAATATAAGCCACCGTTTGAGAGAAATATTTACAAATCATATATCTGATAAAGGATTTGTATCCAAAGAATATAAAGAAGTCTAAAAATTCAATAGTAAATAACAAACAACACAATAAAAAATGGATAAAAAGAGTTGAATATATACTGCACCAAAGAATATATACGGATGACAAATAAGCACATGAAACAATGCTCAACATCATTATTAATTAAATGTAAATCAAAACCACAAAGTAACACTGCAAACTATTAGAATGGCTAAAATTAGAAAGTGACCACACGAAGTGTTAACAAGGATATGGAGTTAACAGGATAGTTTATGCACTACTTGTAGGATGTACAATGGCACAACCAGTTTGGAAAACAGTTTGGCAGTTTTCAAAAAGTTGAACATACACCTATCACATGACTTAGCCATTCCACTTCCAGACATTTGCTCAAGCAAAATAATAGCATATGGTTATAAAATACTTGTGGTATATCTATATAATGGAATACTACTTAGCAATAAAAGGAACAAACTACTGATATATACAACATGGATAAATCTGAAAATGCATATGTTGATTGAAAGAAGTCAGACAAAAAAGTACATAGAGAATATGATTTCATTTAAATAAGATTTAGAAAATACAACTATTTTATAGTGATAGAAGACTTTAGTGGTTGCCAGGGGATCAGAGAGGGGGTTAACAAGGGGCATGAGAACATGTTGGGCCTTGAAGGACATGTTCATTATCTAGATTGTGGTGATGTTTTCACAGGTATAGACATACGTCAAAACATGTCAAACAGTTCACTTTAAATTATTCTTCAATAAAGCTATTACAAATGTTTTCGTTTCTGTTCAAAAGTTTTGTTTGTGGATTCTGTCTTTTGACTGGGCCCTTTCTGGTACATACCACCAAATTACATTGTCCTGTTTCATAATATGTTCATAGCTCTTATCTGAAACTTTGCCCATTATTTAAATGTGCATCTGTGCTCTTCGTGTTGTCATAGATTCATACTCAAAAAATTGTCTTTTTCATTGTTATTCTTTTTTTCCTTAGTTTACAAATAATGTGATTATTCACTTAAGCAAAAGCCAGTTTCATTCATTACTTCAGCAAATGTTTGTTGAATGCTTATTATTTTGCCCATTACTATGCAAAGTATTAGGCATATAGAGATGAATCTATGGCTCCTGCTCTGCCAGGCACCTTTCCAACTACTGTTATACTTATTGCCCTTCATTTTGCAGTGGAATTTTATTCATCTCTCAAAACATAGCTCAGATACTTGGTCAAGCTTTTCCTGACCCAATGGACTACCGCCTATTTGGTTCTTCCTAGGATTTTGTTCATATTATATAACAGAATCTAGTAATTTTCTCCCTGAATTCAGTCATCCCTTTTACCTTTTAGTAAAGGAATCAACCCCATATATCTCCCATCCTTGATATTTAGTTAGCCAGCCACTTGGACACTCAACTGGAGACTTTATTTCTCAGCCTTTTTTACAGCTAGGTATGGCCATGTGATTTCAGTATAATATGATAAGAGTGAAAGTGCTTTTGTGCAACTTTTGGGTCATCTCCTCAAAGATGAAGTCACCAGTCTGGTACTTGCTCTTTCCTCTTCCCCGTTGCTGGAATATAGGCATGGAGGTGGGTCGGGTTGAATCATGCAGACAATGATAACACCTCAGAAGATGCCAAAAAGACAAAAATGAAAAAAACTTGGGTCCTTAAATACCTGCTGGTCCTGAAGTGCTCACCCTGAATTGTTCTGCATGAGAGAAATAATCCTCAATCTTATTTAAACATGGCATTTTTTGAGTCTTTATCCATCTGCTTGCCTCTCTCTCCCTCTTTCTTTTTTAACAGCAACTTCTTTTGTAGCTAATAAAACTAGCACTATCAATAGAAATTTCACTAATGACACTCCTTGTACGTAGCAACTAGATCTTGCTTTCTCTGCATTAGAAGGACATCTGGGAAAAAACAAGTGACAAATGTCTGATACAACAAAGTCAAATCAATTTTCTGGCTATCTACTATGTGCAAGTTTTAAGAAGTTATACTTCTGGTCATTTTAACTATTGTAACCCAGTTCTAAAAACTGTTTTCTATTTTACTGATTTCTGCTCTTTATTCCTTTCTTCCTTCTACTTCATTGGGCTAATTTTGCCTGCGTTTTGTATTTTTTTTTTAAGGCTTCTTTACGTGGGGAACTTCTATAGTAATTTCCTGAAATACTAGCATCTAATGCAATAACTGCTTATAAGTACTGCTATGGCTGCATTAACATACTTGGAAATCAGTAACTCTAATTCCTAACAACTGCATTGTGTCAGAAGATGTAGTCTGAAAACAATCCTCTGAAAATTTTCTTTCTTTATGGTCCATTATGTGGCCACTTTCTATAAATGTTTCAAGAGAGCTAGAAAATAATATGTATTCTGAAGCAATATTCCCTTTTGTACATTATATCAAACTTGTTAATTGTGTGGTTCAAATGTTCTACATTCTTATTAAATTTTTACATGTTTGTTTAATCAGTTACTGAGAGAATGTATTAAAATCTCTCACTATAATGGAATTGCTTACTTATTCTAGGTCTATCAGTTTTTGCTTCATAGATTTTGAGTTTATGTTATTAGGTCTATGCAAGTTAGGGATTATTACATTTTCCTGGTAAACTGAAGTTTCTGTGTTATGTGGAGATTCTAGGCCTAGTAATACATTTTGCCTTAACGATTTGATTGTCCAATTTTTTTTATTATTATACTTTAAGTTCTAGGGTACATGTGCACAATGTGCAGGTTTGTTACATAGGTAACAAACTATGTATGTGCCATGTTGGTTTGCTGCACCCATCAACTTGTCATTTACATTAGGTATTTCTCCTAATGCTATCCCTCCCCTTATCCCCCATCTCTGACCGACCCTGGTGTGTGATGTTCCCTGTTCTCTGCCCTGTGTCCATGTGTTCTCATTGTCCAACTCCCACCTATGAGTGAGAACATGCGGTGTTTGGTTTTCTGTCCTTGTGACAGTTTGCTAAGAATGATGGTTTCCAGCTTCATCCATGTCCCTGCAAAGGACATGAACTCATCCTTTTTTATAGCTGCATAGTATTCCATGGTGTATATGTGCCACATTTTCTTAATCCATTCTATCATTGACGGACATTTGGGTAGGTTCCAAGTCTTTGCTATTGTGAGTAGTGCTGCAATAAACATACGTGTGCATGTGTCTTTATAGTAGCATGATTTATAATCTTTCGGGTATATGCCCAGTAATGGGATCAGTGGGTCAAATGGTATTTCTACTTCTAGATTCTCACTCTGTCACCTAGGCTGGAGCAATCTTGGCTCATTGCAACCTCTGCCTCCCGGGTTCTAGCAATTCTCCTCAGCTTCCCCAGTAGCTAGGATTACAGGTGCACACTGCCACACCTGGCTAATTTTTTTGTATTTTAGTAGAAATGAGTTATCACTGTGTTTCCGAGGCTGGTATTGAACTCCTGAGCTGAGGCAATCCACCCACCTCAGCCTCCCAAAGTGCTAGGATTACAGGTATGAGCCACCGTGCGCGGCTTGATTGTCCAATATTTTGAAGATGTTTCTCACATAAGTTGCATTGAATTTCTTTTTTGGCCCAGTTTGACAAACGTAGTTTTTTAGGCGAAGTATTAGACTTTTTGTGTTATTTCAATACAACTATTGATACAGCTGCATTTTATTTCTCCTATCTCTCATGCCATCTTTTTTCTTTTTTTTAAAAAATATCCTGCCAGTCCATGTTTATTTTTCTTTCCTTTCTTATCCCCTTTGGGTTGATTTTTTTTTTTCCTAATTCCATCTTTTTCTCTACTGGTTTGGAAGTTAAGACCCTTCCTTATCCTGTTAGTAGTTTCCCTAAAAATTTTAAAATGTATAATTAATGTCTTAAAAACCACAGTTTATCTTGTGTCTTTACCTTCTTCCCAAACAATAAAAGGGCCGTAGAATGCTTTTCCGAGCACCCTTTACCTGCTCACCAAAGTTATATACTATGTTGTTATGTATTTTTAATTTTACCTTTATTATTCAACATAAGACATTATCATTGTTTTATTCCTTCAATATTTATTTAGATTTATTCATATATTTACCACTTTCCATGTTCCTAACTCTTTGTATTATAGGTCTTACATCTGGGCTCACCTAACTTTTGCCATAAGTATATCCTTTAGAATTTCCTTTGGTGAAGGTCCACAGGTAGCAATGTTTTTCAGCTTTTGTTTGTCTGAAGGACACTTCCCTCAGTCCATTGAAAATAAGATTCTGCCTTATGTCCTCACCTGTTGCTGTTGAGAAATCAGCTCTTGCTTTTTTAATGGTAATATCTTTTCCGACTGCTTTTAAGATCTCTTTGTGTTGAATGCTCTGATGTATTATCATAATGCATCTAGGACTGAATTTATTTTTCTTTATCCTCTTTTAGTTTTGGGGAGACTTCATTCTGTAAAATCGATCTTTTCATTAGTTATATAAAACACTCAGTATCATCTCTCTAAATATTGCCTCTATTTGCCCTTTGGTCTCCTCCTAGAATTTGATTAAACATTTATTAGATCTTCCAGGTTTCCAATCTGTTTTTGGGCTGAGTTCTACATGATTTTTTAATGCTATCTTTCAAGTCACTAATGTTCATTTTAGCTGTGGCAAATTGCTATAAAATATATCAAGTTTTTAATGTTAACTATTATATTTTTCATTTCTATATCTTCTTTGTTTTTAAATCACGTGTTCTTTATATTTTCAAGCCTATCATTTCTTGAAATATATTACACACACTTACTTAACATTTAGTGTCTGAATAAAATCTGAACTTTTTGTGGATCTCATTCTGTTGTCTGATGTTTCTACTAGCTTTTGGTCAGGATGTCTGAATTCAGTGCATATGTGTCTTCTGAGCTGTTCTTTTTCTTTTTATACTTTCCTTGAGGACTGGGATGAAAGTAGGATTCTCCAGGAAAAATTTATGTTTGTTTGTATCAGGCTTCTACAGGCACTTAAGATCAAGGGCCATTTCCAACTAAATTCTTTTATTGTTTGTTATTCCACACAAAATTGTTCATAATTGTCAAAACTTGAAAGTGACCATGATGTCCCTCAAATTTTTTCTTATATGAATTTTCTGTGTTCTGGTCCTTTTTTTTTTTCTGTTAGGTTGTTGGTCTTTTATTACAGATTTAAAGCAGTTTTTCACATATCATATGCTATAGATGCTGTTCATATTTTTCTCTGATGCATAAGGAGACTGTTACATTGTATAGGGTGTTCACATATTATCTGTGAACACATATTGCTCATATTTTTCTCCAAGACTATCATTGCAACTAAATTCTTGGCTGGAAGATTTGGAGACCACTCAGGCAGTGTGAATTTAGACTCCTAACTGATGGGAGGGCTGCCTTGTTGCTAGAGTTCCCAAGAGATGCTCTTGCTCCCAAATATTTTGTGCCATGATTCAAGATAGGTAATTTCCCTTGTAGCCCACTGATGGAAATGAGGTGACCCTGCTTATTTCTAATTATTCCTGCCACTAAGGATGTGTTCCTTTGGGCCCTCAACTACACAGAATAGTCTTGTTAGACCCTCGCTACCTTGGGAAAACCTTAAGTTTTACATAATCTTCCATGAACTTTGTGAGATTTCAAAAAGCAATGTTCCAGTTCACTCAATTTAACAAATGTCCTTAGGGTTAAAGCCTGACCTAGTGCTCCACTAACTTATCTTAGTTCATACCTTTACTTATTCCCTGGTTTAAGTATTCCTTGCATTTTTGCAAGTCATAGGAACATATCAAAAGATATTTTTGTATTATATCCAACATTTTTCGTTGTTTTTAGTGAGGGGATCAGTTTGGACTCCTAGGCTGCCATAGTGACAGAAATTGATGTGTTCCATTACATAATAATCTTTTGTCATTCATTCCCAAATCACATGTGTAATCTTTAAAAAGGTGTAGATTTATGATAATAATGTGCTCTCCAAAAGACTCTAAGTTTGCCTAGGGGGGTTTTAGAAACAATTAGTCTAGCCAAAACCAAAGTAGATTTTAATAAATACCAATTAAAACTTTATATAGACTACATCCACTCAAGGTTGGATCACATTGAAAAACAAGTAGTATAAAGGGCACTGGACACAAATCTAAGGGTCCTGAGTTCTAGTTCTATTACTTTGCTCTGTAATATTGGGTAAGCACCTTAACTGGCAAGCTCTAGGTTTCCTTTATATATAAAATGGAGGGGCCAGGCGCGGTGGCTCACATCTATAATCCCAGCACTTTGGGAGGCTAAGGCGGGTGGATCACGAGGTCTGGAGTTCGAGACCAGCCTGGTCAACATGGTGAAACCCCGTCTCTACTAAAAATACAAAAAATAGCTGGGTATGGTGGCGGGCTCCTGTAATTCCAGCTACTCGGGAGGCTGAGGTAGGAGAATCGTTTGAACCTGGGAGGAGGAAGTTGCAGTGAGTGGAGATCGTGCCACTGCACTCAAGCCTCAGCAACAGGGCGAGATTCCATCTAGGAAAAAAAAAAAAAAAAGGAGGGATTGGCCCAGATGATCCCTTCAGGACTGTGATTATTGCACAGAAGTAACAAATATAAATAGAGCACACGCAAGATCAGAGTTTCTAATGAGTAAGACGTTCGTTAAGGCTAGCTTACTTTCACATTTTAACATACTGCAGCATAATGTTTTAAACAAACTTACATTCTGGCGTGGCCATAGTCTTCTTTAAAAAACCTAAAATATTTTTGTATATCAAAATAGGTTCTCAATGATTTCTCAGTATTTGGGCATCTTGTTAGTTTTCTGAGAACTTCAGTATTCCTTTTGTTCTTTCTGGCATTGTTTAATGTAGCTATTAATATAATTTAGGGATTATCTGAGTTTTGTGTGAAAAAATACTAATACTCAAAAGCTGCAACTGTACCATCTGCCTGGAGTTTATGTGCAGAATTTGAAAATATAATCATTAAAAACTATCAGCTATTGCATTAATCATTTTTTAAAAATCAACCTGATACCATGCAGATTAAACTGTACAAAGTAAGGTTTAATGCAACATATTCACAGGTTTACACTATAAAGTTGTGAAAAGAATATCTTTCCCAAATTTGATTAAGTGCTGCAAGATGTTGAAGAAACTCAGCACTCGAATGAATTATATGTTTGATGTCATTTTTGGCAAAACCTCAGAAAATGTCACATAAAAGGAAAACATCTTACTTAAAATAAGGTCTTGACAGCAGTCTGGAAAAGTTAACAACTCCATTCCCAAATGGGAACACTGGTTATAATCAAACTTTTAATGATGATATTAGTTCCTCTCTGGAGACAATCTAAATATCCAAACAAAACAAAACAATAAAACACGTGTGTGTGCGCATGCACACGTGCATATGTGCGCACACACATACACATACCCTTCACCTCTTCTACTTTCCAAGAGTGGACAAATTTGTAATTATTTCAATGTAGGCTCCAAATACCTAACCTGAATGTAATCTTTCCTTGCAGAATTTTTAGTGGCCAGCTGAGAAAGAGGTAACAGACTACAACATGAGCTCAGGATTTATTTTAATGACTTTTTAAATGATTTTTTTTTTTTTTAAAGAACGAGAGATAAAGAATTCTCATCAGCAATGGAAATGTAGTCCCTGGCTATCATTGCTCCCACATAGTCTAAACCCCAGAGCTGAAATAGTGGGAATTTTTCATGTCTCAACTGCATTTGTACGGTCTTTACATCCATCATCCTCTATATCTCACGTTGTGTGATGTAAGATAATTAAGAAGACATACTCCTAAAGCAAGTTGCCCCCTTAAGAATTCTTGGTCAATTTCAATATAAACATTCTTTTAAAAAGGAATATTATAAACAAAATTATAACAAAATGACATTATGGGGAAAAAAACACGTGTGTTTATAGCATGAAAAGAAACAAATCCAGAAAAAATAAATATCACAAAGTTAACTGGTTATCTTTGGCGAAGTATTATGGGGTAATCTTTCTTTTTAACCTTTATGCCTTTCTACATTTCTGATATTTTTGCAAAGAATAAATGTTACTTTTATAATGTAAGAAATACAGCTTTTTTTTTTAAATAAAGAGACAGTAATGACCCCCAACTAATATTTACCTGTATGAATTAAGCAATCTATTTTTACTGGGTCAGGAATGACACAGATATTAGTAATAGGAGGACAAATTGCAGTTACTAAAAATATAGCTAAAGGCTCTTGTCAAATTCTCAACATTGAAATTACAACCACCAGGCCAGAAAGAAAGGTTATTAGAAAACTGTGTTAAGACAGCAAAGGGATGCAGAGAGATATCCTAAATACATTGGTTCTTAATAAGAGTAGCAACAGAGCTGGGAGTGGTGGCTCATGCCTGTAATCCCAGCACTTCGGGAGGCTGAGGCAGCCGGATCACCTAAGGTCAGGAGTTCAACACCAGCCTGGCCAACAGGGCAAAACCCCGTCTCTACTAAAAATAAAAAAGTCAGCCAGGTGTGGCGGTGCGTGCCTGTAATTCCAGCTACTCAGGAGGCTGAGGCAAGAGAATTGCTTGAACCCGGGAGGTGGAGGTTGCAGTGAGCTGAGATCGCACCACTGCACTCCAACCTGGGAGACAGAGAGAGACTCTGTAACAACAACAACAACAACAACAACAACAACAACAACAACAACAAAGTATCCCAAGCAACACTAGGAGGTCTGCAAGATGACCCAGAATTTAAGACATAAAAATATGTGAATTGGTTAGAATTTATTTTTTATTGCTCATAAAAATTAAATATGCCTATAATGTAGGGTTCACAAAGTAAAGCTCAACAAGATTCGCTAATTATGACTTGGAAGAAAGTTTGAGATAGATTGTCTAAAAAAGAAGAAAGTACTTTATGGACTCTTAAAGATGATCATCTCTTACTTTACCAAAAGATTAAATTCTTCATGTAATTGTGAGGGTATGTACATCTTCATATTTGCTACAGACCTTTAAAAATCTTTACTATTTAAGAAATTATATTATTGAAAGATATCTTGTTTAAAATATTGCATGGTTTCTAGCACTTAAAGGTAGTAAGGGGTTCAAGAAAATTTCAGTTGAGAGGCCGACTGCCCTAGCTACAGAATAAAGCTCTATTTTTCCAGGACTTTCAGGAAATGAGGTATTCCACACAACTGAATAGTCTAGATAAGAGAACTTTATCTTTAATTGATTAAAATGATTAATTTTTTTAACTAATTAGGTTGGAATCATTGCCCATTCTCTATCTTATTAAAGAATAATAAATACAATTTAAACTTCTCTTAATGAATCAGGCCCATTACAATAGGTAGGGATAACTTTATCTTTTAAAGATATACACATTCAGAGTAAAGTATGTTTAACAAGTATTTCCATAATATTTGACTCTTATGTTCTTGTGTTTCCTGACCTAGTGTCAGCTGGTTGGCGATCACCTCTTGCTGCTACCAAAATGAATGAATGTCTCTAGCCATGCTTTTCTCTCACACTTAAAAAAAATTTGTTGTTAGCCCAATAAAATACTGGGCTAGAAAGGTCCACAGGTCAGTGCCTTTTCTGGCTTCTCTTTTGCTTGTTTATTTATTTATTAAATTATTGAGATATACTTCACTTTCCATAAAATTCACCCTTTTAGAGTATACGCTCCCTCACTTTTATACTTTAATTGGTTTTTAGCTTAGAAAACCAGATAATCAATTTATTAGTGGCTATGCCCAAAGTAAGAAGAACTAGAAAATGATGGCTGGCCTGAGATGCATCCAATGAGTCAAGTGCAAATATACTTTCACTTTATGTAAATAAAGTAAAAATTAGCACATAGATTAAGAGTAGACTACGAAGAAAAATAGGTCTGATACTTCTGGGTTCCAAGAAAAAAAAAATAACTCAACAGTACCTAAAGAAAGTTAACTGCTTTGGAAAAGAGAACCAGTTTGCTCAATAAGAAAATTTTACATGGTATTAAGTAGAACACAGAGCTAACACTCAAAGAGGGTTTTTGTTTCTTATACCAACTAAGACCAAGCTAGTTTAATACTATATATTACCCAGATGAAAAGTACTCAAAAACTATATACTTTCACAACCTATCAAGCCTGAGGGACTCTAGTCTGATTTGATCCAGTATTAAAAAGATAGTCTGAAGAAATGTGAAATAACCCAGTGCAACTTGAGAGGTACTAGGCACCTCAGGGATATGTTTCATGAAAAGGCTTTAAAATTTTTTCTTGATTTACAAGCTCAGCCTGACCCTTCTCCTCTAATTTCTGGCACCAGTCATAGAGCAGGAATTGTCTGCTTAGAACTTTGAAAGAGGACCTAACACCTTATCTCTTTAAAGCTGATTAGAGAATATGTCCAAACCTGTCATCTCTATGTGACTATGTTCAGTTTGGTACTGGTTTTGATATGAAACTTAAAGAAATCTGGAAAAGACTTAGAGACATGATTTAATGAAAAGGATTATATAGTTTATTAAAGAACCTGACAGAGCCAAGACAGGAAACCAACTCTATCTCCAATTAACCATCAATCTTATTCAAAATTTATTATCCTCCCACCCCCCACAACAACCTTATGCACAGGCCTTGATGATTTACAATGGGACTAAAGACACTCCAAGGCTGTAAACAGGATTGTCCTGCAGTACATCTCTTTTGACATTGCTGGTATCTATAGTAAAACACCACATTTTTTGTTTACCTAAATTAGGGTGTTAGAGCCTACTGCAAATTCTATATTCAATCCCAAAGTGCTGGGATTACAGGCGTGAGCCACCGCGCCCGGCCTCAATTTGCTTTTATGATTGTTAACCATGTGAAAATATTTTTATGCCATAATTAGAAAGAGAATTATATTAGTAAGTATTTTTCTGTTAACTTTCCTTATATCATATAGAAATAACTGGATTTTCTCTAAATCCAAATGACTGTTAAAATTAGCTTCACCCAAAATTGGGTCATTTGATTGATATTGTATTTTCTCATCTCAAAATGTGCCATTTTATTTATTTACTTTTCGTTGTTTTATTTTGAAATTATTTTAGACTTACACAGAAGTTGCAAAAATAATACAGTTACCATATAACTTTAATGTTAAGGCCTTCCGTGACCATAGATTAGTGATCAAAACCATGCCAATAATGTTGGAACAATACTATTAACTAACTATAGACCTTATCAGAATTTCACCATTTTCCACACTAATATCCTTTTTTTTTGTTCTATGATTCTATCTAGGATTGAACTGCATTTATTTGCCATGTCTCCTTAGTCTCTTTTGATCTATGACAATTCATCAATCATTCCTTGTCTTTCATGACCTTGACACTTTGAAGAGTTTTGGTTAGATACTTTGTAGAATGTCTCTCAATTTGAGTTTGATGTTTTCTAATTGAATTATGATTATTTATTTTTGGGAAGATTACCACAGAAGTAGTATTCCTTCTCAGTGCATTATATCAGGAGTAACACAATGTCTTCTGTCTTATTGTTGGTGATATTACCTCGATCCCTTGGTTAAAATGGTGTCTGCTGAGTTGCTGTACTATAAAGTTACTCTTTTTACCTTTGAGTTTTATAAATATTTAGGGGAAAATACTTTGACACTATACAAATATTCTGTTTCTCTTCAAGTTTCTCTCTACTAACTTTAGCATCTATTGGTAGATGGTAGATCTTGCTTATTGGCAACAGTTATTTACTGTGGTGTTCTAATAGTGCCTTTCTAGTTCTCTGATTTCTATTTTAATTACTTGGAATTCTGTAAGAAAGAACTTTCTCTTCTGTTATTTACATCCTTACTTCAGTATGAGCTGTGAATATTTATATTATTTATAAATTATTTATAAGTATGCCAATATATTTATAAATATATTTTATATAATATGTTGACATGTATGTTATAATAATAAATAATAATATATGCTATTTGTATATTTATATTTAAATGTAAATTATATAGTGTTATAATCCCAAAATATACATTATTTATATATGTTGACATTTATAAAGTTATAATAATAAATAATATATGTTATTTATATATTTATATATAAACAAATTATTTATATACTTTATATTATTTATTATACTATATATAGTTAATTATATTAACTATATTATATATAATTATATTAACTATATTATATATTTAGTTAATTATATGAAACTATTATTATTTATTTTTTTCAAATTTTTCCAGCTTTGGCCATTGGTAGCTCTTTCAGGTTAGCTTGTGTGCCCTTTTAGCTTGTCCCCATCCTTTGAGCACTTTCTTACTTTCTGGTACCACAAGATACTTCCGGCTGATCTTGTATTTTCAGTTCTCCAGACCTGCAATCAACCACTTCTTTGAGGAGCTGTGGTTACTCTAATCGGAGTACTGTTTTTAGAAAGCAAGAGCTGGGCACTAAGTAGACCATTTGATTTTGATTCTAATATTGTTAGAGTGCTATTAGGAGCAATATTTTATTATGTTTTATTATCAGTATTTTGTTAGAGTGCTTAGCAAAATTCTTTCTTAGAACCATCTATGATGTACATTATGGATTACCTTTTTCTTAGAATTGTATTTCCTTTAAAGTTACTGTGATCTTTTAAAATTGGCAAGTATTGCTGTTATAATGGTAGAAAATTGACTATGAATTTATTATGAAAAATGTGTGATTTTAGTAAATACCACATTATATTTGAAATTCTTCTTTCCTCATGATTAAAAATGATACCATGAGCTTTCTCACTACATAGCATTATGGAAACATAGTAAAATTTTAGGAATCCTTGAATGTGTGTCAGAACATTCTGACACTGCTGAGGCAGGCAGATCACCTGAGGTCAGGAGTTCGAGACCAGCCTGATCAACATGGTGAAACCCTGTCTCTACTAAAAATACAAAAAATCAGACAGGTGTGGTGGTGCATGCTTGCAGTTTCAGCTACTTGGGAGGCTGAGGTACGAGAATCACTTGAACCCGAAGGCGGGGGTTGCAGTGAGCCAAGATCGCGCCACCACACTCCAGCCTGGGTGACAGAGTGAGACTCCATCTCAAAAAATAAGTAAATAAATAAATAAATAAAAGCAGATTGAAATGAGCTCTGTTAAGAATCTTCTCTTTTGCATTAAGAAATCAGTCTTTAAGACTAATGTCTTTACCTACCTATTTATTATTTCAAAGGGAGACAAATAAATAAACTTAGCACTGCTTATGTCTAATATAGGCCTTACCTGTATGGCACTATTATAGTATACCTATTGCATTTCTTTCACTCCTACTAGATCGTAACTATAAGTCACAGTGTTACACTCCTAATCCAGCATAGTGTTTAAGACATGAGGGTACTAATAATTATTAGCTCAAAAGCAAATAAAATATTTAAGTTTTATATTTTATTCTTTCTAGTTGAAAGATCTTTCTAGTTGAAATTATTTTCATATATTTAAAATACTTTTAATTATAAGAAACAGTCTTCTAAGAAAATTACTTATAAACCTAAAAATAAAATAATCCTGACTGTACCTGTTTCAAATCTCATTAATGCTAAGATACTGTTTCTATTCTGGGTTACATTTTGCCTTCATGATCTAGTCACAAATAAGTTTATCCCTTCTTCTAAATTGTTTATTATTTGTGCCATTATACTTCAGTTAATTTTTAAATAATGTTTCATTCAAATATATACTTCAATGACTTTCAAATCTTCATGAAGTATGTATAATATCTGCCTTTATGAAAATAGTCATTGGGGATTTTGTACAAATAATCTTAGAATTGAGAACTACGCCCTTTAAATAGTTATCTGGTATTACTCATGCTACTTAAAATAAACAATAATAATACCTATGGCCAAACATTGTGCCACTGTATTAGAATGTGTAGTCTTTAAGGCTAGATGCTACATCTTATTTGTTAATATACTTCCAGTGACTGTTAATAGAATCTAGTAGGTAAAACACTTCAAGCTTTCAAAAGCATAAAAATATAGAATATATATGTACAAGCAAATGTGTACATGTATGTACTTAGTATCAAATGTATCAAACTTAGTATACATTATAAGAGGCAATTGAATAAAATTTCTGATCATATTCACTGAATGGACAATACAATTTATCACTGTAAAAAGAAAACAGATGTGGGTTCCAAGCTGTTATTTTAGAAACTGAACATTACATGCTTTATAGCTGAAACAATTTTAAACTAAATTAAAGATCATCAATGAAAAAGCTTTTTTTTTGAAGCTTAATAAAAATCGTAGTGAAACAAAGAAGCTAGTTAACCTGTATAAACAGCAAGATGTTATTTTGATCAGCTTTATCAATACTTTAGACTTTCTATGTCTTAACATAAGAGTAAAAACAAAAAACAAACAAAAAACAAAATTAGGTATTTAATACTATTCAAACCAACACACAAATGTTTACCTAAGTCCCAACCACAGGGCTCAAACACTTTTTAAAAATGTTTTAAAGAATATGCAATATATATATAAACATTCCACCCTTGTGCACTTTTAATCTAGTTAGATGCTATGGCAACCTTTAAGTTTTGCTAGATTTCAAGTATTCTGTTAGTTTTCATGAAGGTTACTTAAGAACAATAGTTACAATCCCATTTGCACTGAATTTACTTCTTAGACAAATTTCCTGGGTGGAAATTTATTTTCCTGGCTAACTGTTCAAAGAAAGTATTAAAAACACACACACACACACACACACACACACACACACACACACCCTAACTCAAGAGGGAGGGAAAGAAAGAGGGAAGAAAAAATGAGAAGGAAAGGAGAAGGGAAGGGATGAATACGGGAGCGGGCAGGGAGGAGCTAAGAAAACAGAGAAGGAGGAGTATCAAGTGAAAAAATAAGCGTGATAAATGCCCTTACCTTCACTTCTTTTTTCTGCTTGTTTTGCTGCATTTTCTACTTTTTTTTGTTTTGCTGCTAAGAGTTCCCGTTTTAATTGTCTTGCTTCTTTTCTGAGCTCTTCACTATAAAGCAAAAAGAGTTATATAAGTATATAATATATTGAGAGTAAAAGTTGTTTAGCAAAAACAGAATCATTGGTATACTACATCTAAGAAAAATAAAGTGAATAATGTAATTCATTCATTTTGTTTCTGTGTATGTATACTTGTGCTATAGAAATACACTTAAAGGATTTTAAGAGTTCTAATTTTTTCATAATAACAATACGAATTACTATAAAATATACCCCCTATCAAATATGTGATAAATGACCCATTATCTTCCTAATTCACTAACAAATTTAACATTCTAGTTTCAGTTTAATAATTTACGGAGATACTGGATCAAAACAAAATTTTTAATATAAATATTACTCATTAAGCATGGACATACACAAAAAATTTGGCTTCAAAAATGGTTGAATTCCTGAACTGGTACCAGTGACTACCATTTATTAAGTAATTATTACACGGTAGGTGTCACGCTACAAACTTTTAACTCATTTGATTTTTAAACCCAAGTTTTTAACTCATTTAATACTACAGTTTGGCATATACATTTCCTTTTAATTTCCTGGTAGTTAAATCTACCAGGGTGAGGTCTGATGATTAATATAATCATGTGTTAAAGACAAACTTAGAAGTAAATGTTGACTTCACTACAAAGCACTAGCTAAGTGACTTGCTTCTCCATGCCAGTTTTAGGGCAGGAGATTCAAATTCATGCCTTGCAAAGAATTATTAACTACTCATTATCATAAACCCTTAGGGTTACTTGTAACTGGTCAAGACTGTGCATATATTATCTATGAAAGTCAAGTACCCACGGTATTTTCAACAAAATCTAGAGTGAATCATGGAAATTCAAAGGCTATAAACCCAAGTAGGCACTCCACTCTGAAAATGTTTATCAAAGATATTAAAGCCAAGGTTTAGTGGAATCTGAAGTCTAGATAATTACATATGTGATTGAACCTTTAGTGCTTCTTTCCTTATCCCAAATCCTATACCTTTTTACCACTGCCATGTATTAGTTACCAAACTGCTGGGTCTTACGATGTGTGTAACTCAGTTCTTTTTATCTTTTTTTCCACACCAGACACACACAGCCACATTTTGCATCTGCCTGGCCTCCAAGATCCTGAATTCTGAAAGTTCCCTCAGTGATCAAAATCCACTACCTTTTTAACTTTTTCAGCCTTTCATTTCTACTAAGCTTGCACATATTCCCATAATAATGAAAGCCAATTCCTTAACTGTAGTTCATGGTCCATCAGCCCCATTCTAGCCCTAATTGGCTATCTATTCAAACTGGATGCTATGACCAGTCATTTCACTGATGACCTCATCAGCACTCATAAGTTCCTTGTTTGTCCTGTGGATACATCATAATCACCTGGAAGAACTTGCTAGCAACATGTTGGGGGAGACAAACCTCCAGGGAATATAATAACTTTAGATGTGGAATGTTGCCTGGAAATTTGCCCTTGTAACGAGATCCCCAGATGATTCCAGTATGTACTCAGGTTTGGGATACAATGCTCTAGGATCTTATTATAGAAATTATCTTCTCTCTTTTACAATTTCAAACACTCCCACCTCACTGATCCTTTTATTCAGCAAACAAAAATGCTCAAATTTCTCTGGACTTGGCTCAAATCAAGTGATTATTATCTTCACAAATGGACTCCATTCTTGAAAGAATAGTTTACCTATACAGTCTGCTTTATTAACCTCTAACTTCTTAATCTCTTGCAATCTATCCCTCTTACAGTCTACTGAAACTGCTTCTATATCAACCAAATTCAATGGCCTTTTCTCATTTCTCCTCTTCCTTTTTGGCCTCTATCATTCAATGATGTTAATTATTCCTTCCTTCTCCTTTCTTCTTAGAATTCTATCCCAGTCAGGCTTATATACCATTTTAGCATTTTGAATCTCCAATTCTTCTCCTGGTTACTCTTTTTCTTCCCATATTATAATTGTTGACATTTTTCTCATCTCTATACTTTGTACACTGGCATTTTAATCTAATCTCATAACATCAACTATCACTCCTATATAGGTTATTTCCAAATGTAGATGTTTTGCCTTAATGGTCCTGCATTTGTACCTATCTTCTACAAATTTCTGCGTAGATTAACTCAGAAATTTAATACTGATATGGTATGGCTGTATCCCCACCCAAATCTCATTTTGAATTGTAGTTCCCATAATCCCCATGTGTTGTGGGAGGGACCTCATGGAAAGTGATTGGATCATGGTGGCAGTTTCTCCCATGCTATTCTCATGATAGTGAGTGAGTTCTCATGAGATCTGATGGTTTTATAAGCATTTGGTATTTCCACTGCTGGCACTCATTCTCTCTCCTGTCACCCTGTGAAGAGATGTCTTCCACCATGATTGTAAGTTTCCTGAGGCCTCCCCAGTCATGCAGAACTGTGAGTCAATTAAACCTCTTTTCTTTATAAATTACCCCAGTCTTGGGTATGTCTTTATTAGCAGCATGAGAACAGACTAATACACATACAATTTTAAGTTTCCTAGTAGACAGATTTAAAAACTAAAAGGAGCCGGGTGTGGTGGCTCACGCCTGTAATCCCAGCACTTTGGGAGGCCAAGGCAGGTGGATCACGAGGTCAGGAGATCGAGACCATCCTGGCTAACATGGTGAAACTCCGTCTCTACTAAAAAAAATACAAAACATTGGCCAGGCGGGGTGGCGGGCACCTGTACTCCCAGCTATTCGGGAGGCTGAGGCAGGAAAATGGTGCAAACCCGAGAGGCGGAGCCTGCAGTGAGCCAAGATCGCACCACTGCACTCCAGCCTGGGCGACAGAGCGAGACTCCGTCTCAAAACAACAACAACAACAACAACAACTAAAAGGAAACATTAATTTTTACATACTTAATATATCCAAAATATTACCAATTTAACATAAAACCAATATAGAGAATATTAATGTGATATTCAACACTCTCTTTTGTACTAAGTCTTCAAAATACAGTGTGCATTTTACACTTATAGCAAATCTCAATTGAGACTAGCCTCATTTCAAGGACTCAACTCTAGAGAAACAGCAGGCTGGACATCTCAACATAATTACAAATTCTTTATGTCCAAACCTGAAATCGTCTCCTTCTTGCCCAAATTTGTTCCTTCTCCTGAAGTCTCTATTTGATCATGGAACCATAATCTTTTGAATGACCAGACTTTAAATTTCCCTTGGACTCTTCTCCCTTTCCTTTCATTGAATCAGTGTTGAAGTACATCATTTTCTAATCTCTCTCACATATAACAGCTCCTCTTGACTTTAACCATCAATGCCTAGTTTAGGCTGTCATTATGTGTTCTCAGGTAAGTACAATTATTTCCTATTTCTTAAAGCTATATGAACACAACTGTAGATATCCCATATTTACTTGGCATGACATAAAAATGGAACTGGGTAGCCGCTGCACAGGGAACAGCAAACACATCTTCCATTTACTCCATCAAACATTCCTATCTTTTTATTATGCTACTTTGTATAGCTTTCAATTTGGTAAGTAATTCAGTCATTTAGATGATGTTTTCCGAACACTAAGGTCTTTGAGGTAGAGATTATTTTGAGAGTTGAAGAGGAAATGGTGCATTTCTAGGGTAGACAAACTAGTTATGAGAATAATTTGAAGTACACAAAGAATGAGGCAAAGAAAGTATAGACTGTTTACGATACTATTGTAGAGGGAGTAGAACATAGCTATTATAAGACTTAACTTTGGATTCAGAAAGTATTGATTTAAAAGCCAACTCTATCACTTATTAGCCAGGTGACCTGAGAATAGTTACTTAACTTCTCTGAGACTCAGTTTATTCAACTATAAATTAGGGGTAAGTTATGTAAAATATTGAGCACACAAGACATGTTCAACAAACAGTAGCTATTATGATTTAGGTCCTCTATTTAAAATAGCACCACTGTTAAGAGCTGTCTGTCATATGGGCATAGTTCTTTATTATTTATTATAAATGAATGTTATTTCTACTATATACAGCAAACAACTCTGTTCATCATTTTAAGAGGGCAATGAATGCACAATGCTTGCTTCTAAAAATCTATCCTTAAATAGTCAAAGATTTAGACACACTATATTAATGTAGTCATATCATATACAAACTGAGCAATGATGAATAAAAACTCAAAAATGACAAGGTGAGACAGAGAAGGGTAGGTCTATACAGATTATTAAAAATTGCTTCATTATGCTAAATGTTTCAAGTGATTGAAGATTTACAATGTTGTCAAAATCTTTGAGACCATTCAAGCAACACCATTTGTTAGTACTGTGGAATCCATAACTCTTGAAACGAAGTGCAAGTTTTTAAACCAATTTTTAGATCACAGTCTAAATTTAGGATTCCCAATCTTACATTCTTTGGAATATCATCCTATCCACTGGCATCAGAATATATTTAAATATGTTCAAATGAGAATTAAAATTGTAAGCTTGGAGTATATGTCACCATATACTGCCAAACTATGGGCTTACTTTAGAGTCCAGAAAGCATTGTCTTGGCCTCCTCAAAGCCTAGTCTCTGCTTAAATGGTAAAAAAAAAAAAAAAAAAAATGGCTTTTATAAACTGTTACTAACTCTAAGCCACTTATTGTTTTCCTCACAGTTATATTTCATTTGAATTTTAATATGCTTTGTATGACATCAGCATTTATCCACCAGATATTTCTGTATTGAATATATTTTTTATCTAGTAAATCTGCAATAAGTTACTCCCTAATGGAAAAAAGAATTTCTTAAAAAAAAACCCAATAAAATATCAGCAGCCTAGAAATTACAGTAGCTTTATACATTTAGTATTGGCAAAGAAATTACTAATTCATTTAGCAATTTCTGGAGCACTTAATATTTATATGGTAACATTCTGGGTACTGGCACAGAAATCAAAATGATTAAGGAAGGGAACCTCACTTTGCTAGGTTCTGTAAATCAGTTACCTCCTCTATCCCTCAATAATCTTTTTAATGAGCTGTGATATAGGCATTTTATAGGTAAAAAGGCTGACGTTTATGAAGATAAAATAAACACCTTTTTAGAAGTCACATAGTGAGTAAGTGACAGAGCTAGAAATTAAAAATGTGACTATCTGAACTCCAGGTCTATGCTCTTTCCATGTTGTTTCATGGACACCTTGAGAAAATGTTCAAGGAGCCTAAATTCCAAGGAGGGATATAAGCCATGTACATCAATAATAAAAACAGTACATAATAAAAAGCAGCAACTTCCATGACAAATAAATGATTGAAGCATTTTGAAATTCAGTGAAGAAAAGAGTACTGCAGGACAAATAAGAGATGGCCTCACAGAGGAAGCATGTGAACTGTGATGTGAAAGATAAGTGATAAGTAGGAATTAGCTATTTACAGACAGAATGAAGACGCATCCAAGCAGTGTGTCTAAACCAAGAAAGAGAGGTGGAAAAACAGGGTACATGCTAAAACATGAAGGTATTTGGCTATTGTATAAAATAATTTAAAGTGGGGCAAGGTAACTAGTAATGAAAGATAGAGCTGAGAAAAGGATCTGGGGTAAAGTATAAATGCCAAGCATTTGTGAGTAAAGTGACAATATTTTCCCTCAATTTTTTCACACCTTTGGCTTTTCCATTTTTTTTTTTTGCAACCGATTTCTCAACTGTTCTTAGTGTCTTCATTTAACCCACTATCCACCCATTTTAATACCTGACTTGTAATCCACACACTCCTTAAATGGCTCTCTCAAAAGTAACTTATGACCCCCTAATCACAAATTTCAATGGCTTCTGGTTAGATTGTAACTTAGACCTTGAAAAGAATCCAACTTTGTTGAACATCTTACCCCACTTTGCCCCTCTGCTATTTCAGAAATAGTGTCATGAGTGTCTTAGGACACTTAGGATCTTATCCTACCTCTTTGATATTCTTTCTCTGCTTCCACTGGTTCTACTTTTCTACCTTCTGCTCCTCAAAATTAGATGCTTCTCAACCTTCTTTTCCTCTCTATAAATTTCATCAACACTCAGGACTGCAATTCTCTCTGTCTTAATGCACCCAACATATAAAATCAAGATTATTAGCCTATCTTTTACCTATTTCCACTTTCAAGATTAAATTGACATTTCTAACTGCCAGATGAAAAATTCCACTAGACATACCACAAATGCATCAAATTTACCATTTTAAAAGTGAGATTGATAATGTTAGCTCCTCAACGAACACCAACTAATTCCTCTCTTTTCTATTTCTGATAAAGCTACCACAATGCTGGTTGTCAAGCCCACCTTCTAGTTATCACTCGCTTACTTACTACATCTTTCCTTTTTCCTTTATAAAGTCTTTTCCTTTCTATGGTTAGTGACAGCAATCTAGTTTGGGCCATCAGGACTTCACTTGGTTAACAGTCTCCTACTTGGTCTACGTGCCTCCAGTCTGACCTTTCTTCCATTCATTTTATAACACATACCCCAAATCCTACAGTTCTACTCCCCTGATCTTCACAGCTCCTTAAATCCTATTGAATTATGCACTAATTTCTTTCTTAAGTAATTAAGTCTCTCTCATGACCTAACTTCAAACTACTTTTTTTCAACTTTATCCCCCACATATCCTCTACAGTTACTCTAAATTTCAGTCAAAACATACTAGTCATAATTACCATGGCAAACTTTGAGATTCAGTACACATACTCCTTTGTTCATGCCATTTCCACTACTTAAAATGGTGTTTTTCCCCTATTTCTGTCTACTAAAATCTTCCACATCTTTTAAGCCTTCATGGAAAAAGTGGCACTTGAGTATAGCTTTGGAAAATTGTCAACCTCATTGATCCTCAGTTTTCTCATCTATACATTGTGTCTATATTCAACATATATAATATGCAAAACTGATGCAAAGATTTAGGATTAATATGAGTAGGCACACTAACAGGTGCTTTTTTTTTTTTTTTTTTTTTTTTTTTTTTAATCTGTAACCCAGGACAGTGCTGACTACCTGGTGCTTAGAAGGCATTTATTTTTATATTCAAAATATACTACAACCAACTCATGACTGTTAAATTACATTAGCAATTTAAAGAATTAAAACTGTGAAAATTAATGATAAAATGACACTAATTATTAATGCTAAAGATATCTACTCTAATGCCAGTGATGAGTTGTTTTCTTCATTTAAAACTAATGTCAACTTATAGCATTCCAAATGATTAGACAAAGTATTTGGGTGGGGGTCTTGGGAAGAAATGTGTTTACCAAAAGACCTAGACTAAACAGCATTATTTGGCCATGAAAAGGCAATTAATTCTCCTTCTTTGCCTCAGTTTCATCATCACAGAAAAATAGTTTAAGTAAGGCAAAAAATAATGTTTCTAAAATGCATAATCAAAATTATAAGTGTAAAAAGTTATACCACGCAGATCATTTTAATTCCTTTTGATTTGGCATTTTAAAGCACATTTTGAATTAAAATTATTTCCTTGGTTTTCATTCACATCACTAAGGAAGCAGCGAGATGCTGAGTGTTGACGTCTTCATCCTAGACACAAAAAAGCTGAAGTATAGAGATGGCAAGAGATTTTTCAAAATTATCCAAGAAAATAATAGAATTATCAACATGACACTGACATCTTAATTCTTCATGCAGTTTTCACTCAACCTGCTAACCACCTAATAAGTGAAAAGTACTTTTAGACTCATACCTTACCTTTAAACTGAATATTTTATTTATTTACAATTTTTATTGATTTCTAATATGTGTACATTTTTATGGGCTACATGTGGTATTTTGTTACAGCTATAGAATACGTAATGGTAAAGTCAGGATATTAAGGGTATCTATCACCTCAAGCACTTAACATTTCTGTGTTGTGTAAATTTCAAGTCCTCCCTTCTAGCTGTTTTGAAGTATACAATCCATTATTGTTAACTATGTCAACCTACTCTGCTATTGAGGATGGAGCTTATTCTTTCTATTCAACTGTTTATACTCATTACCCAATCTCTCTTCATCCCCCCCAACACACAAACCCAGATGCCTCTGGTATCTATCATTCTGCATTCTACCTCCATGAGATCAAGGTTTTTAGCTCCTACATATGACTGAGAATATACGATATTTGTCTTTCTATGCTTGGCTTATTTCACTTAACACAGTGACCTCTTGTTCCTTCCACGTTGCTGCAAATGATAGGATTTCATCCTTTTATGGCCAAGTAATATTCCATTGTGTATGTACACCACAGTTTCTTTTTCCATTCATCCAATGATGGACTCTAAGGTCGACTCCACATCTTGGCTATTGTGAATAGTGCTGCAATAAACATGGGGGTATAGGTATCCCTTTGATATAACAATTTCCTTTTCTTTAAATAATATCCAGTAGAGGGATTTAAGCTGAATATCTTCTATACAACAGGAGATACTATAAATAAATAACTACATAAGAAAATTTTTATTACTACAATGTCAACATATTTACAATTTTTATAAGATCATTCGTTATTACTTGATTGAAGTAGTTTTTTAAAATCCTGCAATTATTTTTTAACTGTGCAGCTTTTGAACATGCGATTGAGGATTTAAAATGGAAATGTCAAGTATCTTGCATAACTGTCAGTCTAGTTTTTATTTTTTCCCAGATGCTTTTTTCATTTTCTCCAGTTTCTAGGAATGTGCCTTAGGAAAACTTCTAGTTATATCTATTATTTTTTCTTATGTCACGAGAAATATTATTTTAATATAAGGGTGATGAAGTCAAGCACTGATCTTCTCTAATATTCACATTTAAAAAATTGATGAAGATTATCAAGACCTGAGTGACATGCTGTTGGAGAGATCTTAAATCTACATAAATGGAATATGTGTTAGTTTCTTATATATGATGGTAAATGAACTTGCTTAGAGGCCTTGTTAAACAAGCTGATGGCTAAACACATGCCCATTACAGACTATTGTTTCTTGGACCACGGATGTAGCACTTGCAGTTAGTTTAAGCCTGCTATTTCCCAACATCTGATAAGAATTCATAACACATGGAAATGATTGAAAACCAAACAGTATACCCTTCATGGTCTTTAGCCTGCTGCTTTAATCACAAAGATATCCAATCTGTTTGTAGTGAAACAGCAGCTTGGCTGTTGATAAAATCATAAAATAGCTGTAATAAAAGCCCATCATATGTATTAAAATTATAGATGTTTCATACAATTTTTAGACTTACAGTATCATCAGCTGTAGCAGAGATGTAGGTTCACCATATTTCAAAAAGTGCCAAAATGTACTGTAGTTTATACACACATTTTGAAAATGTATACTTATATCATGCAAATATCTAACAAAAGTTAGTCAATAAAACTCCACTCTGTGTTCGAAGCTCTGTTCTACCTATTACTAGCAGTACCGCATTGGACAACTAAGTTAACCAATGTAAGCCTCAGTTCACTCACCTAGAAATGAAAAGAATAGTAAGGTTGTTGTAAGAAAGAACTAAGATTCTATGGAAATTATTTAGCATACTTAGCATAGTACTTGGCCCAAGATAGTACTAAACAGAAATTTGCTTCTCTTATTATTATTGCTTTCACCTCCACCACTACCACTATTCCTATTCTTGCTATTTACAGAATCTATTAATGACAAAATGAGATCTCAGTCTAACAAAAGAGATTAAAAAGGCAAGTTTTTCCATTGTTTCCATGGAGATACAGATTTCAAAAGCACAGTGATTAGTTTTTGTGTTTGGGGCACTGCTTAGATTAAATATATGCTATGCAAGTGAGAAATGTAACAGTTTTAAAAAAACTAAAAATTACAAAATTCCCATATCCTAACTCTGGTCACTAAATGCTTCAAAGTGAATTGCTTATTTTCTTTCATTATAACCTAGCTGAAAAGGTAAGGAATAAGCGAGTCAACAAAGAAATGCATACATACTTAGAAATTCTATGAGGGAGGCTAACAGAGAACCTACCTTATTTTAGTCTAAGTGATCCTGAAAGGTATCTATCAAAAGATAACATTTAATCTGAGAGCTAATGTTCTATGTGCCCTTTATAATCTGCTACACCATTACTTACGAATAAAAAGACTATATCCATATCTTTAAATATATTGTAATTTAGAAAGAAAAGGAGAAATCTAAACACACTTGTATATAGCCTTTAAACTTACAATCTTACTCCTTCCATATGAAAGATCATATGTATTTTTAATGAAAAGATTAGAAGTCTAATGTAGATGACCCCTAATCTTTGTAAGATCTCTTTCAAATCTTAGAAAATTTTATTCTTTTTTTCAAAACACACTAAACAGTGTATCTTAAACAAAATCATAAAGTGCCAATAATATCAGTAGGTGATATTGCTATTCTGTCTAAGCACCAAGTAAAAATCTCAGAATCAAATATGTTATTTCATAACAAAAACTTGGCTTAGCCAAGATTTCACAGAAGTGGAGTACATTTGCTGTGGCAGAAACCCAGTCTTTAGCCAAATGTCTATTTCACAATCCAACTTTACAAATGATATTAATTCAACATGAAAAACAAATTTGACTTCCATTTCTAGTAAGGCAGTATACTAGATAACCTGAAAACTCTCTTGTGACTCAACACATAGAAGTGCTGAATAGAGTACATTTTTAAAAACACCTTTAAATACATATGTTTAGCTCACTAGAAATCAAGGGCAATATCCAGGGTTTGGAAAATGAGGAGGGGGACTGAAAACCAGAGCAATAAGCATTGGAACTGATAGTTGAACACTCTGAGTTACTGGTCTCAGGAACCTAGAAATAGAGATTTTAACAATCACAGGCATGGTGGTGCGTGTCTGTAACTCCAGCTACTCAGGAGGCTGAGGCAGAAGAATCGCTTCAACTTGGGAGGTGAAGGTTGCAATGAACCAGGATTGTGCCACTGCACTCCATCCTGGGTGACAGGGCAAGACTGTCTAAAAAACAAACAAAAAAAAGCATCGGCTGGGCACGGTGGCTCATGCCTGTAATCCCAGCACTTTGGGAGGCTGAGGCAGGAGGATCACGAACGAGGTCAGGAGTTCGAGACCAGCCTGTCCAACATGGTGAAGCCCCATCTCTACTAAAAATACAAAAATTAGCCAGGCATGGTGGCACATGCCTGTAATCCCAGCCACTCAGGACACTGAGGCAGGAGAATAACTTGAACCCAGGAGGCAGAGGTTGCAGTGAGCTGAGATTGTGCCACTGCACTCCAGCCTGGGCAATAGAGCAAGACTCTGTCTCAAAAAAAAAAAAAAAAAAAAAAAAAGCATCAACAATAGACTAGATCAAGCAGAAGAAAGAATCTCAGAACTTGAATACAGATCTTTTGAAATAACCTGGTCAGACAAATATCAAGGAAAAAGAATTTTTAAATGAGCAAAGCCTTCATGACACTTGAGACACCATAAATTGACAAAACATGTGAATTATCACACATATTTACAGTCAACTGATTTTCAACAAAAGCACCAAGAACATACACTGGGACAAGAATACCCTCTTCCAGAAATAGTGCTGAGAAAACATGCAGAAGAATAAAACTAGACCCCTATCTCTAACCATATACAAAGATCAACTCAAGATGGATTAAAGACTTAAACATAAGACCTAAAACTATAAAACTACTAAAAGAAAACATAGAGAAAACACCTCAGGACATTGGTTTAGGGCAAAGATTTTTACATCTAAGACCTCAAAAGCACAGAACAACTAAAACAAAAATAGACAAATGGGACTATATTAAACTAAAAAGCTTCTGCAAAGCAAAGGAAATAACTAGGTGAACAGACAACCTGTTGAATGGGAGAAAATATTTGCATACTACTCACCTGACAAGGAGCTAATATCCAGAAAATACAAAGAATTCAAACAACAATAAAAAAACCCAATAATCCTATTTGAAAATGGGCAAAGGATAGGAATAGACATTTCTTAAAAGAAGATATACACTACCTTAATTTAAGAGAGAAGGGTCTATTGCTATAATACTTTGAATTTTGGTTTAGAAAAGGAACTACTATTTATCACAGAGAAGACCTATTTATATTTAATATTTTTATTAGAAGGAATGTTGTTTTGTTACTTAATTGATGTATTTTAAAAATTGAAATACTATTGTTCAATTTATTAATATGCTATATTACATTAATAGACTTCCTTTAATTGACTGACCTTTACTGTCCTTGGAAAAAAGCTTTCTTTCTTTGGCTATTTTTAAAATAATGCTTCTAAGTGAACGAAACAAAACAAAACGAAAAGCTTATGCATTCCTTTTGTACACCTTCCGTGTTCACAGAATATTTTTAGGTGTGTTGTTATTTTGGGTTTCTATTTTCTTTTCTTTCTGCTCTATTGCCTTAATTTTTTATACTGAGTAGGCATCATTTTCATGAAAAACTGAAGTCATTAGGAAAAATATTAATGAACCACATTTATCACAGTATCCAACACTGTGACTCAGTATGTTGTTGGTGCTAAATAAATATAGGCATACACTAAGGGAGAAAGAGTACAGAATACTAATCTGGGACCCATCAGAGGGAAATGTGGGGGTTTGGGAAGAGGAGAAATTTTGTTGTGAAGACAGACGTCTAAAATATAGCACACAGAATAAAAATCACTGAGATAAGAGCATCAGATAGAATGATGTCGATCAGGATTTAAAGAGGATGAGGTCATTTTTGTGAAAGCCATACTTGGTAACAGATAAGCATTATGTAAATTCTTTAAGATTTCCCATTTCCTATAGTGTTCTTGCCTTGTTAAATTTGCTTTACCGACATCAAAACACTTTCAACATTATGTAAAAAAATGAATATATGGACAAATGATTTAAATATAGTACATGGTATAGATTAAATAAGAAAAAAATGAGGTGGAAGTTTCTCTGGCATTCATCTAGACTTTCATCGGCATGTATCAAAATTATATAAAATGGCTTCTAGGATATCATAAAGCTTTACAAAGCGTTTCACAAATGAAGCTGCATATAAGTGATCCTCTTGAATTACTGAAGCTTTTCACGTTTAGGAACTTTTGGCCCTGCCTCTCTCATACAGTGCAGGTACAGACATTGAAGTGCCTCCTTCCCATGCAAGCCCATTCCACCTGGGTCCTGAACCAGTTATGCATGAGAGATCTATCATGAGCATCTATTCAAGAATAAGGCATAAAATGAGTCATTCTGTTTGAGTCACATCTATTCCTCCTAAAGCACTCCTCTCTCTTCCACTTCCCTTCTCCTCATAACTCAAAGTCATCCTTCAGATCTCAGCTTCCATGCCATATTCTCTGCAAAGACTTTTCTGAACTCTCAATACTGATGCACAAGCTCCCTATATTTATCCTTACCTTAGGTCTATAATCAAGTATACCTAAATGTGGCCTTCCTGATAATAACAACACAGTATGATGTTGATGATGATACTATTGTTATGATGCATTTTTCAAATTCTAAATCCAGGCTCTTTCCTCACTGCATGGGTTGAAGTTTCCAAGTCTCCCAGGAAGTATTTTGCTTGCTTTTTCAAGACAGAAGAGCAATTAGATAAACAGTGCTTTTGCTCACCTGACCTTAAAATTTGCCTTTTCTTACTGCCTTGTCTAACTGATAGGCTTGGACTCTTTTGGTACAGATGCCTGCCCAAATCAAGTGTATCACATCTTTTTGGCCTTGGGGCTCTGTGATTTGCTTGCCTGGAAGTCCCTGCCCAAACTAGAGCCAGAACAATATTTTAAACAATATTTAAAGTGATGAGAAATTTGATCTCATCACTTCAATGCTACAGTGACCCTTAATTCTCAAAGTCCAAACTCCTTAAGACTGCAAGGTTCTTCATGGTCTCAGCTCTGCTTCATTCTCCATCTTTATCTCTTGCCTCACTTTTTGCATGCATTCCCACATCCTAAAATCCTGTTAGTTCTCAGAATGTATAATATAATCTTTAACATCTATTCCTCATGACCTAAAACACTCCTCTCTCTTCCACTTCCCTTCTGCTCATAACTCATAGTCATCCTTCAGATCATAGCTTCCATGCCATGTTCTCCATAAAGACTTTACTGGACTCTCAATACTGATGCACAAGCTCCCTATATTATCCTTACCATCAAGCTTATCATATTGTATTTTAGCAGGCTGTTTATTTTCTTTGTAATCTCCAGTAGTCCAATAAAACTGTATTCATTTCACTTTTGCAACTCCAATAATTAGCACCAAATCTGACATAAAATCAGCATTCAATACTCAATAAATACATTAAACCAAACTAAATTGTTGGTAGTGCTAATCATTCTTTGAGATTGCCTAAAGCTGCAATTTTTTGTTATTATAATATCATGGGATTTTTTTTAAAGGTATGAAAAACAATTCAGTTCTCTCAAGCACTGGCAAAATGTATCATTGCTAAATGTGTGTACCCTTCCACTCAGCAATTCTATATACTTATCATAAGAATCCCAAAGTGCTCAAGCTCCTTGTCAAGCACAAAAGAAGAATGTAATGGGTGTTCATGACAACACTGTTTATAAATATAATAAAAGCAAATAATTATTCAGTTTATATAAAATTGTATGTTTGTGAATATATGTGTACATGCCACCAAACAAAAACAAAGATTTGCAAGGTGGTTTACCAAAATGAAAACAATGGCTAGCTCTGTAGAATGCAATATCACATGACTTAATGATTTAATAAACTATTAATTCTGGTTATAAAGAAAAATTTATTTCTGTTTAGAAAAAAAGAAGTTTCTTTTTTGAGGGGAATATTTCAAATAATTTTCCTTGAACAAATTTGGTAGACATTATGATTCATCATTCTTTCTGTGCTCATTTCTAAAATTAAAAGAAATCATCATTGTAAAGTTAAATTTAATCAAATAAAAATACTCCAGTGTTCAAGACACTTAATGGATCATGTATTTTTTTTTTTTTTTTTAACCAATTTAAGAATCCACTTGTTAAAACATTTTGATTTCTACCATGATCTCATGCAAAATCTCAAATATTTTGGAGTGACTATATTACGTTAAGAACAAAAAGTGTGACATATTTGAATGCTTATGCAACACAGATTTTTTATTTTTGCAGAATAAATTTTACCACAGGGTGTATTTCAATTTGTACTAAGTAACACATCTATAACTACAATGACAGCATTGAGACTTTTAAAAAGG
Organism: Homo sapiens; assembly: GCF_000001405.40. Classification (NCBI taxonomy): domain Eukaryota; kingdom Metazoa; phylum Chordata; class Mammalia; order Primates; family Hominidae; genus Homo; species Homo sapiens. The sequence goes on along the minus strand of NC_000005.10, from coordinate 64,870,244 downwards.
TTTCTTAATATTTCCATGGCAATTTTATTAACCATGATGAGGAATAAACTGGCTGTATGAATTTAATAAAACTGCAAGTCCAAATCACTCAAAAACATTTTGCTCAAATTTGATATCACCTCCCAAAATTCAACATTTTGGGAACTACACTGATATATGCTTCTGTTCTGGGAATTATTCAGCTCTTGCATATGGCCACTATGCCACTACAAGGGTGTTTTTGGGGAATTAATACCTTTTCACTCTCATTTTTTAGTTTTTTTTCCCCATCCTAAGAGCCATGGGGGCAGGGGATAGGCAGAGGCAAGGAATCAGTAAGGAGAGAAAAGGGAAGTTTTTGTATTTTTCCAACTGTAACAAGAAAGCTCCTACTTTAAGGGGAAAAAAAAATCCCAAACTGAGTTTTCTTTCCTCTCTAGCCATCTAGACACATAAAACACATAATATGGTATAAAAGCTTTTTGGATACAATAGACACAAAGCCACAGCAGGGGTCATCATCTGTGTTTCTTGACTTTTGTAAAAACTCTCACCTATTATAGTGGCTTAAAGATTTGCTCTACATGAATCTGCACATTCTCTGCCTCTGAAACCCTAATTGGCATTTAGCTGAAAATAAGCTTTATCCTCAGAGTCACTAGTGACTGGATGCAAGAGCTGACTCATTCCTAGGTCACTGCTGTAGAAAAGGTCAGTTTTTCTTTTCCATAAGGCTTCATAGACTTAACTTCTCTGTGGGTTTCCTACTCTGTTACCACCTGGCAGACAAACAGGACCAGAAAACTTGCTTGAACTGTGCTAGACCGACCCTTCAAGAAAATAAGGACAAGATGTGAGCCAGGAAAAGCACTTTGGAAACTGCTTGCACCTAATAAAAACATATTTTTAATTTAGCTAATATAAAATCCAAAGTAGTTCAGCCCAAATAGAAAAGATGCTTTATTTATATTTATGTGGGTTCTTAACTTAGGTTTGATTCATGCTTCATGCATGAAAACTACCATTTTATAGAATACGGTGAACAGCTGGCCTACATATACCTCTACTGTTCTTCATTAAACCAAAATGAGATACATGGCAAGTTTCAGTATTTGCCCTTAATTTTATGAATAAACCAAAATTTTCTTTTATGAAGTAAATTTATTAAAAATTGTAATTGATAAAGTAATTAATTAGAATTTCACATGGCTTTCTTTTCCTCTATTCCAAAAATGTTCCAAGTCCTGTTCCAAGTATGTGTACATACACATATACCTTCTCATTGAATCCTCACATCAAATTCTAAAGGGATGTTATTTTTACAAGTGGGAAATTGAAGAGAGGCAATGGTGTGGAAATTTGACAGAGGGAAGGGTATATGCAAAGATGATAAGGTAAGAAACAGCAAGGCAATGAGGCAACGCTTCAGCTTACGTGAAACATGCTATACGACAACTAGAACTACAAAAAATACACCTGAGGAAACAAAAATTGATATATTTCACACTCAATACAAAAAAAAAGTTTTATTGGCTATATGAACTTGAAGACCACTTAAGAAAATAGGGTCAGGTTGAAAGCAGTTTCAATGGAATATAGTTTAAGCAGTAATTCCAAAACGTTAGCTGATATCAGAATCACCTGAAGGCTTGTTAAAACACAGATTGCTGGTCTTTACTCCCAGAGTTTCTGATTCTGTGGGTTTGGGGTGGGGCCTACACCTTGAGAAACAGAATGCTGCTTTGGGGACAACACTCTGAGAACCAATAGAACAAGAACAATGTTACGTATGTAAGTCTGAGACTTTATTAATATTTTCTTAGCTTTGAAAACAAACTTAGGAGATAAACAGAATTAGTTACTTTACATTTGATCAAACTTCAATATTTATCATTGGAAACACTAAAAACTTAAGAGGCGACTAGGAAATACTTAAGAAAGTTTTGCTTTCAGGTAAATTCAATAATAAACAAACTCAGGTATTTTCCAGGGGCCAGAGGAACACAGGTGCCCCTTTATAAGCTAAATGTTCTTTCATTGTTGCAGTTAGCATAGAGTTTTCAGAACGACTTTTCTTATATGTGGGTTAGATGGGGATGGTATATTCTGGGTGAAGAATGTAGTCTTCTAGAATCTTGGCAATTTCTTGATGAATTTTCAATGTATTGCTATTAGCTTTGTGGCTGATACTCCACTCTGATTTTACATTTATTCAGAATCTGCAGCACAATACTATTGTAGTTCAAAAGGAAATAAATCTGGTATGTGATATGTCAGTATCTAAAGCTAATATAAACAACAACAACAACAACAACAGCCCCCCCCCCAAACACAACAAAGATTGACAACAAATGGGTTCTGGATTTATCTCTTGAAGTTGTATTCCCCTTCTTCCTTTGAGGAGCCTTCCTAGCTCTGGGAAAGAAGATGTTAGTGTTAGAGATAAGCCCTAATGTTGTGAATTAAAAGTAACCTCCAACCCTCACTATGCTTAGGTACCCTAGGTGGGGTCTGCTATGTCTTTCAGTGGACTATGGCTCAGACTTCACACATGAGGTCAGGTCTTCTTAAAAAGTGCTGGAATATCATGGCTGATATTACTTTCTCATGTTCCATCAATTTGCAAGGCAATTCCTTATAACTCACAGGAGGCTTGTCCTAATGCCTAACAAGGCTTTCTTTGCCAGGACCTCTGACTTACTCTACAAACTTAGACTCACTGCAGTCTTACCGCATGGTTCAGATTCTGATTGGCTCCGTTATGCTAGTTGTTAGGAATAAGTTAACAAAGAAGCACTGACGGCTTTATTAGGAGATCTCAACATCTACTTGAAAAGTGTGTCGATAAAATAGAAACTTATTCTTGTTAAAGTAAAAATTCACACTGTAATATCTATCATAAAACTTTACAATATATCAATATACAGTAAAACCAACAATAATATAATAATACCAAAAGCAAGCATCAGTTATATCCTCCTATTTCTAAGTCCTGCAAGGGAAGATCATAAGCTTTGCAACCAGAATATGGGTTAAAGTCCTGGCTCAACACCGCACTAGCTGTGTGACATTGGAAAAATTTATACAAAACTTCCTGAGGTTGCTTTCTTATATGTGAAAAGGAGGAATATCCACAATGGTGTTGGGAGTTTGAACAAATCTTGATTCTCTTTTCTTTTGAACATTCTTAAAACTAACCCAAATTGCTTCCCTTTTTGCTAGGAGCTGCTAAATTATATATATCCATAATCCTCAGGTGTGTGAAATGTTTATACATATTCACGTAGAAAATGTCAAAGCAAAAGTGTCATACATTTTTCCTACATTCCTCCTCATACCTTGTAGTGAGTGATCAAAGGTGTGGGCTCTAATCTATAGAACACTTTATCTGATGAGAACAGAATATACATTCTTCTCAAATGCATATGAAACGGTCTCAAGATTGACAATATTCTAACACATAAAATGGGCCTCAATATATTTAAAGCATTGAAATCATATGATGTTCTCCAACCACATGGAATGAAATTAGAAGTCAATAATAGAGAGAAATTTGGGAAATTCACAAATACGTGGAAATTAACAACATATTCCTAAACAACCAATGGATCAAAGAAGAACTCACGGGGAAATCAAGGTACTCTGAGTTGAATGAAATGACAGCCCAACATACTAAAACTTACAGGATGCAGCTAAAACATACTTAGAGGGAAATTTATACCTGTAAGTAAATGCCTATGTTAAAAAAGAAGAAGGATTTTAAATCAATAACATAACCTTCTACCCTAAAAAACTAGAGAAGTACAGTGTACTGCTTTGTCACATCTTAAGCCTTAGGTAAAACATAAGTCATCAATACAGTTATTCTTATAGCCTAGTACTTTCCTGGTATTTTTTTCCTGCTAGGTACTATATGCCATATTTAGAAAAGAATCAACCAGTGATCTCTCTTGTCAATTACCAATTGGGAACTGTACTTCTGGGAGTCCTACAAGTTAATGTGATGATTTGGGGAGAAAAATCACCAGCTTTGGTTTCTGAATCATACGTTCAAATCATATCAGCAAAGTATGTGTACACATATAATCTAACTGGAGTCTCAGAGAGTGGGCAGGTCATGGGCTTATCATCTGCTTTATAGATATGAAAACCAAGCCTCTAATTAAAAAATCTCCTTGACAGACGGGTTCTCAAGTTCCAGTGACTTGTAAAATCTCTGTTATGTACATTTGTAATTATTTTAACTAAGGCTTTCTAATATGCTTTGGTTAAAATGACTTATTCTGAGTTCTAAACATTTTAAAACCAGATTCATTTTCTTGTAAGGCACACCATATGACAGATGTGGCTGGAAGACTTCAAAATAAGCAGAGCCATTAAAAGATGATTCAAGATGTACTGTTATTTTAACATTAATATTTCAAGAAGATAATGTTTATATATATGACTAGACAGATTCATCACATCCTGAAAAATATGCCCAACGTGACTCTTCTTTGCTCATTTGTTGGCTGTTAGAGCCCAGAATAATTACCAGTAATGCGTAGCTTTATGAATAAAACTTTAACATTATAAAGTAAAAAATCGAGAGATTTAGCCCTTAAACCAAAAATTAAACCATCTTCCCTCTAAAAATAAGGCAAATTTACTCTCAAGTTTATCCCAATAACAAAATTAACCAATGATTCAATCATTTAAATTCCCCTATTTGACATCACCGTTTCCAATCACATCCATTCCCAAAGTCCTACTTTATGTCATACCAATCTATATAAATTAGGCAAAATTATGTCAAATCCTATGCTATATCATGAATATCCTTTCTTTCCCTTTATATATTTATACCACAGAACACTTATAGGTGAATACTAACTAACTTCTACTATGGAACTTCAAAATAATTCTTCCAAAACTGAACACACAATTCTTAGAAAAAGACTGAGAAGTGGGCCATTTGGGCTCACTCCACTAGTTATTTGTGTGAGTTTGATGAAATCACAGTCTTTCTGAGGTTATTTATTCCCTGAATATTTAACAACCAAGGGCCACATCCTGTCTCACTGTAAATGTTAATGTAGTCTATTCAGCCAAACAAAGTAATACTTTTCTATGTTTGCTGTTACCCCAAGTTTTTTTTTTTTTAATGCCCTTAGCATGTTGCACTGTATTTTGTACCAGATACACAGTTGATGCATAATAAATATTTGTGGAATAACTATTTCAAAAATAATCTTAAACATTTTTCTCTTTGATCAACATTTCAATTATATAGGAGGCATACATTTTTGAGATCTACTGCACAACATGATGACCATGGTTAATAATAATGCATTGTATATGTCAAAATTGCTGAGAGTAAATTTCAAATGTTCTCACCATAAAACAAGGATATGAGGTGATGGATATGTTAATTAGCTTGATTTAATCATACCACAATATATACATATATTAAAACCTCACATTGTACCCCATAAGTATACACAATTATTATTTGTCACTTAAAATTTTTCTAAAAATGTATTTCTTAGTGACGAAATGCATTGTGAACCAAGGATTAGGATTAATCCACAATACCTGAGACCTACTAAAAACAACTTAAGTAAAAATACTACTTATCCTAATTCGGAAATTTATAACAAATAACACTAATTATGCCATAAAACATATTAACATATGGGTAGGTGACATCTGGGAAATTAACTTTTCAGGCTCTAAAGGAAGATATTAGAAAATATAAATTCAGAGGCTCTAATACTGTAGTGGGAGCATTTGTTGTTTGGGCCAAGCAGCACCCAAATAGCCTCTGTATTTTAAAAGAATCCCAAGGTAGTTTGAAGGCAAAACTGCCACCCACTTCAGAAACCCATGACCTGGAAAGATCTTATCTTATTCACTTGCCAGCCAGGGCATGCATAGATGACCTTGGCAGAGCCAAGGAGGTGCTCTTGCCCAGGACTCTAAATCTTGAAATATTGGAAAAGTAAAAGAGGCCGAAGTTGAGATGATTTGACTTTCAAAAAGAATAATGGCTATCATTTATGTAATCATATTGAAAATATAAAAATCCACGAGGCATAAATAATACTCATAAAAGATAAAGCCAGATATACAAATAAGAAAACCTCATTTGCCACCCTTAGAGGTGACTATCGCAATTGTTATTATAAAAAATTGGTAATAAAAAAATAAGAATTATGCAGGCTTTTCTACAGGAAGCATATCTCAAAATAATCAAAGCCTCAGTTGATGAGTGAAAGCTTTTCTTTATAGATGAATGCAAGATAATAAATATAAATGGAACGACAGAAAATAATTATTTTGCAACTCCTACTGAAGTAACTGATTCAGGACAAGAATCACCAATGGATGGCAAAATTTTTACATAAAGGATTGATGGGAAACTATATATTCATGTGATATCAAAGTATTACTTCATAGAATATCTGCTAAGAAAAGCATAACTCTAAATTAGAGAAGGGCTGAATGCAGTGTCTCATGCCTGTAACCCCAGCACTCTTGGAGGCCAAAGTGGGAGGATCACTTGAAGCCAGGAGTTTGAGACCAGCCTGGGCAACATAGTGAGGAGTGGCAAAAAATTTAAAAAGTAGCAAGGCATGATGGTGCGTTCCCATAGTCATAGCTACTCGGGAGGCTGACGTGGAAGGATCACTTGAGCCCAGGAGTTCAAGAATCCAGTGAGCTATGATCACACCACTGCATTCCGGCTTGGGAAACAGAGTGATATCCTGTTGTAAAGAAGAACAAGAGGAGGGGAGAGGAGGAGAGGGGATGGGAAGAGCACAGGGAAAGGGAGGGTGTAGGGGAGAGGAAAGGTGGGGAGGGCAGAGTAGGGGAGAACAGAGGAGGAGAGAAAAGAAACAAAATACCTGAATGTATTTTATTAGTCTTGAGTAAAAGAGAGGTAAGTAGACATCATACAAACCCTTAATTTAACACTGTAAGCAGTGTCGCCCATCACAGTATCACCCATCCCAAGAATGTTTAATCTGAACCAAGCTTTTAAATCTAACTTATAGGTAGCAGAAAATACAGATGATAGAGGAACAAGTTACATGATGCTACATAGAAAAAAATCTAACAAGTCCAGAACGTGAGTCATTCTATACAGGACAACTAGCCCAACTTTATCAAGTCAAAGGTATGAGAAAAATTAAAAGGGTAGGAGATACTGAATATTTTTGTCCTTCCCATATTCATATGTTGAAACTTAATTCCCAGTGTGATGGTATTTGGAGGTGGGGACTTTGGAAGGTGAGTAGGTCCTGAGGGTGAAGCCCTCACAAATGGGTTTAATGCTCTTATAAAAAATCCCAGAAAGGTTTCTTATCCTGTCCACCACATGAGGACACAATGAGAAGATGGCCATCTATGAACCAGGAAATAGGCCCTCACGAGACACCAAATCTGCTAATGCCTTGATCTTGGACTTCTCAGCCTCAAGAACTGAGAGAAAGAAATTTCTCTTTTCTTGTTTATAAGCCACCCAGTTGATGGTATTTTGTTAAAGTAGCTTGAATGGTCTAAAGCAAAACTCAAGAGACTAAAAAAAATTCAACATGTAAACCTTGACTGGATCTGGACATATACAGACAAGCTATAAAAAACATTTTGCAAACACCTGGGAAAATTTGAATATGGGCTGGGTATTAGATGATTATTAGGGAATTATTAATTCATTACATATATGAATTTTAGTATGGTTATATAAGTTTTTCCATTTTAAGGTATTCATATTCATATTTTTAGTGGTAAAACATGACTTCTGTAATTTATTTCTGTGTTGAAGTATTTTAATGCAAATACAGCAAACTATCAATCATTGTTTAATCCAAGTGATAAGTATATGAGTGTTTTCTTCTAGGGTTTTGTTTGTTTTTGAGGAAGGGTATATTATATTTACTTCCTGATATGCCTAAATTATTTTTAATAAGATAAAAGATTATTTGCGCTGGCCATAGTAGCATGGAGTCCATAAATATGCAGTGTGGCTGTGTCAGCAACTGCAGAGGCAGATTCCTAGTAGTTACATTGTCAGGTAGGCAGTGCCTTGCATCCTGACTCAGCCTGGCTCTTTGGCCTTCCCGTACATTCCGTGGGTTTGCTGATATCATTTTGATATATTCATTTGTGACTTAAATTAGCAGAAAGGATTCTGTTATATGGCACCAACAACATGAAGCAATATACTATTTACATAAACCTACTTGATATCTAGCGCTCTGTGCTCTGCACACAAAACTTTCCCCTAAAATGGATTTTTAAATCCTCATACCAAGATGCACAGGATAAATACATGTATCTATGTAACATTAGAAGAATGACATTGTATTAAAATCGTTATCATATTTAGTCTTTAAATAGCATGATATTGAACATTTCTTTGGAAAGTAATGAGAATGATAGTTTAGTAACCTATATTCCTATAGCAATGCAACTATTACATGGAAGTATAATGTAAGGCAGCACAATGGCAGTTGAGACCTGGTATTATGTTGCTGTTAATGGAAGCACATAGAAGGACCTCAGTTCTAGGATATCCATTAGAAACAGTACTTACTCAAGTCTCTTCATTGTTTTAACTTTATTCATATATTAAAGGTTAATGTGGCAAAATGTAACAATTCACATAAATAGAAAAAGCATATATAAAAATGTCCTTGATTTTTAAATCAATCACTAAGTACAGAGTACCTGATATGAACACAGAAGTGTGCTAAGCATGTTTAGTCAACTGTTTTGGTACATTGGTGGTTTCCAGTGAACCATCACTTACACATAAGTATAAGTGTACAAGTGATTCATACCCTTGTATAGTCTCTTCCCACATTGACTCTAGGCCTGACCATGAGATACCTGCTAAGAAAAAACATAACTCTATAATAGAGAAGATTGGTTTTATATATATATATATCTGATTTGGCCACACAAAAAAATTCTGATGCAAGAAGAGGCTTGATCCTTATTAGTATGGTGGTGAGTGAAAAAAAAAAATAAGAAGAGGCTTGATAACTGCTAGGACATTAGAGTTGATACTTTAGGAATATGTCTTCTTAGAAACCGAGACCACCATGTTGTGAAAAAACCAAAGGTAGCACATGGAAAAGCCACACATGGAGAACTAAGCATTTGGTCCAACAGGCAGAGTCAAGGCTTGAGACATATGACCCTACGGGTTGAAACATCCACGGAGTATTCTAGGCAGCTCCTAACCATTTGAGGAGCCCCAACTAAGGTCCCAGATATTGCAGAACATTATGAACCATCCAATTTGTACCTTATCCAAATCTCTGACCTAAAAAAATTATGAGCTGCTTGTTTTAGTTACTGAGTTTGAGGTCATTTTTACACAGCAATAGATAACTGAAACGGGATTATACTATAATGTATAGTTATTTGTATGATGATAACATACCAAGAGCACTCACAGTTTATCAACTAATTATATATTTTGATGAAATTCATTAATATTTCAAACTCTGCAGATAAAGAGTTGGACCAAAGTACTTAAAGTTATGAAGAAATACAAGTGTTTACAGTATAACTTTAAAACACAGTTATATATGCAAAATACTCATTCAAAAATTTTATAAGAAATTTTAAGCCAGAAAGACTGATGTTATATCAACAGCATTAAAAAGTAGAGCTGATCCTAATGAGTTACTTATGTTGACTAGGTACCCATCATAAAACATGGTCAAAACAGCCAAAAGTAAAACTGAAAATCTAACCAGAAAATCTGGAGTCTGACCTGGCATTTCAGCTTTATCCTGATATCTATCACACAATGGTGGTATGATTAGAAATCAAACCAAGGGCAGTTCATAGGGTAACACAGGCACTTAGCCCCAACAGTCGGGGTAGACAAAAGCTTTGTTTAGACAGATAGAGATGTTTTGTGTTTTGTTTACTATAAATGCTAATAATTTTTGCATTTTATTCATATTGAGGTTTTCAATATATTTAAAAATCTAGTATCATATTAAATATTGTAATTCTTCCATTAATTTTAATTCATTTAAATATCAGCAAATAAATAACATTATTAAATTGTAAGGACTTGTTAAGGTTAAGAATGTAATGGTGGGTAAGAATGGCATAGCAGTTAAATGCATGGTTATCTGAAGTGAAACTCCAGGGCTGGAATTTTGGCTCTGGCACTTTTTAGCTTGTGACTGTGACTCCTCAATTTAAAAATGGGCCTAACCATAGTAACTACCTTGTAGGGTTGTTGTGAAGGTTTAGAGTTAACATATTAGAGTGTATACAAGGATGGGCCAAATAAACACTTGTTACTATTGTTATATTTTAACTTTGTCAACAATAAAATGTTGATACTACTATTTCAAAAGAGCAATCACATTTTAAACTTTCATGTTCTCTGGAAATGGTCTAAGAATGAAAAAAATGAACATACAGGATTCAGTACAGCCCCTGAGACATAATAAGCACTCATAATAATAGAATCCTAATAGGAAAGAATAGGAGAGGATCTTAAGAAATCATCTGATTCTGCTTCTAGAATGCTGCTGCACACACAGTACCTTCCTTAGACAAACCTTGATATAAATGATCTCTTTAGTTTTTAGTAATATGCTGAAAACACTCTACCATTCCTGATATATCTACTTTTATCACTATAGTCATACTTGCCATTCTACTATCAATTCTTATACTGTGTTTGCCTAGCTTTGGTATCAGGGTAATACTTGCCTTACAGATTGAATTTAGAAGTGTTTCTTCTTCTCCAATATTTTGGAATTCTAATCAGGTTTTGCTGCTTTGAAACATTTTTAAAACTTTTTTTCCTTTGAGATATAATTTATAGTGTAATCAGCTGTATCTCGAGTGTATATAGTTCAACAAGATTTGACAGATGGATACACCTGTCTAACCCAACCTCCTAGAATGTTTTTTTGTCATCTCATAAAGTTCCTTTGTACCACTTTCCACATAATCTCTAACATCCCTCCTCCCTGCCACTGCCACCACCCCCTCCCACAACCACTGTTCTGCTTTCTATCATCATAGATTAGTTGCTACTTCTAACAATTCAAATAAATAGAATCATGCACTATGTTCTTTTTAATGTCAGGCTTCTTCACTCAACACAAAGTATTTTTGAGATTCACAGAAATTACTGTAGTGTCAGTAGTTTGTATCTTTTTATTACTAACTAGTACTCCATAAACATTTCCAATACATTCCATAAACATTTCCAATAATTGTTTACTTATTATCCTATTAAAGTAAATTTGGGTTGCTTCCAGTGTTTGGCTATTATGAACTGCTATGATGCACATGTGCAGATCTTTTTGTGAACAAATGTTTTCATATCTTCGATAAAAACTTGGGTATCATAAATATCTGGGCATGATGGGTCATAAAGAATATGTATGTGTTTAACTTTATAAAGACTGTCAAATTGCTTGTCACATTTTCACTCCAACCAGTGACTTGTGTTTGACAGTCCTGGTTCCCTACATCCTTGCTAACATCTGGTTTTTTCATTTTTTTTTTAAATGTCAATCTAGTGAGTGTTATCTCATAGTGGTTTAATTTGTATTGCCCTGAATATGATTTGAATATTTTCTCTGTGTTTATTGGCCCCAATTTGTCTTCTCATGAATGTCTGGTCAAGTATTTTGTTCACTTAAAACATTGTCTTATTTTTGAATGGTAAGATTCTAGATACAAATCTTTTATCAAATATATGTGTTGTCAATATTTTCTCTGAATCTGTGGCTTCCTATTATTATTATTATTATTATTATTATTATTATTTTGAGATGGAGTCTCACTCTGTCACCCAGGCTGGAGTGCAGTGGGGCGATCTTGGCTCACTGCAAGCTCCGCCTCCCGGGTTCATGCCATTCTCCTGCCTCAGCCTCCCGAGTAGCTGGGACTACAGGCGTCCGCCACCACGCCCTGCTAATTTTTTTTTGTATTTTTAGTAGAGACGGGGTTTCACCGTGTTAGCCAGGATGGTCTCGATCTCCTGACCTCGTGATCCGCCCGCCTCGGCCCCACAAAGTGCTGGGATTACAGGCATGAGCCACCACGCCCGGCCGGCTTCCTATTCATTTTTTTTTTTTTTTTTTTTTTTTTTTGAGACGGAGTCTCGCTCTGTCGCCCAGGCTGGAGTGCAGTGGCGCGATCTCGGCTCACTGCAAGCTCCGCCTCCCGGGTTCACGCCATTCTCCTGCCTCAGCCTCCCGAGTAGCTGGGACTACAGGCGCCCGCTACCACGCCCGGCTAATTTTTTTGTATTTTTAGTAGAGACGGGGTTTCACCGTGTTAGCCAGGATGGTCTCGATCTCCTGACCTCGTGATCCGCCCGCCTCGGCCTCCCAAAGTGCTGGGATTACAAGCGTGAGCCACCGCGCCCGGCCCCTATTCATTTTTAAAAGTGTCTTTTAATACACAGAAATTTTAAACTTTGTTGAAGTTCCTGCTATTCCCTTAAAGTGCAACTGATACTGAAATAATATAAAACACAATCACAATTCTAATAACCATTTATTAAATCCAGAAGAAAACATGAGGCCAACGATGAGTTTTTAACAGGAGACTTGGATCTGTCCCTGACTTCTGATCTGATCTTCCACTATTCTGATATATATGACCTGACTAAATGGCTTTCCATTTTTAGGTTGCTTTTTCCTGGCCTCTTGTAGTTTAATAAGGCTACCTTATTTATACAAATATATTGAGTATAATCTTGAACTCTTTTTTCAGTGTCAACAAATTAGACATTATGTTGAATAGGTGCCTACTCGATATGCCCTCCAGGTTACCAAAAACTACAAACAGGATCTTTGAGGGTGTGATTCTTGAATTACTTAACAGCAGATCTTTTTCAGGAGTCCACTTTTTTATGCTTTGTATTGCTAAATTTGTTAAACCTGGTAGACATCACACAGCTATCCTGACTGAGCATCTTCTGCCTGCACAGAGACATCTGTCTTTGTCTTCTTTTAGACAGTGATAGAACATCAGTCAGTGAGTAAAACTGGTGAAAAAGGAAGTAGGGTCTTTATTAGGCAGTGATGAATAAATTGAATACTGAAATTTAAACTAATAATAAATGGTGCTGCCTAGACTTTATTCTTTAAAACAACATATTGCCCAGCTGTTAACTTATTCAAACCTTAAATCAAGCATGAGCTTATAACATCTCCAATATGGTACCTTTTCAGGGAGAATGGGCTAGAAGATGCAGTAAACCTACACGTTTCTCTTTGTTACTAAAATACTACTATTCTTTATTGCTTTTATACATTTAAAGATTTTCAACAGCATAACTTATATTTTCACCTGGGTTAATTACATAAGCTAGCAACATCTGGTCCATCACAAAGTGTTACTGTATGAAGATCATTTACCGAAATAGTAAAATTTAATGCAGAATTGATTTTCAGAGTTATAAAAAAATGGAATTTATTATAGAAATGGCTGTGTGTAGACAACTAAGTTAGTCAATTTCTACTGCTTCCAAATATTCTTCCAAATGCTTACCTTTAACTTAATTTCAACCTCTTTAAACTGCCACCTACTTAATATAATCTTTTCTTCCAATAAACATGGTATCCCTGAATGATCCAAGTCCCTAAATTATTTGTGAAATTATGTTTACAAAGAGAGCAATAAGTCACAAATTTCTTATTCCAAAATGTCACCACTAAAAAATAAAAACAAAAAAACTTGTTGAAAGGCTAAACTATTATAAGTTTAGATTAAAATTTGGGAACTACACACATACACACACACACACACACATACACACACACATACACTAAGTTTCTTAAAGACAAATACAGAAGTGGAATAACAACTCTCAAAATATAAATACAGAAAATTGTTTTCAGGGAATTTAATAAAACTGACTCCATCAGTTTTACAGTAAATTACAGTATAATATTTCTCCTAACTAGGGAAACTATTCACATTTGAAATATAGTCTACTAAAGCTTCAATTAAAATATAAGTGTATTACCATTTAAAAAAAGTATTTTAAAAAACAATTGTCCATAAGTATTGATATTGATATTAGGTGCTAGTGATAAAATTGGCCCATGAAAAGACATCTATTTGCTTTTTCAAAAGAAAATGAGTTATCTGCTTTAAAATATAATTAATATTGGAGTTTGTAGTCATCTTAAAAACTCCACAAAATCTGCATCCAAAAAGAATGATCTGTAAGCTTTTGGACTAATGAGGATGGATGGTGATGCTAATAACACTCCCCTTAAGCCAATCTTCTTCCTGATAGCTGAATTTATGTTTGACTTGTTCATATTATGGATTTCTTATGAACAGCCATTTTCTTTCTCTGTTTATCTCTTGGAGGCCTAAAACAGGAAAGAATTTCTTTCTCTAAAAGCAAGTATGAGGGGAAATGTCCAAATAAAAAAGGTTATTCCCATGTATTTGATCTGGTAGTTATTCATACCTCCACACCCTCAACTGTCTTTTTTTCTTTTAAATAAAAAAAGGAGAACCTGAAGAGTTTTTCTGTAGAAATTTTCTTGTACTCAACAAAACGTTATTGTGAAATGGTCATGATGGGCATTATTTAAGTAGGAATAGTATTACCAGATTATCCCCAACTCCTCTTTGTGTAGGCTTGCTTGGGTAGTTATTCAACAAACATTTACTTCTGTAAGTTTAAAAGACGTTCTACTTGTTCCTCATGGCACTTAGTTTTGATTCATAGGTAAAGGACAACTATACCTTACACATTTCTTATATTGCTCTCAAAGAAGCAATAAATTAACTGAAATCTCTTTATTTTAAACATAGAACTCACTGAATCTTGCTCTACATCAACATTATCTATATAATGGGAAGTAGCTACAAAGCACCTGGCTGTTTATTATGCTGACATGTTCAGAGAAAGACATGTTTTCTAGTTGCAAACACTAGTCTCTGAGAATGCTGATTTCACTCACTGCAAATAAAATACTACTGAAAACACTCTTCTGAATAATTACTTGGAGATGAAAACTTCCTGCTCTTTTCTTATTTATTCCCAAATCACTTTTTTTTCAAATATGACAACAACATCTCTTTTTCAACAGGTCTAGAATTGCTAATTGTTAGACCATTAATATTGAGGTTACCAAGCATTTATTAAAGATAGCAAAAGTTTAAACATGACCACATTCACTGTAAACTTGGCTCTCAGCACCAGTGATCTCATATCAGCCTGTAGGCATTGCAGGGGAGGAAGCAAAAAGAGAAAAAGTAAACAACACAATTCTAGACATACTAAACTAGATTTTTTTTTGACGATAAATCTTTCAAAAAAGAACTTCAAAACCCTTAATTCCAGGGTATACTAAATAGTCTTCTTACAGAGGAATTAGCATGTCTATCTTTCCCAAGTGTTATTAAAAAAAAATTCCTAGAATCAAGGAGAGAAGCAGATTACTAAAGCCATGATGGCTTATGACCCTAAGCTAGGACAGTGATGGGTATTTATGAGAATAACACATAAAAATCAACATCCATGCTGAAAACTGAAATATAGTAACAGCCGTAAGAAGAGCTATTTCTAAGATGTGTCTTTATTTCATCCTGAAGCACAGAACATAGACTGTATTAATAATCTCTATCCAAGATCAACTTTATAAAGCAAACATTATGAAAACCAAAAGTTTCAGTCCATCTCAATCATAAGCTTTTATTCAGTAGCTGTTATGTATAGTTTTTTGCACAGGGCACTGAAGTCAGAATTATGTCAATATTTCTCACACCTCTTAAAATGGTCACTATTTTAAAAAGCAGAAATAACAAGTGGTGGTAAGGATGTAGAGAAATTGGAACCCTTATGCATTGATGGTGGGAATGCAAAACGATGCAGTTGCTATGAAAAACAGTATAGCACTTCCTCAAAATATTTAAAGCAGAATGGCCACATGGCCCAGCAATCCCAAGTCTAGGTATATATTCAAAAGAATTGAAGATTTTTGCACACACACGTTGATAGCAGCATTATCCACAACAGCCAAGAGGTGGAAGCAACCTAAATGTCCATCAGCGGATGAAGGAATAAAGAAAATTTGGTATATACATAAAACGGAATGTTATCCAGCCTTAAAAAGGAAACTGATACATAGTATGACCTGCATAAACTTTGAGAAGATTACGCTAAGTAAAATAAGCCAGTCACAGAAAAGACTGCATGATTCCACTTACATGAAGTGTCTAGAGTAACTGAATTAATAGAAACAGAAAGTAGAATGGTGGCTGTCAGAGGCTGAGGGCACAGGGAAATGAGGCGTTATTTAATAGGTACAGAGTTTCAGTTTTGCCAGAGGAAAAAGTTTCGGAGTTTGGTTGCACAACAATGTGAATATACCTAACATGACTTAACTTAAAAACCGTTGATATAGTTTGGATGTTTGTCTCCTCCAACTCTCATGTTGAAATGTCATCCCCAGTTTTGAAGGTTGGCCCTGGTGGGAGGTGTTTGGGTCATGGGGGCAGATCCTTCCTGAATGGTTTGTTGCTGTCCTCCTGACAATGAGTGAGTTCTCACGAGATCTGGTTGTTTAAAACATGCTGGCTCCCCATCACCTTCCACCATAATTGTAAGCTTCCTGAGGACTTCACCCGAAGCCAAGCAGATGTTGATATCATGCTTACAGCCTACAGAACTGTAAGCAAATTAAACCTCTTTTCCTTAGACATTACTTACCCTCAAATATTTCTTTATAGCAACATAAGAATGGACTAATATAATGGTTAAGATGGTAAATTTTATGTTATATGTATATTACCATAATTAAAAATAAAAATTTCAAAAAATTTGCATTCTATGAAGGGGGGACAAGAAGATTATGTCAATGCTTTGCATATGATAGTGCTCAATAAATATGAAGAGAATTAAATTCTTGGTCATCTGTTGAAATAGGGTCGAGAAGTTTTGCAATGCTCCCTCAGGCAGAAACAGAGGTTCATGATTCAAGTCAAAAGAAGCAATAAAGTTAATTTATTATATACCCACAAATAAAACTGTCCATGTTTCAGCTTTCTGATATCACAGATTTATTCCATTTTGGACCTGGTCTACCTGTTAGAAAGTTTTTCCATATTGTTGAGCCCAAATCTGCCGCCTAGTCACTTTGACTCACCAATCCTGATTCTGTCCTTAGGAACCCTAGAGAGAATAGAAATAACCAAGTCCTTCTTTCATGTGAATACTTTTCAATGTAAGGAGTTAGGGGAGAATGCCATAATACCATAGTCTGTAGTTTCTTTGTCAGCAAGTTCATTGAATCAATGCCCTAAAGGATAGGGAATGGGACCCATACAATTCTAAGTCATTTTCTCTTAAAAGAATTCAAAATGTTGTAATTAGAAGTTTTCAAAGGAACAGTAATTTATTTCAAATTATTTATGTTTGGGTTTGCTTTTATTTGAAAATGAAAATATGAAAAGCCCTTAATTTAATTAAAAAAAAAAAAAGGTGGCCGGGAGCAGTGGCTCACGCCTGTAATTCCAGCACTTTGGGAGGCCGAGGCAAACAGATCACCTGAGGTCAGGAGTTCAAGACCAACCTGACCAACATGGTGAAACCCTATCTCTCCTAAAGATACAAAAATTAGCTGGGGCATGGTGGCAGGTGCCTGTAATCCCAGCTACTCCAGAGGCTAAGGCAGGAGAATCACTTGAACTTGGGAGGTGGAGGTTGCAGTGTGCCGAGATCACGCCGCTGCACTCCAGCCTCTGCAACAGAGACAGACTGTCTCAAAAAAAAAAAAAGGTTTTCGTCCTTTAAGCATCTGACTCTGAAAACACTGTTTGGCTCTTTTGTCCCTCCCTGAAGTAGATCTTAGATATCTAATAAATGCTGTCAGCAAAAATGCTTTGGGCTGAAGAATATGATAGAGGCATACTATTTTATTAGTAGCCATTTATTTCATTTTCATTTATGCTGGAGATTTTAGCCATTCAGTATGTATACAACCTAAAGTTATTAAAACATTTTTAGTCACTGTGATCTTTTGGTTTATTTGTGCACATAAAAACATGACCAAATACGAGGCATTAGTTAGTAGCAGATACAAAATTACTGAAGCACTCTAACCAGTTACTTATGTTTCCCTCTCTAAGAACATTTCTGTGTTTTAATACTAGTAGAAGATTATTATCTACTAGTAGTAGAAAGAGAAGTAATTCAGGTAACAATATCATGCTCTCCAAATTATACTGAAAGGCTATGTCATACACTGAAATAGTTGTTTATAAACTTTTCTGAAAATCTGGTTTCAAGAACTTAATTGAAACTGTTATTAGTTTCTAAAAGAGTTAGAATTCTCACCTTTAAAAGACAAAAGAAAACGAGTGAGATAAATTCAATATAGTTAACTTTCCAACAAAGTATCAAATAAATGAGCATTCTGCATACTTCCTTGCACTTAGTAAGTATTCAATACATCTTGAATTAAAATGAGTAAAGATTTTTACTTGGTATTGCTTAGCTAGCATCTAAATTAAATCATATAGCTAAGTTTGATGCCTTTCAAACATTTTCTAGTATTTTTTAAAATTGTAAATTGATAATTTATAATTGTATAAATTTTTGGAGTACAAAGTGATGTTATGATTTATGAATACAATGTGGAAAAATTAAATCAAGCTAGTTAACATCCATCACTTCAAATACTTAACATACTTCTGTGGTGAGAACATTAGATACTCATTTTCTTAGCCATTTTGAGATGTATAATACTCCATTGTTAACTACATTAACGATGCTGTGCAATAGAACTAAAAAACAAACCAACAACATATCACTCCTGTATGATTTTGAACCCTGTGAGCATCGTCTCCCTATTCCTCCCACCCCTCCAGCTTCTCTTACCACCATTCTACTGTGCTTCTATGAGTTTAACTGTTTGAGTCCACATATAAGTGAGAACACAGGGTATTTGTCTTTCTGTGCCTGGCTTACTTCACTTAGCATAATGTTCTCCAGTTCCATCGATGTTGCCAGTGACAGAATTTCCTTCTTTTGCAAAGCTGAAAAGTATTCCGTTGTGCATACACAATACACCACATTTTCCTTACATATTCATTTGTTTATGGACACTTAAGTTGAGTCCGTAACTTGGCGACTGTGAATAGTGCTGCAATGAACATGTAGTGTAGACATCTCTTCAACAAATGAATTTCAAATCGTTTAGGTGAATATCTAAAAGTGGTATTTCTGATTCATATAATGCTAATGTTAGATTTTTGAGGAATCATCATACAGTTTTCATAATGGCTGTACTAATTTACATTCCCACCAACAGTGTACAAGGGTTCCCTTTTCTCCACATCCTTGCCAACACTTTACTTTTTTTTGATAGCCATTCTGACAGGTGTGAGGTGATATCTCATCATGGTTTTAATTTGCATTTACCTAATCATTAGTGATGTTGAACATTTTTTCATGTATCTGTTGGCCATTTGTGTCTTTTTTTGAGAAATGTCTTTTCAGGTCCCGTCCCCAGGTTTTAATTTTTTTGTTTTGTTTTCTTGCTATTAAGTTGTTTGAGCTCCTTATATATTTTAGACATTAACCCTTTATTAGACGTCTGGCTTGCAAATATTTTTTTCCCGATTGTAGTTTGACTCTGCACACTGTTAATTGTTTCCTTTGCTGTGTGGAAGCTTTTCAGTGGATGTAATCCCACTTATCTATTTTTGCGTTTGTTACCTCTTGTCAAATCCAAAATATCATTAACTGTACTAATATGTCATTTTCCCCCTATGTTTTCTTCTGTCAGATTTACAGTTTCTGGTCTTAAGATTAAGCCTACTTATTTAGTGTTGATTTTTGTATATGGGCCCAATATCATTATTCTCCATGTGGATATCCAGTTTTCCCAAAACCACTTATTGATGAGACTATCCTTTTCCCAATGCAGGTTTTTGGCCCTTTGTCAAAAATCAATTGATCATACATGCATGGGTTTGTTTCTGAGTTTTCTATTATGCCCTTCAATTGGTTGACGGGTCTTTTTTTTTGGCCAGTACCAAGCTGTTTTAATTACTACAACTTTGTAGTATAGGTAGTATAGTTTAAAATCAGGTAGTATGATACCTCCAGCTTAGCTCTCTCTGCTCATAATTGCCTTGGCTATTTAAGGGATTTTTGTGTGTGTGTTTGTATGTAGTTTCATATGAATTTTAAGATTATTTTTTCTATTTCTAAGAAAAGTAACATTGGACTTTTCATAGTGATTGCATTAAATCCATAGATCACCATATTGGTCCATTCTCACACTGCTATAAAGAACTACCTGAGACTGAGTTATTTTATAAAGAAAAGAGGTTTAATTGACTCACAGTTCCAGATGGCTGGGAAGGCCTCAGGAAACTGACAATCATGGCAGAAGGCAAAGGAAAAGGAAGCACCTTCTTCACCAGGTGACAGGAGAGAGAGAGAGAGAGAACTGCCACACACTTTTAAACTATCAGATCTCATGAGAACTCACTATCACGAGAACAGCATGGGCAAAACCTCCCCCATGATCCTATCACCCCCCCACCAGGTCCCTCCCTTGACATGGGGGAATTACAATTTGAGACGAGATTTGGGTGGGGACATGCAGCCAAACCATATCAATGACTTTGGGTAGTGTATTAGTGTGTTCTCCCATTGGAGGTGCTGCATACTTTTAAACAACTAGATCTTGTGAGAACTCTTTCACGAGAACAGCACTAGAGGGATGGTGCTAACCCATTCATGAGAAACCACCCCCATGATCTAATCACCTCCCACCAGGTCCCAACTCCAATACTGAGGATTACAATTCAACATGAGATTTGAACAGGGACACAGATCCAAACCATATCAATTAGTATGTACATTTTAACAACATTAATTCTTCCAATACAAGAACATGTGATATCTTTCCATTTCTTTGTCTTCTTTAATTTCTTTTTACAGTTTTCAGTGTACAGGTCTTTCACCTTCATAGTTAAATTTATTCCTAATTTCTTATCTTTTTTTTTTTTTTGGTAGCTATTGGAAATAGGAGTGTTCTTTTGATTTCTTTTTCAGATAGTTCATTGTTAGTGTACAGAAGTGCTACTGCTCTTTGTGTTGATTTTGTATCCTGCAACTTTATTAGTTCAAATAGCTCTTTGGTGGAGTCTGTAGAGTTTTCTACATATAACATTGTGTTGTCAGCAAACATTCACAATGTTACTTCTTCCTTTCCTATTTGTGTGCCTTTTATTTCTTTCTCTTGGCTGTCTGCTCTGGAAAGGAATTCTAGTGCTATCTGAATAGAAGTGGTGAGAATGGGCATCCTTACCTTGTTTCAGATTTTAAGAGAAAAAGCTTTCAGCTTTTTCACCATTGAGTATATTATTAGCTGTAGGCTTCTCTTACATGGTTTTTATTGTGTTGAGGCACATTCCTTCTATACCTAATTTGGTGACTTTTTATAATAAAAGAATGTTGAATTTTATCAAATGCTTTTCCTGCATCTAGTGACATGATCACATGGTTTTTATACTTCATTTTGTTAATGTGATGTACCACATTTATTGATTTGTGTATGTTGAGTCTTTTGTGTATCTCAGGGATAAATCCCATTTGATCATGGTAGAGAATCCTTTTAATGTATAATTGAATTTGGTTTTCCAGTATTTTCTTGAGGATTTTTGCATCTATGCTCATCACGAATATTGACTTGTAATTTGCTTTTCTGGTAACATCACTGTCTGGCTTTGGTATCACAGCAATGCTGGACTCATAAAAAGGGTTTGAAAGTATTCCCTCCTCTTTGGTTTTCTGGAAGAGTTTGAGAAGGATTGATATCAGTTCTTTAAATGTTTACTATAATTCAGCTGTGAAACTACCATGGCTGTGCTTTCCTTTGGTGGGAGATCTTAAGAATTACTAATTCAATCTGCTTACTCATTATTGGTCTGTTCAGCTTCTTGGTAGGTGGTATATGTCTAGGAATTTATCCATTTCTCCTAGGTTGTCCTATATGTTGGTGCATAATTGTTTATAATAGTCTCTTATGATCTTTGGTATTTCCATGGTATCAGTTCTACTGTCTTCTCTTTTAATTTCTGATTTTATTTATTTTACCCTTCTCTCCTTTTCTCTTAAGTTAGCTAAAATCTGTCAATTTTATTTTTTCAAAAATCAACCCTTAATTTTGTTAATGTTTTGTATTATTTTTCTAGTCTCTATTTCTTTATCCCTGCTCTGATCTTTATTGTATTTTTTCTCTCCTAGCTTTAGGCTTAGTTTGTTCTTTTTCCTATTTCCTTGAGTTGTAACATTAAGTTGTTTGAGATCTTTCTCTCTTTTTTGATATTTTTTTTTTGCTATAAACATTCCTCATAGAACTGCTTTTGCTGTATCCCGTAAGTCTTAGTATGTTGTATTTACATTTTCATTTTTCCCAATATATTTTTAAATTTCCCATTTAATTTCTTCATTGACCCATTTGTTTTTAGAAACATGTTGTGCAATTTCCATGTATTTTTAAATTTTTCCAAAATTCTTCCTGTTATTGATTTCTACCTTCATATCATTGTGGTCAGAAAATATACTTAATATAATTTGAATCATCTTAAATTTGCTGGGGCTTATTTTGTTATCTAAGCTGAAGAATGTTCTGTGTGTCCTCAAGGAAAATTTGTATTCTGTTGCTGTTGAACGGAATGTTTTAATATATGTCTGTGAGGTCCCTTTGGTCAAAAGTATTGTTACAGTCCAGTGTTTCCTTATTAATTTTCTGGATTGCTAATCTGTCCATTTTTGAAAGTGAGGTATAGAAGTCCCCTGTTGTTATTGTGCTGCAATCTATTTCTCCCTTCAGATCTTTTTATCTTTGTTTTATATATTTAGATGCTCCAATGTTAGATGCAAACATATTTATAATTGTTGTATCCTTTTGGTAAATTGACCCCTTCATCATTGTGTAATGTCCTTTGTCTCATTTTATGGGTTTTGACTTAAAATCAACTTTGTCTTATGTATGTATAGCTACCCCTACTCTCTTTTGGTTTGAATTTGCATGGAATATCTATCTATCCCTTCAGCTTCCATCTATGTGTATCCTTAAAAGTGAGATGTATCTTTGTATACAGTATATAGCTAAGTCTTGTTTTTTAATCCATTCAGTAACTGTCTTTTTATTAGAGCATTTAATCCATTTATAAGCAAGGTAATTATTGATATGTAGGATGTACTATTGCCATTTCCTTTTTCTTTTTTTTTTTTTTTTTTGAGATGGAGTCTTATTCTGTCACCCAGACTGGAGTGCAGTGGTGTGATCCTGGCTCACTGCAACCTCCACCTCCTGGATTCAAGCGATTCTCCTGTCTCAGCCTACCGAGTAGCTGGGATTACAGGTGCATGCCACCACGCTCAGCTAATTTTTGTATTTTTAGTAGAGATAGGGTCTCACCATATTGGCCAGGCTGGTCTCAAACTCCTGACCTCAAGTGATCCGCCTGCCTCGGCCTCCCAAAGTGCTGGGATTACAAGCATGAGCCACTGTGCCCGGCCTATTGCCATTTTCTTAGTTTTTTTCTGGATGTTTGGTAAATAATTTTTTTTGTCTTCCTCCCTTGCTGTCTTCCTTTGTGATTTGATGGTTTTCTATAGTGGTATGCTTTGAATCCTTTCTATTTTTGCTTTATATTTCCACTAAAGATTTTTGCTTTGTGATTACCATGAGGTTTACACAGAACATCTTATAAACAATCAAGTATAAACTGATAACAGCTTATAAACAATCAAGTATAAGCTGATAACAACTTAACTTTGCATACAACAATTAACTTTGCATACAACAATTCTATACTTTTTCATACCCCCTCAACATTATGTTTTTAATGGCAGAATTTACATCATTTTTAATGTGTATACCTTGATAATTTATTTTAGCTATAGCTGCTATTAATATTTTTGTTTTTTGACTCATGTACTAGGGATGAAATTGCCTTATGCACCATTATTACAGTCCTACAGTTTTCTGAATATGGCACTATTTTACATATACCATTGAGTTTTGCAATTCATATGTTTCATGAAACTGAGGGAGAAAGTATTATTTCCTTCTCAATTATGAAAGATAGCTTTGCTGGGTTAAGTATTCTTGATTGGTAGTTTTTGTGTTTGTTTTCCTCCGGCATTTCAATTATATTATGCCACTCTCTCCTGGCCTACTGGGTTTCTGCTGGGAAATCTGCTGATAGTCATATTGTCTCCTTTGTATGTGATGTGTTTATTATCTCTTGCTGTTCTCAAAATGTTTTGTCTTTGATTTTTGACAGCTAGATTATTGTATGCCTTGGTGTACTCCTCTGTGTGTTGAATTTGATTGAAATTTCTGTGCTTCTTGTACCTGGATATTCACATCTATTCCCAGATTAGGGGATTTTTCAGTCATTCTTTCCTTAAATAGGCTTTGTGACCCTTTTTCTCTTTCTTCTTTTGCAAATCCTAGTATGCAAAGGTTTGAACTCTTGATGGTGTCTCATAAGTCCCATAAGCTTTCTTCATTCTTTTTCACTCTTTTGTCTTTCTGGTCCTCTAACTGGATAATATCAAATGCTGTCTTCCAGCTCATTGATTCTTTCTTCTGCTCTATCAAATCCACCAATGATGCTTTCTATTGAATTTTTCAGTTCAGTCATTGTATTCCTCAACTCTAGAATTTATATGTGTTTCTTTTATATTGTTTCTATTTCTGTCAAACTTGTTATTTTTGTTAGGTATCAGTTTCCAAATTTTATTACATTTTCTATCCATATATTCTTGTACATCACTGAACATCTTTATGAGTAGTATTCTAAATTCTTCCTCAGTCATTCCAAATATCTCCGTTTCTTTGGGGTCCATTACTGAAGCTTTATTAGTTTCTTTTGGGATTTCTTTTGTTCTTTGTAGTTCTTGTGTCCTTGTGTTATTGTCTATGCATTTGAGGAGAAAGCCCCCTCTTCTAGCCTTTACAATAGGTGTTCTTTGGCATGGATAGAGGTTCACTATTTAGTTTAGCCTGGGAAGGGCCAGCTGGTGATGATCCCAGGGAGTCAGAGCTTGTTGGGAGTTCTCTAATTTGCTGGGCAGATGCCTTTCCTCTGATGTTACATGGGGCTGCTGGATAGACTCCACTGTCTGGTGAGATCAGTGGCTGGGCTCTGCTATTAGGCAGAGTTAATGGCTAGAAACTGTGATGGCTTCTCATCAGGCCAGTTGCAAGTTGTATTCCCTGGATGGGCAATTCTGCTATTTGAGATCTGCAGTTGGGCCGGGCTGTAGGCTGGGCTCCAAGGTTAGGCAGAGTAATTTCCTGGGAGAGGAGAAATACCAGAAGCTGTACCCCTTAGAAATGCACAATTGAGGATTACCTCCCTATCAGGGTAGAGCCATGGGATTGCTTTGTGGCAGAGTTGAGTGGCTGTTTGACTGCCTGGGTCAAACAGGTCTAGGCTCTATGCTTCTCTAAGATGCGTGAAAGTGGAAATCTCCCTGCCTATGCAAAGTCACTGGAATGGCTTATTGGCTGAATGGAGCCACTGCTTGAGCACCCATGTCAAGTCAGTCTAGACCATTTAATTCTCTGAAATTCATAAAGGTGGAGAGTCTCTCTGCCTGGGTGGGGTTGTAAAGCAGGTTTTTTGGCTGAGGGTGAGGGGAGCTGCTGCTTGACTTCTCAAGTCAAACTGGTATAGACCCTTCACTTCTCCAAAATGGGAGGAAGTGGGCATCCCCCTGCATATGCAGGTCACAGAGGTGGGCTCTGAGGCTGGGTGGGAAACTAGCAGCCTAAGGACTCAAGCTAGGATGAACTTCCCATCTTCCTTCTCAAGGCAACTAGCTTAGCTTTGGGGGTCAACTATGAGGTTGGCTGGTATCTGTGACCAGGCATCACAGCTGTCAGGAACACAGAGGTACTGTCAAGATCCATGCACTGGTCAATATGACCTCTGCCTCCTTTATTTCTACCCGACTCCAGGCAGTCTAGCCATGCTGATTGCTTCGGAGTGGGTTTCATAAGAAGCATATCAGAATGCTAGGTATGCTGGATGACTGCATCCAATTCCCTTCCCCCCTGTTGAAATTCTGGGTTCAGGGAAAAAAATCTCCATCTGGTGTTGTGCTTGACTTAAGGGAAGGGGAGGGGCAGCACTGTTGGAATAAGACCGTTCTTACACTTCTAATTCAGGTTTTATTCAGTTATGAAAATCATGCAGGTATCTCAGGCTTGTTTCCAAGTGTAGCAGTTTTCAAAAGGATGCTCTAGTCTAGTCTAGCTGAACTTTGTGGGTCGGGGCTGCGGGGTGGCGGAGGGGCAGCAGTGGGAGGCAGGGCATGGAAGTGGAGCTTGAGACTTCCTCTTCTGTTATTTTGCTGATGTCACTAGGCACCAGACCCTGTACATTTTAAAAAATCATGTAGGTATTTAAATGACTATAACTATACTTCCATTTTGATTTTCCAGCACTATAAAAAATTCTGTTAATGTTTAGAAAAAGATAAGCAAGTAATTTTTAAGTGCCTGTGAACTTCTCCAGATTAAAATCTACCAATTCATTTCACTTGTTTGCCTAGAAAATAAGGTTTTTCTCTTCTGTTATAATTCTTCCTACTAGATATAGATATGTCAAAACATTTACATAATATTATATTTTAATTGGGTGGAGGATAAAAAGTGGACTGATTTCTGGATACTGCTAATCTCTCCTGGGAGTTATGTCATTAGTGGAATTTGTTTGAGACTAAACCTACAAATAAAATGCATTAACACTTCAAAAAACTGTCTCAATGTGAGTTAATTAGAATTGAGATGTTAATATCAATACTCCCACATATGTGCAGCAAATCCTTGATTCTATTCTCTCTTTCCGAGAAAGTGGCTATCTTTAACTTTTTCTATTGTTGTGAATCTGGAAGTCAAAGAAAGGCTCTCTTGAGTTTCCTGATAACATATGGTAGTGGGCTTTTCAGAGTCACAAAATAAATGAAAACAGTAGAGGTATTAAAATCTTAGAAAATCTCAGAGTTCTTGCTGAACAAATAAAGCTAATGTCTGGCAAAAATACTTACTATCTTCCTTTGTACTGAGATATACAACTGACAACCAGTGGACTGAGGCTTTTCAAGAAATATCATTTTAGAAAAACACAGATAAATCAAAAAATCCTTACACAAAACCTTGAAAGAGTAAACCTTGTAACATTAACATTAATGGAGATTGATTATTCTTACATAAATGATTCCTTTTAAGGTGAAACATTACAAAGGACTTGAAGACTGAGATTTAGGGTTTATTGGCAAAAGAATCTTGAGAAACAATTAGAACTTGAAAAAGGCCGGGTAGGGTGGCTCACGCCTGTAATCCCAGCACTTTGAGAGGGTGAGGGTGGGCGGATTGCTTGAGTCAGGAGTTTGAGACCAGCTTGGGCAACATGGCGAAACCCCATCTCCACCTAAAATACAAAAAATAAGCCGGGCATGGTGGTGTGCACCTGCAGTCCCTGCTACTTAGGAGGCTGAAGTGGGAGGAATTGCTTGAGCCTGGGAAGCGGAGGCTGCAGTGGGTCAAGATCATGCCACTGCACTCCAGCCTGGGTGACAGGGCAAGATCCTATCTAATTAAAAAAAAAAATAGGCTGGGAGCAGTGGCTCACGCCTGTAATCTCAGCACTTTAGGAGGCTGAGGAGAGTGGATCACGAGGTCAGGAGATCGAGACCATCCTGGCTAACATGGTGAAATCTCGTCTCTACTAAAAATACAAAAAATTAGCCAGCATGGTGGCGGGTGCCTGCAGTCTCAGCTACTCAGGAGGCTGAGGCAGGAGAATCGCTTGAACCCAGGAGGCAGAGGTTGTAGTGAGCTGAGACCACGCCACTGCACTCCAGCCTGGGTGACAGAGTGAGACTCTGTCTCATAAATAAATAAAAATAAAATAAAACATCAATGTAGGAAAGGCCAGATTGAAGCCTACAAGTAGGGAATTCAGTTATATTACACTATTGTAAACCAGGGGTAAGCAAACTTTCTGTATAGGACCCGATAGTACTAAATAAATATTTTAGGGTTTGTAGGCCACATGGTCTCAATCACAACTACTCAAATCTGTCATCGTAGCATAAAAGCAGCAATAGACAAAATGTAAAAGAATGGCTATATTCTATTAAAACATTTCAAAAATAGATGGCAGGCTGTATTAGGTCTGTAGTCTGCAGTTTGTCAACTACTATTTTAAGTCAAAAGTAAATACCTAAACTTGGCTGGGCGTGGTGGCTCATGCCTGTAATCCCAGCACTTTGGGAGGCCAAGGTGAGCGGATAACCTGAGGTTGGGAGTTCGAGACCAGCCTGACCAACATGGAGAAACCCCATCTCTACTAAAAAAGAATACAAAAATTAGCTGGGCATGGTGGCACAGGTCTGTAATCCCAGCTACTCAGGAGGCTGAGGCAGGAGAATCGCCTGAATCCAGGAGGCGGAGGTTGCAGTGAGCCGCGATTGTGCCATTGCACTCTAGCCTGGGCAACAAGAGCAAAACTCCACCTCAAAAAACAAAAACAAAAACACAAAACAAAGAAAACCTAAACTTGGCAAATACAGAGGTAACAAAGATATAAAAAAAGACTCTTAAATATTTATGTGGAAGATCTGATAGGTTTTGGTGACTGACTAGATGTAGTGATAGATATTACAGAAATAAGACTTCAGGATGACTTTCAAATTTCTAGCTTGGTAACTAGGTGGGTAAGGGTATATTCACTGAGAGAGGGAATCTAGAACAGTGCTATGTTTTAAATGTCCCCTCCAAAACTCATGTTGAAATTCAAGTGCCATTGTGATGGTATTAAGTGGTGGGATCTTTACGAGGTGATTAGGCCATGAGCAATCTGCCCTCATGAGTAGATTAATGCCATTATCATGTGAATAGGTTCATCATTATGGGTGTGAGCTCCTGAAACAAGATGTTTGGACTTATTTCCTCCCTCTGTCTTGCACCCTCACTTGTCTTTCAGTCTTCCATCTTCCTCCTCCTACCATGGGCTAACAAAGCACAAAGGCTCTCGTCAGATGCCAGCACCATGGTCTTGGACTTCCCAGCCTCCAGAGCTATAAAGCCAAACAAACTTCTGTTGCTTATAATGACCCATTCTTTCATATTCTGTTATAGCAGCAGAAAATGGACAAAGATAGACAGGGTATAAATTTGGTAAGAATGATTACAATTTCTGTGTTGGAAATGTTGAATTTGAAGTCCCTGTGGGACACCTAATTGAGATAGCTATAGCATGCTTTTCTACCTTCACAATGTGTCAGTCCCCACATCCTGTCAATTCTCCCTTACAAAGCTCTCAAATTTCTTTGGTATCCAGTCCCCTTACCCCTGGCCTAGCCATTCCCAATGCCTTGATTAGCCCCTTATGATCCGGCCTCAAAACTGATTTCCAGACTTCAAGCCTCAGGGCCTTCTAATCCACTGTTCATATTTAGGCCAAAGAAACCATTCTAAAATATGAATCTGATCATGCCCCTTCCATGCTGAAAATTCTTCAGTAGCTCCCCAACAAAATACAAGTTCTTTTATGATTTGACTACTGTCTACTTACTGTAAACTAACAGTAACAAACAATAGCATTAATAGCTATCTTTTGCATTTATGTGGTACATACTGTTACCTTCAGCTGAAAAAAACCTGCCTCATAGAAAGACTTGTAAAATTATGCCAAAATATTAAGAGTTCTATGCAGATAGAAAAAAAGTTTTTTTTCCATTTTTACCTGCCTCTGTTTTCTAAAATGTCCTTAATAAGTATATATATATATATATATATATATATATATATATATTTTTTTTTTTTTTTTTTTTTTTTTTTTTTTTTAATGAAAAAGGATAAAAACACACAAAGGCCAACAACAATCAACCCTCTTTTCTGCCAACTCCTTCTGCTCAGTCCTTGGGAAAGTTTCATCTTCCCATCCCTTGAGGACATTGCTTGGGTGCAGCAGTAATTCCTCTACTGTCTGGCTCCTGCTGTTGGTCTTCGTCATCTCAGCTTCTGCAGTGCTCACTTCTCTACTTGGCACACTAAGCCACTTTTTCCCACCACACTGACTACTTGGCTCCTAATTCCCAGCCACAGACTCAGAGATTTAGCTCTGGAGAGGGCAAGCCTGAAGGGCTATGTCCCTGGCAGGGAGCCTATATGCACTAGTTTCCTCCAAAGAGAGCCCCTAGAGACTAGATCTAAGGGGGTTTATAATTTACAGTCTTCTGGCCACATATGACCCTGAAGTTACAATGTCCCTTTATAGGATGTGTCAGGAGTCCTCTTTGGCTGCTTCCTCTTTGGTCACTCAATCAGTTCCCATGTCAAGTTGCCACTTCTTTTTTCACAACCAACTTTTCCCCATCTTTTCTGTGTTTTTTTCAAGAGCTTTAATCTCCCCCTTAGATAAGTGCCACAGATTCCTAACTGATCTTTTTGCTTCTAGTCTTCCCCCACTGTAATCTATCTCATTAAGATAGTACTCAAAAATATTAAATAGATCCCAAAAGAAAGCCGAAATAGTCTGCTTCAAGATCTCTACATTCCAGCCCAACACTTCTATTCCCAGTATTTTCCTGTGGAGATAGTTAGGCCTTTTACAGTGCCCTGCCCTCATCAGGCCCTGTGCTTTCTCGTTTCCAAGTACTTTCTCAAGTCCCCTCCAAAAATAAATTACTTCCTACCTGCTTCATCCTGCTACATTTATGGCCTAGCTTAAATGCTACCTATTCCATTAAGCTTTCCTTGTTCACAAAAGTCAACTATTCTTGCCTTAAATTCCTTAACACTGCTTGTATCATATATAACTACTCACAAGCTTCTAACCCTGCACCCATTACATACTTCTGTATACTATAGCCTTTCAAACTCTCATCTTCTTCATTCTTGAATGCTTCACACGGCCATCACAATTCAAAATCCAGTAGATGAATACTGAATGAATGTTTCTTCTCAACAAATATTTTAAGAGTCAAGACTTTGTCCTCATATATCTAAATTCTGTGCACCTCACACATTTAAAGCCCTCAATGAATACAAGTACTTCACTTATTTACTCATTCAATAAACATTTCCTGAGCACCTAGTATATGCCAGACAGAAGTTAGGAATTCACAAAAAGGATTCCATTAAAGTTCTGAAAATGGCCCCACCTTCCATTGTTTTTTGAAAGATATTCTTTTCTCATCAAAAAGAGATAGACCAAACAGCTTCTCACTTCCTGTTAGGTCAAATTTTTATAGTATGACTGATTATTTTCATAGTATGACTGATTATTTTTCATAAATCCCCTAAGCAGATATGACAGATATGGCTACATTCAAACCTGAGTATAAAAATCATTCTAAATCCAAACATAAGTGATTTTACAAATTTGGTGAATTTTGTTTGCCATACTTCTCTGTCCTTTTCTCTAACATAAAATAATCAAGAGCTTACTGGGTTACTCTAAAATTCAAAGTTATAAATTTCAGCTTTAATACCTATGGGGAAATGGGCTTTCCGGAGCACTTGTAAGTTTGTGGCAGAGAACACCTGGGTATTAGCTCTGCTTTCTCCCTCTGGATGAGAACATGTCCTTGCTGACACTGAGTTCACTTCAACAACCAGGAAACTCTGGTAATTATAAACATTCCCTTAAAAGGAAGCCCACAGATTATTAGTTCATGTTCCCTGGAATAGTGATGAAAATGCAATAGCCCACAGATTGTTAGCTCTTATAGAATAGTGACTTAAAAAGGGCAGTGACATAGTAAGAAATGAACTTTCCTGGTTCAGGAACCCTATCTGTATATTGTATATACATAATCTATATGTATATTGTTATTAGCAGCTGTTTATCTCTATTGAGGGCCTTTGTGATGAAGAGAAATTATGCTGATATATTGCATCTGTTTCAACTCTGACTTTACTTCTAAAAACATCGGATCTTTGGTTAACTAAATTGGAAACATAAAGCTAAAAGCACACATGTGAATGTACATATGTATGTGTATATGTTCTCCTCCTGTCAATCCATAACCTACCCAAAATGCTGTACAAGATTTAGAGGAAAACTAAGATAGTAAAAGCAATCTAATGACTTTGATCAAATAAGTAATGCTAATTCCTAAGGAATAAATCAACTATATGACCAACACTAATTGTAGAGAATGCTTATTTGATTAGTTGAAAAGTCACTAAGGAGCTGAACTTCTGCACAGGATAAATGTAGACATCTAAAAATCTCTAGGAAAAATGTAGTATTAACTAAGGTGCTTTTTGAGGGACACTTCAACTTTTTAGGTATGACATCCAAAAGACTGAAAAGGTTAAAACGTCTTCTGAAGGAAATACTATGAAAAGTTTTCAACTTCAAAAATACTTTGAAAGTAAAGAGGTTTCTATGATCGGCGACAACTATTTCATATTTTGTAGTTTGAAAATGTTCAGCAAAATTACATAGCTTAACTAAGTTGTAAACCTCTAAATAAGAGAGACCCCCGTGAGGTGAGGTTTGGCTTTTTTTTTAATGTCAAAATGGAAAATACAGTGGTAAAATGGTAAAATGAATTTCTTTAACCCTGAACTTGCTTCATATTCTTGCTAAGACAAAGTCATTTTGCTATTTAAAAGAGATAAGACTAATGCTAGATATTAAACCCAGTAACTTTATTGAAATATTTTCTGGTTTCTTCACAAAAAAAAAAAGAGAATGAGTTTTGAATCTTCTCATGAGTTTTGGAACCAAATTTGACACTTTAGTAGCCAAAGTAAGCAATGGAGTCACATTAAAAACTTAACTGTCTACAAAAGGTCTGCTTATTTAAAAGTTAATTAAAACTATGCAGGCTATTGAAGAGCTTAACATCTTCAACTCCTAATCTCAACAACCAAAAATGTAGTTACATATGATAAAGATTACAAGAATGCCATTTTACACCAAAGGTGTTAGAACTCCTTCTTGAAACAAAAGACCCTCTGATATATCTACTTTTGTGCAAAAAAATAAATTCTTAAACCTAATAGCTGAACTCATTCCAAAAATGCAGAGAGAGCCTCATTTTCTGAGGGTTTCTCATTTGTACCTGGAAAAGACTTGAGCTTGAATGACTTGTGAACCGCAATTACGCACACCCACAAATGTCTTACTGCAGACATGAGTATTTGTTTGTAACATTTGGTGGGTATGAAGTGGCAAGCACGAAAGCCATCCTTTTGAAACTTTTCCTGGTGTATGGAAAATCTTAGTTTCTCATTTATGTAAACCAGTCCTGTAACTCAGATAAATACAACTCTTTGGAACAGAAATATTACCACGTCCTTGCTTTCCTCAGCTAAACTTAGAGCACTCAATGATGGGCACATTTTCTGGGTTCCACCTTCTGCAAACAAATTTAAAAGTACTGAAAAGTAACCAAGGCTTTACATCACAGAGTAACAGATTTGGGAAAGAAGGCTGGAGAAATGTTACAAACAGTACTGTTACTCTGTTGGGTGATTTAAACAGTAAGATTTATTGTCTCCTTCCAGTCTAAATTCTAAACCATGGATTTTGTCAAAGGTTCATACTAACTCACATCAAATTAGGCTTGATGTGAATGAGCCAACTCATTCCTAACCACATACTAAAAGTAGGAAAATGATTTGCCTTTTTGTTTTGTTTTGTTTTGTTTTAAGGTCACATGCCTGGGACTTCTGCAAACAGTAGTATTATTAAAGGGAAATCTCCATGCAGTTCCAAGAATGATAAAAACATCTCCACAGAGGAGATATTTCTGATTAACAATTGAATGAAAGTAAAAACAGTAAAGTGAAATTTAAAAATAGAACATACCACATAATGCTTTGCAAAGTAACAGGCAATCAGTGCTATTTGTGCCTGACTGCCTTGAGATTAACTTTTCTCTTTCCTGTCCATTGTCTTCTAGAGCCACAAATGAACATTAGGTTACCTCAAAGGTGTAACATTTCTAAGCACTTTGAGGAAAAAGAGGGGCTTCAGCAATATTTAAATTTAATTGTAAACTATTTGCTTAAGGTTCACTAAATTATACCATTATTATCTATAAATGTGAAAAGAATATACTCTCATCTGAGTGGGTGGCTTAAATGTAACTTTACTTATTTGAATATAATATTCAAATACTTGCTAAACTGATAGTGGGATATAATTTATAAACTACTTTATTGCTTCATTAAATATTTTCTTCTTGGGTTAGGTAATTTAATGTCTAATCATTTTATCACCAAAATTAAACTTATAGTTTTTAAATCTTTGTTTCAGTTTGATTGCTCACATTTCAGCAGTCCCAAGGATTATGATAGGCTCACAAAGAAACAAGAGATATAGAAGCAACACATATCATGACAAGACTCAAGTCCTTTTCCTTAGGCAAAAATACAGTGGTTTTCTTCATAAAAAATATAAAACATGAAGATATAAAACAAAAGTCATCAGAAAAGTCTAATCAATTTTGCTAGAGCCTATAATGACTTAGATGTTCAGGAGAAAAAAATACATTGTTAAAAGAGACTGAGGTTCCACACAATGAACAAATATCAAAATGATATTTAAGTTATACCAAAAACTTGACCATCAGTTCGTGGCAAATTATTCCTTCTAATAGAAATGAATCTACATTACCTATATTTAGCAAGATCACATCATAGAGAAATATAGAGCTATTTCCACTGCTAATTTACATAATGGAAAGTGGAAAAGTTTGCTGTTTCCACATGCCAAGCCAAAATATATAATTATCTTTGCCAAACATTCAGCAATCTACAGGGTTTGCATGCATAAGACATCCATAGCCAGGATTACATTTGCTTTATGGACATCCATGTAAAGGGAAATAGGAACACTGACTTAGTCTATAATCCTTTATAAAATGTGATTTGGACTTTTACTTTACACAGAAATATTTATTTATTCAGTAAATTTTTGAAAACTAAAATTTCTAATTCTGATATTAGAACAACTCTCTAAAGACATTATGTTAATGCACAGTGAATAATTTTTGTGGAAATCATCTATTGTTAGAAAACTTTCTTCAGTCTATTATGTGCCTGAAATGATAGCTTTTTATTCACAAAAATAAATAAAATTACCCTTATAAATGTAAAACCCGTAAGAAAAAATATTTTTTATAAAATTATCCATTTCTGTTTTGTTAATTTGGATTTTAAAAGATGTGTTTCTATACTACCAAGAGGTTTCTATACTATGTAAGAGGTTTCTATACTATGCAATCTCCAGAAACCTTCAGTTGTTTTGGCGGTAGGACCCAGGGACACTCCCAGAATTGCAAACTCTTTTCCTGTTCTACAACTGAATCCAAGGACAATCTTTAGAAACAATTCTTGCTTCACCAAATATAAAGCTTGCTTTTGGAGATGGCTCAGGGGAAAGGATTAAGAGCTTAGGTGTACACAGCCTGAAGAAACAGGATAGTATAAGCATTTGAATGGGAAACTTTTGGATCCTAGGTATAGAATACACATGTGTCCTTGGAGTTTACAAAGAAACACTCTAGTTTCAACAGAAACAAACAGCAGAAAGACAAGGAAGGGCAGATATCAGTAAAAATACAGTTAAGATAAATGCTTGGAAATCGCTCCACTTTCTTTTTGAATGTGTCACTGTACTGAGCATTACCTTTTGGCCAAACTAACAAGAGTGATTATCATCTACTTTAACTTAGAGTGAAAGGTGTTTCATAGGACTCCAAAAACTAAATTATAAACATGAGGTTAAAACAAAATATGAGGTTATTCCAGATCTCTTGGAGGGACCTAGAAAATTACATCAAAGTTCCCTTAGTTTAAAAAAGAAAGAAAAAGTTATCTTTGTGTTTATGATACATAAAAGAATACTAAGGTAGTATGAGGAGACTTAATATCAGAGCTTTACAGAGGAGTTCACTGAAAGTTCAAATCAGAAAAGAGCAGAGTTATGCAGCTGGTTACAAAAATCACAGAAAAAAGTTGTACTTGTTACCTTATTACGCAAACAGATATGATTCAATAAAGCCTGAAAGTTTTTTTTCTTAATTTGGTTTTACTTTCTTTAGAATGTATTTGAATATTCATGATATAATGTGATTTCTTTAAAAAAAAAAAGCGAGGGGCATGACAACTTTTGAGATTGCTTCCATAAAACAATTCACAGCTGATTTTTCCTCCATCTCATGTTTAGTGATACTATACATATTATTTTTGGTAATTCTCATTTACTATTCTAACAGAACAATTTCATCCAGTGTTATTAATGATCAATATAATAAAGTTTCCTGTTGGCCCCAAAAGTATGGTTAGGTACTTTTACTTTCAATCAGAAGTTCCGGCAAATGTTCAAGAAAGACAGGAGCAATTAAGAGCTTATATGTTCTGAATAAATGATGGGTCTAACTTAAGGAAAGAATAATTTTGATTATATTCAGACACTCAACATTCTCCTACATTGTGTGGCAAAAATGGTAACTAG
Source organism: Homo sapiens (assembly GCF_000001405.40). Taxonomy (NCBI): domain Eukaryota; kingdom Metazoa; phylum Chordata; class Mammalia; order Primates; family Hominidae; genus Homo; species Homo sapiens. The sequence continues at coordinate 64,833,728 of NC_000005.10, read as the reverse complement.
CTTCAGCACAAAGTTCTGGGTGAAGGTCACAGGAAAAAGAAAATCAAAACTATTTGAGTATGTCCCTGAGTTACCAACTTCCAAATAAATCTAGGTTGCAAAGAATACATAAACTGAAAATAAAAGCCTACATAGAACAATACAAGTGGTTGTTTAACTTCTAAGATTAACCAAGTTGTGCCATCACTTAACACTGAAGTGCAAAACAATCTAACAACCTCTTTATACCACACCAAATACCTCTCAAGGACATTTAAATTGCTGAAGGAATAATCTCAAAAGCATGCATTGGTCAATAAGAGAATCCAGTTATATACAGATGGTGGCATTTATTCCTCCATCGCTGATATCAAAGAAATTCAAAGTGGGTGCTTTACAACCTAAAATAGTATAAACAAAATACAGAAAGAACTGTATCTGAGGATCTTTAGAACTAAACTATGTGTCATTTATCTGTTCTGGTTTAAGCATGAGCTGATTTGAAAGCAGTGAGATGAACCTGAATGGAGTTTTCAAATATCCAGAACCAATGGAATACATACATAAATCTGTGTGGGGGGGTATGTGTGTATAATACAAAATAATTTGGAAATACGTGGGCTTACCATCTACCAGTTACTGTTCTAAGAGCTTTACATATTTTAAATCATGTAACTTCACACAAATCCTATAATGTAATACTATTATAAGTTCACTTTACAAACGAGAAAACTCAGGTTACAACTTGCTCTAGATCTCTAGATTTCATAGCTCGGCAGAGCCAGATTTGTTTGGTCCTAGAGTCTGTGCTCTATGCTCTTAAGCCACTATATAAGCAGTTCATAAGTATGGTTTGTGGACCCTGGGAAACTCTGAAATCATTTCAAGAGCGTCTATGAGGTAAATAGTATTTTAATAATATTAAATGTGATTTGCTCTTTCACTGTTTTGACATTTGTACTGAGGGTACAACTGCTGCATGAGTCAAAGCGGTGTAGCAAAGTCTAAAAGTCATTGTATTTGTCTCTGCTCACAGTAGTTTTTAAAAAATGCCAGTTTCATTTAATATCCTTGATGAAGCAGTAAAAAAAATATTAATTTTATGAAGTTCCAACTTGAATACAGTATTTTGTGTTATGGAACAGAAGTATGCACAAAGCACTTCTACTGCAGACATAAGTATGATAGTTGTTTTGAAGAAAAACACTTGTGCGAATATATGAATTGTGAGCTAAAACTGGTTTTCTTTATGGTATACTCGATATTTGAAAGAAAAACTGACAAACTTTGTTATTCTAATCTGGAAACAAAGTGAACTTCTCATTTAAAAAAAAAAGACAAACTATTAGTAGACAATAATAAAATTTGAGCTTTCAAGCAAAAGTTGGAATTTTAGAAAACTCAAAACCACTACCTTGGAATTACCGAAACACTGAAAGATGTTTTTGAAAATAAGGGATGACATTAACAAATGTGATTTTTTGGATATTACAGAACAAGATGTATCAACATTTGGAAGATCTGCATAACTTGATGGATCAATGCTTTCCACATGACTAATGCACAATATTACAAAATCACACATGGGTAAAAGATTCATTTAAAGTGCAAAATAAACCAATGGATTTTAATGTACAAGAGACTAGGAAGGGTTTATTTATTTGGTTTTAGATTTTACATTGCATGCAACTTATAAGAAATTACTACTTGTTGAGTTTTGGTTAAGTATTAAAAAAAGAATAACCACAAATATATGTGCTATTAAATAGTCCTCCTTTCTCACATTATATATCTATGTAAAGCCAGATTTGCCTTCTACAGCTTGACCAAGACAACATAGTACATACAACAGAGTGAATAAAGAGGCAGATATAGGAATCCAGCTGCCTTCTATTAAACCAGTTATTAGTTATAAAAATGTAAAATAAAACCACTCAATTTTTTTTGGCAAAATGGTTATTTTTTTCTAAAATGTATGTTTTTTATGTGAAGATTTAATGGAGTTTATTATTAGTTTTCCTTTCCAACTTTTATTTTAGGTTCAAGGGGTACATGAGCAGGTTTGTTACATGAGTCAATTGTGTGTCACAGGGGTTTGGTGTATAGATAATTTTGTCACCCAGGTAATCAACATAAAACCTTATAGGTAATTTTTCAAATGTTTTTTAAAATTTCTGTTTTAATTTCTAATAAAGTAAATATCTATATCTATATCCATATCTATCTATGTGTCTGTCTATCTATCTATCTATCTATCTATCTATCTATCTATCTCAAATAAATAAAAGCTTTTTGGAGTCCTCAATAATTTTTAAGATTGTAAAGGGTCCTGAGGCCAAAAACTTTAAGAAATGCTGAATAAAACTACACTCTCTTCTACAAGTGTGAGTGAGTGTGTATATATACACATGGTGGTGGGGGGAGGGGAGGAAAGTAGGGATTTTCAACTTCCCTAAGGGGAAGAAAATGTACTAACCAGCAAACATGAAAATTACCTTAGCAATTATAATTCTATAATTCAAGAAATTGTCATACAACATTTTGAAAAATGGCATTTTCACTAAGCAGAAAATAGAAATAATAAGCTAGAAAACTATCACAGGTTTGATGAGGAGTAAACCTGTTTGAGCACTACTGAATGTCTGAAGTACACAAAATCAAATGTGTGGCTCAAAAATAAACCATATTTGTAATGTAAGGCAATTACTGATACAAGCATAACATAATATAATAGACAACATATTCAAATCCTTGAAGAACCAGCTGAGACATATCATTTTTAAATGTGCCCTAATCACACATCAGATGCTCAATAAATGTATAGCAAGACTTAGAACCAACCCAAATGTCCATCAATGATAGACTGGACTAAGAAAATGTGGCACATATACAACATGGAATACTATGCAGCCATAAAAAAGGATGAGTTCATGTGTCTGTTGGCTGCATAAATGTCTTCCTTTGAGAAGTGTCTGTTCATATCCTTTGCCCACTTTTTGATGGGGTTGTTTGATTTTTTCTTGTAAATTTGTTTAAGTTCTTTGTAGATTCTGGATATTAGCCCTTTGTCAGATGGGTAGATTGTAAAAATTTTCTCCCATTCTGTAGGTGGCCTGTTCACTCTGATGGTAGTTTCTTTTGCTGTGCAGAAGCTCTTTAGTTTAATTAGATCCCATTTGTCAATTTTGGCTTTTGTTGCCATTGCTTTCAGTGTTTTAGTCATGAAGTCCTTGCCCATGCCTGTCATGAATGGGGTTGTCTAGGTTTTCTTCTAGGGTTTTTATGGTTTTAGGTCTAACATTTAAGTCTTTAATCCATCTTGAATTAATTTTTCTATAAGGTGTAAAGAAAGAATCCAGTTTCAGCTTTCCACATATGGCTAGCCAGTTTTCCCAGCACCATTTATTAAATAGGGAATCCTTTCCCCATTTCTTGTTTTTGTCAGGTTTGTCAAACTATCGCAAGGATAGAAAACCAAATACTGCATGTTCTCACTCATAGGTGGGACTTGAACAATGAGAATACTTGGACACACGGTAGGGAACATCACACACAGGGGCCTGTCATGGGGGGCCGGGGGAGGGATAGCATTAGGAGATATACCTAATGTAAATGACGAGTTAACGGGTGCAGCACACCAACATGGCACATGTATACATATGTAACAAACCTGCACGTTGTGCACATGTATCCTAGAACTTAAAGTATAATTAAAAAAAAAAAGAATGGAAAAGAAAAGAAAAAAAAATGGCATAGCGAAAAAAAAAAAAAAGATGAGTTCATGTTCTTTGCAGGGACATGGATGAAGCTGGAAACCACCATTCTCAGCAAACTAACACAAGAACAGAAAACCAAACACAGCATGTTCTCACTTTTAAGTGGGAGTTGAACAATGATAACACATGGACACAGGGAGGGGAACATCACACAATGGGGCCTGTAGAGGGGTGGGAGGCTAGGGGAGGGATAGCATTAGAAGAAATACCTAATGTAGGTGACGGGTTGATGGGTGCAGCAAACCACCATGACACGTGTATACCTATGTAACAAACCTGCATGTTCTGTACATGTATCCCAGAACTTATAGTAAAAAAAAAAAAAAAAAAAAGTGAATAAAAGTATTAAAGTGATTTTCCTTCCTCAGGAAGTTCTCAGCATTGAAGTTATTGTCAGCATATATTCAGCAATTAAGTATATGAGGCCTTCTGTGTAGTTCTAACGGTATTCCATGTATTTTACATATATACACACATTTGTATATGTATACAAATGTAAGTTACATATTTCTTTCTCGATACCTGTTTTTTTACTAGTAGAGTTCTAACAGATCCCAAATTAAATTTTTCAAATTGGGGAAAAATTAACATCAATTATAGCCTGTTTCTGGAGGGAAATTTTACCTATTCTAAATAACATACAAATAAAATTACAAACATGATCCATTCATAAGTTGAGTCAGTACTGACATTAAGCCATTAATTCTAAAATTGGAAATTGACTGAATTTCCTGGACCTAACAAATAATCTCACAAGAAAAAGAATAAAACACATGAGTCATAAAAGGTAGAAGTTAGGCTTGTTTTTAGAAAATTCAAATCATGAAAAATCATTTTATAAGAAATGACATTAGCAATCTAACTATCCTGTTATAATACAATCTGGTTCAAATAAATACAGAAATTTTAAAAATCACATTTTCATTTTGTACATTGATATTATCATTTGCATGATCACAGATTCAACATTCACTCATTCCATTAAATAAATGGTTGAATATTTACCATATACCTCATACCACAGATGGCTGTGATCAGCTTCTCTAGGTGGCTTCCTGCCCTTTTGCTTGCATGTACTCTTTTGATTAACTATTTTATGGGTAGAGGGAAATAATGTGAATATAGTAACTGTTTCTGAATTTGATGTGTTGTTGTAAACTGGTGAGTGGCCTGGGAACTTTCAGAGGATAGTACAGGTAAAACTAAGCCAGATTTACATTCAGACTCAGATGACCTAGGTTGTCAATAACAAAATAATCTTGAACAAGTCACTTATCTTCTATTCATAAAAGCTTTATCTGTAAAATAAGGAAACTGGGTACTATTCTCTGAATGTTTACAATCTGTCTTGGGCCTCTTTTATAAGGGCATTAATCCTACTTATAAAAGAGGCCCAAGAGAGGTCTCAAGCCCCCTCTGCCATTTGAGGATGCAGCAAAAGACAGCTGCCTATGAACAAGGAAGTGAGCACTCACTAGACATTAAATCTGCCAGTGCCTGAATCTTGGACTTCCCAGCCTCCAGAACTGTGAGAAAAAAAAAATTCAGTTATTTATAAGCCAGCCGGACTATGGTATTTTGTTATAGGAGTCCAAACGGACTAAGACACTGGGAGACAGTTAATATGGTTCTTTCAACTTTAAACTTCCATAATTCTATTTAGGTGCTGTAAACATTTGGCATAGGAAGATTAAGTGGGACAGAGGATTAAGTACTACTTAATAGGAAAACAATGGTAGTATAAATGACTCATCCTAGCTACTTTAAAAATGCCTAATACATTTTTCTTAAATTAAAAATGTCACATAGTAAAATGAACGCATTCAGAAAGAATCACCTGAAAAATTCTGAAAATTATTAGAGAATACATAGTCCCCCTGCCTTATCCAAGAGGGATACATTCCAAGACTCCCAGTGGATAAAACTGCGGAAAGCACGCATAGTATAAAACCCCATATATACTATGTTTCTCAATTTGATACCAAGATGGCTACTACTAAGTGACTACCAGGCAGCTAGCATATAAAGCATGGATACATTGCACAAAGGAACGATTCTTATCTTGGGCAGCACAAAGCAGGATGGTGTAAGATTTCATCACACTACTCAGAACAGCATGCAATTTAAAACTTATGAATTATATATTTCTGGAATTTTCCATTTAATATTTCTGGACTGTGGGCAATCAAAACTATGGAAAGCAAAACCATGGATATAGGTCGACTACTGTGTCCTCAATAAGTATGTAGTATCTTGAAAACAGAAAAAGAGAATATGATATAATATAATTTAAATAGCTACAATTTATTAAATGCCTACTAATTCATATTAGCATTACAACAATCTGGTAAAATAGCTGTTTTTATTTCTGTTTTAAAATAAGGAAACTGAGGATCAGAGATTAAATAAGTCAGGCAAAGATACTAAGTTAAAAAGTGGTACAGCTGGTATTCCAACCTGGATGTGTTTAACTCCAAAGCAATACTCCTTCCTCTATAAAAATGTAGTATTCCTGATTCCTACAAACAAGTCCTTTTTTTATAGTCAAGTTTCAATTGCTAATGGTAATGGGAAAAGAAACAACATGGAAAAATAAAACTCATGCAAACGTGGTATAAAAGCTTATGACATGGGATAAATTCCAGTACGATGAGTTCTGAGGCTAGGTAAGATACTGGGTCAGATGGTTCTAGGTACCTTCCAAATCTCAAATGTGAATAATATTCTCAATTCATTGAAACTTAAACAGATTATCTACTCCATTTTCCTACTCATTAGAGAAGTTTACAATTTTGTGTTAAATGAATTGTAAATTAAATACAAATATCAAGTATGTTATTTAGAGGATTGGGGGAATCTTCTAAGGAAAGGATGCGAAGACCTGCTATGTTAACTTTCTATTTTCTTTCAATGCGCTTGTTTAAAAGAAAAACACATTGAAAATTCAAAAGGCAATTTTAACCTAGGTTACTACAATTTGCTTAAAAGTGGGAAAAAATTGTTCCAGAGAAGAATATGCTGATTTGCTTTTTCATTTCCATTTACTTTTTCTTTTCTTAGGGTGAGACAACAAAATTGCCACACACATATACACACAATGCTCTGAAGAAAATTAAGGAGGACACGTCCAAGAAAATTTACCAACTAAAAATTTATCTTGGATAATGAAAAGGAAACTAAGATTTCTAAGTATTATACAGGATAAAACTGAAAGCAGAAGACATGAAACTAACAGTTGTATTACATTGTGATATTAGCAAAAAAAAAAAACAAAAAAACACCAAAGTTAAAAATTACTACTAACTTATTAACCAAAATAATTAGTGAACTATAAAGTCAGAACTTACTACTTGTCATTTAGTTTCTCAAGAATGCAATCCTGTCAAAAAAACTGATTGATCAAGGAAATTTGCAAGTTTCTAGGTATAATCTAAACATTAACATGCAAGTCTAAAGTGCCATCAAAAATATTGGGGGCATTTAGAGGACATTCCAAACAACCACAGCAGAATACACATTCTTTTCAAGTGTACATGGAACATACACCAAGATTCACTATATGATGGGACAAAAAACAAGTCTCAATAAATGTCAAATAACTGAAATCATACAGAATATGTCCTCTGACCACAATGAAATTAATGTAGACATCAGTAACAAAAAAATATTTGAGAAATTCCCAAATATTTAGAAATTAAACAGCATACTTCTAAATAACCCACAGGTCAAAGAAAAAGTCACAAGGGAAATTAAGAAACATTTTGAGCTGAATGAAAATGAGAACACAATTTTGTCAGTCCAGGTTCAACCAGAGAAACAGAACCAGTAGAAGACAGATAAATAGATAATTGATGGATGGATAGATAGATAGATAGATAGATAGATAGATAGATAGATTTATTACAAAGAATTAGCTTATACAATTGTGGGAGCTGCCTAGGCAGATCTGAAACCTGTAGAGCAAGCAAGCCATCAGGAAGGGCGTGCTGGAACTTTTGGGCATGAACTGAAGCTACTATTCACAGACGAAATTTATTCTTTTTCAGGGAAGTCTGAGCTCTGCTCTTTGGACTTTCAAATGATTGAACCAGGTCCCCAGATTATCTGTGATAATCTGCTTTACCTAAGTCACTGATTGTAGACGTTAATCACAACTACAAAATAACTTCATACCAACACCTAGATTAGTTTTTGATGGAATAACTGGAGTCCATCGCCCCACCAAGCTGACTTACAAAACCAACCATCCTAACAACATATCAAAATTGGTGAGATGCAGACAAAGCAGTGCTGAGAGGGAAATTTCAAGTTTTAAATGCATATATCAGAAAAGAAGAGGGGTTCAGAATCAATCATCTAAACTTCCATCTTTAAAAGCTAAAAAACAAAACCCCAAAACAGACAAGAAGAAAAAGGGGAAGAGCAGAAGGAGCAAATTAAATAAGTAGAAAAAAGGAAGTTGGAGAACTACATGATTTCAAGCCATACTAATACAGATCATGTAAACATATATCTCAAGGACTTTTAATAACATAGGAAACTTGCCAATTTGGTAAATTGTTAGTTCCAACCTCTCCCTGCTTACCACGTTCCAGATATAACTTTCACAGAAGTTGAGACCTAGATGCACCCTTAAAGGTAGCAGGTAGTTCAATTCTTTCATTTTTAAGAAAAGAACACCCAGTGTCAAATAGTTGGGGAAGAGACATGCAAAACTATAAGCATGGTTTCCAAACTCCCTCCCACAGCTCTTTCCATTGCAACATACGGTCTCCAAGTTGCCTTATATGTTACTAAAAATTTGACACACCTGATTTACTGTGCTGTAGCTTTTGGGAAAACATGCCATTATACCTACTTGCTCATTTTCTTTTACTTCTTAAATGTATCCACAGGCTACCTTGAGAGGCACCTTTCTGTGAATTAGAAAAGAACACTTACTGGCCGGGTGCGGTGGCTCATGTCTGTAATCCTAGCACTTTGGGAGGCCGAGGCGGGTGGATCATGAGGTCAGGAGATCGAGACCATCCTGGCTAATCGGGTAAAACCCCGCCTCTACTAAAAATAGAAAAAATTAGCTAGGCATGGTGGTACGTGCCTGTAGTCCCAGCTACTAGGGAGGCTGAGGCAGGAGAATCTCTTGAACCTGGGAGGCGGAGGTTGCAGTGAGCCGAGGTCGCACCACTGCACTCCAGCCTGGGCGACGGAGTGAGACTCCATCTCAAAAAAAAAAAAAAAAAAAAAAGAGAAAAGAAAGGAACACTTCCCCTGGGGGGTGCCTTCTAGAGGAAAAAAAAAAAAAACCCACAAAACTTTTCTAGACTGAAGGATTAGAAGAAGGTACCCTTAGGACTGACATACCCTCACACCAGTGCAGAAGGCTTGGTGAGTAGAGCCCCAGCTAGATTTCAGCCCATACTCACATTCCATAACTAAGCTTCCCTTTTCAGGTCACAATATGCACAACCATCTTTAGTAGTCCACTTACTAATCATTCACCATCTTGCTGAATGCAGAAAATCAAGTAATGTTAGTCCATAAAAATATTCCATTCATAAATGAATAACATACAGAAAAAAATCTTCTAAAACAATATCTTAAAACTCTTAAGCTATATCTTAAAACTCTTGGCATAACAAAGTTCTAATATTGTAAATACTCTAGTAAAATAATAATATTAAAAGAGGAAGACTTTATTACCAATGCTTTCTTTTAAAGAGTGACATTTTATGTTTGTTTTCTTTAGTAAGATTTGAAGTGTTTCTATAAGTGCTATATTTAAAAAACACATAGATGGAAAAAATAAAGCAAGATGTTTTCCTAAGCAATAAATGTCATTGGGTTTTCAGCAAGGACATTTATGTTTCTAAAATAAAACACTTGCATTCACTAGCTAGATAAAGTTAGAACTTTATCTTTTAAATTTGTTTCCTTCAGTGAACATATCTATAATCACATTGGTAGACACGTTATTTTTGTTCTATGAGGTTGTCATAAAGTTTTTATTATAAACAGGATGTTCTCAAATATAATGCTTTCATTTTTTATAAACATTCAAAATTAAACAAAAGAAATAAAAATAATTAACAATTTTTATAAAATACAATTAGCAAATATTATCTTAAAAGAGACCATTCCTTTCACTAGCAAAATTACTCTTATATCCTACTTACTCCAGTTTGAGTTCCGGCTGGTTGGCAGCATAAACCTGCCTTAAAACGCACCTTCAGGAAAATTCTATTTAACTTCACTTGACTTAACATTTTACAGAGATTCCCTATGTATTTAGAGTGCTCAGTCTGTTTATACTATTTGGTACTTTTTAATGTATTACTTTCTTAATTTCATGTGCTCATGTTTTACAGAGCATGAGTTAGGCAGTAATTGCATCTGATGCCAAGTCATTCTCTGTATCCAACAGAGGGATGTAGGAGGTGGGAAAACCAGGATGCTTATGAAGGATAATAGCTACTAATTTTGTAGGTAGGCTTGTCTTGTTTCCCTATCCCTATAGACTGGCTTCATCAATTCTACTTCATTGGAACTACACCCTTTAAATACAGTCGCTTAAAAGATAATACTCTGGTTGCCATATAGGCTTAATAACTATTGTCAATTACCTGACAAATTAATTTTTAATTTTACTTTGAAATACGCCATGGTTGGAAGAGAGTATCAGACAGTGAGCTGCTCTATGGTTGTTAAATGACAGAACTGGACTGTGTGGTATCAATGGTACTTTCAACTTTATAATCACAGGCCATCAATGGCATTACGTTTTAAAAGTGGTCTCATGTACACATTTCATTTGACCTTATCAAAACACCACTGAAATAGGAAGGGCAGGTATTGATTGCATTTTACTGATGAGGAAGCAGGAGATTCAGAAAAATTGGTTTACTCAGATCTCATTTCTAGCAAACAATGCTGGCATCAGAACCTAAATATTCATAGATCACAGTTGTCATTAAATTTGAGTAACATTTGTTATTCAAATAAATTCTAGCCTAGTGCTAGAAATAAAATTTGTTTTAATCGTGCTATGTAAATTCATTCTTCTCACTAAACCATTACCTCATTTACTGTAGTGATTTGATATTCATTTTCAAATTGTAAAAAGTAAAATAATAATCTAAAATAGTAATCTTAACAAACCTTCCTACTCATATTACTCTTTTCCAAAAATGCAGAAATTCAATATTAATCCAGCCTTGAATCCTTCAAATTGATTTACTCTAGTTTTAAAAAAATTAATCTATTAATATGTTTATCTGTACACTTGAAATAACACACAAATAAAGCAAAATGAGTTGTATTTACAGTTTATTATACAGGAAGGTAAATCATTATCTGGTTCCAACCTATCTTTTCCAGCTTTATTTCCAACTATATTCTCTCCTCTGGTCACAATAGATTATTCCTCAAATACACCCTGTACTTTTCTCAGTTTCCTCTTCTGGAAATTCCCTTCCCCACCCATTTCCTCTTATTCAAACTCTACCCCTTCTTCAAGGCCTAAAATTAATGCTACTTGCATACATGCAGACTTCCTAATCCATAAATTCAAAATTAATCTCTCCATGTTCCATGAAGCTACTGTACTTTCTCTAATCTTGTGTTTTATATAGATTTCTTTGTATACACACAGCTAACTATCTGGCTCAGCTGAGAGCTTTATGCCACTTGGATATTGTAGATGTCTGAAAAACTGTTTGATGGATGCAAATTACCTATCAAACAGAACACTGCTTCAAGGTTTTCATCATGTCATGTCTGTCTCCTCAATCTCTAACCTTGGCTCCTCCCAGTTTATTTTCCATGTTATTATTATACAATGGTGATCTCCCAAAAACAAACCCTAATCATGTAACTTTCCAACTTTAAATCTTTGTATTGTTTTCTACCATCTAAAGGACAGAGTCCATTTCCAAATACGCCATACAAGGCCCGTCATGACCTGGCCCCAGTCTATTTTTCTAACACTTTCTACCAATTCCGGCAGACATGCAACCATGTGTACAAAAGTTCCTGCAGTTATCAGGATATCAAACTCTCACCTATCCCCTTGCACCTACTTTCTATATCCTTGGTACACCATTCTAATATCCCATTCCTTAACCCTCATCTCAACGGAGGTATAATATGGCAGTTAAGTCAAGGATATCTGTGTTTAAATCCTATATTGCCAAGTTCTGGGAGAGTAATCCTGAATAAGTTAAACTTTTAAAAACACAATTAGGGAAAGGTGGGAAAGCTCTCTAACTTCACCATTCTTCCCCTACTCTTTTTGCAATACCACTCTGATCCTATGGTAAAGAGAGCAGCTTCAGGATTTTCTGCAAAACAAAAAACTAAGGGTTAGTACTAGAATGTAAGCTCTATGTTCCCTGCAGTAGAAGATTAAAACAGGTAAGTTTTAAAAACAAATATGCCTTAAACTTTCTTTTCCTCTAGTTCCTTATTCACTATATGCTGAAGTGTGAAGTAACAATACATAGAAAATGTTAAATCCTTTTTGGCTTAATAGTCCATCTCAGCAAGGATATTAACATATTTTCACGTTTATTTGCCTCATCTATTATCTTTGGGGAAATATCTGTTAAGCTCTTGTGACCATTTAAAAAATTACTTTGTTGGCCGGGCATGGTGGCTCATGCGGTCAAGACATTGAGACCATCCTGGCCAACGTGGTGAAACCCCGTCTCTACTAAAAATACAAAAATTAGCTGGGTGTGGTGGCACGTGCCTGTAATCCCAGCTACTTGGGAGGCTGAGGCAGGAGAATCACTTGAACCATGGAGTTGGAGGTTGCAGTGAGCCAAGATTGCTCCACTGTACTCCAGCCTGGCGACAGAGTGAGACTCTCTCAAAAAAAAAAAAAAAAAAATTGCTTTGTTTTCTTATAGTTGAATTTTAAGAGTTCTTTATATATTCTGGATACAAGTCTTTTATCAGATATATGGTTTGCAAATATTGTTTTCCCAGTCTGTGGCTTGTTTTTTAATCTCCTTAAAAGCATCTATCACAGAACCAAAGGTTTGTTTTTTTTTTGATAAAGTTTACTTCATCATTTTTGTCCACAGATCATGCTTTTTGTGTTTAAAAACTCACTGTCAAACCCCAAGTTCATACAGATTTTCTCTTTTTCTTCTAGAAGTGTAATAGTTTTATGTTTTGGTCTATGATCCATTTTGAGTAAATTTTTATATAAAATATAAGGTATGTATCAAGATTTATTTATTTGCACATAGATCTCCAATTATTCCAGTACCATTTGTTGAAAGGACTATCATTTTTCAATCCAATTATCTTTGTACCTTTGTCAAAAAAATCAGATGACTATATTTGTGTAGGTCTGCTTGTGGACTCTGTATTCTGTCCCACTGATCTATCTCTCTATCTTTTAACCATCTTTTCTTTTTTTTTCCTTCTTTAAGATTTAATAGGTATGTCACACTCTAGATATTGGTTCACATATACTTAAGTGGCTCTTCTAGTTCAAGGTATCATACTCTGTAAAAGGATTTCTTTTTGTTCTAAGAATTAGAATGAAAATATAACAACAACAACAACAACAAAAAGTTAAACAGAACTTGAGTGATGTGAAGCAGATAAAGACTGTTGTACAATAGCACAATATACTAAGGCCAGGTCACTGCTCTGGCTGAAAACTGGGAGTTGTTTCACCTTAAAGAGCCCAGATGAAGTGTGCCCTTTGGCATAGTATATTTCCATGTCAGATTTACAGCTTTGTAAGGTTTTATTTGTTTCCATTTTGTTTATACCCGGTTTAGGTGCCAGGTGTTCATCTAAAGTAATCTTGAGCAGTTACAGTATTTAAAAAAAAGAACAGTTCAAATAAATACACAGCATCAACTTTCAAACACTCTTAAAATATTAGTTAAAACTTTTGAAAGAATAAACTGAAAATTTTCTCATATATGTCTTTGTTGGAATAAACACTATTTATCAGTTTTATGAAAATTATTTAGTAGGGGTTTTTATACATATTAATAGCAAAAAGCTCTGAATGACCTTAAACTGCATGAATTAAGGTAATTCAAACATTCTCCCAAACTATGACCATAATACCAAAGACTGAAAGCAGTGATGCTGCAATTTAACCATCCTTAGGTTGTAATTCCTTTCTAAAGGCAAGAGTCCTAAGTTGTCAGTTTGTGTTGCAGGCCATGCTTAAGTACTATAATAGGTGTTTTGTCCCCGTATTAGTCCATTCTCACGCTACTAATAAAGATATAACCAAGACTGGATAATTTATAAAGGAAAGAGGTTTAACTGACTCACAGTTTCACATGGCTGGGGAGGCCTCATGATCATGGCAGAAGACAAAGGAAGAGCAAAGTCACATCTTACATGGTGACAGGCAAAGACAGCGTGTACAGGGGAACTCCCCTTTATAAAACCATCAGATCTAGTGTGACTTATTCACTATCATGAGAACAGCACGAGGAAAGACCCAGCCTCATGATTAATTACCTCCCACTGGGTCCCTCCTACAACATGTGGGAATTAAGGGAGCTACAATTCAAGAGGAGATTTGGGTGGGGACATAGCCAAACCATATCAGTCACCCTTTTTTAACTTTATTTTAGGTTCGGGGGTACACACGAAGGTTTCTTACCTAGGTAAATACATGTCAGAGGGGTTTCTTGTATATATTACTTCATCACCCAGGTATTATTAAGTCCAGTATGATGTCCCTTTTGTCCCACTGAAAATTATTATAGTTCACTGACACAATTTAGAAATAAAGCTAGTTTGGCTAACAAAAGGAAACCTCTCACTTTGTCTCCTTAAAGTCAAGTGACCATTGTCTTCTGCAAACATCCGAACCTAGCATTAAAAAGACAAAATAATCTAGATCCCAACTTGCTTTTTAACTTTATTTGCCTTTATTCACCTATGCTCCCAACATATACGAAAAAGCTAAGCAACATGTGTATTTTCATTACTAATTAATTGACCATAAAACCTAGGAGCAAATATCTTTAAATAGCTACTAAAAGGTAAGCACATTTTGTTCTATAATTATTTTCATACTATACAGCACAGGCTAAAACAATAAAAGGAACAAAACATAATTTTTAAAACTTCACTAAAATACTAAGAAATCCTACCTGAGAATGAGTATAAAGCCAAACAATAAGGCTGTTGAATAACTGCAATGTTATCCTGGTCTTTGATTTCTGGGCTATTCTCCAGTACCATCAGGATTAGATAACCTCACCTTCTATCACACTAAATGTATTTCCACAGGTCAGCTACATATATCATTTTTTATAGGTGACTAGACATGTACATACATACTTCACCCAAAACTTACTCTTACCAAACAGCAGCAGGATATAAAATACAAGGTCCCATAACACCCTAGTCTTTGTCCCAGGCCTATGTAATATTTATCTGGATGCTTTGGAGCCAAGCCAAAGGCTTTTCGTTTTAACTTCATTAAACAAAGCCTGTCTTTAAAATATTTCAAGTTACTGTCAATATTGTGAGCAAAAAAAGCATATCCGGAAATTCTATTAATTTGTAATGACTAATAAAACTAAAGTAAACGCTTATCTAAAAGGAAGAAGAAATTGGCAGGAAGTCATTATATAACTTTCAAAGCTAAGAAAACATTCTTTTTTCAATAGAATCAAGAAAATCAAATATACAGTAAGGACAAATCTAACTTCCTATCTATTGAGTACATACATACCTTTGATCTAATGAATTTCCAGAACAAATTGAAAATACAGATTAAAAAGAAGTGATTCAGCAACTTAAACTCATATGCCAATTAACATCTGCCTTTGACCTTAAGAAAAGTACTTTTCAGAAAGAGCAGAAACCCACCAATTATCATATAATTTTTAGACTTTTAAAATAAGATAACTGTAAAGAAGTAGGTAAATCAACACCATAAATGTTAAAATGAAAAGCAGGCTAAGTTCACAACATAAAATTAGGAATTAGAAAAAGCAGTAACATGTATTAAGGGTCTCTAAAAGAAATGTGAGTACACAAAAAATAAATCAAATGTGAAATTACATTTAAAGATATAACAAGGCACTGATGTGCTTCAAAATAAAAATGGAAATCCTACTGAAGGCTTAACACTCACATAGGTGCATTTAAATGGTAAAAACAATTAAATCAATATATATGCACACACATAAATTAAATAACTGAGACTCATGGTATAGCTATATCTAAATAATAAAGAGTAAGGAGGGAGGAGAGATCAAATATCACTAACATATCAAAACTAGCAAAAAGCTAGGAAATAATCATAATGAATTCTGTGAGACTTCAAAGTAGGTCATTACTGAATGGTTTATATTGTGTCTGCTGTTATAAGACAATTACACATAAAGGCCAAGATTCAGTAAAACTAACAAAATTAAACAAATCCACTCATTTAGAAGATTAATGTTGATAAACACTACAGTGGTTGTTAGTTCTTAAAAAGTTGTAGAACTTTGTAGAAAAAAATGATTTCTAAATTATATACTAAACCTACTGAGGTTTTGTTGTTGTTGTTGTTGTTTTAGAGGAGTAGATCCTAACATATGTATTTTATGAAAGTCAAGCAAATTTTATAAATTTGTCTTTAGGTCACTTGAATAAGTACCCCTGGTAGAATAGAGGCAAATTGTTTTAAATAGTATAGTCTGAAAAGGCCTCTCTGTTAAGATGATATTTGAGCAAGGGACTGAACAAAAAGAATGAATGGCTACTAAGAATAACTCAGAGAAGAAAGTTTCATGCTGAGGTAACTAGAAGTGCAGAGGCCTGAAAGAGGAGTGACCTTGGTATGAGAAGAATATGCTTGGTGCAAAGTGAGCAAAAAGAGTAAAGTGGGTAATAGCACGGCCAAAACATATGAGAAAGTAAAAGGATATGAGGACCAGGACACAGAGTGAAGGGGTTGCCCTTGCCAGAAGAAAATAGATTCAGATGCAGATAGGTAGATTTGGTGGTGGGAAAAGGAACAAGTTCTCTCTCACTGCTTCTGTTTCTTAATGAAATACAAGGTGATCAGCCAAAAGTGAGAAGAGGGGTAGAGATGCTGGGTGTTGCAAAGTGATATGACTCTCTTCCAGGAAAAACAAGAAAATCAACTACAAAAACTATTAGAAATAATGATGCAGCCATTCGTTTCCTCCCTGCTGTATTCCCATCTTAGAGAACCTGCTCTATTCACAGGCCTGAAAAAAAGCTGCCTTGTATCATTTTGGGTTCTACCACACATAAGAGAAATTTCAAATAATGTGACTGAATCAACCTGAAAGGTAGTTTATCTCATATAGGAAATGTCCAGAGGTAGGCATTTCAAGCTGCAACAATGGTTCCACGAAGTCTTCAAGGACGCATGCTCCTCTCTATTCTACCGTCCTTAGCTCAAGTCATCAAATCTGTGTGCCAGGCTGACAGGAAGAGGCAGGTACGAAAGAGGGCTAGCTTCTTTCTTCCTTCCTTTAAAAAAGACGGCCTGAATGTCTGACACATTTCTGTTTCACCTCTTTAGCCAAAATTTGGTCATACGACCATACTTAACAATGAAGGAGACTGATGAATGTGTTTCAGTTAAGCAGCCATGACTCCAGTTAAACACTGGCATTCTGGTAAGAGGGAAGGAAGGATAGATGTTGGAGGAGCTACCCATCCTTGCCACATCTGCATACTTCGTGGCTTTCCATTTCCTCTATCAATGGCATAATTGAGTGGACACCTGACCTGGGCCACGCCAATAAGATTCTCTCTCCCAAATATTCAGATTTTGGACACAGAAATCCAGTCAATTTACTTCTGAAGAACTCAACTGCAACAAGTAGCAGACTAGAGCTCTATGGAGAAAACAGGTATGTGAGGATAATGGAACAAATGAATAAAAGAAAAGTATAAGAGAAAAGCTGCAAAAAAAGAGAGAAAATGTAACTTCCTGACAACTTGCTTTCTTGAAAAGACTGTATGCAATTCTTTTATCTGGATTCTATACAACTCCCCTATTCCTTCATACAGAAATTCCTTTACTTGAGCTAATTTGAGTGGGTTTCTATTCCTTATAACCAAAGGATTCTTAAGATATCTAATAAGAAAGTTACAATTTAATGTTGTATGTATATGAAGTGTTATTCATCTGTGAAATTATGGAAGATATCCACTGTATTCTTCTCCACCCTTGGGTGTAAAGACTGATAAGATAAAATTTCCTTTAGAATTTTGTACTTCTAGAAGTCTGAAATAACTAGGAATTGATATATAGTTTTTTTAAAAATTCAGGTAATGGTAATTATATAATTTTTATTATATTTGCCATTTTCTTCCTCCAGGCTGCCAGGAATATGATGATCAAACTTACTACATAGTCATAGATGTAGACAGCAATTTCTGTTTAAATCGTAGAGACTGTAGTAGATTGCATTATCTTTTCCAACAGTTCACTGCTCCTCCCTATGAAAGGTTTATACTTCATCCTATTGACATCAGGCTTAACGATATAACTTGCTTTGGCCAGTGAAATAAAGTGGCATATGCCAATTCGAAGCAGACGCTTTAAGAGCCAGCATATCATTCCTTCATCACTCTTTTCCTCCTGCCATGAGAGTAGCACATTTCAGAGAGGAGCTGTTCCTTCATCCCAGGCCTAGAATGAAGATGATGTGGAGCAGATCCACAGCTGCCCATCAGGATGTAGCCAGAGCAAGAAAACAAATATTAGCTGAGATTTTTAAGCCACTGAGATTTGGGTGCATAACCTAATATAGCTGACTAATAAAGAAAGCAATTGAATAAGAAACAATTCAGGATATACGTTTATGTGTAGCAAAACAGAGGTATATCAGAAAGGACCAACAGGGCAAAAATATCTGAGGAGAGGAGTAGGAATATCCAGTGTTCCTATCTCAATGCTTATTACTACTACTTCTTAGCCAGTCTTCCAAGCCAGAAAACTAGGAGTCATCTGGAATATACCTTTGGTATATTTGAAATATACCTTCAGGTCTCCTACATCCAATCTGTTACCATGTCTTAATAAATCTACCTCCTTAATATCTCTCAAATCCATCCCCACAGATACTACACCTTAGTTAGGCCCTTATTACTTCTCCCTGGACTAGTGTAATAATCTAATTCGTCTTTCTGCTTCAGTCTCCTTCTAATCCATCCCCTATGCTTACAAAGAGTTATATTATAATATATGTGAAATAATGTCACATCTTTGCTAGAAACATTTCATGTCAGTCTTTCTTTAGCTGGACACACATGACTTGGCTCTGGCCAACCCCTCTCTAGGCTCTGTAGAGGTGTCATACCATTGCAGGTTCAAGTACTGGTGTCGCTGCTTTCTAGCTATGGGACATAATGCAAGTCACTTAACCTCTTAAAGTACAGTTTTTACATTTGTAAAAGAAGGATCATAAAACAAAGTATATCTTATACCTTTGCTGTGGAAGTTATATTAGGGAAATAAGTTGATTTAGCAAAGTGTCTGACCCCAAGGTAGAATAATAATAAATATCTGTGGAATAACAGAACAATTTCCTAGCCAGAACACCTATGAACCCTTCACAGCCCTTATTCATTTGTATAGGTTAGGTATTGTTTTCAAGTTGCTTATTAGAAACTAAGCAACTTGAAAGGAGACTGATACTTACTAATTTCAGTATTTTGGGCCCCAGTGCAGTACCTAGTTCAAAGGAAGAACTAAATGACTGTGCAAAACCGAAGTGGTATCCAAAGGGTAGTAAAGCCCCTGAACAGTTGCAGGGGTGTCCAATCTTTAGGCTTCCCTGGGCCACACTGGAAGAAGAAGAGTTGTCTTGGGGCACACATAAAATACCCTAACACTAATAATAGTTGATGACCTAAAAAAAAAAAAAATCGCAAAAAAAATCTCATAATGTTTTAAGAAAGTTTGCCAAGAAAGCCCAGGATGGGCTGCATTCAAAGCCATCCTGGACTGCATGTGACCCATGGGCCACGGGTTGGACAAGCTTGAGTTAGAGGAAAAGGGGAGTAAAAGAAGAGCTAGAGATAGCAAAAATAAAATCACTAATTATAATTTTCCCTCAGGCTCTTGCATAACTTCATGTACTTCCAACTTTGTGTAAAACAAAGAAGAACTTTACTTCTTCAGTGGCCCTTCTCTTCCCAAACTATACTTTCCAATTTAATTTACAGGGAATTCACAGTATATGGCCTAAAAAGGCCAGAAAGCAGTGAATATTTCACAATTTTTCAACATGACTATATTTGTTCCGGGGTAGAGACCAATGCTGAATAACTTAAAGAATGTTTTTCTGCACATAATGTCAAATCTATGTTTCAAATGCACAATTCTATTCCCTATAAACTGATGCAGTGAGATCAATGGATTCTAACTCTCAAGGATAATATAAATCAATACATTCTAAAGAGATGCAAATACCTCTTTTCTATTTTGACAAGAGAAGCTTCTCCCACATGTGCATTTCACTGCTTCCTGTCTGCCATACAAAATCTAATTGTAAAAACAGTAGGGTTGTCATATTTCTGATATACATAGCTGAAGTTCAAGGATTTTTTTTGTTTGTTTGTTTTGAAGGTGATTCCTTGGATACGGATTAACTGGTTCTCAATGAACTGAATAGGCACTTTAAAAGTGGTATTTTTATTTCAAGTGGCCCAAGAAACAGTTTAGTCCAGAATATCCAAAAATTATTGCTATTAATGTCCAAACAGAAGAAAAATGGAAGCTTGCCAGAAATGCTAAATATAGTATGGTTTCTATTACAATTAATACTATTCCAAAATTTTAACCATAACTGGTAAAGGCAATTAAAACAAACCACCTAGTCTACATTGAGAGATTATGCAACATTATTTAAATAATTGAATATAATGTTAAAGTGTTATTCCTTTTAAATAGTAGCTCCAAAAAATGACTTATTTTATTAGCATCAGAGTCATACATATGAAATTGCTGATATTTGACTGTTTTTGATTTGCAAAAATGGCAATTTTTGTTCAACCCTTTTAAATCTGGTATTTTGATCTTTTCCTGAAATATATACTGCCTACTTAACATCCATAGCACTTTGTATGCACGTCTAGCAGAGCGCTTGTCATACTGAATTGTAATTAATTGTTGACAATTCTTATTCTTACACTATATTGTGAACATTTCCAGATAGAAACCATATCTCCTTTATTTTCATGTTCCTGGAGCCTACCACTTCCTGGCACGCACCAGTTCTTACACAGTGGCTGGGAACACGAATAACATATATTTGAGAATAGAATGATTGGTTAGGAAAAAATATACAAAAATAAAAATCAAGTTCTAGTAAAAATTAGCATGTAAATTTCATTAAACCTGAGACTGGTCCAAAGCTTAATATTTGCTGTTAAACAGAAAGATTTCCTGAAAATACAACATTTGGATTACTACTACTCCATACCAAAGCAAAAAAACAACTGCAAATTTTCTTTATTCAGAGACCAACTACCCAGTATATAGATCTTGGATTTCTATTTCTCTTCCTTTCTTTTACTGTCTGCTTCAGTCCAACACGTTGGGACAAAAGAGAATGAAAGGAAGCAGAAATGTTCTAGTCCTAGTTAATTTCACTCTTTGCTTATAAATCTTCTGTGAGATGAAGAGAGGCACATCCTAGAGATGATAATTTCAATGGTTTGAATTGGGTTGTTATAATATCTGTGGGTTTCAATGTTTGTTACTAACCTGTTTTTTTTAATTTGTACTATCATTTAAAAATGTATACTATCCTTTAAATTTTTGAAATTTAAATATTGAACTATCTTTTTAAATTTCCTAAAGCAAACAATGTTTATTTACTAAGGATAACTCTGTACTTCCTAAATCTAACCATAAAGTAAGAGAATCCAGACACAAAGTACAGTAAGAGTCAAAAATTATCTAAGTACGAGAAGAAGCTTATTAATTTTTCTGAGAAGTCTAGAAATTCTGGGGAAAAAATATCCAAAGTTCCATAAGAATTCCTAATCATATATTTCAAACCCAACAAAAGAAGATCTGAAACACTAACAGCTAATTTAGGTGTTCATCCAGACCTTAGAAGGTATGAAAACATGACTCTATTATCCCATGCTCCACAATTTAGAGCTTAATCAATTCATAAGATCTTTATTTTCAACTTCAATATTCATATCTAAATTCCTGATGCTATCATTATAGTTATATATCTCATATTCAGTCAACCTAACAGAACTCCTGAGCAAAACACAAATTCCAGTTAACTTTATCAAATAAGATCATTTTTTCTTAAAAATGGAACAGTGCTGCAGTCAACTAAACATGGCATATAAGTAGAACATGGCTGATAAAGTTAGAACCTGTTCAAACACTAAGACTGATGCCCTTCTAGTTAACCGTAAAGATTATCATGAAATTTTTAATGATTGTGATTTTAAGGTATATGTTAAGATTTCTTTCATTTATATTTCAATTTGATGTAATTAATTTAGAATCACAATAAAAATTTAGAATCACAATAAAATTATAGATGATAGAAATTGCACAATAAAAGATAGCATTACTATAATGCTGTAATCATCCTAACAAACCACTGATTTTTTACTATCTGGTCCACTTATTACAGCTGATTTTATTGTTTAGTCATTTATTATGTATCAATATACAGATGCTAAAAACAAGCAGGAAAGACAACACAATCTGATTTACATGATCAACTTGCAGTAGCTGAGCTCCACCTACAGGCAAAAAAGGATTCTTTACAATAAGCTTTAAAATAGGACTTTCCAAAACAAGCTGCAAACTACCCCAGTTTTCATCAACCTTGGCTGGATATTAGACTTACATGGAGTGTTTTTAAAAATTTCTTATGGCTGAATACCAAAATTTATGAACAGCTTGTTCAGGAATGGGATGATTCAAATGTACAAACAAGGTTGAGAGATACTGATTTTATTCCTTATCAGCCACATTTTAAAAAAACATTAGAAACACCCAAATATCTTATTTTCTTTCTCTAAAATTACTTGATTCTCACTTTCTTGACCCTTTTATCTTTCTTAAGATTAAAATCAAGTGCAGCTGAGATAAATGTCTTAACCCTGTTGAACTGCAAAAGTTCTGTGAAAGACCTGAGGTAACCCTACAAAATATCATCCACTTTTACATTATTCTATACCTCAGAAATAATCAAGGAGGTATGTGTTTGGGAGTAGAATTCTTAACACTGAATGCATATTAGAATATCTACAGAGCTTTGATAAAGTATATTGCCCCAAATTAATGTATGCTCTTAGATGTGAGAAAAGTAAATAGCATTAAAAAAATACTTAGAGGAGTAAATTTAACCAAGAAGCTAAAAGATCTGTCTGCTGAAAACTATGTAACATTGAAAGAAATTGAAGAAGGCACAAATAAATGGAAAGATATCCCATTCTGGATTCATGGATTGCAAGAATTAATATTAAAATGTCCATACTACCCAGAGTGATCTACAGATTCCAGGCAATTTCTATCAAAATTACAATGTCATTTTTCACAGAAATAGAAAAAAAAATCCTAAAATTAGTATGGAACCAGAAAAGACCCCAAATAGCCTAAGCAATCTTGACCAAAAAGAACAAAGTGGGAGGCATCACGCTCTCTGATTTTAAAATGTATTATAAAGCTATTTTAATCAAAACAGCATGGTATTTGCATAAAAACAGACACCTCAACCAATGAAACAGGATAGGAAGTATAGAAATAAACTCAGGTATTTACAGTCAATTGATTTTCAACAAAGGTGTCAAGAACACACAATATATAAAGAAAAGTCTCTTCAATAAATGTTGGGAAAACTGGATATTCACCTGCAGAAGAGTGAAATTGGACCTTTATCTCAAACTATAAGCAAAACTCAACTCCAAATGGATAAAAGACTTACGGATAAGGCCTGAAACTGTAAAGCTACTAGAAAAAAAAAAGAGGCGGGAATAGCCTGATGACACTGGACTCAGCAATGATTTCTTGGATAGGACTCCCAAAACACAGTCAACAAAAGTAAAAATAGACAAGTAGGATTGCATCAAACTAAAAAAGTTCTGCGCAGCAAAGGAAATGAATAGAGTGAAGAGACAACCCATGGATTGGGAGAAAATATTCGCAAATCATACATCTGATAAGGGGCTAATATACAAAATATATAAGGAACTCAAACAACTCAACAGCAATAAAACAAATAACCCAACTAAAAAATAGGCAAAATACCTAAACAGACATTTCTCAAAGTTTGCTTAGACTAGAAGAATAAGTTTTGTGGCCTGGCACAGTAGCTCACGCCTATAATCCCAGCACTTTGGGAGGCAGAGGCGGGTGGATCACGAGGTCAGGAGATCGAGACCATTCTTGCTAACACAGTGAAACCCTGTCTCTACTGAAAATACAAAAAATTAGCCTGGCGTGGTGGCACGCTCCTGTAGTCCCAGCTACTTAGGAGTCTGAGGCAGGAGAAACGCTTGAACCCATGAGGCAGAGGTTGCAGTGAGCTGAGGTTGTGCCACTACACTCCAGCCTGGGCAACAGAGCGAGACTGCGTCTCAAAAACAAAAAAAAAGAATAAGCTTTGTAATGCATGCTTACCACAGTTAATGTACTTCAAAATTGCTAAAAGAATACATTTTTAATGTTTTCACCACACACAAAAAAGGTAAGTTGCTGAAGTGGATAAATACGTTAATTAGCCTGATCGAATCTTTCTACCATGAATACATACAGCAAAACATCACATAGTAACCTATAAATATATACAATTACTATTTGTCAATTAAAAATAATATTGTTTTAAAGGTTAGAAAAGTGGTTACTATTAGGAGATGAGGGGGAAGTAACTAGAATGGGGCAAGAGGTGAATTTATGGGTAATGGCAATTTTTTGTTTCTTGATCTGGGTGATGGGTATATGGATATATTTAGTTTGTAAAAATTCAGCTAGCTGTATACTTATGTGCACTATGAAATATAGTTAATAGACACATTGTTTGTATATTATACTTAAATTAAAAGTTTAAAAGTTAAAGAAGGATCTTCCCAGACTTTACCTCAGACCAGACAATTCTGAATCTGTGGGTGAGGGGCCTACGAATTAGTATTTTTCAAAGCCTCCTCCGTGAGCCTAATGTGCGGTTAGGAGTGAAAACCACTCCTATAATGGAACATAATTAATTAAATATTTTATTTATCCACTCATTCCACAAAGTTTAATGACCAGTTACTATATGCTTAAGATATTAGCCGCCTCTGAGGATATAAAGATAAATAAGACATAGTCTCTAAAGAGCTTAGTTTAGGCAGAGGAGAGGCGAATCAATAAATCCCTATTGAAAATACAAGCAAGCTACTTACAAGATCCAGAGGAGAAAGTGATTTGCCAAAGAAGAATTTATTCATTTTTTGTTCATGTATTTACAAAAATATTTGGGTACCTACGCTGTTTGAACATGGAGATACAAATGTAAATGGATATGATCACTACCTTCAAGAAAGTTACAGTATAAGGATACACAAAGAAGAAAAAATGTATATGTAACCTAATATTACAGGAGTGTGAAAAGGGTGCACATAGGTTTGCACTAAGGAGTCAGGGAATATAGTACCAACTTGCTGACAACTTGCTGACCTTGGAACTAACATGATACAAACTTGAACTCATCCAGGAGCAGTAGGGATAAAAATTAATATTCTACAGGACTGCTTCTCAAACTAATGCACACAAAAATCACCTGGGGATCTTGTTAGAATGCAGATTCTAATTAAAAATGTGTAGGACAGGGCCTGAGACTCGGTATTTCTAACAAGTTCCCAAGTGATACTAATGCTACTGCTTCACAGATCACACTTTAAATAGTAAGGTTCTTGAGAGAGATTAGTCTCAAGAGAAAAGAGACAAAAATCTCCAGAGCAGGAAGACCAAGAAAAAAAAATGGAAAGTAGCCAGTCGATTATCAACTAGATGGCCTTAGTGGAAGTAGTTTCAGTGGAGTGGTAGGTGAGAAGCTAGATGATATGTATTTAGAAATAAATAGGAAGGAGGTAGGGACAGGAAATAAAATGGAATGGTTTTGTTAGTTTTTACTCTCGAAGCGGGGAAGAGAAAGAAATACGGGTTGAAGAAATTTACTCTCATTTCATAAAAAAACAAGCAGCCAGGTGATCCGTTGAGTGAGTTTGAAGTGTGAAGTAAACATTGTGGCGAGTGAGTAATAAGGAAGCACTGGAGACACAGCTGAGGCTGGAATCTAGAAATCCATAATAATACCAGCTTGTATATGCCTGTGTGATTCTGCTGAGCTGTATCCAGTAGTCAAGATACAGGCATAGAGAAGGTGGGCTGGAAAGAAAGTGGGATTGGTACATTTTAAAAAGGGAAGAGACAAGGGATTAGAAATCCTAGGAAGTCAGAATAGATATAAGGGTGCCGATTCTCTAAGGAGAGAAACTAGGAAGCGTTTTGGATTTGTATTTCCCCTGAGCTCTTTTTTCAAATGAACAACTAGAGACATTGTTGAGAACACATTACTAGGAGAAGATCCTACTATATGTAAACTTGTTGAAAATTATTCTGTTAAATATCATTCCCCAGTTTAAATATTAAGCACTCAATAAATACATGTGTAGGTTTAACATCCAAAAGTGATAACCAGCTTTAACAGATTCCAGATGTTTCCTTACCAATAGAAGCAATACCACACGTTTTCAGTAAAATTATACTTTGAACGGCTCATTGCTTAAAGGGCTGGTGGGCTAGTCTAGTTTCTGATCCTACTGCTTAAATGGAAGAATGACCAAAGGATAATAGAGTACTTCAAGCACACCCTGATGAAAACTCATGTATCAAGAGTACACATTTTTGAATAGATAATGATATCACACTGACATCCTATCTGGCTGGCAGCTATACCCATTATAACTCAAACTGAGCAGTGACTTTCCTTTAAATATAATTATCCCTTTTACCACGTTGTAGTTTTTCAGTACATTTGGAGCTTTCCTGTGTTGTTTTATTTTTTAACCATAAAGTTAACTTCAGAGACTCGCTGGTATAAATAACCAAAAGTACTAATGATTTGGAAATTTATTAAAATTTATTTTTATTTTTTTAGAGACAGGGTCTTGCTCTGTTGCCCATACAGGATCATAGCTCACTGCAGCCTAGAGCTCCTAGGCTCAAGCAATCCTCCCACCTCAGCCTGCTGAGCAGCTGGGATTACAGGCATGAGCCACCATGCCAGGGTCTGATTTTGGCAACTTTATGAACTGAAAAAAATACGTGGTCATGAGACAATCATGGAAATTTCTACACTAGAGGAAAAAACTGTTTCTTCCTTTTGAAATTCTGTACTTTCTCCTCTATCCTGACCTTATTTTTCTTTTGTTTCTCTTTGTAGGTAGGACAGATAGGATGAAGGAGGGAGAGTAGAGAATGTGAATAATGAAAATGTGGGGGAACAGAACAGTTATAAATAAATGTGTGCTGTCTGCACCATTTACAAAGGCACACTTTGCCAATTATTTTACCTAA
Organism: Homo sapiens; assembly: GCF_000001405.40. Taxonomy (NCBI): domain Eukaryota; kingdom Metazoa; phylum Chordata; class Mammalia; order Primates; family Hominidae; genus Homo; species Homo sapiens. Next base: position 64,806,407 of record NC_000005.10, on the reverse strand, counting down.
AAGAATCCAACAATGTCCACAATACTCATGTTTACCTAAAATATTCAAGCCACCTTTGGAGACTTCTTATTTAATTTACTTTTCTAAGTAGAAAAGTATTTAACGTACTTTTTAAATTTATTTAATTTTCTTAGTAGACTTGCAATGCACTTGAATATAACTTTTTCCTCTACAGTGAATATACAAATTATGTGATTTTAATTTTGCAAATTATACTGATTTATAAAAAGAGAAAAATTGTTTACATAAGTAAGTGGATATATATGTTCCTATGTAAGAAATTACCATAAAAACTAAGCTTTAAATGTCTGTTAAGTCATCCAGTCTATGGTATTTTGTATAATAGCCCAAAACACTCCTCTATCAATCCATTCTCCATACTAAATACAATCTCAATATATCATTTGCCTGTAAAAACTTCAGTGGCTCTCCAGTATTCTCATGATAGATCAGATTCCTAAATCTAGCTATCAATGCCATGTTTGGTCATCAGGCCCATACTACAGCCAAGGAAATCTTTTAAGAATAACCCTTAATTGTAAGAGTGAACACAATTTTGGAAAATGCAAACTTTGACTTTTCTTAATATTAGGTAAACAATTTTTTAAAGACACTTATGAAAGGTACATTAAAAATGAACTTTAGTTCTTATACAAAATTTAGCATTGCTAAATTATAGTTTATATTATAGGGTATATAAGTATTTGAAATTGATTAAAGCCTACAAGACTGAGTTGGGAGTTTAAGGAACACTTAAATCTAACATAAATAAATATTTGGTTGGCTCATCTATTAAAATTTTTAAATATATTTTTGTTACATTATAAACCTAACCTTTAAAAAAATTCATAATTTTTTAAAATCAGAAAACACATGCCTTGAATGAGAGGAATAAAACATTATGTATCCATAATTATATTCATGATTTAACTAAAAGTTACAGTGTGAATGAGAGGTTTTTCAACTCTATGAATCTAGAAGCATGCATATGATCACTAAAATCTTTAGTCTATATTAGCTACTATGTATGGTATATATAATATAATCTAGTATGTAAAATTATTCAACAGTGATTACTTGAGTGTCAGGTGAATATTGCTGGAAAAAAGACATTTAAGATGACTCCTAAGTACCATTTCTAAATGTTAAAAGCTATGCTTTTAGTGGAAATTTCTGGGAATCATTTTTATTTGATTACATAAAGAAAAAATTGAGGGAGCTATGCAATGATAGCGTGGAAATCCTTTTTAAGTTTTTCTACATGTGGTTGAGAAACATGATAGGGAAAAAGAATGTTATTTAAATGTAGTTACATTCATATTATCCCCAAATAGTATTTGAAGAAAACAAATACTATTGTTTTTTAAAGCAATATTATTTAAAATGTATACTATAAAGTTGAAATAGAATCACAAAAGAGATAATTTTTCAATTAAGTTGAATTTCAGGAGAATAAAATGTTGAGTCATAAATCCAACAAACTTTCATCACCAGACAGTAAACTTTTCACCATTTGCTGAAATTTATTTTATGATACTACTGAGCTTAGGATAGGTATATGGTATTTGGTAAATCAGACTTGAAAAGATATTTAAGAATGTTTTCAGGCTCACTCATTTTCTTCATCAGTTTTGACAAATTTTGCTTACCGAAATTATTTGAGGATGTCTCTTTTCTTTCTATACAATTACTCTACTGCTCTCATTGGTATTTAACAAATGCATTCTTCCACATCTAGCTAATACATTATTACCCTATATATATGAAAGTATAGAGCCTTTCTAAAAAAGGATCAGAGAGAAATAAAATGGAATTGAACTCATAGGATCATTGTTATGTTTACTTTAAGCTTGGTGTATTTTATTTTAGGCCTGCTAATGGGCCAATTTGTACAACTGTTATGTTTATCAAACATTATGAAAATAGTATTTTAAAAATTAGCTGAAGAGAGGATTCAATCTGAATTAAAGTGAAATATAAAAAGACAAAAACTCTGATATCTAGCACAGTAACTGACTCACCTGCGGCTGACTGATTTCTTCTCCACTTCTCCTTCTCCAGCTGATTTAACATTCGCACTTGTGTCCTTTTTTAATTTTTTGGCAATTCTTTCTCTCATCAGGTTCTTTTCATCACCATCAATATATTCATCATGCTCTGCACTTTCATCTTCTCCATCCTGTAGAAATGGAAAATGAGTATTTGCCAGGTGCTCAATTTCCCCTTTCATTTCTAGAGATCTATTGCATCCACTGAATCTCCTTATTGCATTCTAAACTAGGTTTTTTTTTTTATTTTGTTTTCTTTTGTTTTGAATTATAAGCCCTTGAAGAATCTGCTACAGGTGGGAATAGCCCTGGGTTCTGCTCTAAGCCAACTATGTAATTATGGGATACCCCAGGAAAGGCTGTTCGCTCAACTCATGCCCAGCTCCTTTGTGCAGCAGACTTCTCCCTCTGTGTCACTCGGGCTATTCTGTCTATATTCCTATTCTTATCTCAGTGGGAAATGTGGCTTTTGAAGGCAGTTGGCCAGCATACTGACCTCAACAGGGATCAATTCAAGTAGAAGAGGTGTAGTGCAGAAGCTGAGATTTCTATAATCCAAGTCACAGCAATCACTTCTCTTGTGAAAACCCTCTAGTGGGTCCCCAACTCACTCAAGGCCCTATGCAATCTAAACCTCCCTGACATAATCTCCTACAACTCCAGCCCACCAACACTAGCCAACTTTGGAGTTGTTGTTCTCTCCAGCCTGAAACAAATACTCTATTCCAGATATCTCTTCATTGCTTGCTCTTTCATCTCCTTCAGATCTTTGCTCAAATGTTACCCTCTTGGTGATGAGATTAACCTATTAAAATGGTAGAACCACACACTTACCTCCAGTACTCTTTCATCTTCCCTGGCTTATTTTCCAAAGTACTTATCACCTATCTGATACACCATATATTTTAATTATTTGCATGTGTATTGTCTGTCATCCAATTACAGCAAACACTCCATGAGAGCTAAAATTCTGGCCTGTTTTGCTTACTGCTGTATCTTCAACTCCTAGAATAGTGCCCAGCATTGACAGATGGAGGAACAAAGGGAAGAAAGAGGGGAGAGAAGAAGGAAGAAATAACCCCAAGTGGATCATTTTTCTTTTGTGATTCTTTCTTTGATCTGGTGAGTCGTAGTGAAGCAGGATTCTTAATTTGAGACTTGTGGACCCCTAAAGCACTGGTCCTCAAAGTCTGGTCCTTAGATGGTATTACATAGTTGTTTATTAACACCTAAAATTCTAGCCCTCATTGCAGACTTATTGAACCAAAATCTCTGGGGTAGGAATTACGAATGTTTTCAACAAGATGTTTAAGTAATTCTTAAGCACTAAAAGGTGACAACCACCAACCTAGGCCTTCCATGCTCAGGCCTCAGGAGATCTAAAAAAAATTCCCTGCAAATTCATATAATTTTGGTTGTGAATGTAGTACATTTTCCTGGGAAAGGATTCACAGTTTTAGTCACTCACCCATGATATTAAGAGCAAATCTATACTTTTACTTTCTATCCTATACATTGATCCTAACTTCTAGACCCATATTATGTTACACAGATGTCTCCAAATTACCTCAATCTTGAAATGTATAAAATTAAGCTCATTATTTTTCATCCTTTTCTCCACCTCAACCCTATGCTTTCTTTTGCACCCATCTAACAAGTTGCTCAAACCAGAAACCTTGTGGTTGTCTTGGACTACTCCTCCCTCACCTCATAGTGTAGAATCAGTCACCTCCTAGACCTCTTTCAAATCTACCTCTTTCCCATCTCACAGCTGTGGTCTTATATCAAGCTCTCCTCCTACAATAGCTTCCCAGTATCAGTCTGTTTCCTCTAATTTGTCCTCTATAATATCGCCAATAGTGATCTTCCTGAAATGCAAAATTGATCATAGCATCCTTCTTTTTAACAAACACCTTTCAACTGTTCCTCACTTCCTTTTAGGAAAAAACTCAAACCCCTCACCATGGCCTATGAAGCTCTGTAATGAAGCTCTGGCCTGTCACCACACCCTGTTCACGCTGGCCTGCTTGCAGCTCTTAGAACACACCAAACTCTCCTGCTTCGGACCATTTTGTATATGCAGTTCCCCTTACCTTCAATACTCTTCTTCCTTGCTCTTCACAAGACAGACTCCTTGAAACTTTAAATTTCCGTTTGTATTTCCTAAATAAGGTATGATCTCTCCTTATTTCCATGCTTTAGCATATGCTATTCTCTGAGCTAGAGGGACCTCACCCCCTTCATCACTTTCTTTTCTGACTTAGCTAACTCCTAACTCTCATATAAGACATAAATAGCATCATCTCTTCCAGGAAGCTTTTCTTGACAAGGTCAGATATTCATCCTCTCTCTATCTACTACTGATAGCCATAGAGAGCCTTCTCTTTTGACTGTGATAATAGATAAATCTGTGTTCATGCATGGAAAGTTATGTACTTCCTAGTAAATTATACAATGCACAGATTAATGGGTTTTTATATAAAAAGTGGCATATGTATAATTTGAAAAACTTGACTCTTATGTATTAAAGGAAAATCTTCCTTCTGTTTTGTTAGCTTTGTTAGCCACTACAACTAATAAAGATCACTACACTCTTGAATGAGAATCTTTTGAAATGTGTATATAAAAAGGAGACACTACTATAAATTACTGATCCAAGCATTTCCCATATATCATGTAGGATGCCCACACACCAATATTTAAACTTTTAATACAATAAATTTATAACATCTGAAGTTTGAGTATTAACGTAATGTTATGTGAGGGGGAGAAAAAAACAGACTAGAAATTCATATATAAGATTCTAATGTTGTAGAGAGATATACACACACACACACGCACACCCCTAGAGTAAGGAAATAGTCTAACACCTAAATAATTTCTGTTTTTCATATTTTTCCAAAATTTGACATATATAACTATAAAAGTAATATACGTTACTTTTTAAGAACAAAATTAAGTTTTTGTAAAAATTTTGTACTTTCTATGAATTGTTCAAACTATATTAATACCAAAATAAATACTTACATCAACTAAATCTGGTGCATCACCTTTTTCACTATAAAAAAAATAAGCAAAACAAATTTTAGTTTCAAGGTAAAACTAACACAATTATTTTGTAACCCAAAAATCTAGAATAGTTTGCTGGGAATAACATTCCAAAAATGTATTTCAACATAGGAATTTAAGAAAGGCATTATAGAACAGATGGAAACATTCTTTAGAGTCATTTTTTATAAGTGGAATAAGTATGATTCATTAGCAAATATATGCGTTCACTAGAATTTGAAAGGAAAAAAGCAAACAACAACCGACAGTGTTATTTTTATGATCAATGGTCTGCAAAAAACAATTTCTTTTATTGGCTTGAAATATTCTGACTAAAAAAACCCCCAAATCCTTCAAATAGAAGGGTATTAAGAAAAGATTGTCTTAAAACAGGAGTTTCGAAAATGAGCTAAACTGAGTACAACAGCATTGTAGTGCCCCTTGAGATACTGGCCCAGTTTATCTTGTGCTATTACATCTAACACCAAGACGTTTTCCCTTCTCAAAGAGAAGCAACAAAGGTAGCAAGACAACTTTCTGTTAACTCCTCAAAGTATGTGAGAATTTATAGTCAGTGGACTGGCCCCCAAACTGGTAACTTCTTCACAAAAACCTTTAACTGTAATTTGTTCATTCATGATACAATTAAGGCAAAAATGCTTCAAGGAAAAGGTAGCAAAACAACCTTGAATTAAGCATTACACTGTTAAAGCAAACAGTTTCTAGTCCTAACATGTAATGGTAAAACAATTTTAAATGTAATTCATTCAACAGAGGTAGAGAGCAAGTGCGAAAGTGACTAGAGCGTTTGTTTCTCTCTATCAAGCTTGAAGTTCTCTATCTCTGTTATCAAAATGCTTTATTTTTTTGGCTGGCTTAAAAATTTTTGACTTATGAGGACTGACTGTTTACTCACAGAAGAAGCAAGAAAATTATCTGAGCCAGAAAATTAAGAACTTAGGATCATACCAACAATGGACTAACCTTTCTACAACTGGAACAGAACTGAGATGTGGATCATCCTTAAGCAAGTCATGACTACTTTTGCTTTTGCCCTTCATGCTCTGCAAAGAATGTACAATATAATCATGAGGGGGGAAATAAACAGTATTCCTAAATAACAAGTTAACAAATTTACATAAAACCTAGCAATGATATAATATGGTTAGCAAAAGATGTATTCCTGAAAAGTTTAATACAAACTAAAGTTTTATAAGTAAGAATCTTACTCTTCTATTGACTGAAAATAGTATTTTAGAAACACCTTTTCTTTCAAAAAATGATATATCATTTAAAAGAAGTCTGTTGAATTACCAACTTGAAGCACTAAATTCTCATAATAATTTGCATACTATGAAACTAGTTAATTTTTATGACCCCTATAACTTAGAAGCTACATCACAAGAGTATTGAAATAAATGCATGCTATTATTCTTCAAATATGCCACCTATACTGCACAGAATCACTTTTTAAAATGTTACTCAAGCAAAAGATAAGTGCATCCCCGAGGAACTACTTACCAACAACAACAAAAAAAGATATAGAAGAGCCTCTTGAGCATGAGAATATTTATCAGTGACCAAATATTTATTAAATGCTTTAATTTCAAAGTTCATGTTTTCAAAAAATGTACATTTTAGAAGGGAAACAAGATATAAAAAGGTTTAAGAAGTAGCATTATAAAACAACAACTACTGCTGCTATTAAGTATATATATATATATTTTGAGATGGAGTCTCACTCTGTCACCAGGCTGGAGTGCAGTGGTGTGATCTCAGCTCACTGCAATCTCCGCTTCCGGGGTTCAAGCGATCCTCCTGCCTCAGCCTCCCAAGTAGCTGGGATTACAGGTATGCGCCACCACGCCCAGCTAATATTTGTATTTTTAGTAGAGACAGGGTTTCACCATGTTGGCCAGGATGGTCTTGATCTCCTGACCTCATGATCTGCCCGCCTCAGCCTCCCAAAGTGCTGGGATTACAGGCATGAGCCACTGTGCCTGGCCAAGTATTAAGTATATTCTTTGTGCTAGGCACTGTGCTTCAAATAGCATTGCTAACCCTCTCTTCTTCTCTTCCCAAATTAAAGTATATGAGGTGGGAATTATTAGCCCCATTTTACAGATGGTTAAAGAGATTAAGTAATTTACTAAAGGTCACAAAACTAGTCAGTGGTAGAGGATCTAGGGTTTAAATCCAGGTCTGTCTGACAATAGTACCCATATATCGAAAATCTAAATGTATCCATTTTTCTTTTCCTCTAGGCCCCTATGGGCCCAGAATACCGGCCTGGTTTCAGAGCTGCAATCTCCTATTCTACAGATTTCCCTACTGCAGGGTGGGACACCTCAAACTTACACCCTGTATCTTGAGGGGGGAAGATGCTCACCACCCCAACTCCCAACTAATCATATAAAAATGAATAGTTAAGAGATTAGAGTTGACAGAAAGAATAATTTCTGCTTTGAAAAATTTTGAAGAAAATTTTATGTGGGAAAATTTATTACAAAGTATGTTAACTAAAATGTTTAAATGACATTTAAACAGACACAGACACAGAGAGATGAAAACACTTCTTTTCCTTAAGCTCCCTTCACCACTTTTAATTTGAAAAACAGGCTCTTAAATAGATTTTAATTTCTGTATTAATATGGAGCTCTCTATAGAGTTAATCAATTAAAACATGCTTATAGTGCAATTTCATAATACAAAATTTTCTCCAACAGTTAATCTAAATATGCTATTATTTGTAGTTTTAAAAAGTCATAGAATCTGAATTATGCAATTAATCTATATATCTAATTTCATAAACTTACTTAAACTAAGGAGTGATGAAAAAGCAAAATGTCATCTAATTACTGGATAATGTTTGTCTGACTATGAAAAACGGGGGAAAATATTCACAAAACAGAAGGTGGTATAGTAGAAAGAAGACAGGACAAGAAGAAAGATGGTGGTTGGACCAAATGAGTTTCAAAATGTAGTATTCCACAATTCCATGGGGTTTAGTCTAAAACATGTACCATTTGTTGAAACACAGTGATCTCATGAGACCTCAGAAACATTGCCTACAAAATGGGAATAATCATCATAGCAGCCTTGCCTATTTCACATAAGAGAATTAAATGAGATTATCTGCAAAAGTGTACAGTGAACATCAAATAACTTAAACAAGAATAAAAGCCTGAACATCTTTTGTTCATGCTTTCCTTCCTTAAAATTCCTTCCTCCTGCATCTCTGGCCGTCAGATTATTTTCATCTACCTTCAGAAATAGTCCTATATTAATTCTCCCCACCTGGTTCCCTTATAAAGTCACAATCATAAACATCACAGTCAGAATTGGCCCCAGATCCTCTGTTCTAGCCTTTTGGTCCACTGATCAGAAAATGACTTACACTAATAAATAGCAAAAGCAAGATTAGAATTCAGATCTCTAAGTAAGCTCTTGGTCCATTAATGAGCTATACTATTTCACTTCCTTGTGAATGTTAGTTTACAATTGTTAATTTCATTGTTAATATATTTTTAAAATGGGTTCTTGTATTGTATTCTTGAAAACCACTAAGAGCGATTTTAAGTTTTCTCCTCACAAGAAATGATAAGCATGTGAGGTAATTCATATGTTAATTAGCTCCATTTAGCTAATTTAAAAAGTAATTAATTTTTTTAAAAAGGTTCTTGTTTATCTTCCAAAACTTACTTTAAATAGCTGGAAGGAAAAAGAAAAACCTTGTTTTACACTAATTTAAAATAAGACTTGACAATAGGAGGAACCTGTGTTTAATTTTAATAATCATTACCATTTCAAATTTTAACTAACTTTTAAAATTAAATTAGTATAGAAATATATGAAAAGCCAAATTGTTAGGCCTCTCTTCCCACTACAGTAGACTCTGAATCCTGCAGGGAGAGAAAGCAAATTGGAGATGAACTGAAGAAATTAGGAGACAATCCTTAAGAGAGTGAAAATGAATTCAGACATTTTTCCCTTTAATGCCTATTCTTTCTTAATGACCTACTTTAAGGTTCTTATTTATACCGTCAAGTAACAGTGAATTTAAAGGAAGAACAAACACCAAATATATTTTTAAATGTTTTAAAAATTGCTTAAAATAAGTTGACTAATTAAAAGGTTTAGCTGATGAATGAAATACTAAATATATTTAGTGAATTCAGTGTTAGGGGCTTCACAGAAAATTCAAAACTATCTGCAAACAAATGTAAAAATGAAAATCAGAGGGACACAGAAAAATTATGTTATCTGGAACTTCATATCCAAGAACAAAGAGGCAGCAAAACAGTAGGGACTAAATAGAATACAGGTAGAAGGGGGCAGAGGGAGAGAGGAGAAGGGGTGGGGGAAGTGACGGGGGAGACAGGGAGAGAAAGAGAAGAAAGGAAGGAAGGGAGGGAGTCAGAAAGAGAGGAAAGAAGGAAGGAAGGAGGAAAGAAGGGAGGGAGGGAGGGAAGAAGGAAGGAAGGAAGAAGGAAAAGGAGGGAGGGAGGGAGGGAAGAAGGAAGGAAGGAAGAAGGAAAAGGAGGGAGGGAGGGAGGGAGGGAGGGAGGAGGAAGGGACACAGGAGCAACATTGACCAAGAAACTGGAAGGTCTGGGGCTCAATCTCTAACTCTGTGTGGATAATTTTATGAGTCAACTTGGCTAGGCAATGGTACCCAAATGTTTAGTCAAACACCAGTCTAGATGTTGCTATGAAAATATTTTTTTAGATATGATTAGTATTTAAATTAGTAGGCTTTGAGAAAGCAGATTACACTCCATAATGTGGGTGGGCCCCATCTAATCAGTTGAAGGCCTTAAGAGCAAAAACTGAGGTTTCCCAAGGAAGAAACAATTCTGCCTCAAGACTGTCACAAAGAAACCCTGCCTGAGTTTCCAGCCTGTGTATTTTGAATTTATCAACTATTCCCTGAGTCTCCAGCATGCTGGCCTACTCTACATATTTTGGAATTGCCAGCTCCCACAATTGCAAGAGCCAATTCCTATAAATAAAGAGATAAAGTGACAGATTAATAGATAAATGGATCTATTTTATTCTTTCTCTCTCACATCCTATTGGCTGCTTCTGTTTCTCTGTAGAACCCTAACTAATACACTAAGAGACCTTCAGCACAGAACCAGAAAAACTTATTAGTTAAAAAAGATATTTTAGAGGCCACAATCTATTCTCCCAGGCAATGCAGGAAATCTCCTTGACATCACTGCTGACTGGTCAACCATGTCTCAACACCTCAAATGAGCTTATTAATACACACACACACACACACACACACACACACACACACACACGCACAATTTCTTTTTAAATGGCTTCTATTATTAGGAAATTCTCTGATTGGAGAGAAAAAAAATCTATGTATATTTTCCAACCATCCAACCAACCCTACTTCTACCTTCTAGAACTACAAAGAAGGCCTGTTGTTAGGCATACTATATAAAGTTAGTTTAGACATTCATTAGACAGAATAATGGCCCCCTAAGATGTCCATGTCCTAATCCCTCAGAACCTATGAACATATCACCTTACATGGCAAAAGAGACTTTGCATATAAATGAAAGATTTTGAGGTGGGGACATTATCCTGGATTATCAAGATGGGTCCAAATGTAATTACAAGAGTCCTTACAAGTGAAAGAGGGAAGCAATAGAGTCAATTTTAGAGTAATGCAGCATGGGAAAGACTTCACCAGTTATTGCTGGCTTTGAAGATAGAAGAAGGGGCACACCAAAGAATACAGGCAGTCTCTAGAGGTTGAAAAAGGCAAGGGAATAGATTCTCCCCAGAGACTCCAGAAAGAAGTCCCTGCAAATGCCTTGATATTTAGCCCAGTGAAACCTATTGCAGACTTCTGACCTCCAGAAATATAAGACACTAAATTTGTTTTGCTTAAAGTGGCTTAATGCCACTAAGTTTATGGCAATTTGTTAAAACAGTAATACGAAATTAATAAAATATGTTAACACCTTTGTAAAATTAGCTAAGTCTAAACAACTAGAAAGATAAGCAAATTAAAGTTGAATACAATTTGATAAGGCAGAAACATTTTACAAATTACACTGTTTAACATTTCTGACCTCCTCTTTGCAAACAGCCTAGCAGCATTCTCCATGCCATGGCCGCCTCCCAACTTTTTTGGGAAAGTTTAATTTCATAAAATAAACTAGAATAGGACAAAACATCCTTACTTTAGTCTCAAAAGTGGCGAAACGGTCTACCAAGATAACTTTTTCTGAGTGAGGAAAAAGCCCTTCTATAACTCTGGATTTGAAGTAAAAATGTTACTACGTCTTGTAGGAAAGAAATGCTCTGTGTATCACTGTGAATGTGGCACAATTTGATCACTGAATAAAAATCTAGCTATTGAGATACTTTTAAAATGGGCCTGTTGTTTAACTTACCTCATAAAAACTAGTTATCTTGATTGTAAGCTTTAACTTGAAAAATATTTCCTGACATTTATATTTCAGTTACATGTAAAGATTCCTGAATAAATTTTAAACCAATACAGACATTCAAATAAAAGCATTGTTTAAGAAAGCAATATGAAGGGAGCAATATTCCAGATAAAAATATTTCAAATATTTGAAGTCTAGGATCATATTTTCACTTAGTTTTATTTCTCTAAAGTATTATTATATCCAGTTCCTCATTGCATTCCCTATGTTAGGTGGTTTTTGGCATCATTCCCGTCTTCCCCACCATTTCCCTTCCTCTGGATGCATCTAGTTTGTCAAGATCTTCCTTAAGTACGTTCACAACTGGATAAAATGCTGCAAGTATGATCTAAACAATGCAGAGGATGTTAAAATCCTTATTCCAGAGATCTTATTCTTAGTAATTCAACTAGGACTCACAGGCTATTATGTCATACCTATTCAGCTGATTTTATTGAACTCAAGTACAGAATTTACATGTACTCCTATTACATTTCAAATTACTAGTTCAAATTGGCATGAGTTGACAACAAAGCACCCTTTGGTCAGAAGTATTCAATTAGCTATAAATCTATCTGACTGTACTATCTCCCAGATCACATTTCTTCTTGTTGTCTACAAGAATATCATGAGAGAGTCTCACAATTTGCTTTTCTGAACTCAAGATACGATTATTATGGCATCTCCCTATCATGCAATCCTATCAAAAAGGAAATGAAGTCAGTCTGGCAAGTCACTTAACCAGAGGCTCAGTTTCCTCATCTATAAAGAAAAGAAGTTGGACAAAATCCCTTTGAGCTATAAAATTCTATGATTCTAAGAGATTTTATCAGGTAGTAGAAAGATACTGAAATAAATAATGAAGGAAAGCTAACCCATGTGGGAGAGGCACCTTGTCATGAATAAGTGAGTGGGGTGAAGGGGTGTCTGTAATCCCACACTGATAATCCATAAACCAGAGAGGACTCTAATCTTATTTCTCCTTTCACATAAAGTAAAGCCTCAATTCAGACTTTACCAATTATTAACTTGTGATCGGGCAGAAAGGTTCTGGAATAAAGATTAATACTGTGCAGTCACTGAAAAAAGAAACTTGATAAACAAATGAAGAATGAAACAATTATTTTTAAGCCCTTTAGAAATATTTAATTTCATGCAACCACTGAAACTGCAAATTATTCTTAGTCATTAGAACAGACACTTATTTGGCTTTGGCTCCAGTCATTTCATACACTTAAAAATAGTAAAGCTAAATTTTGAAGAAATATATTCTATTAGCCACAGTTTTCCAACATTCAAGCTAGTCTTCCCTCTTCTTACCAAGGTATTTGAACAGTGCTGGTAGTGTAAAAAACTGTATATAAGCAAAATAAACAAAAATACACTTCTACTTGGATTCTCTCCAGAATTTATCTCATGTACTTAAAAACAATTTCCCTTTCTCTAAGCCAGTAAATTTCAACAGTATTGTTCTTGTTACTCTATTTTCTCCAACTAAACTTACCTACTTGTCCATTACATAAAGCAGACAAAAAAGTTAAATTCTGTAGATTTTAACTTTTTTGATTCTGCAGTGTGCCAAGATCCAATCGCATGTGAAGAATGGGTTGTTGGTGGGTAATAATGAGGCTGGGCTGCACAAGCCACTATCTAGGACTCAATGGGAGTGCTCATGAAGGCCACTAGGCCAATTGTGTCAAGATTGTGGCTTCCTACCCAAAAAGGCTGAGCTGATAATGAAATTTCTCACCAGCCCTCTAGATTGGGCATAAGGGCATAAGATTCTACATAATGGTTATGATCATATTAAAGAAATTTTACATTCTTTAGTTATCTGAGATTAAAATACCAGTTATAATGTATAGTATATTTTAAGGCACTTGGCTTTCAAAGACATTTTTCAGTATTGTATAATAAATCAAAATTAAAACTATATCCTTACTCACAACAGTAAGTGGGACATACTATTTTCTTGTTCAGAAAGGAAAATTGAGGCTCAGAGAGACTAAGTTATCAAAGCTCACAGGGTGTCAGGGGAAATTAAAGTTTTAATATGAATTTGTATGATCCCAAATCCATGTTATTTCTATTCTAGCACACTGCCACTCAAAGATGACACAGACTCTATGTACAACAAGCTCACAGCCCAGGACTCTACACAATTAATAAGTTATAAAGTAAAGGGTATAATGTTGGACTTTGGACTAGTGTACAATGCAAACACAGTCATATGCTTCTTCTGTAATAAAGCAAAAAAGATGTGTTTAAAAGGCAAATGTACAGTATTACAAGAAAGGCAAAGGTTGGGTAAGAAAAAAAAGATTTTTAAAAGCTGGAAAAGACATTTAGAAAAGATGGCATTTCAGGTGTTGAAAACAAATATGACTTGGATATCCAGAGGTGTGATGGGACATTTCAGGTGGGAAAAAGAACATCAAGAAAGGCACAAAAAATGGAAACAATAAGGCATACATATAGAGCAGCAAATCATTCATATCTGCTAAAGCAGTGTTTCCTACATTTCCTTGGTATGAATTCCTCTGGAATTCATTAAAAGTACAGCTTCCCAGGCCCCTCGCTTGGAAATTCTAATTTAGTGGGTCTCAGATAAGGCCTAGGATTCTTAATTTTTAAAAAATATGTCAAGTGATTTTTATCACCAGGAAAGTTTAACAAGTACTAGTCGAAAGAGCAGAGTTGGTGAAGGACAGTCATGAAAGCAGAATCTTGAAATAATAGGACAAGAAATTTGGCCTTATTTCTATAGTAAAGAGACAGTAAAAATAACATTTTAAGCTTCAGGAAGGCTGCTCTGGTAGTGGAAGGAAAAGAAGAGAGGGGAGATGGGAAACTGGTCTATAGACTACCACACCAGTCCAGTCTAGAGATAATGAAGGCTGAACAAGGGTAGTAGCAACAATAAATTAAAAGGAAAAAACAGATTTGAGATACATCTTGGATAAAAAATTGCCAGGACAGTGCAATGAAAAAATATATGAAAAATCACAATGGAATCTAAAGACCTTCTTTGGAAGATATTGACACTAGGGAATACAAAGTCACAAAATAAGAAGTTTGAGAAGAAAAAGATAGTGAGTTAAGACTTCCCCAGGGCTTGATAAACTAATGTCCAATAAGCAGCTGGAGAAAAGAAGAGTAAACCAGCCTAGAGATATAGACGTGAGAGTCAGATACAAGCATTTGATGATAACTTAATTACAAAGCACCCCCTACGAAAGAGCCAGATGAGAAAACTATGATGACACAATACTAGGATAATAATATTCATTTGATAATGAACGGTATTTGGGTTGTAATTTTCTTGGCAGAGAGAAAAGATTTTACTCAGTCCTTCTAAAAGTATTTAAAGTGTTTTTCAGGTTTAAGAAAGAAAAAAAAAAAGACAGCACTATCTGTGCTGCTATCCTTGTACATTTCAATCTGAAACGCAAATTGCTTTTGGAGTATAAGTTCACAATATTCAGTATAATGTAAACATACCATTTTTCTATTTTGTACAGTAGAAAGCAGCAGAAGGAAGATAATCTTTGAACATTTAACACATGCTGCTGTTACAAATAGAAAAAATTCAAACTAATTTCCTAGTCAAGTCTATCTCAAAGCAATTGTGAACAAAACTTACTTTAGACTAGAAATTTAACTTCAACAAAAAACTGACAGAAAAACTTTCTCCTGCCCTTGCTCTCCAAGGCTGCTCAACCTAACTATCCAGGACCCTGTGGGATTTAGGGAAGGACAACGGGCCAACTGCCTTCCCCAGCTGCCTTCTACCCCAGAATGCTACGCTACCAGTGAAATTTCTCACCAACCTTTGAGACGTCTTGGGCTTGAAGGAGACAGCTTCTACAGCATTCATAATCATATGAGAGACTTAACTAGCTAAAAAAACCCTCAGTTCAAAATTCTGATTCTACCACCTCTTAATTGCATGATCATGGATGAGTTATTTAACCCTCTCTGAGTTTCACTTTCTTTATTCTACAAAATAAGAAAAATAATATCTATATTGCATGGTTGTTATAGGGATTACATAAAATAAATAGTATAGTTAGCAGATAAGAAGATAAATTATTGTAATGCAGTAGGATAAATGTTTTGATGGGCATAGACAGATTATCATGGAAAGAAGTACCTAGCTTAGCCTGGATGGGAGTTCAGTGGCAGGGGGAGGTAGAAGTAGTAGAAGGTGATAGTAGACCTAAATCTTAAAGGAAAAACACTTTAAGGAGAGAGCATACTCCTGGCAAAAGGAAAAACAGGGGTGGGGGAACTGTGAGGAAAGTATGGGTATGCAAGGAAACTTGACATCTTTAGAAAACATCAATGAAAAGGAACCCTGGCAATTTCTAGATCTAACATTCATGGTTTTGTCCATTCACAAACATAACCACAGAATCATGACACATAGTAAATCATTTTGATGAGGCATAAATTTGAATCATAAACAATGCAAGACTAGTGCACTGACATCTAAAGAAGATGACTCTTCAGATATTGAGGTGACAGAGTGATTGGTGACGTTAAGGAATTGGGAAATGAAGTTTTTGTAAAAAAATGAATTTAGTTTTGACATCTAGAGACCTTTCCTAAAGCAACTCTGAACAAGGGATAAGAGCCCAGGAGAAATATTTGGCCTTATCTCCTAGAGTTTAGAATGTTGGTGTACAGGTAAATGGAAATTGAATCCATGGCATCAAATACATCACTCAAGGATACAATAAAAAGCAACAAAAAGTTATGACCAAAATATTTCATATACACACCATTTTAATTACATTTTAATGCAAGGGGTATTAAGTAGAGTGCTTACTAGGCGTCCAACATTAGCCTGCAAAACCGTGCTCACTAATAAGGGAACATATGGCTAAAGAAGTAAAAACAAGAATAATAATAATATGCTTTTAATTCAATGTTATTGTTAGAGTTGGTAAGAAATAGATAATTATGTTAAGCAAGTAAGGCTTATAGGTTATAAAGTTTTAATTACAACAATAAAGACTATAAACCTAATCCTTTAGTTCTCAGTATTCACTAATTTTCAAAAAAGAAAGGCATATCAGAACCTTTAGGAGTAGAAACCCTTGAAGACAGTTTTCTTGTAGTATACACACCAGAATTACTGCTCTAAACAATGGCATGACACCGTGTTTCAGTAATGCGTATTATGATGCAAGCAATATTGAAGAAAACCACATGTAAAGGCCTACAGGAAGGACTAGCAGAATAAAAAGGCCAGGAGGCACTGCATAATTCAAGGACATGGATTTAATAGTTACAAAGACCTGCGTTCAGTTCCCATCTGTAGCTACTTATTGGTTATGTTACTTTGAGCAAATTATAAACTATAGCTGAATGTATTCATGAGTAAAATGAGGATGATAATAATATCACCCATCTCAAAGGGCTGTAATGAGAATTAATGAAATAAACAAAATATATATAAATAACATTAAAATGAATATAAGAGTTTTGGTCTGTGACTGTTTATATCAGTAATGATAATAATCATTATCATCTAACATACTACCTGAAAAAATAGCAGTTAGGATCTGAATCATAAAGTCCAACCATTCAAAAAACTGCAAGTCTAGTTCAAACTGATTTTTTTAAAATGCCAACATTAAAAATAAATAGGATAATCTCAAAAGTTGCAAATATTACTGACCACAAATCAATTTACAAATTCAATGAACACTTACTGAGCCTGCCCCATGTAAAACATGCTGTGCCAGATATAGCAGGAGATACAATAGTGAGTAAGATATAGACCCCAATCTCTTTTGTAAGTTAGAACAAAGGGCAAATTAGAGATTACCTGACTAACTCGATTTACTTCCTCCTCTTCTTCCTCAGCTTCCTCTCCAAATGAAAGTAAACTAAAATTTCTAGTCCAAAAAAAAGAAAGAAAAAAAAAAAGAAAGAGAAAGTCAAATCAAACTTATAAATACCTTATTTTCAGAGCAAGAGAACAGAATTTACAAGAAGAAATACATTCTGACTGTTCTAAAAAAGACCATATTACTCAGTATTCAGCAGAAGTATTCTAACGATCTGTATTTTCAGTATGATGTTAAAGCTTTTGCCTCACAGCACCAATGTTTCCTATATTATACTAACTTTTAATGACCAAAAATCCCTTCTGAGCATTACCATTAAATTTACTGAGTAAAGCATGACAGAAATAATTAAGCTTTTTTATATTTATCAAAACTGGTAGCAAAATGGGGGTTTCTGAAAAATAATAAGTATATATCCCTGAGTGCTACAAATGGGAAGCAATTAATCTAGTATTTGGCAAAATATTTTTTAATATTTTAAAATTAATATGTATACAAAATTGTCAGACAAAAAAATATGAGCAATGAACAACTAAAATAGCCCACAAGGAGAAAAAACTAGGTTTGTCTCCTCTGATTCATCAAACAAAAGTAATCTCAAGTAAGATAAACAAGTTACTAAAACTGTCTCTCAAATAGAAAAATTAAAGATGTGGCAGTGAAACAGATTTTTTTTTTTCCCAAAGCCTAGAAGCAAGCAACGACCAACATATCATCCCCAATATATTTGCTGGAAACAAAAACAAAGCAAAACACACCAAAAAAAGACTTTAGAGTTTATTGTTAAGATAAATCATAGTGATGACGCACTGCATATGAATACAGTGACAGTGACCTTTCATCCAGAGATAGATTAATCAAAATAAGCTGATCAAAGAATTTTTAAAAATCAAATAAATAATTCCAATAAGCAGTTATTTTGCCACAAGGAATTAACTGCTTATTAAAGTGTCTGGCTCATATCTGACACTTTATAAAACAATTTAACTTTGTATTTGTAGGATATCAAGGAAAAAGACTAATAGGTATTGAATGCCTATACTACTGGGTGTTTTAACATACCTCTTCTCATTTAATCCTCATAACAACCAGGAGTTGAACTTATTCTAATCTCCATTTTATAGGAAGAGGTAACTGAAGCTTAGAAAGTTTAATCAACTTTGCCTTTTATTAACTAGGTTTGGCAGGATTATATCTAGAATTGATCAAATCTAACAATTATACTTACAATAAAATCTCTAATAAGGATCCTACGATTCAGTAAAAGAGTACGTTGAAATCTAACTCTGCAGTATATACAGACAGTATTAATAATGTAGAATATTGTCCAAAATACTGAAATTTATTTTTTCATTCCTATTTTTTGGAAAATTATCTTCTGGAAATAAACCAGAATACTGAATGAAACAGCTTTATATTTTAAAATATTTATAATAATATTATTTTTAATAGCAACATAAAAGGAGTAAAAAGTTAAATACAAGTTAAATTGCATAATGCAATCATGCAGTCATTAAAAATATTCTTTATACTTTACTTTCTATTTATACTGAGTGAGCACATATTAATTTTAAAATAAGCAACAAACAAGTTTCTCAACAACTCATTTATATAAATAATTGTTACAGGGATCATAAAATATGTATCTATTTATTAACACAGATTTCATGTGAACAACTGAGATGACATGTTTGTAGCTTAAGTTTAAGATATACTGCACCTGAATACAAGAGTTGCTCATTTAGGAAAACAAACAAACAAACAAACAAACAAAACCACTAATATGGTTTGGCTCTGTGTCCCCACCCAAATCTCATCTCGAGTAATTCCCACAATCCCCATGTGTTTTATGGGAGGGACCCTAGTGGGAGGTGACTGGATTATAGGGTGGTGTCCCCAAAGCTGTTCTCATGATACTGAGTGAGTTCTCATAAGATCTGATGGTTTTATAAGTGTTTGACAGTTCCTCCTTCCCACTCGCTCTCTCCCCTGCTGCCTTGTGAAGAAGGTGACTGCTTCGCCTTCCTCCACGATTGAAGCTTCCTGAGGCCTCCCTAGCCATGTGAAATTGTGAGTCAATTAAACCTGTTTCCTTTATGAATTACCCTGTCTCAGGTATATCTTTATAGCAGTGTGAAAACGGACTAATACAACCACACACTCATAATTCCAATATCTCTCAGTCTCAGGCATGTCTTTATAGCAGTGTAAAAATGAACTAATACAACCACACACTCATAATTCCAATATCTCTCTGGTTCAAACTGGCCTCTCCTTTGCTAGTAAACAATTACTATAAAAGGAAATATAGTAAACTAAATGAATGAGTGTCATTTTTCAAGCTGAAGAAAAATCTCTCCACTATGATTACTTTGTGCCTTTGGGTTTCAATTTCTTTACTTCCTCCTCTGGTTTCTCTTTTTTCAGCCTTTTAATTTCCCTTGGAATGATGTCATCAAAAGGATTAAACAAAACCTATGAAAAAAAATATTTCGAAAACATTATTCCATTTTTAACATTTCACAAAAAATCAAACCCCGTATGTAATTCCAGTGGTATAGTGTCTATATTTTTCCCCACATAAACATTATTAGTATAGTGATATATATTTACTACACAACATGCTTCCACTTACACGGCCTCACTGGATTCTCTCAATAATCCTATGTGCTATTAAGTAAGGGATATTTTATCCCCATTTTACAAAAGGGAAAAATATTTAAGAAAATGTAAATGATACACAGTAAACAAGATCAACTCAGATGCTTTGATTCCAAATCAAGTATTCTTGCTTCCTCAATGAAGGGTCATTCTTTTTTTTTTTTTTTTTTTTTGAGATGGAGTCTTGCTCTGTCGCCCAGGCTGGAGTGCAGTGGCGTGATCTTGGCTCACTGCAACCTCTGCCTCCCAGGTTCAAGTGATTATCCTGCCTCAGCCTCCTGAGTAGCTGGGACTACAGGCGTATGCCACCATGCCCAGCTATTTTTTTTGTATTTTTAGTAGACACAGGGTTTCACTGTGTTAGTCAGGATGGTCTCCATCTCCTGACCTCATGATCCACCCACCTCAGCATCCCAAAGTGCTGAGATTACAGGTGTGAGCCACCGTGCCCAGCAGATTACTCTTAAATTACCTATGAAGTCACTACTTTGGGCTAAATAAACCTAATTCCTTTAACTTTCCATTATGAGGTAAGCTTTTCAGTCATTGGATTATCAGATAAAGTTTCATCTTTGAATTAAAATCTTTAATTAAAAAAATTCTTAACTAGAAACGGTGCCCAAATAAATTAGAGATAAAATTTGAGTTGTGATGTTAACATAGTATAAAGCCTTAATCCAATAGTTTAAAAATACTAAGAATCAATTCCTCTTAAACGACAATGTAAGTGCTGTATCTCGTAATAATCATGCTCCTACCTCACAGCTTTTTATTTTGTGTGGATTATGTGGTCTTTCGTCATCATCAATGTCTACTTCTGACAGTCGCAACATGTTATATACTGTATCCCCTGTAACCTATCAAATTAAAAATATAATGTAATTGAAAATTATTGCACTCATCCTTTGAATTAAGAGAAAACCTTTGAAAACATCTTTCAAATAATTAAAAGAAAATTTCATGTGATTACATAAAAATATATGCATTTAATAATGCAAATAAAGCAACTTTATCTTAAAGGAGAAAAGCATGGATGGAGTTCAATCCCCCAATAAGTTTTTTGGAAATTTCCAATATATATTTAATGTAAGTTTTTATTAATAATATAATGCCAAATAATCTCCTACTGAATGACAACTTTTCATTCAAACATCATAAACAAATTTAAACTTTGGAATAGGATAAAATAAGCAAATAACAATAACAATGTGGTAAATGCTTTAGAGACATTATCTCATTTAATCCTCACAAACAACCTAAAAGTAGGAACTAATATTATCCTTCTACAGATAAGAAAAATGAGGATCAAAGAAGGTATAAAACCAACAGTGATGGCCTTTCTAACTTCTAACTATGCTACACATTGTCTCTGATGTGTTAGTTATATAACCCAATTGTAAAAACTGATGCAGAATGGCAACTTAAATCTCATTTTATTACACACTCTTATTTTTAAGGAATAAATGGAGGGAATCTATAAACATCAGACAGGCTGTGCTGGAGTGGCTCAAAAGAATGTGCCAATGCATATTTCCTAACCCACTGTTATTAATAAGTATTAACCAACAACATTGCAACATATAGTTTTAGTGTGATTCCTTTCATTCAGTGTTTTTCAAGAGTTTTAAAACAACACCAGCTTTCCAATTGTACTGAATTTGTTTTTTTCCCTTTCATCACCACAAAAATCCAGTTTTGCCCAGTATATGGGGAAACCATTCTTACTGAACCAGCAGAGGGCGCTGATGCACTAGTGATGTCCGATATGCCTAAGACTTAAAACATATAGAAACATATTTATGAGAATGGAGAAGAGTGAGAGAAGAAAACCTTCAGAATCCCTTTTTAAAGGGAATTGTTAAAAATTCTATAGAAAGGACGTTCCCTAATATGACATTAAATGTGAGCAGGATTAAATAGGTACTATTCAAAGTAATATTTACAGTAAGAAGTTTCAATGTCAACACAAATTCCACTTTAAACTTAAGAAAATCCATCATTAAGAAAATAAACTGTAAACTACTAAATATTATTACCTAAATGTCCTTCCAAAAGTGTAAAATCAATATTGGCTAAGTGGCACATTTTAGCTCATACCATTACTATGATTTTAAAGAAGGAATACACTAAAGTCACAACTAATGACTGAATTGAAAGATCCAAAAAGAACTTAGATGCTCCCTCATAGTGCACTATATTAGGAATATATTCCATCATTTTTGAAAATAATAAACATATCCTATGGAATGTTTTTACAAAGGTAGCTCTTAGATAAGTTAATCATATGTATCTTAGAAGTCTAAGGAATAACATAAAACCAAAAACTGAACCACAGGTTTAAAATCACTGGACACTAACCTTTCCAAAGATGGTATGCTTATTGTTAAGTTCATCTGCTCGACCCAGTGTGAAGAAAAACTGGCTGCCATTATCATGAGAACCAGCATTTGCCATGGCAACCAGTCCTCTCCGATTAAAACGCAACCGTGAATGAAATTCATCCTGAAATGTAAAAAGATTTAGTGAATGTCCTCAGTTATAAGACCCTTCATATGCAGTTATTCAACTTGACCTGCAAGGTCCCATACAACTTCTAATAAAAAATGCAGACATTTTACTTAATTGATTTTCAAGTATTTACTATTCTTTCAATGTTATTAAACTTGAATTCACTAGACTGTATCTTCTAAATATACTCAGACAGAAATATACCCTATTTTGTAGAAAGCTGCTTAGTTACATCTAAAGGAAGAGTACCCAAGGGGGAATGGATTTCTAAGTCATTTCCCTATTCTCATCCCAAAGTCAGCTATGCTTTTGAAATCTTCTATTATTTCTCCCAGAAAACTACCTTTGAGCCATTGCAGAGTATTCAATTATTACTCCTTCCCATCTCATTCTAAATGTCATTAAACAATTGCTTTGTTCTTGTTTTTTAATTCAAATAATCTACTATGATTGTGTTATGTAATTTTACCATGTCTTTTTAAAGTCCTAAGTTGAATCTTCTCTGAAATGGCACTGATTCTATTTGCCAGTTTTCAAAAGAGCAGGAACAAGCCTTTCTAAGGTGGTTTTCTCACCATGACAGGGCTACTTAACAAATATATTAGTCTCTTAGTTAACAGAATTTCCATCCAGCCTGATACAGAACTCATTTATAAATGTAGTCATGTTATATCATAAATGCTTTTCACAAAGGAAGATATTTTTCCTTAATAAATAATTCTCAAGAGATCTGAACTCAATGGATCATAACTCTGTATACTGTATTCAAAATGACCTAATTGAAAAATGTAACAAGATAACTGTATTACCTGAAAATAATGAAGCAAAAATCTCAAATTAGGAAGGAATTGTCAAAAACAGCTATTCTGTCACACCAAATAAAAGAATAAAAGAATGCTTCCGACTAGACGGAGTATCTAAAATCATGAGAAGTCTTACCATGGTAAAATATAAAATAGTCTAAAAGTGACATCTGAGACTTTTAAAATAACTATTCCACATTTCTAAGGCCATTATCATCTGGAAATTAAAGCTAACAGTTCAAGTATTTTCTTCAAGAATCACACAATGACTCATTAAAAGATGAAAGGAAAATGCAATCTATTCCCTTAATATAAAAACGAATTTTTCAAAAACTCCCATATTTTAAGAGATACCAATATTTACTCATTCAAAGAACATGATATTGGTGCCATCAAATTAATAACAAACACAACTTTTAGCTTTTACTTGAACCTGCTGTTGTTATTATCTTCACTATGACATTAACTCCTTTTCTTCTTAGATCTATGTTGGCAGTTAAGAAATCACTGACCTGTTCTTGATTAATGCATCTTTTACAGACAATTTATTTATTTATTTATTTATTTATTTATTTATTTGAGACGGAGTCTCGCTCTGTCGCCCAGGCTGGAGTGCATTGGTGCGATCTCCGCTCACTGCAACCTCCACCTCCCAGGTTCAGGCAATTCTCCTGCCTCAGCCTCCTGAGTAGCTGGGAATACAGGCGTGTGCCACCATGCCTGGCTAATTTTTGTAATTTTAGTAGAGATGAGGTTTCACCATGTTGGCCAGGCTGGTCTCAAACTCCCGACCTCAAGTGATCCGCCCCCCTCGGCTTCCCAAAGTGCTGGAATTACAGGCATGAGCTACTGCACCCAGCCTGATGTTTATATACTAATGTGAAACGTTTTTTCCTCTTGTGGAACACAATCATTTTCGATTAAGCAATCCAAACTGACTTGGAAATAATAATAACAACAAAAATAATAATAAAAATAATAATTCAGTCTTACTTTGAATGGCGCTCCATAGATAGACTCTCCACCACTCCCTGTGCCAGTAGGATCTCCGCCTTGGACTATGAAACCAGGCACAACTCTATGAAAAATGGTATTGTCATAATAAGCTGAAAAAAAAATAAAAATAATTTATCAATGTCTAAAATTAATCATCTCTACAGTTACCAAAATTAATACAGCTAGAGTCAAAAGATTTATTTTCCAGAATGTTAAATACGCTCCCCAGCCAAAACCTTTTGTATCCTCCTTCTTATAAAATAGTTACTTCTCAGAACAGCACACATTTCTACAGAAACCATCACTGTTGACTTCTTGTTTTTATTTCTAGGATTCTCTCAAACTCTGGACTGGTCTTCAAAACAGAAATTAGAGAGTTCTGATAGGGAGGAGAAGCAATATTGTGCCCCAGGGGACATTTGTCAATTTCTGAAAATATTTTTGGTTATCACAAATGGGGGATACTACTGGCATCCAGTGAGTAGGGGGCAGGGATACTGCTAAACACCCTATACTGCAAAAGACAGTTCCCACAACAGAGAATTACCAGCCCAAAATGTCAACTGTATGGAGACTGAGAAACCCTGGCAAAGATAAATACCTTATTTCCCACTGCTTCCTCTTTTCCTCACAGGAAATTAATTTATTAACACACAAACTCATAATATATCAAAATTACTTATTAGTTATAGGTCTAGAACCATCAATACACCCTCCTCAAGAAACTTTGAATAAATAAAACAAATAACACAATACATACTTGAGTCCAATTAGCTCAGTTTGCTAAATGATTGAAATAAATTATTAATATTTATATGTAATTCAAAAATATACAATTGGAGTATATAATTTAGAACTCATAAATATACAGGAGAGACTGTATATGACCTCCTATACTATATATTATCTGGAACCTAAAATCATTAGGATACTTCATAGAAGAAAAGGAAGTTAACTTGGGAATGGCAGAAGCATGGCATCTCAGTGAGGCAAAGTATAAGCGACAAATTGAGTGGGAAGCAGGAATTAGAATTTGCCTGAATAAGAGAATTTACATTAAGAAGTAGCAATAATGACCAACATGCATAACAAAAGATGCTCAATATTATTAGTCATTAGAGAAATGCAAATCAAAACCACAATCAGATACTACTTCACACCCACTAGAATGGCTAACATCAAAAACCTTAAAAGAATAAGTGTTGGTAAGGATGTGATGAAACTGGAACCCTTTTACATTGCTGGTGGGAATATAAAATAGTGTAAAAAGTTAAACACAGAATTAGCATGTAATCCAGCAATTATGATTCCGGTGTGTGTGTGTGTGTGTGCGCGCGTGTGCGCGTGTGTATACAAGTGATATATATGTTTATATATTAATATATAATTTATAAGTGTAAATATATATAGTTCACATAAATAATATATAATATATAAGTAATTATAGTTATAAGTAATTTTGATATATATTGTTTGATATATAAATTATATATAATATATATATCACTGTGCACATGATCAGATTTGCTTTTACAAAACATCATATATTTATATATATTGTTTCTATATATATCCAAAAGAATCGATTGTTTATATATATATCCAAAATATATATATTTGTATATACATCCAAAAGAGTTGAAAACAAGTACTCAAATACACACAAATGTTCATAGCAGCACTATTCACAAGAGCCAACAGGTGTAAACAATTCAAATGTCTATCAATGGATGAATGGATAAATAAAATGTGATATATACATATGATGGAATATGACTGTCACAAAAAGGAATGAAATACTCATACATGCTACAAAATGGATGAACTTCAAAAACATGCTAAGTGAAAGAACCCAAACACAAAGTCACATATTGTCTGACTCCATTTATAAGAAATATCTAGAATAGGTAAATCTGCAGAGATGGAAAATAGATTGGTGGTTGCTGGGGGCTGTGGGTGGAGGAGGGGTATATTAGTCCATTCTCACACTGCTATGAAGAAATACCCAAGACTGGATAATTCATAAAGGAAAGAGGTTTAATTGACAGTCCCACATTGCTGGGGAGGCCTCAGGAAACTTACAATCATGGCGGATGGCAAAGGAGAAGCAGGCACTTTCTTCAGGCAGCAGGATGGAGTGAGCGCAAGCAGGGGAAATGCCAGATGCTTATAAAACCATCAGATCTCATGAGACTCACTCATTATCACAAGAACAGTAAGGGAGAAAATGCCCCTATGATCCAATCACTTCCACCTGGTCCTGCCCTAGACATGTGGGGATTATGGGGTTTACAATTCAAGGTGAGATTTGGGTGGGGACACAGAGCCAAACCATATCAAGGGGAGAATAGAGAATGACTGGGTTAATGGATACAGAGTTTTCTTTTGGGGTAATAAAGTGTTTTAGAACTACATAGAGGTGCCGGCTGCACATTATAGTGAATATACTAAATGATGTTGAACTGTACACTTTAAAATGGTTAGTTCTATTTTATATAAACTTCACCACAGTTTTTTCAAAAAATCCGTTAGGTGGAAGGAAAGAAATTTTACATCACTGAAATTAGTTCTGTACTTACATTAGGTAAGCACAAGAGGAAAACATATGTAGTATGAAGTACTGAATAAACAAAAGCTATTATTTTTGTTGTTGTAAAAACAAACAAAAAGCAAATAGCAACAAAGCAGGTTGTGGTTGAGCCAATCATCGAGTTAGGCAGTCATGATTCAATCACATGCTGAGGGTTACAAAGCAGAAAGATGGAAAAAGCACAGTTCCCTAAAGATTTCACTGAGCTTCCCTAAAGATTTCACCAGATTTCTTGACATACAGGAGGATAAATGTCTTTATTATTTAAATCATTTTGAGTTGGGTCTTCTATTACCTGCAACTGAATACAACCTGAATATAACTCATTCAATGAAAAATATTTATCAAGTATCTACTGTGGGCCAGGCATTTTACTGATACAGTTACTGACATAATTTATAAAGTTCCTATTTTAGTGTCTTGGAGACACCCTCATAATTATTTATATTTGCAAAGTATAACTGGATATACAATGCATATTTTAAAAATTATAATCTGTATTCTAACAACTGTATTTAGTACACAGTACATAAGAAGTAGAAAGGAAGACCAGCTGATTTTTGCTTAGTCCCTTCTCCCATTGCAGGGCAGTTGGGCTGCATTTACAAGAGCTCCCTAGTGCAGACAAATTCCCTCTGGTTACAAATAGATACTATAAAAACCAAAAGGTCTTAAAGTATCTCTCCTATATTCCTAGGTAACCATTTCATCAGTTACACTAACACTGTATGTAGCAGTCAGGAGTTTGAGTCTTGCCTTTTGCTAGCTATACAGTCTTAAACTCCATTTTCTCATAAATCTAATAACATAAATTAAGGCACAGTGTCAATCTGAAGATTAAATAATATGAAAGCAAACTACACATTTTCAAGTTCAACACAAATGTGAGGTCAAACTAATATCTTCACTCAAATGCTACAAATTCATATTCAAATTTGAATATAAAATATACCCCAGTATATATCATATAATGAATATTCATCTAGACCCATAATAAGCAGCCAACCAATACTTTTTGAGCACTGTGCACATGATCAGATTTGCATTTTCAAAATGTCACTCTTACCCAGTGTGAATATATTAGAAAGAGACATGACTGGAGAGAGAGGGGGAGTGAGAGAGAGAGAGAGAAAGAAAGCAAGAGACAGCGCAAGTGCATGCGACAGAGAGCCAGTGAGAGAATGCAAGCAAGCAACTACTATCCTGAGGTCATTACATAACTATGGCTTATCTTGAGATACACAGATTCAAGAACTACTTATGAAGCAAGATCCATAAAACCCAGATATATGTTACCTGTGACGGAAAAAGGACATGAAAGAGGTCTTTATTACTTGTGTTTTCAAATTTTAGAATTTCACCATTTTCTTTCTTTTTCCTATTTCCCATTAAGTATTTCAGTGATGCTGGCTTTTTATTTTAAGATTTTCTTTATGATTTTCCTAGTTATATTCCTGTTGAATGCATGAAATTATTATACTATATATAAATGAGTAAAAATTTTCTATACTCTCTACACTATAACTTTGTATTCTAACATAGCTGGAATTTCCAATGTCCACAAATCTTCCATATCTACTATTTCTACTTCTTTGTAATTTATTAGTAATCACTATTGAACTATGCATTTATAGTTGTATTTATAGTTTATAATACTGTATATTTTGCTGCTTGCAATGTTTATTTGATTTTCTTAAATTTTTATGCATCATCACAAGTGTTTTGAAAAAGCTTTATTATTTCATTATGCACGTTCATAATATCCTCCTGAATGTTCTCCACTATTGAAAAAAGATACCTAAATGTATCTTAAATATGAAACAAAGTTCCTATTTGATTGCTGTCATTCTAGTATTTGTCACATGGTTTCTATTTCTGGCTACAATAATCTATGGGCATTATCATATATTTTGACTAATTATATTTCTTGCCCAAGTTCATAGAGGAATTTATACTTGCACTTTAAAGTAGTTATACGTTTCTTCTTCTAGAATCCTGTTTTGTGTTTAACTATGTAAATGTTATCATTAATAACTTTTTATCTAACACTCATCTTGCGACCAGTCTGCACTATCTGGTATTTTTTTAAACAAATATTTTAGTTTTGTAAAGAAATTTCTTTTAACTTATAGCATATTTATGCTTATATTTGTCACTCTAAAGAATTAGTAAACTATTATTAAAGAATAAAAGATAAGCAATGAAGTGTGGACCATGATGAGACAAGAATGATGTGAAATAAAGGTGAAGAGATTAGTAGTCACACAATGTATTAAACATTTTGATTTTCTTATCCACTTCTCCCTCTGCTCCCCACTTGTCTATAAAACAAACATAAAATTATACTCCTTCCTCACACTGGAGGAACTAATGAAATTATCAAAGCTAATAAGCTTCCCTTTCATTCCTTTATATCTTTTTTGCTCTATTTTTTAATTGATAAGTTTTTAAAAGTTCCACTCATTTTAAATGTCCACCTAACTATGCTGCAAAGACCAAAAATCTAAGATTAAGTCTGTATAATGTAGATCCTTTGGTTTTTTAAAGGCTATAAACCATCCTTTGGCTATGAACATCATTTTAGTTGAGGGCCATATCTGAGACTGCGCTCTTACTTGTTCATGTTTTATTCATTTGCTTTTAAATTCTGGAAACCATGCTTTAAAAAAATAAATATGAGTGTTTCAAGATCTAGAAACATTATGACTCGTCTAAATCATAGAAGCAAAGAACTAAAATGGGGTTTTCTGGATTATATTTTTGAAACCTTGACTTAACTTATTTAGGAGTATCCTTGTTTAAATCAGTCTTCTTAGGCTTCATGTTAGCCTTTCCAATAATAATTCTATCTCTATTCAATTAAGAGGATTGGTGAATTTGATTAAGATAATTGTTGTGGTTATTTTTAAAATTATTTTTCTATTCTTTCTTCTTTCTCCTTGCATTATTATAAATAGGGGAATAATTGTTGTAATAATTGAGTTTTATCATCACCCAACTTAAGAACCTCATTTCTTCTTCACTGTCACATTGTATCCAGATGTTTTCTGCTTCTTCCATTCACCTGGTCATGGATTGCAATTTACCATTCATTCTTTCTAATGTTTTTGTAATTTTACTCTCCTTCTGTAAAACTTGAGCTTTTGAATCTTCAAAACTTCTTACCAGAAACAAGTCTGACTTTTTCATGTCTCCTGTGTTTCTCAACTTGGTTAACAGATATTTGAGGCCTCTCTGACTGAACTACCTACCTGACTCTATTTCCTTCCTGCCTGCCACAGCAATTATTAATAATGGTCTTTGCAGATGTCCTTTCATTCTCTCTCTCTCTCTCTCTCTCTCTCTCTCTCTCTCTCTCTCTCTCTCTCTCTCGCTCCACTCCTCCCCACCTCTCTCTTTTGGAGAGGGGGTGGTATCTGGGTATTTTTCATTTCTTAAATCTTCACCTGATAATTACGTCTATTTAGAGAGATCTCATCATACCATACTACTGGATTCTCTTTCACACCTTGCTTCTGACCCAAAATGTTGTTTTCTGATACCTTGAATAAAACTGTCTCTAAAAATCAAATATAACTTAGAAGAACAATGATTTGCCACCGCTGGAGATATTCCAAACCATATGTAATGTATTCTAGAAGCCAACAAAAAGCTCTAAAAATGGAAGGTTTACTTCCCTAAGAGAATACTCTGCAGGGAAAAACACTTCAGTGGATGTATAATTCTGCAGCATTTTAAAAAAAGAAAAATAGTTACTTTATGACTCAAATCTAAAAAAACTAGAGACATTGATAATAATATCACTGGATGCTAGCTGGAAGGCTGTGTGGAGAAACTAGAATTTTGAACAGACATTTAAAAATGGGTAGACTTAAACAGTAAAAAAAGGGAAGAAAAAGCATACCAAAAGAAGGGGAACTAGTATGAGGACATGTATGAAAGTGGAAACGGAAAGGAAATGCTTAGGAAATAATGTCCAACTAAAACCATGTGGTTAGTGCAATGAGCTAGAAAGTTGGATAGCTAGGAAGCCAAGCTGCCTGAGGATTCAAATACCATATAAACAAGGAAGAGAGAAAAGAAATTAAGGATGAAAGACAGGAAGGGGAGCAGGCAAGAGGCAATTACAGTCATACAGGTGAAAGGCAGACTGGGGAAGAAATTGGTAAATTTGGTTTTACACTGGTTTTGTTATAGCTAACAGTGGAAGGCTCCAGTTGAAAAGTCCACTAGGCAATTAGATATGTAAATTAGTACTAGGAAGAGAAGAAATGACTGAAGTTCTTAATGTGGTAGTCATTTGGACTGAAGTAACAACTAGAGAGTGATGACAATAGAGAACTAGAGGCAATCTTAGGGAATACCCAAATTTAGAGAATGAAAGGAAGAAGCGTAAGATAGCAAAGAAGACCAAAGAGGATCACAGTATTATTTGTTGAGATAAACTGCTCTGTTGAAAGTATTCAAATTTATTTGGGATAACATTTATCTCTTATCTCTACTTCCGGACACCCAGCTCAATACCATATCCTCATAGCAACACCTGTCATTCATGACCACTATTTAACACTAGTCTTCAATGTTGTGAAGCAGACACTGCAGTTTATTTTTAAATTAACAAGAATTTCTCCAGTAGAATAAAAGTCAACATACCTTCCAAACAAAGTTGGATAAAATTTCTGCAAGCTTTAGGAGCTTCTTTGGACCACAACTCTATGTCAATATCTCCAGCTGTAGTTTTCAATAAAACCTGTAGAAAGAATATTACATTTTATTAAATTATTATTTTGCTTAATAATCAGTTGAATAACTATTTGACTTGTAGCAATCACTAGTGAGTTTTCAATTTTAAAAGAAATATTAAAAATTGTGTTTGGCTTTTGTTGATATACTCAACAAAATGTCAAATATTCACTACAACTCATTGTACATTTAGATCTTTCAAAATACCATTTCAGAAAAAGTTTGGGATTTAAGAAAACAATAGCATATATCTTTTTTAATCACAGAAAAAAACTTCATTCATTTAGAAAACGGTAATATCTAAAGTGAGTTCACTTGAGGCTAGGAGTTCAAGAACAGCTTCGGCAACACAGACAGACCCTGTCTCTAAGAAAATTTGTTTTAATTAGCCAGGCATGGTGGTGTTCCATGCTATTTGGGAGGCCGAGTTGAGAGGATCACTTGAGCCTGGGAATCTGAAGTAATAGTGAGCTATGATCATGCCACTATATTCCAGCCTGGATGACAGAGCAAGACCCTGTCTCAAAATAAAATAAAACATGACAAAACCCCAATAATGCAAATTTGTTATAATTGAGTTTCCCATTGCATCAATTCCAATAAAACTGTGTAGCAAATTAAGAAATTAAAGAATAATGAACCCATTAAATTGTGACATTATAGGACAATTTTATAATTACCCTTTTTAATTACCTTTTACTCTCTCTGCTCATTTAACATCATGCTATTCCTAATTTACAAAGGAACATTCTTAATCTAATTCTGGCTTGTGATTTACTAAAATACTATGTCTTAAAATCACCTTCTATAGTAAATAGAATCCCGTGATAGCCTTTCCACCAGCTCATAACAGCAGATACTCCTTGGTAGAACCAGAAACTTTGCAACTAGAACCCCTCCCTGCTGGGCCCACAGGAAACAGTTTATAACTGTCTTATTTATAACCACAAATAACCAAAAAGAATGTTAGGCTCTAAATTTGAACATTGTGGCATAGCTGGAAACCAATTTCTCCAGTATTACTTCTTCTTTTTTCTCCCCTAGTATACCAAAGTAGATCAGTGTCAATAATTTGTGACCATCACAATCTTTTAGAATGCTCTTTCAAGTAAAGAGTATGCAATATAACTGTTCAAAAACATGAGGCTGTTTCTCATAGGTCAGTATCATCAATGCTAAGTCACATTTCACCACCCTAAAAAGAAACCCTGTACTCATTAGCAGTCACTCCCTATTTACCCCTACTCCTACTCTCTGGCAGCCACTAATCTACTTTCTGTCTGTGTAGATTTGCCTATTAAACATTTCATATAAACAGAATCATACAATATGTGGCCTTTTGTGTCTGGCTTCTTTTACTTAGCATAATGTTGCTTTCAAATTATATAGGGGTCTTTCAGTTCTACACATCTAGTTTTTAAATGTCTTGAAAATCACAATGACTTTATACTCTTACTGGTAAATATTTCAAGACACAATATATATTTAAGGCAAAGTTCACCATTGAAAACAATAAATAGAAATCCATATTTCCAATGGTCTTCATAATAATTTCTGATTTTTTTGACAGACTTCCCATGCTGAGGTATCAGCTCTATCATGTTCTTATGATTTGCTTGTTTATATTATTAATAATATCTTCAATAAGAAATTTGTGATGGCTGGTTTAGTTAATCTAAATACTATGGTCTATAAATCTATTTGGCTAGTCGTTATGAAAAATTACACCACAATGCCAAAAAAGTGCCTTTTTTTTTTTTTGAGACAGAGTCTCACCCCGTTGCGCAGGCTGGAGTGCAACGGCACGATCTCGGCTCACTGCAACCTCTGCTTCCCGGGTTCAAGCAATTCTCCTGCCTCAGCCTCCCGAGTAGCTGGGACTACAGGCACCCACCGCCACACCCAGCTAATTTTTTGTATCTTTAGTAGAGACGGGGTTTCACCATGTTGGCCAGGCTGGTCTCGAGCTCCTGATCTCATGATCCGCCCGCCTCAGCCTCCCAAAGTGCTGGGATTACAGGCATGAGCCACTGCGCCTGGACTTTTTTTTTTTTTTTTTTTTTTTTTTTTTTTGAGACAGAGTCTCACTGTCTCCCAGACCCGAGTGCAGTGGTGTGATCTCAGTTCACTGCAACCTCCACTTCCTTGGTTCAAGCAATTCCCCTGCCTTAGCCTCCTGAGTAGCTGGGATTACAGGCTCACAACATCATGCCCGGCTACTTTTTTTGCATTTTTTTTAGTAGAGACAGGGTTTCACCCTGTTGGCCAGATTGGTCTTGAACTCCTGACCTCAGGCAATCTGCCATAGTCTCCCAAAGTGCTGGGATTATAGGCATGAGCCACTGCACCCAGTCATCATCTTTTTATATATATTAAATAATGAATTTAAACAAAGGAAAAAAATACAAATATATATAGATTTTCTCCCCACAGCTCATGGATGGTTTTGCACACCCACTGAAGTATGCACTCACTGGTTTAGAAACCACTGCTCTAATGAACACACTAATTACATCATCCCTCCCTCCACAGGCTCTGGAATCAGGATGCCCAAATTCAAATACTGGCCCTTCCATTTACTAGCTTTGTTACCTTGCGCACACTATCTGACATCTCTGTCACTTAATTTCCTAATCTAAAAACGGGATAATAATATCTTTTAGGATTTCTGTGAGGACAAAATGAGCTGTAATACATAGACTGCTTAGAAAAGTAAATGACAAATAATAAGTGCTCAAAAAATGATAGTCATTATTACGTGGTTTTTTGGCCACAGGCAACTTACACCTAGTAAAAAGAATGCATATATAATCGGGCCACTTTGCTCACCAGGGTTTCTTAATCTTTTCATTAATAAGCTACTGAATTAATAAAGAAGGTATATGGCTCCTTCCTCCTCTGGCCATACATTCTCTTTGGTCATCACTACTTTGTAGGCCTCCTTGGCTCTTTCTCTTAAAATTCCCAATTAATACCTTGATAATATCATGTTTCTTATAAACATATATGCAAATATACTTATAAAGCCATTTTGATTTTCAAGATATTTAAAAACTAAGTGTGTACAACAGGAAGACAGACCCCTATCATTTGAAAGCAACATTACACTAAGTGAAGAAGCCAGACACAATTTAGAATAAGTGATCATAATATGTGGAAATTTCATCTTCAGGGAATTACCTCTTATGCTTAAAAACTTTCTGTCAAGTACTACATTTCTTTGCCTCATCTTCAGGGGCTAGGGTTACAGCAAAACACAGAACATTTATGGACAACCAGGGACCAAGCACTGGTATCATGTATCAATTACTTCCCAAGCTGATACTAAGTTCTTTGAAGGGAGGAATTTTGTCCCATTTACTCTGAATGTCTCTGTACGCTTTCAGCACCTAATGTACCATTAGATAGTAAAGGCAATAAACATTCGTTGAACAGACTTATTACATGTGCTTCAAATTCTTCACAGACCAAATTTTTGTCCACACTCTTAACCTTACAGAACTTAGAAGCTTTAATATCTTTGATGAGCCTTATGCTGGAAAAAGTCCCAAGCTGTTTTTGGATGAAAACTTGGGCCCTTATGTTATCATTCAGCCTATTTCTGTTCAGAAGATAGTATTTATCACATTTTGTAATTAAACATTTATTTGCATGATTATTCAGTCAATGTATACTTCACTCAACTAACTCATGACAACTGAGTCAATGCTGTGTTTTCTTTCCATTGTCTCCCTAAAACCTAGCATAGAGCCTGGCAATTGATTTGCTCAATCATTATTTGTTGAATGAATAATCTATTCAGGAATGTATCCTTGTTAAAGCTTTTCATCTATATGACCATGTCAAATCTTGCTTTAGAATAAAGCAATTAAGTCTGTCCTTGACCAGCAGTATAACCTCAAACTCACTGATGCTTAATACTTCTCAAAAACTAAGAAAAATATAGTATTAATTCATCCATCCATTCATTTATTCAATACCTATCTGAACTCCTTCTATCATGTATCAAGTACTGTTCCAGATGCTTGTCTCTGCCCTTATGTTCCTTACATTCTATAGGGGGAAGGTAGGAGGAAGGATACAGTAATACTAAATAATTAATAAATACCATGAAAAAAACTAAAAAGGTTAAGGGGGCCAGAGACTGCTGGGATGCAAGGCATGATTGAAGTTTGCTATTTCATAGAAAGTAGATAAGAAAGGGCTCTTTGCTAAGGTCAACACTTGATTAGACAGAGGAACAGCAAGTGTGAAGGCCCTGTCTGGCAGGATGGTAAATCTATTCAATCTCTACCAGTGTTTATTAACTGGGGGTGATATTGCCCTCAAGAAACATTTGGAAATAGGAGGAGGTAGGTATTTTGGGTTTTCACATTGATATTAAATAAGATAGGTGAGGGGTGGGATGGACATACTAATCTACAATGCCCAGGAGAAGTTCAAACAAAGAATTGAAAGAATTGGTCTGCCCATAAAATATCCATTACATTTTTGCTGGGAATTACAGCATTTTTGGTTTCACTTTTAAATTGCTCTCATTACATTATCAAATGTCAATGAATAAAAGACTGTATAAATTATTTATGATGCAATCATGTAACAAACAGGATGGTATGTTGTGTAAATTTAGCTTATCTTAATTCAACTATATACTTCCAATCTCATTTTCTCCAATATGCTGATTCATCAAATTTCATATGTGATATAAGCTAGGTCTCAATTTAAGAATTCAGGTGACACTTATTCCACAACAGACTCTTCTGCCTTGTACAGCATACAAACATCTTGGATGGGAATTGGCATACATTAGCCATCAAATCAATCAGAGAAACCTTTCCCCATTCTAATGTGGTAATAGTCCCCATTTCCCACTTTCTCTGACTGACAGTCATCTCAGGTTTTAAAACCAGCTCAAAAGATATCTTTTCCATGAGGCTTTTCCTAACTTCCCCAGTTGTTCACTACTCAGTACCGCCATAGCAACCTGGTCTCTTCTCCACAAGCACGCTTATCAGACATACAGGCTTTTGTTTACCTGTCTGTCTCACAAACTAAACTATAAGCTTTTCCGGGAAAACAACTACCTTACCCATCCATCTTTGTATCTCCGGCGCCTAGTACAGTGCCCAGTGCCTCGCAGGCGTTCAATTAATGATTGTAGAAGAAATGGAGAATGAATGACCTTAGTTAAGCAAAGAATATATCAAACTCAAAAATGTCTGTTTAAAAACCTAAGACCCCAGAAATCGGCTGCATGAGTTGGGTTAAAGCATTAAATAGGACCGGAATGCTGGTAGGTAGAGAAATCTCCACTTGACTTCTTCAAGTACATCCTGAAAAGTACCAACATCAGTGTTTCGATGCAACATTGTCCACATGCAGGAGTAAAGACAACACTTCTCGTGGTCTCTTCCTACCACGAGATCCTGAAACCCACTCCCCACCCCAAATCCGGGAAATCTCACTTTGGGGATCCCAGGACCCCAAGTTCCCTAGATGAGGCTCTCACCTTCCCATTCGTGGGAGGCTCCTGGATGTAGATGTTGCTCATCTTGGTCAGTACAAAGGACTCTGCTCCTTACGGGGGATGAGAGCGGCCGGCCGGCCACTAAAGCTGTCCGCCTACGAGTACACTCTTCCTTAAGTCCAGTGGTGCAGGAAAGCTTCAGTTTGTCAATATCACGCAAGACAGGGACACCAAACACTACCCCTGCCCAAAGGAGCCCCTCACGGACGCCGCCATGTTGTTACCGGACCCGAGCACCGCTAACCCTGAGAAGGGTTATTCCAATGTACTCCAGGGAACGAGAAAAGTCCGTAAAGTTACCATAGCTTAATGTTATTTATGTTATTTGTATTACAATATTAGAAGGGACACTTCATAAGTGTTGGCGGTGTTTACACTACTCTCGTGTGCAGATCAAACTAACTCCCCCTCCAAAACTATCAGTAATGGTTCGGACCATGTGTCTTCTGCAATATGACTCGTCCGGAAACTGCATCCGCATCTACTGGTTCTGCCGTCGCTAGAGGCGTACAGGCCCTTCCCGACCGTAGCGAGGGTGCTGCTGCGCTGGGGGAAGGAAAACGCCGCTTTGACTGTGCCTTGTTCTCACAGCTGGCGGGAAGCAAGCGCCTTTTCGAAAGCCAGAGGCTCGAGTTACCCCTCTTACCACCGTCATGGCAGTCCCAGGTAAGGAGCAATTACAGGGCCTCTGCGTCCGAGCTCCGAAGGGAGCGCAAGGGAGGGTAGGGTAGGGTGCGGCGTGTACGGAGCAGCGCCCATGGGGATTTAGGCGGAGGCCTTAAAATTCACAGGTTTGTTTTGTTTACATGAAAAAGTTTACACTCCAAACATAAACTCTGAAGGAAAGAAAATAACTATCTTCCCCCCAGGAGCCAAGCCCCAGCTGCTTGGGATTACAGGGAAAGTGTATTGTGGAAGGGAGGGAGGAGGGAGAGACTGTAACTGTAGGCCTAAGGGGGCAAGCGGCCGAGAAAAACTACCTTAACTGTGGTATGGCTTAAAACTAAAACTTGAAGTGGGAACACTTGGCCGACCCAGGTAACCGGAGGCATCGTTTGTCTTAGAAGTCGCTAGGACCCACCGGGTGTGCGGGTTCTACTCCTAGCTCTTCCTGTTGTATGTAGCTGCTCCGTGGCCATAGATTGGTCGCTTTGTGCTTCTGGGCCTCAGTTTCCTTATAAAAAGAAGGAGCTTTGTTGAATTATATATAAGATTTCTTCTAACTCTCAAATTCTATGTCCAGAAGTTACTGACCTAAAAACGGTGAACTCTGCAGAATAATTACTTAAAAGATTTTCTCGTCCTCAACTACCAGCTTACTTGGAAGTTCTAGTAGCGGAAAGCATCTCCTCAAACCAGCTTTGCCACTGCAGAACACTGATTGCAGGAGACATTTTCAGAAATACACACTTCTCCACCCCACCTCCCAACTTGGAAATTCCCAGCGCACTTTAGTAATAGAAAAGATTCTATTCTATTAGAATAGAATACTATGAATTGCTATAGAATTACTATGAACTATAGAATTACTATGGTTCAGAACCCTAACTTTGTTTAAACCTGCACTTCCCAGTATTATTTGACCAGGTTCTTTATTCTGTGGCAGCCTTTTTGAACCTCCTTCTACAGATAGCTGTTATTGGAACACTGTGCTTTTGTACTAACTGAAGTTTGCGGAGGAGTACATCTGGAGCTGTGAGAGAGGAAATGTACACTCTTTATTAAGCCTACTGTGTGCCAGGCACTGGTACTGGGCATTGGAAATACAGTGGTGAGCAAGGTAGACATGGTTACGCTTCACACAGAACTTAGAATTTAGCAGTGAAGAGAGAGAAATTTACAGAAAGTGGGACAAGTGCCATGGCAAGGAAAATACAAGACCTTAGCACAAAGTAAGGGCACCAAACACATACAGGATGGGCAGAAGGACTTTCCAAAGGAGGTAGCACTTAGGAGGAGATCTGAATTGTAGGAGGGGTGGCTTGAAGGGAGAGGAGACTGCAGTCGGAGGAACTGGATACGTAAAGGAAGAGGAAATATGTGAAAAGAGGAAATGAAAGATGTTTTCTATGGATGGAACTCAAATACAGATGGGAGATAAGTGAGAAATTAAGTACAGAGGTAGTAGCTGTAGCTAATATTGACTAATATTTATGTGTCAAATATGTCAGAATGAAAGATGTTTTCTGTGGATAGAACTCAAATACAAATGGGAGGTAAGTGAGAAATTAAGTAGATAGTAACTGTAGCTAATATTGACTAATATTTATAAGTCAAATATGTCAGATACTATATCAAACATTGTATTCTATCTCATTTAATATTCACAACTGCACTGTGAAATGAGTATTAATATTCCCATTTTACAGATGAGGACACTGAGGGACAAAGAAATCAAGTAATTTGCCTATTATGAGACAGCTGGAAAGCAAGAAGTCAGTCTGGTTCCTCTAGACTGTGTACTTCATTCATTTTGCCATCGTATAGGATAACTTACAAGGTAGTTTCCAGCTCTTTAAGGACCTGTAGGCCATGACAAGAGGTTTGGCATTATCCTACAGATGGCAGGAAGCCATTTAAGGATTTTAAAGCAGATTCACATTTTGGAAAGATAATTCTGGCTAGAAAGTAGATTGGAGACAAAGTTTACCAGTTAGGAGTAATTCTGGTGAGTTATAATGATGTGTGGCTGAGATGTGGTCTCAATAGGTAAGGAGAGAAGTGGATAAATTGAAGATACATTTTTGGTGGTAGAGTCACTAGGAGTTGGTGATTGATTCAGTGTGGGTAGGTAAAAGAGGAAATGAGGTTTACCTGGGTTTTACTGTTAAGCAATTGGGTGGGGCTGTTTACTGACATGACAACACCTCACAAGGGGCAGGGGTTAAGGGGATGATGATGACATCCAGTCTGGGGCTTGTTGTGTTGAGGTTAGTCAGACATAGGAATGCAAATAGTTAATAGTAAGAGATATAATTTGTAGCTTAGGAAAGAAGTCAGAGTCAAAGACAATGATTTGGGTGTTACCCACACACATAATAGGAGGTAAGGCTATGGGAGTGGAGCACTCTGCTTAGATGGTGTGTAGAATGTGAAGGGAAGGTCTGTGGCTGAAGCCTGGTCAACATCTAAGAGGCCAGCAGCGAAAGATAAACCTACACAGTAGATTGCCTAGGCATCCTGATAGGCCGAGTCAGCTCTAGTGATCTTTATACCACACAGCTGCACCCAAAGTTGACCTGTTATCACTGCTCATTTCATTACTTGAGCAAGCCTTTTGGGCACCTGTGTGATATGGGCACACTGGAGGACACAGTGTCATAGTCTGTGCCCTCATAAAACTTTAAGCAGTACATGAAAATGTGCTACTTAAGAAAGGGGACAAAAGTGATTTTTTAAGGCCTCATTAAAATTCTCTTAAACTTAGACCAGTGTTATAGATATGTTAACCTTCTTTCAATTCAAAATAGTGCTTCAAAGTATAATAATGTTAAATTGTGCCATTAAGCTAGATGGCAAGCTATAAACTGTTTAAACCCAGCAATAATTGAGATAATAGGTGTGACAGTGCTGTAAAAGTACAATGCAAGTGTCATTAGAAAATACAGATACAGAAAATCGTAAGATAATTTCTTAGATGATCGATCCAGACAGGGTATTAAAGGAAAATAGGGCTAATCTAAACTTTTCAAGGTTATCATCAAGGAGGACAAGTATTATGTTAGGCTCTTTAATTTTAGGTTTAATGGATTCAGTTTGGCATTTCTTGGGGTGGTCCTGCTAGTGATTATGACAAGGTATGATTATAAAGTAACAAGGCTGCTTTCTGCAAACCACACATAAAAATCAGCCTTGTCTGTTTTATGATCATGTGCTTCACCCGTGTTTCCATAGCATTGTGTATAAGCGTATACCATTATGTAGGTAATGCAATGAAATGTAGGCATTTAGGAAAATCTTACTCTTAGTTGTTATTATAGAAATAATATTTGATCACAGGTTTCAGTGAAATTTACTTTCTTTGAAAAAACTGCTTTTCCCATTCACAGTTGTTGAAATTACCTCCAACATTCATGTCAGTGATTCACCACTCTCCATGAAGAGCTGAACTGGCACAAGTGGCAACGTATGTTACTGATGTAATTGGCACAAAACTGTTTTCTTATTATCTCCTTCACTGAAGCCCTATAGCCAAGGTAGGGAATTTTTCTGTGGCCAAGCTAACATTTCAGTCTGGCACATCACAGTGAATAAGATTTTTAAAACACATTATGATAGTATCTTAGTAATAGAAGAATTCTCAATTACATCCAATTTTTCTTTATTCCTAAACTAGACTATAGGTAATTTGTTTTCTCTCTAGTCTATATTGCACATTGCTGCTAAAATAATTTTCCTGAATCATATATCTGATCCTATCATTGGTGGGAGGCATGAACTTAGTTCTTGACCCCTATCTGTGAATTTTGTAGTTCTCTTCAAGCCACTTAACCTTTTGGAGGTTCAGTTTTTGTGTCTCCATAATGGAGTTGAAGGCTAAGGTTTCTTAAGCTTCTAAAGTGTTAAAAATGCCAAGTCTCCCCATCTCTCTCTGCGAGAATGCAGTGCACACTCCCAAGCATGACCAAATCACTCTTTCTACTCTTTCCTTCCACCACTCCCCTCATGCATTCTACAATCCTGCAAAAATCTGACTTGGCCAATTATTCTGTGAACCTCTCAAGTGCTTTCCTACCTACGAGCCTTTGTTATTACCTCCTATATTGCCTGTAACTACCTATGGGAAGCTTTCCTGATCTCTTGGCTGAAACTC
Source organism: Homo sapiens (assembly GCF_000001405.40). Lineage (NCBI taxonomy): Eukaryota > Metazoa > Chordata > Mammalia > Primates > Hominidae > Homo > Homo sapiens. Next base: position 64,764,357 of record NC_000005.10, on the reverse strand, counting down.
TTCCCTGCCACTTCTTCATGCTTATTAAATAGAGCTCTGTGTCTTTTATGGAACCTGGCACATTCTATCATGGATTACAGCTGTGGTTGCATTACCATAGATAAACTAGTATAGTGTCGCTTCCCATGGGCTGCATGCAGCTCAGGACGACTGAATGCAGCCCAACACAGACTCGTAAACTTTCTTAAAACATTATGAGTTTTTTTGTGATTTTTTTTTTAAAGCTCATCAGCTATTATTAGTGTTAGTGTATTTCAGTGTATTCTATAGTTTATGCCCTCATAAAACTTTAAGCAATACATGAAAATACTACTTAAGAAAGGGGACAAAAGTGATTTTTAAGCCCTTATTAAAATTCTCTTAAACTCACACCACTGTTATGTTAACCTTCTTTCAATTCAAAATAATGCTTCAAAGTATAATAATGTTAAATTGTGCCATTAAGTTGGATGGCAAGGTATAGATAAACTGTTTAAACCCAGCAAAAATTGAGATAATAGGTGTGACAGTGCTGTAAAAGTACAGTGCAAGTGTGGCCCAAAACAGTGTGGCCCAGCAAAGCCAGAAGATTGGATATCCCTGTAGGGGCTTGATTCATCCCTATGGCTTCTCTAACATCGAGTTCAAAGTTATACCCATCATAGGTAAATAATGAATAATTAGAGGGTTGATTACTATAACTGCTGCTGAGCAGAAATAGTACTAAACAGATTAAGCTAATACAGTCTTCATTCTGTTTCATTAGGTAATTAAATTTCTGTCTCTTCTTAAACAAATTTCTCTGTCTCTTCTATTTTTTTTTTCTTTTTTTGGGGGAGGGGGTGACGGAGTCTCGCTCTGTCGCCCAGGCTGGAGTGCAGTGGCACTGTCTCGGCTCACTGCAGCCTCCGCCTCCCGGGTTCAAGTGATTCTTCTGCCTCAGCCTCCCAAGTAACTGGGACTACAGGCACATGCCACTATACCCGGGTAATTTTTTGTATTTTTAGTAGAGGCAGGTTTCACCATGTTAGCCAGGATGGTCTAGATCTCCTGACCCTGTGACCCGCCTGCCTCAGCCTCCCAAAGTTCTGGGATTACAGGCATGAGCCACCGCGCCCAGCCTCTCTGTCTCTTCTTACACCTTTTTTCTTCACGGATTAATTGTACTTTGTGAGGCATGTAGACTAAAGAGTTTTATACATTTCATATCAGTATAAATCTCATATCAGTAAACAGCTCTTTGATTGGTTTGCTAGTTCTCCTTTTGGAGTCAAATGATTATGAAGCCTTTTTTTAATTTTTATTTGTTTATATATATATTTATTTGGAGACAGAGTCTCGCTCTGTCACCCAGGCTGGAGTGCAGTGATGCAATTTCAGCTCACTGCAACCTCCGCCTCCTGGGTTCAAGTGATTCTCATGCCTCAGCCTCCTGAGCAGCTGAGATTGCAGGCATCCACCACCACGCCTGGCTAATTTTTGGAATTTTAGTAGAGATGGAGTTTCACCATATTGCCCAGGTTGGTCTTGAACTCCTGGCCTCAAGTGATCCACCCACCTCAGCCTCCCAAAGTGCTGAGATTACAGGTGTGAGCCACCACACCTGGCCTATGAAGGCATTTTTAATGGACTATTAAGACATCTGCTATTTCAGAATACTTGCATTGAGAAACTCATTTAGCCTATTTTTTAAATTATCTTATTAATTAACGAAGTATTAATGTTTTAGTAAAAAATGACTAATTTCTACTGCTTTGTCTACTTTGACTTTAGTACAGTATTTGGGGTCCCAAAGAAAGGAGTGTGTCTATGAATTTTTAATATAAATGGTAGAAAAATAAAATACTTGGAATTTTACTTTGCATCAACTTAAGCAGAACATATATATTATATAAATAGATATTACCACTTATAAAATATGGCTGCAGTTTGAATTTTAAAAGCAGAAGTAATTGAAATTGTCTTTATAGGTTCCCCGATTGTAACTAAAACCATAATGGAGTAACCAAATATAAAACTTGTTACTAAACAAAATTAATCTAATTGACTCTAATCCAATTAAAAATGAAAAGAATGGGTCCTGTGACAGAAGTAATTGCAATTTCTAATTACTTAGTACTAAAAAACTTAGTTACTTAAGCTGTATATGTTTAAATTTAAGCGATTCTAGGAAATATTTTAATGTAATGAAAATGTCAGGCTTCCCTAAATTCCAAAATAGACAATAGGAAAAATATATTAAGTTCTAAGCATCACTGTTAAAATTCCCAGTGACTAAGTTGTTGCCTTTGGAAAGATAGGTGATGTAAAATTTCAAGGAAATAAATTTAAATCGAATATGACATTCCTTTGCGGACCACTGACCAACCTGAAGCAAGTGTTGAGGACTCGCCATCTTTCTCTCAATTTTTCTCAGTCCTTTTATTTTTGTCCCTTCTTTTTGGTTTTCTCAATATTTTCTGTTTCTTCGTTGTCTACTGTTAACTTTAAAATTTTTTTTCTTTTGTGCTAACTGCTAAGACATAATTTACATGTTTTAAAAACAGCACAGATCACAAATGTTTGGCTTGAAGAATTTTGACAAATAAATTGAGTGTGTGTGTATACGCACACGCGTATTTCTTAGCTGGCAACTGGGGTCTAGAGAAGTTGCCAGTTTCCAACTTCTGAAGTATAGTCATGCACCACAAAATGATGTTTTGGTCAATAACTGACTGCATATACAATGGTGGTCCCATAAGATTATAATACTCTTATTTTTACTGTACCTTTTCAATGTTTAGGTATGTTTAGATACACAAGTACTCACCATTGTGTTACAACTGCTTGTAGTATCAATACAGTGACATACGGTACAAGTTTGTAGCTTAGGAGCAGTAGGCTATACCATATAGCCTAGGTGTATAGCAGGCTATATCACCCAGATTTATGTACACCATGATGTTGCCACAAGGACAAAATTTCTGTGTTGTGCCTAACAACACATTTCTCAGAATGTATCCCTGTCATTAAATGAAACATGACTGTATTTTCTTAAGCTTATAACCTCAAATCAATAAGTATTTGTTGAGCACCTCTTAGCAACTCTCCATCATGGTAAGCACTGAGTTGGATTCAAAATTATATGGCTACTTTAAGTTACTGGAAGAAAAAGGACCAGCCCAATTACCTGATTCCTCCCACTATCACCCAAGTTGTTTAACAGAATACTAGATTCAGAGTAAGCCCTTAATATTTAGCAAGTATAAGAATGAAGACTCTGACATCATGAATTAATAAAATTTTATTGAAAGTCTGCAATGTAACCTCTCTGAAGAATTTACAAATGCAATAATTGCCTTTTGTCAGATAATGTTTACTTGACAGTTACTTTTCTTAGTGTTACAGTTTTGTTTGTTTGAGGGAGATTTTCCAGATTGGTTTTTGAAAGGGTAATTTAATCACCTTTCACATTTTAAAACTGCCAAAAGGTATATAGTGACATGTCTCTTACTCAAGTCCTTCTCTGTCTGGACTTAGTTTTCTTTCTTCAAGTAACCAATCTATATCCTTACAGAGGTATGTCTAATATCTTCTGTAAGAATTAAAGAAAGAGGTAAGAAACATGAAAAGATGGCTCGCCAGTCAGGACAGATTTATTTAGAGAAAACAAACGTGAGAGGTGCCTTCTGGCCAAGTTAGGTCAGAGGCACACTCACTTACAAACTAAGAGTTTTTAAAGATTCAGGGTGGGAGAGTTTATCAGAGGCTTGGACTGCTTCTCTGACTCTTTGTTGTGCTTATCTGGGAGGGAGAGTTGTGTGTCTGTTCCCATACATCTTTCTGCAGCTGCAGGCCTATCAGTCTGCATGTAGCTTTTCTATCCTAGTGCACCTGAAGGGAAAGGAATGTGCTTATTAAGGCCCACTATTTTACTGGGGCCCATTGTATGAGGGTGAAGTTTGGCAGTTGCTCAAGAGACTTTCCCCCCACCTCCCTTTGTGCCCAGCTGTCTTATCTGTATGTTATTGTCTGTTCTTTCTGGCTGCTTACAATTAGAAGAGAAGTAATTTCCTTGAAATGCATGAGGCTAGAAAGGGAGCTGGAATTTAAAGTGGTGGTGTTTGTCCCAGATGACAGTGCTCCTGCTCTATCATCTTCTTTTTTTTATACGAATGGCAGCATGCCATAAACACTGTTCTGCACCTTGCTTTTTTTCTTTTTACAGTATATCTTAGCGATCATGACATCATTAAATAAAAACCATCCCCATTATTTCATACCGTAATTGATTTAGCCAGTTCCGTATTGATATTTAAATTATTTCTACTCTGTCCCTATTAAAAACAATGCTATAGTGAATAACATTGTACATAAGTCAGTATGCATTTGTGCACATAAATTGGGAGAACTAATTCCCAAATGTGAGATTGTTGTGTCAGAGAGGTATGTACACTTGTAATTCTGACAGGTTTTGTCAGCCTGCTTTCCATAAGAGATAGTACTAATTTATGCTCCTGCCAGCAATGTATGAGAGTATGCCCCCCTACACTTCCTTCAACCTTTCAATCTTTGCGATTCTGATAAGTGAAAATGGAATCCCAGTATAGTTTTTAGTGTACATTTTACCTGTTTTAAGTAAGACTGAGCATATCTCCACATGTTTGAGAGTCATTTCTATTTCCGTTTCTGTGAACATCCTTTGCCCATTTTTTTCCTGTTGGTTACTGATCTTTTTCTTAATGATTTGCTGAGATATATACATAGGGATAATTGCTCTTTTTTGGTCCTATGAGGCGCAAATATTTTTTCCTCAAGTTTCCACGTGTCTTTTGAGTTTGCTTTTGGTGGTTTTTGCCATTCAGTTTTTTTCCAATGTCAAATTTATAAGTTTTTATATAATGCCTTTTGGATTGCAGGTCATGATTAGAAAGGAAAATTTTGAGGTGGGCACACTGTATTACTCTGAACAGCCTTAGCAAACTTCAAAAAGGAATGGAGCCAAGAACTGCACGGGAGCCCAAGGCAGGGAAGTAGGTAACTTAGCTGAGTAAGGACCTCACAATATAGCTCTACTATAGTCACTTTGACATGGATTTTGAGTACCGTTATATCAGCCAGGGTTCTTATTCCAAACGATAGAAACTGACTAGTTAACTTAAGCAGAAAAGGAAAGATATCAGCTAGCTCAGTGAATCTAAGCAAAGCCTGCATAATAAGGGTCAGAAAATAGAAATGACCCAGGGAACCCATATCCAAGATCCTGCACAAGCCCAAACCTGGTTAGGGCTGCTACTGCCAGTGACATCAGTGCCCCTGGAAACTGGATCCTGACAGCAGAATGAATTAACTTTCCCCACTTTATTGTGTCACTTGCCTCAGATCTATTAAGTCAGTTGCCTCAGATTCAAACTCTTGGGTAGAAGCATTCAGTTGCCCAGACAATCACGAAAATTAAAGACTAATGAAGCTGAAATAATAATTTAACCAAAGACTGGTGAGGAACTAGCTGATGTAAAGTACTTTATTTAGAGTTCTGGTTATATTTCCCTGTCATGTAAAAGTTTCAACTTTAGTAAAGATGATGATCTGCCAAGAAAAAGTTTCATAGTTTGTTTACTCTAAAACTGTGGGATACTTGAGTGATGAATTTATCAGTGCCTTTTGTCATGAGTTCAATTCTAATACATGCAGAGATAAGATTATTTCAGATCTATTACAACATTTTTATTCTGTTGTAGTAATAGTAATGATGCATTTAGCATAATTTTATTCAGTATTTTTTTAGCATCTACAGTTTCTATGGAAACAGATTTAACGCTGACCCCAATTCTCTGAGCTTTTCTCAACATGCAGTTGTTTTCAAAATGAAAGACCCTCAGATTATATTATTCATTTGATTTTATTCCAGTCAAATTCTGCTACAACATATTTGTTTTTAACTATGACAGGGTTTACAGGGAAACAATGGGATTAGAGTACAATGCTCAAAAGCTTCAATGACATATTAAAAAAAGATAGGAACCAACATGGTGAAACCCCGTCTCTACTAAAAATACAAAAATTAGCCGGGTGTGGTGGCAGGCACCTGCAATCCCACCTACTCAGGAGGCTGAGGCAGGAGAATCACTTAAACCTGGGAGGCAGAGGTTGCAGTTTGCTGAGATCACTCCACTGCACTCCAGCTTGGGTGATAGAGCAAGACTCAGTCTCAAAAAAAGAAGGGCCAGGAGCAGTGGCTCACACCTGTAATCCCAGCACTTTGGGAGGCCAAGGCAGGTGGATTACGAGGTCAGGAGATCGAGACCATCCTGGCTAACATGGTGAAACCCCATCTGTACTAAAAAAAAATACAAAAAATTAGCCTGGCGTGGTGGCGGGCGCCTGTAGTCCCAGCTACTCAGGAGGAGGCTGAGGCAGGAGAATGGTGTGAACCCAGAAGGCCAAGCTTGCAGTGAGCTGAGATCACGCCACTGCACTCCAGCCTGGGCGACAGAGGCAGACTCCGTCTCAAAAAAAAAAAAAAAAAAAAAAAAAAGATAGGAACCTAATAGAAACAGTAGCACAGTTTTACACGTTAATTGGTTAAAAAAATGCATAAATACTACAATAAGTATGACATTTTACCTCTTAAAAGACCTGGAGTTTGCTGTGCAAGTGAGCTTCAGAAGAGTTGCAGTTTGTGAGTTGTGAAGTGACCGTAAAAGGGCAATAAGAAATCCATGAAAAGTTGTAACACCAGATGTTGATGGATGTTCACAACATTTGCGGTGAACTGAGGTCACTAGAAATGTTTTGAGATGTATGTGCTTGTGTATTTTGTATACTCCTGTGTGGTTCAGATCAGCTGGATGCAATGTTCTGCATTTACTTAGTGTTTTATGTGGATGAAAATCACATTATGCTCAAATTTTTCCCCAATGTATCAATTACATTAGAACAATACTTGCATTTTTAAAACAAGTATTGTAGTAGAACAGACTGTACTTTTACTAGAATAATTAGAGACAGAGTCTCCCTCTGTCACCTAGGCTGGAGTGCAGTGGCGCAGTCATAGCTCACTGTAACCGTGAATTCCTGGGCTTGAGCGATCCTCCTACCTCAGCCTCCCAGGTAGCTAAGACTAAAAGCACATGCCAGGACCAGCTAATTAAAACAAAGAATTTGTAGAGATGTGGTCTCACTATGTTGCCCAGGCTGGCCCCAAATTCCTGGCCTCAAGGAATCTTCTCAAACTGCTGGGATTACAGGCGTACGCCATGATGCCCCACCTCAATAATGTATACTTTAAAATAATATTAAAATTTAAGGGGAAAATAACTAATGTTTTAACTTCATAACACCAAAGAAATAGTTTTAAAATTATATTTGTTTTTAAATTAGCACTGTTTTATGTTTGGACTGTATATATTTAAATATATTATTTAGTTAGGATTATATCTCCATTTCAAGGGTTTGGGAATTATATGCCCTTTACCAGGAAAATGGAATAATACCTGTAATCCCAGCACTTTGGGAAGCTAAGGCAGGCGGATCATGAGGTCAGGAGATCGAGACCATCCTGGCTAACATGGTGAAACCCCATCTCTACTAAAAATACAAAAAATTAGCTGGGCGTGGTGGTGGGTGCCTGTAGTCCCAGCTACTCAGGAGGCTGAGGCAGGAGAATGGCGTGAACCTGGGAGGCAGAGCTGGCAGTGAGCCGAGATACGCACCACTGCACTCCAGCATGGGTGACAGAGTGAGACTCTCTCTTAAAAAAAAAAGGAAAAGGAAAAAAGAAGAAAATGGAATAATACTATACTGGGGCTTTCATTGGTTGATTGAAGCCACTATTGGAGGATAAAATTAGTTTTAACTATATGTGCATACAATGGAATATTATTCAGCCATAAAAGGGAATAAAATTCTAATACATGCTATAATATGGATGAACTTTGAAAACATTCTGCTAAGTAAAATAATCCAGGCCCAAAAGACAAATATTGTATGATTTCCCTATATATGAAGTACCTAGAATAGACAAACTCATAGAGACAGAAAGTAGAATAGAGACTACTAGGGGCTAGAGGGAAGAGGGAATAGTCAGTTTTTTAATGAATGCAGTTAGTATTTGGGATGATGAAAGAGTTTTTGAAATGAATAGTGATGATGGTTGTACAATATTGTGAATGTACTTAATACACCTAAATTGTATACTTTAAAATGGTTAAGATGGTAAATTGTATGTTATTTATATTTTATCACAATAAAAAGAAATCAGTTTTAATTTGTCTCTGGTATCTATATCTTTAGCATTGCCTGCATGTACTACTAATTATACAGGATTACTGTATTTGTAAATATTTATCAGAACTGGGTGAATATATGACTAGTTTGTTTTCTCTTGTCAAAATTTGAGTGTTGAATTTAGATATTTCTTATAATACCTAGCAATTATAGTAAATGTTCTGGAATTTCACCAATTCCTATAAGAAATTAGATATTTTTTCCTTCTAATGGAAAACAGGAGAATATTTGTTAACCTTAATGTATGTATGTGTGTGTATATATATACATATATATATAAATTATTTTACATTTGAGGGACAGGCCAGAGTACCCTGGAATTTCTTCCTCAATGCTATAGAATTCTTGGAATATTTAAACTCTTAACTGTTTACTAGATTTTTTTTTTTACTTTCTTTTATTTTTCAACTTTTATTTTAGACAGAGTGGATACATGTGCAAGTTTGTTACCTGAACATATTGCATAATGGTGAGGTTTGGGGTACAAATCCCATCACTAAGGTACTGAGCATAGTACCCAACAGTTTTTCAACCCTTGTCCTCCCTCCTCTCCCAATGGTCCCCAGTATCTGTTATTGTCATCTTTATGTCCATGAGTACCCAATGTTTCAGCTCCCACTTATAAATGAGAACATGTGGTATTTGGTTTTCTGTTCCTGTGTTAATTCACTTAGGATAATGGCCTCCACCTGCATCCATGTTGCTGCAAAGGATGTAATTTCGTTCTTTTTTATGGCTTCATAGTATTCCATAGTGTATATGTAGTGCATTTTCTTTAATCCACCATTGATGGGCACCTCAGTTGATTCCATGTCTTTGCTGTTGTAAATAATGCTGCAATGAAGATGTGAGTGCATGTTTCTTTTTGGTAAAATGATTTTTTTTTTTTTTGGATATATACCCAGTAATGGAATTGCTGGGTCGAATGATAGTGCTGTTTTAAGTTCTTTAAGAAATCTCCAAACTGCTTTCCACAGTGGCTGAACTAATTTACATTCCCACCAACAGTCTATAAGCATTACCATTTCTCCACAGCCTCACCAATATCTGTTGTTTTTTGACTTTTTAATAATAGCTATTCTGACTGGTGTGAGTTGGTATCTCACTGTGGTTTTGATTTGCATTTCTCTGATGATTAGTGATGTGGAGCTTTTTTTTATGTTTGTTAGCCATATGTGTTTGTCTTATTTTATTATATTGAATTAGAAAAAAATGTTATTGATGTATTTGTCAAATAATTTGAGTAAATTGGCCTTTCTGTTGATTTATAAGAGTCATATAATTGAGTAGGTCATTAAGCTGGGTCAGAGATGATTTTTTGTTGTTGCTGTTTCTTAAAGAAATAAATTCTACTGGGTGCGGTGGCTCTTACCTACAATCCCAGCACCTTGAGAGGCCAGAGGAGGATCGCTTGAGGCCAGAAGTTTGAGATCGCCTGGGCAACAAAGCACAACCTCATCTCTGCAAAAAAATTTAAAAGTTAGCCAGGTGTGGTGGCACATGCCTGTAGTCTCAGCTGCTTGGGAGGCTAAGGTAGGAGGATCGCCTGAGCCAGGAGCTGGAGGCTGTAGTGAGCTGTGATCATGTCAGTGTACTCTAGCCTTGGTGACAGAGTGACACCTTGTCTCAACAACAAAAAAAAAGAAATTCTATAACAAATGGTTTTTCTTAGCTTTTTTCATACAATAAAGTTTTTAAGTTTTCGCATATTTATTTACTTCCTAAAATTCTATCCAATTGTATTTCAGGTTGCAACAAGGACAGTGTCAGAGCAGGCTGTAAAAAATGTGGCTACCGTAAGTATTCTAAAAGATGACATGCTTTGCATTATTCATACTGGAATCATGGCCTCTTTGGGCAATATAATGTAGCACCCTGATTTCAGGGGCCCAGTTGCATAGTCCTTTAGCCCTAAGCTAACATCTAGTTACAGAAATTCCTCTGTTAGCACTAAATATTCACTTTTCTTCCCTGCTTTAGACCCAGTAACAGGTAGCTATGTATCTGATGACTACCAAAAGTAGCATGAAGATACAGGTGGTTAGTAGTAGATTAAGGAGTTTGGAGAAAGTATATTTTTTAAAAACTATATACATACTTATTCTTTTCCCCCTTTCCACATACTAGGAGAAAAAGTGAAGGCAATGCAAACTATTTATGAAGATTTTTTGTGTTTATTACATTTACTTTAAAGATTCAATTGGTCTCAGAATTTCTGCTCATGGGCGAAAACTTGATTTAAACAATTATTAATCTCCATTATGATTAAGTGAGTGAAAAGGTAAACTTAAGCATGTGTAATTATAAATATAAATTTGTAATTTTATACTGTAAGTAAATATTCTTTAGTTAAATATAGTAATGCCTAAAGCTTTAGTAACAGCTATAGCAACAACATTTGCTATTTTCTAAGTTGTTTGCAGACCGTGTGAATTAGCCTGGATTGTTAATACATTCCAATTCATTGAAGAGTTATTAAGTTTTACCAACTAAGAATGATTTGACAAAAAGATGTTCATGCAAGAACATGTGATAAGAGAGTACTCGGCATAAATCTCCATCAGAAGGGCACATTAAAAGAATGCTGAGAGAACAAGTCGCATACTTCCAAGCAAAGCTAAAACTGGCTCAAGGGAAGCTTGCTCAAGTAGCAAAATTGCATATATAACTATATATATCACTCACATAAATGAAAACTGAAGAATGTACTTGCACGCAAGAAATGAGTGCAATGAAATCTTTTCTATTTTTAAATTTGTTTATATTTCTACTTGTTTGCTTTCTTTCAAGCATTGCTAACTTTGTTTACTTTCTTTTAATCATTGCTGACTTACCTGCCTCATTTCTTTATTCAAGAATTAAGAACCTACAAATGCTTCATTTACTTCAAAATCTGGAATGGATTTCCCAGTCTGTCTACTAATATCAGTCTCTATACTTGGACTTCTTTTAACCTAACACTTTGAGGAAAGCAATTAAATTCATTTTCTGGAAATAAAATATTTGTTGATGTAGTCTCCTCATTGTTATTTTATTTAAGACAACAATGGAAGTATCTGCAGTAATTAGAATTCTTTAGGAGAAGCCAAGTCAGCAAATCGTTTTGTCAATATTTCCGTATTTAGTTATTTTTGCTTTATTATTTAGATCTTTGATTTTAGTGATTTAGTTGTTAAACAATTTCTGATTTGTCTCCTGTGGAAAAATTTAGTCATATTTCCCTTCTGTGTTAAATTTACATCTCCACAGCTATTAAAGATGAAGGTCTTCTCAATTTACAAGTCTTTCTAATAGAAATTTCATTTACAAATTAGCTTATCTTTTATTTGGGGGCCAGAATTTTTGTATTGCTTGTATAAAGGTAAGAGAAAGGTCAAGAAGATGATTTGAAATACTTTTAATTCCCAAAAATATGGGTATTTTTCAATTGTTTACAAAAGAATATTCTCTCTCTTTTGTTGCAAAAATAGTTGTTCAGATTGTACAATTTAAAGAATTTCAATACTTGATAGAAAAAGAGCTTATTTCTCAGTATATTTCAATAGTGAATATATTGTTTTTTAAAGTTTTGAGTTAAGTTTGAATATATTATTAAATAACATGGGTCTCTCTTTCTGTGGCAGAATTTCCTTAGCAAAATTAACTTAAAAGAAATTCACAGGCCAGGCATGGTGGCTCACGCCTGTAATCCCAGCACTTTGGGAGGCCAAGGTGGGTGGATCACGAGGTCAGGAGATCGAGACCATCCTAGGTAACCCGATGAAACCCCGTCTCTACTAAAAATACAAAAAATTAGCCGGACGTGGTGGCGGGCGCCTGTAGTCCCAGCTACTTGGGAGGCTGAGACAGGAGAATGGCGTGAACCCGGGAGGTGGAGTTTGCAGTGAGCCGAGATTGCGCCACTGCACTCCAGCCTGGGCGATGGAGCGAGACTCCATCTAAAAAAAAAAAAAAAAAAAAAAAACACACAAAAAAAATTCACAGAAAAAGAGTTATTTTGATAATGAGTTTTTATTAGAATTTATTTTTAAGTTGGTAACTTCGGAATATTTAAAAACAGCAAGGACACTAGGCCTTGGGATTATTTATGGGATAAATGTCTCAAATAATCATGATAGTTTTCAGAAAGTATGATTAAAAGATTAGTATAGTAGACCCAGTGGTTGATCACAGCAGCAGGAAATAAAAACAAATATGTAAATACCTTTAACATTTTACATAAATATAAATTTGTCACTTTTTTATTGCCTGTTTATATGTCTGTTTATTGGTGTTCAGTCTTGTGTGTGTAAACCACATCTGAAATGCATTTTCTATTTTTTATAGTTTGCTTCTTCAAAGGTAGGCAAGAAGTTAAGATACTTGTAAAGAAATTTATCATTAATTCTCAACCACAGGTGGTACTGCCTCCCTAGAAATCTGTAGAAGTGTTTTTTATTGTCAGCAACAGGATGGAGGGTGCAGCACTATGACGCTTACTATGTAGAGCCCAAAGATTATAAACGTCCTACAATGGTAGGACAGTCCTGGACAGTGAAGAACATTCTGGCCCCAAATGCCAATGGCATTCCCTTTGAGAAGCAGGTACCTTGTCCCATTATTTTAGATTATTTTTTTCCTTTTACAGTCTTATTGCCATTGCTGAATTTGTCAATTGCTTTTTAAAAGCAACTTAATTACATCTTTCTAAAGGTACAGCTTTTGTTTCCTAGAAACAACCAAGCTTTTTTTCTCCACATTTATATTTTGTTGACCTATATGATATTTAATTAAACATATTTTAGAATAATAACAGACTCCTCATAGAGTACAATATCAGATGGTGGAGTAAAATAATATAGGCATAAACCGAGGGAAAAGTGACCGGGAAAATATGGCAGAAGAAACAAGAGCATGTAGCATCACATTAGCCAAAGGATGTGGGGGAAATTGTCAGGTGCAACAGATAAGAGTTATAAGAAATGAACTGAAAAATGTTCTTTGGGTTTGGCAGGTAGGATGCTTTGCTTCCCTTAGCAAGATCAGTTTAAGTAGATTTGTAGGTCATGAAACAAAGTGTGTAGATTCAGGCCTGAGTGGTGGGGGATGAAATAGAGAAAGCCAATGTAGTCTCCATTTTCAAGAAATTTCCATGAGAGAGGTACAAAACATTGAGTAATTTCTGGAAGAAACTGGGATAAATGGAGAGGGTTTTTTTCTTTTTTCTTTTTTAAGGTATAAAATGTTGGTATAGACTGAGGGAAACATTAGAGGACATATTACAAATACTGGAGGATAAGGAAAGATTAAGCAAGTTCCTCTAAGAGGTATGACAAGGATACCTCTGAAGTTTGGAAGAAACTAGATGAGAATAGATATAGATGTTTTCAGGTGGTGATAGAAAGTAGGAGATCCAGCCTGGTAATCTCAATTTTGTTTGTAAATTAGAAGACAGGATTGCCTCCTTAGGTAGGGAGTTTGAGTAGGACAGGACAGTGAGTGATGAATGTTTTGAGACAGGTACCAGTTTGAGAAAGTCATTGAGGGAAGTAGGAGAGGAAGTTGACTAAGGACAAATAAAAAATGCTAATATGCATGAACAGGTGGTTGTTACACTCAAGCATTGCCTGACTACTCTGTGAGGTGGTGGGGGAGTGGTGGGTAACAACCCAGAGAAATAGTAACTTTGAGTCAGATTCATTTGTCTGCAATGAGGATGAACAAGGGTATATAAAAGAGTCAGACTTGTAAAAGGTTGTTCATATTGTCAGTAATAAGAGATTTGAGACTGGGAGAAAATGAAGGCATTAAGGGAATGAAGATCATAATGAGAATCAAAAACAGATCTATGCATGAGTGTAAATGAATGAAAAAGCTAGAAGGATGAAAGACACAGTCAGAGTTTAATATTGGAGTTTAAAATTTCAGAGATAAAACAGTTGCAGATGATAACAAGGACCATAGTGTGACCATGGAATCTAGAATGTCAGGGAACCCAGAAAAGCTATCCAACAACCTAGGCTGTCCATTCAATCTCGTGGCAGGGCTTGGGGTAAAGAGTTAGAGTATGAGCCACATTCAAAAAATTTCAATGAATGGGGCTGTTAACCTGCAGCAGGGAGCTGAGTGGACAGTTAAGGATTACTACTTGGAAACAATATTGAGAAGCCTGGAGAATACTAATAATACTGAGGTAAAGGATAATTAACTATAGAGAAATGCCCTCAAGGAAGAGCCAAATATCCCTTAAGTGTGGTGGCAACACTATGTGAGCGCATAGGACAGTTACATGTTTAAGAATCTATCGAAAAAGACTAGGAAAGGGGCAATGATCAGCTAGGTCAGTGGGGAAATAAAAGATAAATATGAGGATAAGACTTCCAAGGAAGTTGGCCAGGTGCAGTGGCTCATGCCTGTAATCCTAGCACTTTGGGAGGCTGAGACAGGCAGATTGCTTGAGCCCAGGAATTTGAAACCAGCCTGGGCAACATGGCGAAACCTCATCTCTACAAAAAACAAACAAAAAAACTAGCCAGGCACGGTGGCGTGCACCTGTTGTTTCAGCTACTTTGGAGGCTAAGGTAGGAGGTTGGCTTGAGCCCAGGATGCAGAGGTTGTAGTGAGCTAAGATTGTGCCACTGCACTCCTGCCTGGGTAACAGAGCCAGACCCTCTCTCAAAGGAAAAAAAAAAAAGACTTCAAGAAAGAATATATGACTACAGAAGAGGCCGGCATTTTTAGGGGTGGAACCAAAATGTTAGGGATGTGGAAGCTTGGTGGAATGAACTGGGTTTAGGAATTTAAAAGCTTATAAAATAGCTTGTGTGTTCTCAAATCTGAGGATTTTAGGTAGAGCTAAAGCCTGGTTAAATTAGTAGCTGTTAGCATAGTCTATATATTCTGTAAGCCCAGAAGTAGACATTTGGGTACCCTATTTATAAAACAAGAGGGTTTTTGTGTGTGTGTATAGATTGACAGATTTTTATCTGTACAGTCAAAATGAAACATGAAACTGGAGGGTTTTTATTATTATTATTATTATTATTATTATTATTATTATTATTATTATTATGTGGCATAGCTACTCCTGGAAGGAGGAAAGGGGAGAATATACTTGTCCTTGTATTAGTAAAATAAATGGTCATAACCTGGTACCGTGTATTAAATACCTATTTAGTGCTAGTCTCTGTACTAACTGCATGAAAGATATTATTTTATTCTTAAAATAACTCTGAAATAGGTTTCATGATCTCCAGTTTTATTAACATTCAAGACAAGTGGTTCTGGCACCCGATTACTTAGGTACAAACCTCTGCTGGCACTTACTAGCTATGTGACATTAGGCAAATTGCTTGATCACTGTGTTTCAGTTTCCTGTCTGTAAAGTGGGATCATTGTAGTACCTAATCCCATAGAGTTGTGTAAATTAAATGAATTCATGCAAGTGTTTGGATCAATGACTGGCTTCAGTAAATCCTCAATACTTGTTATTTTTGTTATTGTTCCAAATCAGAAAACTGAGGCCCAGGGTTACTGTGTTAGTCAGTGGGAAAACTGAGATATGAACTCTGGTTATCTGTAAGATTTAATACTATGCCATGCTCCTTTTCATTTGCTTTTTTAAAAAATTGTGTTAAAATATATATAACACAAAATTTGCCATTATAACCATTTTTTAAATATACAATTCAGTGGCAGTAAATACATTCACAATGTTGTAAAGCCATCGTTACTATTTATTGCAAAACTTTTTCATTGCCCCAAATCTGTAACCATTAACCAGTAACTCTCCACTCCCTCCTTTCCCCAGCCCTTATTAACCTATCCCTGTGAATTTGCCTATTCTAGATATTTCATATAAGTAGAATCATACATATTTGTCCTTTTGTGTCTGACTTATTTCCCTTAGCATAATGTTTTCATAGTTCATCCATGTTGTAGCATGTATTATAACATCATTCGTTTTAATGGCTGGATTATTTCTCTATATGTATATACCACATTTTGTTTATCCATTCCACTGTGGATAGACACTTGATTGTTTCCACATTTTAGCTATTATGACAAGTGCTGCAATGAATGTTGATGTACGAGTATCTGTTTGAGTCCCTGTTTTCAATTCTTTGGGGTATGTACATAGGAGCAGAATTACTATGTTGATTTTTTTGAAAAACTGCCAAACTGGTTTTCTTTTTTTTTGAGGTGGAGTCTCGCTCTGTCACCCAGGCTGGAGTGCAGTGGCGCCATCTCGGCTCACTGCAACCTAACCTCTGCCTCCCAGATTCAAGCAATTCTCTTGCTTCAGCCTCCCAAGTAGCTGGGACTACAGGTGTGTGCCACCATGCCCGGCTACTTTTTTATATTTTTAGTATAGACGAGGTTACACCGTGCTAGCCAGGATGGTCTCAATCTCCTGACCTCGTGATCCACCCACCTCTACCTCCCAAAGTGCTGGGATTACAGGCGTGAGCCACCGCGCCCGGCCGAAAAACTGCCAAACTGGTTTTCGTAACAGCTATACCATTTTACATTCCCACTAGAAATATACAAGGGCTCTAATTTCTCTACCTTTTTGCCAACACTCGTATTTTCCCTTTTAAAAAATAGCCATTTATGATCATAAGAAATGTATATTTGGTCATTGTCCCTGGTTCTTGACACAGAGCTTCTAAAACTCTTGGAATTTCCTGAGTGATACGGGTGATAGGAGCATCTTTTATTATTCATAGCATGCCCCTTTCAACCATGCCTGAGTTTATACTAATAAGGCGATTCTTGGGAGGCTCCTAGATAATTTCAGGATGGAGGCCATTTGCCAGAGGAACAATCCATGTGATTAGAAAGTTGGAGCTTTCAGCCCCACTTCCAGACCTCTAGAAAGGGGAGAAGGATGAGGAGCTAGAGATTGAATTTAATCACCAGTGGTCAGTGATTGAATCAATCACGCCTATCTAATGGGGCCTTCATAAAAACCCCTAAACTACAGGGTACAGAGAGCTGCTGGGTTTGTGAACACACAGAAGTGCCACGATTGTGGCACACAGAGAGCACATGGAAGCTCTATGCCCCTTCTTTTCCCTATGCCCCTTCTTTGCCCTACGCATCTCCTCCATTTGGCTGTTCTGAGTTCCGTGCTATATAATAAACAGGTAATAGTAAGTAAACTGTTTTGCTGAGTTCTGTGAGCCTTTCTAGCAAATTTTCGAATTTGAGAATGGGGTTATGGGAACCCCCTGACCTTATAAAGCTGGCTGGTCAGAAGTATGGGTGGCCTAGACTCGCTATAGGCATCAGAAATGGGAATAGTCTTGTGGGTCTGAGCCCTTAACTTGTGCTAACCCTGGGTAGTAACAGAATTGAATTGAATTGTTGAACACCCAGTTAGTGTCCAGAAAGTTGGAGAACTGGCTGTTGGTGTGGAAAAAACCCACACATTTGATGTCAGAAGCGTTGTGAGTAGAAACAATTCAGATCATCCTCATAGGTATGAAGTGGTACCTCATTGTGGTTTTGATTTGCATTTCTTTAATGACTAATGATGTTAAGTATCTTTTCATGTGCTTATTCACCATTTGTATTTCTTCTATAGACAAATGTCTATTCAAGGCCTTTGCTCATTTTTTAACTAGGTTGTGTTTTTGTTGAGTTATAGTTGTTCTTTATGTATTCTGGATATTAAGCTCTACCAGATAGATGATTTGCAAATATATTCTCCCTTTTCACTTTCCTGATAATTTTGCACAAAAGTTTTTAATTCTGACGACCATTTTATCAATTTTTTTCTTTTGTTGCTTGTGCTTTTGGTGTTAGATCTAAGAATCCATTGCCAAATCCAAGGTAATGAACATTTACTCCTATGCTTTCTTCTAAGAGCTTTATGGTTTTATATTTTATTTTATTTGACCCATTTTTAGTTAATTTTTACATATAGTCTGAGGTGAGGGGTCCAACTACATTCTTTCCCATGTGGAAAAGTTGTCTCTGTACCATCTGTTGAAAAGACAATTCTTTCCACACTGGATGGACTTTCACTCTTGCTAAAACTCAGTTCGCTATGTATATGTGGGTTTATTTCTGGACTTTCAATTCTATTCCATTGGTCTGTGTGTCTATTCTTATGCCAGTACCAACTGCTTTGATTGCTATAGATTTATAATAAATTTTAAAATCCAGAAGGGTGAATCCTCCACCTTTTTTTTTCTTCTACATTGTTTGCTGTAAGAACATTTAGATTGCTAGCCATAAGAACTGTAATTTGCAACACAGTTATTACCTAGGCTTCACTAACTTATTCCCCAATAGAAAAAAAAATCAGTAAGAAACTTTATTTGTAGTTTTGCAATTAATTTGTCTTATCACCTTAGGGTCGCTTTGCTTGAAGCAAAGCTAAAATGGATGTGGGGCAGAGACTGCTACCAGTATGGTCATTATTTAAGCATTTTATTTATTTTTAATATTCATTTCAATGAGAGGATGAGAGGTATTTGGGTACAAAGCTAGCTTAAGTACTGTAAAGATTGAGCATCAGGAGTTTTTTTTTTTTTTGAGGCAGTTTTACTCTGCTGCCCAGGCTGGAGTGCAGTGGCACAATCTCAGCTCACTGCAACCTCCACCTCCCAGGTTCAAGCAATTCTTGTGCCTTAACCTCCTGAGTAGCTGGAATTACAGGCATGCACCACCATGCCGTTAATTTTTGTATTTTTAGTAGAGACAGGATTTCGCCATGTTGGCCAAGCTGGTCTTGAACTCTTGGACTCAAGTGATCCACCTGCCTCAGCCTCCCTAAGTGCTGGTATTACAGGCATGAGCCACCATGCCCAGCCTGTATCATCAGGAGTTCTGATCAAAGAGGCAAGCCAAACCAACCTAGAAAGCCCACCATTCTGCTCCAAACATGTAACAATGCAGGAGGAAAAAAGTGTTATGTCAACAGCAACCACAACAACAAAAAAACCCAACTCAAAAGAATGAAAGGGAAATCCCCAGGTGCTAGACAAGAAAATGAGCTCAAAGTCAGAGCAGGGAATCTTACTGAAAACAGTGGATCCACAGGCCTACTGGGTAGGTGTTTAAGAGCTGTGGAGTGACACTTTCAAGCCCTGGGGATGGCAGTATGGCAAGGGTGGAGCCCCTCAAGTAAAGTCAGACTCCTTAAAAAGGCTGTGAAGCAGGGATTAGAAAAAATTTCACTCACTGAAAGAAGCAAGAATGCGTATAGTGTGTTTGAGTTCCCATAAGATAATTAGAAGAAAACAAATAAGAATTGGCAACCTCAGCCTATACCTTGTAAGTATATGTAAGTATGAGGAGTGAATTTACACGGCTTCCTGTGAAGCAGGAACTATTTTTCCCATGCTAAGAAATTAATGTTAAAAATTGTGCTGATATCAAATCAAATTTAAAAAATTAAGTCCAACTACGTGTTGTGATTAATAAAACTACACATAAAACTAAAAACTACACAGAAATTTTCAAAATAAAGGGACAAGGAAAAAACACATATTTGATTGAACATTGCTGATATTCCACTATTTTACCTACAAAAATGGCAATTTCATATTACCCAACGAATAATAAACAAAAGAGCACTAGTGGAACTGTTAGCGGTGGTGGGTATCCTAGTTACCGGTGGCGAATCCGTCCAGGTCTGCAGCAACCTCTATTCTTGCCACCTCAGAAGAAAGAATTCTACTGAGGGTCATGAGACAGAAGAAGAGACTGAGGCAAGTTTCAGAGCAGGAGTAGACATTTATTAAAAAGCTTTAAAGCAGGAACGAAAGAAAGGAAAATATACTTGGAAGAGGCCCAGACAGGCACCTTGAGGTTAAGTGCCCCAATTAACATTGAACCTAGCATTTTACATGCTGGCTTACTTCCAGCGTCTTGCACCCCTTTCCCTTCATTGTTCTCTTATGCATGGTGCCCTACCTGCGCTTGGGAGGTGAGCATGCACAGTGTGTTTACTGGAGTTGTACACATGTTCACCTGAGGCTTTTTCTTCCCTTTTCTGGTGGAATGCCCCCAGAAGGTCATACTCCTTCATTTTTGCCTCTTAATGCACATGCTTGTGTCCACTTGCCCGGTTCCTGAGATCTTATTGGAAGCTGCTGATTATCAATTTCAGGTATTTTTATCTGTTCAGAAACTGCTTCTCCCTGGCACTGGCTGTGACCAATTATCATTTTAGAGAGACAGTGTGACAGCTGCTGGACCATCACTTGATGGTTGCCTGATGTTCCTTTGTGAGTGGGGGAGCCCTCTCCTGCTCCACTCATGCCTGACTAGCTACCTACTATAACAGAACCATTATAATTTCAGACTTTTGAGGCAAAAGCACTACTGGTGATAAGTGGAAACTCACGAACAATAAACTAAAAAGATAAAGTAATGATCTTCAAAGCATTTACTAATGTCTCAAAATATATAGCAAAATCTGTGTTACAAGGAGAAATTGACAAATCTACCCTAGAGAAAACCTGGTGCATGCCCACAGAGATGTCTACAGCTGCTCATTTCAACATTATTTATAATAGCAATTATTGACAAATCAATACTTGTATAATTTTAAGTACTTCTATCAGAAGTTATTAGACAAAAAAATTAAGATGGAGAAGAGTTGAACAAGCAAACAGATATAGAACCCTTTTCAACAAATAACAATATATGGTTGTGTTGTTTAACAACAGGGATACATTCTGAGAAGTGTGTCATTAGGCAATTTCATCTTTGTGTGGAAATTATAGAGTGTACTTTCACAAACTTGGATGTATAGTCTACTACACACCTAGGCTACATGGTATAGCCTATTGTTGCTAGGCTATGAACCTGTATAGCATGTTACTGTACTGAATAGTGTAGGCAGTTGTAACACAGTAGTAAGTATTTGTGTGTCTAAACATATCTAAACATTGACAAGGAACAGTATTATTATCTTATGGGACCTGTGTTGTCTATGTGGTCCATCATTGACCTAAACACCATTATGCAGTATATGACTGTGTTTTCAAAATACATAACAAATCTTTCCTAAATTTACTACATCCTAGGCCACAAAAGAAGTCTCATCAAATACCAAAGAACTAATATCATACAGATCCCATTCTCTGATAACAGTGTAGTAAATTTAGAGATTGACAATAAACACAAAGCCTGAAAACTCCATATGTTTGGAAGCTAAAAAGAGTGCTTCTGAATGATTCATTTGTTAGGAAATCACAGTGAGGAAAACTTGTTCCAATAATATGGCAGACTAGACTAAGAAACAACTAAGAAACTTGTATAAAATGTGCAATACATATTTTAGATACATTAATATACTAGAAAAAAATAAAGAACTAAGAATATTCAAAGGCCAACAACCAAAGGAAAGGAGAAGTTCCAGGAATTAAGCCTTGAGGATATTTGATGAACCCTAGGCTCTTGAACTTCTATTTTTTATGGGCTGGCAGGATGTGGGGGATAAAAATAAGGCCCAGGGCCCTGCCCAAGCCAAATTGGAACTCTATTTAGAGAGTCTCTGGTATAAACCTAGGACTCCCAAAGGACTTCACCCACAAAATAAGAGACAACTGGAAACAACCCCTAGCATAGATTTGTAGTGAATCATTAGTGGATCGTGAAATGAATTATTTGATCACCATTAGCCTTGGTTGTTTTGAACATTGAATATAGAAATCTTTCAATTAACTTTTGTTTCAGTTTTTGTGTGTTAGGGTGTATTTATCCATGAATGTGTGTATGAGTGCACTTGTTTGCATTATTTTTTACTGTTCTCGGTTGTTAAGAAAACTTGAAAGCTGCTACCCTAAAGAAAACCTAGTACATGTGCACAAAGAGACATGTACAACTGCCCATTTAAACACTTTTTATAATAGCAAACTACTGGAAGCAACCTACGTTTCTATCAATAGTACAGCAAATAAATATAATTTTCATACAGTAGAACATTATCGATTAGATAAAATGAGCAAATTACACCTGTTATGTTAACATAGATAAATCACAAAATATTGGGTGGCAGGAAAAAATTGCAGGTATAGGTATAATTGAGTTTATTTTTTTAAGAATACATATCACAATATGTTGTTTGGGAATGATAGAGACCAACTTCAGTGCAGTTGCTTCAGAGGACAAAAAAAAAAAAATGGAATGAGATTGAGAAAGTGTTCCAAAAGTTGATACAAGCTCTCCAGCTGTGTGTGTGTGTGCGCACAGGCATGCGAGTGAGCTTTTTCCTTAAATGAATTGAAAGTGAGCATGACAAAATGTTAACATTTGGATGATAGGTATTTAGGTATTGGTTATATTATTTTCTTTACTTTTATAGTGTTTGTAATATTTGACTTTCTAAAACATATACATAAGTAGATAACTGTTGTAGTTTTCTTATAGGGTAGAGTCTTTAGGGAAATGATGCAAGAATTAAATGTTTAGGTATTCTTTAGTAAAGCACATTCAGTTATATTAATGCTTGTATATTATTATGCCAACTTTAATTAGATGAAAGGTATATAATTGCATGAGTACATTTGTCAAACTGGGAAAGAAAAGGTATGGGAAAGGAATATAATATAAAATCCCAAGTATGATGGTATTTTTTATTTACTTAGTTTAGTTAAAGATATTACTGTATTTTTAGAAAGGGAAATAGAATAACTCAATACTTTGAAATCCATAAGAAGTGGCCCCCAAAAATGCTTATTGAATAAGGAGTTCTGAGGAAGAAAGGAAAAAGTTCTTTCTGAGTATTGCATTCATGGAAAAGTATAGGGAAAATAACCAAACTACTACCAACTGAATAAAAGTTAAAGCTTTCTACATTATATTATTGAAATTGTAACTTACTGGTTACCGTGAGGCAGCAAAACATACAAAAATACATAATGTATCTATAGTTTTATCACTCACATTTTTTTTGTTTGTTTCACTTAGCTGGTCACCTGACTTTTGAATGCCGCAATTTTCTCCGAGTAGACCCTAAAAGGGACATAGTTTTGGATGTCAGCAGTACAAGTAGTGAAGATAGCGATGAAGAGAATGAAGAACTGAATAAATTGCAGGCATTACAGGAAAAAAGTAAGCAATATTTTTTTCCATTCTTTAGAAATGTTTGTAAATGTTCTGTCATATTATATCATGCTTTCCATTATACTTACTAAGATCTCTTTTATAGTTTATGTAAGAGCTACTGCATAGGAAATAGGTTTTAAATATTGTAAGTTATTTGCCTAAGATTGAACAGCTAAGCAATTACAGATCCAGGAGGCAAGTCTATTTCTGACACACAGCTTATGTTTTTTGTTGTTGTTTTTCCCCCATCACATTAGGATATGTGTCAAATGGCTGAAAAAGTGTGATTTAAGATTTGGTTTCTAGTCCTATTTGGCAATTTGTTTTAGCACATGACTTTCACCAAGTGACTTAACCATCCTGAGGCTCAGCTGCCTTGTGGGATAACACAAAATGTTGGATTGTCAAATGATGCTCATGCAGATCAGTGATCTTAGCCAGTATCAAGCTTCACTAATAATTTCAAGTATACAAGTGATCGTGAGGCATAGGCAAAGCAGAGAGTTCTGGGCATGCCAATACAGCTCCCCAGGTATTTCCTTTCTACTTCATAACCCACTGTGATCAATATTAACATAAGAAGTTTCTTTATTACTTATACCAAAGAAAGTTGATTTGGTCATGAAACATACTCATTTTATGCTTGGATAGTTACATTTTCCAGGGAGCTATGCCCCATAAATCTATAGATTCCAGGTTTGTTTACCATAAGCAATCTCAGTTACATCCTACTAAAAGGATGTAAATGATAATTATATAAATAGGGGTTCTATGGCTAACAGATATCATTTATTTTTTTTCCAGGAGATCTATTGTTAGTGTGTTTCAGAGAGATTTCTCCAGGTCACTCTCTGTCTTTCCTGGACACATCCTCCTCTCTCCCTAGAGAGAGAGTGGATAGCGGACCTGTTATTTAACCCTTTCTTTCCCACGTTGTGTATAAAATAGCTCATCCTTGCAGTGGGGTTTTTAGGGATTAAACGTGATGCCATAAATTAAACTACTTTGTAAACTACAAAATGCACTATGGTAAATATCACTCTGAAATAAAATATAACTTATTTGAATATAATCTTAGACAAGGAATGAGAGAGTTACAAATTTTAAATTCATTTTAGTTTAGATTGTCGATGAACATTAAACAGTAAACTTTGTTTTTAATATCAAGCTTTCCATATTATGTCCAGTTAAGGTAAGTGAAGAAGTCAAATGTAAGGTGCTAGAACAAGCTGAAAAGGAAAAAGAGGGAGAGAATCCCAAAGAGGGCAAACAAGAGTCATATCATATATGAGTATATACAGCTTCAGGGTAAAGACAGTTGATTGAATACACACACTTTTGTTCTCTACTGAAATACCACTAAAATGCCAGAAGTAGAAAAAAATTTAAAGACGTAAACTCACAAGGGCAAAGAAACTGAGTTAGGAGGGAATAGCAGTAAAATTTTGGAAACTGAAAAGCAGAAGAGTGATAACTGATTACACTCTTGAAAAAGCTAAATTCTTCAGCAGTGTGGAAAGCTGTGAAGTAACCCGACATATATTCTAGAATCCCCTAAAGACATGATAATTAGTATCCTTGGGTACCTCTGGCTGAATATAAGGCTAAAAACAGGAGGATTGGTTTGAAGTCTCCACGAGTTAGACCCTCAGTTCCCTTCCCCTATGAAGTCAGATGACTTCCCTTCATCACCCCAGCAGACTACTGGAGGTTTATTTTCTAGAGAGGGTAAAACATAGGTTCTTTAGACTGGGACACACTAACCATAGCTGAAAGCAGGGAGGAAGTTAAAGGCTGAGAACTTTCTTCACCTATTTGGTTCCCAGACATATATCACAATTAGTCTAGGAAATACTTCACTCAAATGAGTCCCAGAAAGAAAATTTCGAAGAACTGAAGGACATTAGTTTTACAGTTGAAAAGGTGTCACAAGTACCAAACACAGAGCTAAAAATAGACCCACACAAAGGCACACCATTATAAAACTTCATATCACAGGGAACAAGGAAAATATAATCCAGGCTTCCAGGATCAGGGATTAAACAGGTCATCTGTCAAAGATCAGGAGTCAGAATAGCTTTCCACTTCTCTAAAGCAGTCCTGAAAGCTAATAGATGTGGGGAATGCCTTCACATTTTGGAAGGGAAATTATATCCAAGTCAGAATAATATTTTCAACCAAATTATTAGCCAAGCGTGAAAATAGAATAAAGTTGTTTTCAGATATCTTCATTTTAGGTTGATTTTTATATATGGCATGAGGTGAGGGTACAGTTTTATTCTTTTGTATGTGGATATACACTTGACCCAAGACCATTTGCTGAAGACATCCTTTTCCCATTGTGTGTTCTTAACACCCCTCATGGTCAGTTCATCATATATGCATGGGTTTATTCCTGGACTTCCTATTCTGTTACATTGGTCTATGTGTCTGTCTTTATGTCAGTACAATACTATTTTAATTACTATAGCTGTGTAATATATTTTGAAATCAAGGAATGTGATGCCTACAGCTTTGTTCTTCTTAAGATTGCTTTGGCTGTATGGGGTCTTTTGTGGTTCCGTATACATTTTTGGATTATGTTTTATATATCTGTCAAAAGAGCCATTGGGATTTTGGTAGGGATTCCATTGAATTCATAGATTGCTTTAGATAATGTAGGCATTTTAACAATATTCTTTCAATCCATGAGCACATATATTGTCAAATGCTCTTTCTGCATCTATTGAAATATTCATTTGATTTTTAGCCTTCCTTTCTTAATGTGATGTTTCACATTTATGGATTTGCATATATTGAGCCATCCTTGTGTCCCATGGATGAATCCCACTTGATCATAGTGTATGATCCTTTTAATGTGCTGCTAAGTTTGGTTTGCTAGAATTTTGCTGAAGATTGTTGCATATATGTTCATCAGGTGTATTGGTCTGTAATTTTATTTTCTTAAGGTACCTTTGTCTGGCTTTGGTATCAGGGTGATACCAGCCTTGTAAAATAAGTTTGGAAGTGATCTCTTCTCTCCAGTTCTTTAGAAGTGCTTTGGAAGAATTGGCTTAATTGCTCTTTAAATGTTTGGTTGACTTCACCAGCAAAGCCATCTAGTCCTGGGCTTTTCTCTGCTGGGAGGATTACTGACCCAGTGTCTTTACTTGTTACTGGTCTGTTCCTATTTTCGATTTCTTCATGATTCACTCCTGATACATTTTATGTTTCAAGGAGTGTATTCTTGTAAGTTACCCAATTTGTTGACATATAAATGTTCCTTGTATTCTCTTATATAGTTATATATTTATATAACACCCCTTTATATTTCTGTGACATCACTTATACTCTCTTTTTTCAGTTCTAATTTTGGCCCTGTCTTTTTTCTGAGTTAGTCTAGTTAAAGATATGTCAGTTTTATCTTTTTATTAAAAAGCTCTTAGTTTCTTTGGGCTTTTCTGTTGTTTTTCTAGTCTCTATTTCATTTATTGTGTTTTTTTTTTCTAGTTTCTTAAAGGTATAATGTTTGGTTGTGTTTTTTTGAGATCCTTCTTTTCTTTTTTTTTTTTTTTTGACAGTATGAACCACTTCACTTGGCCCTCTTCTTTCTTAATAAAATCATTTATCATATAAATTTCCCTTTTAGTACTGCTTTTGCAGAATCCCATAAATTGTGGTGTGTTGTAATTTCATTTATCTCAAGTTTTTTTTAATTTCTCTTTTGATTTCTTCTTTGACCCAATGGTTGGTCAGGTGTGTGTGGTTTAATTTCTACATATATGTGAATTTTCCAGTTTTTCTTTCATTACTGATTTACATTTTCATACCATTGTGGTCAGAAAAGATACTCAATATGATTCCAATCTTCTTAAATTTGTGAAGACTTATTTTGTCACCTAACATGCTCTGTTCTGGAGAATGTTCTGTGTGCTTGAGAAGAATGTATTCTGCTGGTGTTGGACAGCATATTCTGTATATTTTGTTTTTATTAGAACCAATTTCTCTATAAAACCTAGTAAGTAAACTCCTAATCCATCATTGCTAAGTAGAAGAGGAAATTATTCCCATAGCTACTGTTTTATTTCCTTAGTTCCTCATAACTTTTTGGGGGCATGTTTGCAGTAGTTATTCTGAAATTACTATAACTCCAAAAAAAAAAAAAAAAGAAGAGAGACAACTACTAAAAGGAAAGCTAAAGTGACAATTTTAATGTCAGACCAAGTAGATTTCAAAGCAAAGAATACCAGGAATGAAGAGGTTTTTTTTCCTAATGATAAAAGGGTCATTTGGTCAAGAGAATATAAAAATTCTAAGTGTTGGCCTGGCATGATGGCTCACACCTATAATCCCAGCATTTTGGGAGGCCGAGGTAGGCGGATCACCTAAGGTCAGGAGTTCAAGACCAGCCTGGTCAACATGGCAAAACCCCATCTCTACTAAAAATACAAAAAAGTAGCTGGGCATGGTGGCGCATGCCTGTAACATCAGCTACTCGGGAGGCTCAGGCAGGAGAATCACTTGAACCCGGGAGGCAGAGGTTGCAGTGAGCCGAGATCATGCCACTGCATTCCAGCCTGAGCAACAGAGTGAAACTCCATCTCAAAAAAAAAAAAAAATTCTAAGTGTTTATGCACCTACTAACAAATATCTGAAACAAATCCTGGTATAACCGTAAATAAAAATTCTTATGGATAGACAAATTTGCAATTATAGCCAGCGATCTCAACACCTTTCTCATTAACTAATGGCACAAGTAGACAGTAAATCTGTGAGGACATGGAAGACTTGAGTAACACTATCAACCAACTTGACCTATTTAACCTTTATGTAACACCTCACCCAACAACAGCAAAATACACATTTTTTTTTTAAGTGTACCTATCAAGATAGACCTGATTCTGGGCCATAGCAGAAAGCTACTTAGAAAATGCCCAAATGTTTATAATTTAATGTAATTGTAAATAGTCTATTGGGTCAACAAAAAAAGAGCAAAAGAAAATTAGAAGGTAATTTTAACTGAATGAAAATAAAAACACATTTGTGGTATGCCTCCAAAGAAGTACTTAGAGACAAACTTATAGTACTAATTACCTGTATTAGAAAAAAAGAAGAAATGTCTCAAATCTATGACTTCAACTTCCACCTTAACAAACTAGAAGAAAGAACAAATTAAACCCACAGTAAGCAGAAGAAAGAGAATAATAAAGATCAGAGGTGAATCAATGAAATGGAAAACAAAACTATAGAAAATCAATAAAACCAAAAACTGGTTATTTGAGAAGGTCCATAAACTGAAAAATCACTATCCAAACTAATGAGATTTTAAAAAGAGAGAGAAAAAGCATATATTACTGATATCAGAAATGAGAGAATCGATAACACTACAGATCATGTGGACATAAAAGGGAGAAGATAAAGTTTTAAAGAACTTTATGCCAATAAATTGGATAACTTAGATAAAATGGACAAATTACTTGAAAGATACAAACCAGCAGAAGTTTGAAGAAGAAATCTAAAATATGAAGAGTACCCCCGCATCTCTTAAGTTAAATGTTTAGTTTAAAAACTTTCAGCAAACTTCATGCCCAATGGCTTCTCTTATGAGAAAACATTTAAAGGAGAAATAATACAATTTGTATGTAAAATCTTTTTAAAAATTGAAGGGAGGAGAGTATTTCTCAACTCAATTTATAAGACCAGCATTACCCTTATAACAAAACCAGATTAAGATATTACAAGAAAAGAAAGTTAGAGACTTATTAATACAGATGTAAAAATTCTTAAGAGAATTTTAGCAAATTGAATCCAGCAGTATATAAAAAGTATAATATGACTAAGTTGGTTTTATTTCAGGAATACATTTGTTTTATATTCAGAAGTCAGTGTAATTCATGGTATTTAAGAGACTAAAAAAAAAACATTGTCACAATATTTTAAGAAAAATTATTCAGCAAGTCCATCATATACTTCTGATAAAAAATTCTGAGCCAATTAGAAATAGAAGAGAACTTCATTAACTTCATACAAAATCTATAAAAAACCAAAATGTTACATCATACTTAATGATAAAAGACTGAAGGCCTTCCATAACATAAGAAACAAGGCAAATATGTCCACTCATACCACTTCTACTCAACATTCTGCTGGAGATTCTAGCGAGTGCAATAAGGTATGAAAAATAAAGGCATCCAGATTTCAGGAAAGAGTTTAAAACTGTCTTTTTTTGCAGATGAAATGATCATCTATGTAGAAGTATCTACAGAATCTTTCAAAAAAGCTTCTAGAACTAATAACTGAGTTTAGCAAAGTTGCAAGAGTCTACAAGATCAGTTAGCAGAAATCAATTGTATTTCTGTACACTGGCAATGAACAATCAAGTTAAAATTTTACAGATATCTTTTATGGTAGCATAAAGAATGAAATACTAAGAATATAAATCTGACAAGGTATGCAAGACTGAAACATATTTTACAAAATATTGTTGAGGGACATTAAAGAAATAAGTAAAGATACGCTATATTCATTGAGTGGAAGTTTCAATTTTAAAAGAAATGTAACTTCTCCCCAAGCAGATCTATTAAAAAAAAAGGAATCACAATCAAAATTCCAGCAGGCCATTTGAGAAACCGACAAGCCAAGCAAGACCTTATCTCTAAAAATAAAAATAAAAAAAATTGACAAGCCAATTCTAAAGTACTTGTGGAAATGTAAAGAACCTAGAAAAGCCAAAACACTTTCAAAAGGATTAGTAAAATTAAAAAACTAACACAACCTCATTTCAAGATTTATTGTAAAGCCACAGGTAATCATGAAAGTGTAGTATCGATGTAAAGATAGATCAATGGAACAGAATAGACCCATACATATGTGACAATTGATTTTTTAATCGAAATTTTTATTTTGAGAATATTGTAGATTAACATGTAGCTGTAAGAAATCACATAGAGACCCTTTTGTCCCTTACCTGGTTTCCCTCAATGGTAACATCTTCGAAAACTACAGTTTCAAAGCAGGATAATGTCTTTGATACAGTCTACACAGAACATTTCCATCACCACAACGACCATTCATACTGTCTTTTGATACCTACATCCACTTTTCTCTTGCCCTCACCACGTTCCTAAGCCCTATAAACCAAAACTTTGCTCTCTATTTTTATAATATTGTCATTTCAATAATGTTTTGTAAATAGAATCTTACAGTATGTAACCCTTCTGATGAGCTTTTTTCACTAATTATAATTCTCTACAGACTGACTAATTCGTTATTTTTTATTTCTGAATAGTAGTGTATGTTATGGATATACTACTGTTTGTTTAAGTATTAAGTATTTATCCACTGGATTGTCAGTTTGGGGTTATTATTAATAAAACTGCTATAAACAGGATTTGGGTGAACGTAAGTCTTTATTTCTATGAGACATATGCCCCACAGTAAAATTGCTGGGTTGTTATGGTAGTTGTATATTTTGTTTCCTAATAAACTGTCAAACTCTACAGTGGCTATACCATTTTACGTCCCTACGAGAAGCGTGTGAGTGACTAGCATTTGGTGTTGTCACCAGCATTTTTGTGCTTAGCATTCTAACATGTGTAGTTATAGCCCATTGTTGCTTTATTTACATTTTCCTAATGGCTAATGATGTTATACATCTTTTCATTACTGTTGAATGTTGAGTTCTGAACATACATATATGTGTGTGTGTATATATATGTGGGTACATGTGTATATTTTGTATGTTCTTTATACATGTTGATATTCTTTATACCATTCTAGACACTAGTCCTTTGTCAGATACCTGTTTTGAAAATAGTTACTCCCAGTATGGCATTTGTCTTTTTTATCCTCTTACCAGGTCTTTCACAAAGCAGTAGTTTTTAATTTTGATGAAGTCCAATTGATCAGTTTTCCTTTTATAGACTGTGCTTTTGGTGTCAAATATAAGAACCTTTGCCTATGCATAGATCTGAAAAATGCTCTTTTTTTTTTCTAAAAGTTTTGTGGTTTTAATTTTACATTTAAGTCCATGATAAATTTTGAGTTGATTTTTATGTAAGCAGTGAGGCTTGATCTATTTTGCCTATGGGTGTTCAGTTGTTCCAACACCATTTCTTAAAAAGTGTCTTTCCTGCATTAAATTGCTTTGCTTTTTTTTTTTTTTCCCCAAAAAATCAGTTGGTTCTATTTGTGTGTGCTTGTTTCTGGATTCTCTGTGCTGTTTCATTGATTAATGTGTCTTTGCCTCCACTAATACCACATAGTCTTTATTCATATAGCTATAAAATAAGTCTTGAATGGGGATACTAATTCTTCCCACTTTATTCTTCATCAAAATTGTTCAAGCTATTTTAGTTCCTTTTCATTTCCGTAAAAATTTTAAACTTATGACTATATTTACAGAAAGCTTTGCTAGGATTTTGAATAGGAATTGCATTAAATGTGTATATCAGTTTGGGGAGAATGGACGTCATTACTTTGTTGAGTCTTCTGATCCATTAACATGGTATGTCTCTTTATTTAGAACTTCTTGGATTTCTTTCATCAGCACTGTGTAGTTTTCAGCATATAAGTCCTATACATCTTTTATATACTTTTTTGGAAAATTATAAATGATACTGTATCTTTAATTTTGTTCTCTGCATGTTCGTTGCTAATAAAAATAAATTGATTTTTGTATGTTTATTTTTTCTTCTTGCTGAGCTGATTCTGGATTTTTGTAGACTCCTTGGGAATATCTGTGTAAATTGTCAGGTCATTTGCAAATACGAACCTGAGCTGATAGAGTGTTTTGTTATTTCCAAGTATTTCATGTAATTGAAATAGGTGAGCTTCAAAAATCATTTATTCATTCTGCTTGAATAGTATAGAATCTCTCCCAGCATTTCATCACTTGCATTGTTTTAGTACTTCTCTCATAATGGAGAGAAGTTTTTCAGGACAAATGGCATTGACCAGTTTTCTAAAAAGCTGTTGGCATAACTGACAAAATCGTGGATACTAGAAATAGAGATAAGTAGCCTATAGCACTGATTTGTACAATTTCTGAGTCTCCAGATGTACATTGTCATTGGATGTGACTTTTTAAAAAATGCCTTATTTCCCCCATCCTGTTTTCTTCACTTTGCCTTTAATCATTTTTTCCAACTTAGTATGCCAACCATTGACACCTTAGCTGATAGCATGCAAGAAAGAGGTGGCCAGCACCACAACCAGAAAGGAAGAGAGAGAACTGAGAGCTGGAAGGCATTAAAAATAGTTCTTGGAATTTCAAGACTGCTTTCCTTCTTAATACATTTTATCTTTGGTCTGGCCATTATTTTTTTCCTTAATTACATTTTTAGTTCTCTAAACTACATACTTCTCACTGATTGTCTTTAATAACTCACATTTTTTATATGTTCAAGACATCATCAACATATTGTCTTAGCAAAATGCCCTTTTGAGGCTCCTGTCATTTGGCTTTCCTGCTTCTTCCCATTTTTATTGTCGTCCTATATCTAGTTCAGGCCATTCCTCACAATTATTTTAAGATTCCTGTCCTCTTTTTTTTTTTTTTTTTGAGACAAGGGCCCACTCTGTTGTCTAGGCTGGAGTTCAGTAATGCAATCATGGCTTCTGGAATCACTGCAGCCTCAAACTCCTGGGCCCAAGCAGTCCTCCGCCTCAGCCTCCAGTGTAGCTGAGACTACAGGCATGTGCCACCATGCCTGGCTAATTTTTTTTTTCTTTTATAAAGACATGATGTCACTATGTTGACCAGGCTGGTTTCGAACTCTGAGTCTTATGCGATCCTCCAGCCTCAAACTCTCAATTGTCTTATTTTTCATCTCAAGTCCTCTCATTGTTCTTAGAGACATTCTTAGATGACCTGTGAATGACCTGACAACACCCTAACTCATCTTCTCCACCTTATCATTGAAAATGATCTTTTCTGTCTCTTCACCTTAGCCACACATTTCCATGATTGCACCCTGGACCTTGTTCTCAGCCTCCAAAATTAATGGCATACACTGTACGCTTTTTACTCCAAGTTCTTATCTTTCCAGTTTATTTAATGTAAAGACCCTCAGGCTATTGACCCACCACTTTCATTCAGTTAGTCTTCCCCTTATCTAGCTTAGATTCCATCATAGTTATCACCATTATTCTTTTGCAAATATCTGTAACTGCCTTACTCCTTTCTTTATCTTTTACCCTTATCTAGCAAAACCCCAAATATGGATGAACCTCTTTGCCTTCTCTATGCTGATCCCCTTACAGCAGTGCAAAGGTGAAGAGGCAGACTGGTGTTTCTATAAATTCATGATCCCTAATCTCAGCTTGCATTTATTTTTGCAAGTTCACTCCACATACTTATTTTATACCTTTCCCACTTCTCCCTTCCTCCTTCGGCTAATGACTCCCTCTTTCATTGACAAAATAGAAGACACCAAATGAGAGCATCTTAGCTTCCAATTACTGAATCCACAAATTTGCATATATATATATCCATCTTTCTTTTCTTTCCTTCAGTTAAAATGGAAGGACTGTCCTTCCTTTCGAAGGCATGTCCTACCATAATTGCTATGAATTCTTTTCTTCAAGAATTTTATTCCTTCAGTTATCCCCTCTCTGCGTCATCATTTCAATCAGCATCAATTTTTTTTCGTTTTTCCCATTGTTCTTCCCTAGATCCTTTGCATCCCTGTAGCTAACATTCCATTTCTCTGCTGCTTTCTAGCTAAACTTCTCATCAAAGTTATTTATTCTTACTTTCTCTACCTTTTTATTTCCATTTGTTTTTCAGTCCACTTGTCAAGGTCTTTAAATACTTTTTGCCAAATTTATTTGGCGTTTTTATATCCACATTCTACTTGGCCTTTAGGTACTATTTGATAGGTAGCCCCTCTCTTCAACATTCCTACTTCTTGGTTCTGGTATTCTTCCAACCCCGTGGCCCTTCTTTGTCAGTCTTTTTGACAGCTCTTCTTCTTGCTCTTCTCAGCCCGTAAATGTTGGAGTTCCTCAAGATGCAGATAATCTTCCTGGGCTTTACTCCCTGTATTTTTTTCTCATCATTCTCTTACTAAATGATTTTATTTATTCCCCATAGTTTTAAATACTATCTATAAGCTGATCAGTGTGTGTGTCCAGACTAATCTCTAAACTTCAGAATCACATACCAAACTACCTACTTCAGTTACCTACTTGGATGTCAAACAGGTCTTTTAGATCTCAAATGTCTAAAATTGAAATCTTTACTTCCCACCCACAATTGTCCTTCAGGCTCCTACCCACTTCCCACCAATCCACATTTTAATCAGTGGCACTGCTAAAAACCTGGTGGTCATCCTTGATTCCTTTCGTTCCATCATCCTTCGCACACACATATCACCTCAGGACACCATCTCTGGCCTGCACTACTCCAGTTACTTTATTATTCCCCTGCCTTTTCCCCTTAGCCCTTTCCAATTCATTTACCTTGTAAGTCTGCCGATCACACAGTCCGTCTCACTTAGAATGTAAAATCCTTACTGTTGCCTTCATGGTCTTGAATAAGCAAGTTCCTGCTTACCTCTCTGGCCTCTCATTTCATGGTATTCTACATGTATTTATGATATTGTTCATCTGTTCTCATTCATGTTCATTCTTATTCATAGTTGCCCCTCCCCTTCTATCCGCAACAACCTCTTCTTAGTTTCTAGAACGCACCAAACTCTTTTTGCCTTGGAGCTTTGGCACTAATTTCCTCTTCCTGACATGCACTACCCTTGCTGTTCACTTAGAATGCTATCTTTGCCTGTTAATTTTCTTTCTCACCACTTAACTATAAGTTCCCTGTGGGCAAGGATCATGCACAGCAAAGACCCAGTACATAGCACAGTACTTGACACATAAGCATTTAGTAAATATTTGTTGAATAAATGAAAGCGTGGTCAATAAAAATCTCCTAGGATTTTATGAGACAAACTGATGTCTATTCTTTACCTTGCCAAATAACCCCAAGGCTTCCTCCCGAGTAGCTGGGAGTACAGGCTCCTGCCGCCACGCCTGGCTAATTTTTTGTATTTTTAGTAGAAATGGGGTTTCACCATGTTGTCCAGCCTAGTCTCGAATTTCTGACCTCATGATCCACCCGCCTCGCCTCCCAAAGTGCTGGGATTACAGGCATGAGCCACCGCGCCCAGCCTGCTTTTTCTTTAAATATACACAAGTTCTGTCACCCAGAAATACTTCTTATATGTACAAAGATTTCCATTGCTTATTGTTTCTAACAATGAAAGTAGAAATTGATAAAATATGGTTAATGGGAACACTTCTGTGTTTAATAATGATATATATTTAATGACAAAGATAAATATCTGCTATGTTAAGTGAAAAAAAAGCTGCAAAATATATGTGACAGTACATTTTTCAAAGGCAAAAAATACTTGGAACTTATATGCAACTATGTGTGTATGAGTAAATGTGTGTGTATTTGGTTTTATATAAAGAATGCCTACAAGAATACACACCAAATAGTGTATTTAAAAAACAAGTTAGAGAATAATACATATTGCATGATCCTAATTTTGTTGCAAAATAAAATTTTAAAACTGTGCACTGTTGTAGTGTTCTGCTTTTTAAGGGCCAAACAATACCCATCAAACCACTGGCCTTGATTTCCTATGGGAATTAGAGGTGGGGTACTTGCATTTTTTTACTTGATGGACTTAGTATTTGAAATGTTTATAAAAAACATTTAATACTTTTATGAGTTTTTTAATGGATAAAGATAATTAAGAAAGGGGAAAATTATTACAAAAATTATCCTAACCAGTGAAATTCACCAACAGCTAAAATTTTAACATATATACATGCCATATTAATATATAGAATCATATATTAACCAGATTTTTTTCTTCTCACCTCTCCCCCACAGGAATAAATGAAGAAGAGGAAAAGAAGAAAGAAAAAAGCAAAGAAAAAATCAAATTGAAAAAAAAAAGGAAAAGGTATTTTTTGAACAACATTTTAAAAAACAAAGCAGGCCTATGAGTTTAGGATGGATTATAAAATTTTATTTTTTGTGTATAATAGTTAATTTAATATTTTTTCTTCAACAACTAAGCTTTTCATTGAGCTTAAGTTTAAACTCTTAATATATATTTTGTCTTCATATACATGAAATTGACTAAAATATTTGTATTCTTGTAATATTACCATGGCTAATAAATTAACTTATTAATAGAATTTAATAGAACTTGTCATGCTGTCCAGGTGCGATGGCTCATGCCTATAATCCCAGCACTTTGAGAGGTCAAGGCAGGAGAATGGCTTGAGCCCAGAAGTTTGAGACAGGCTTGGGCAACATAGGGAGACCTCATCTCTGCAAAAAGTAAAAGAAAAATTATCCAAGTGTGGTGGCATGTACCTGTGTTCCCAGCTATGTGGAAGGCTGAGGTGAGAGGATTGCTTGAGCCCAGGAGACATGATCACACCACTGTACTCCAGCCTGGGCAACACAGCAAGACCCTATCTGCCCCCCGCCCACCAAAAAAAAAAAAATATATATATATATATATATATATGTAATTATATGCACATACACACACCTTTGTATTTATATGTATTTAGCCTGACAGTTTCATATATATATATATATATGGTGGCTGATGAGGGTTGTGAAAGACCTGAAGGAATTTTTAGCATCACAACTTCCTTCCAGTCTTCGGCCACCTGTGCATTTTTACTATTAACTCTTTTAAAAACTAACTGGTTAAAGAAGTTATTGAAAGTAGTAAGTGGCCACTTCTCTTGTTAATGCGTGCAGTTTCATTCATACTAGCATAAATTTGCACATACAGGCATTTTTTAAAAGCACTTAACCATAATTATTTCTAGTTTAGACCCAGTTCTCATACAGAATAGGTTGTAGAAACCAGGGGCTGCCACTTTGTAGTTTTTATAGAGCATTTAATACATGTATTTTAATATTTCAGGTATCTTATAAATTGGAAAAGTAGCCCACTTTCAAGCGTTAGGAGTTAACTAATAATCTTTAATATAAAAACAAATAGGAATTTAGAGCTCAGGGTTTTCTGTTAATGTATTATTAAATCATTTATTCTAGCACAGGAAGATGGATTGCTCACAGGAAATGATATCTGATAGTCTTCCAAATTCTAATACAGATAGTTCCCAATTTATGTGGTTTGATATGATCTTTCAACTTTATGATGGTGCAGTAGAAATGTACTTCAAGTACCCATACAACCATTCTATTTTTCACTTTCAGGACAGTATTCAATAAATTACATGAGATATTCAATGCTTTATTATAAAATAGGCTTTGTGTTAGATGATTTTGCCCAACTAGAGGCTAATGTAAGTGTTCTGAGCATATTTAAGGGCAGCCACGTTAAGCTATGATGTTCAGTAGGTTAGCTGTATTTTGTGTATTTTCAGCTTCAGATAGATTTATCAAGGCGTAACTCCATCATAAGTTGAAGTACATCTGTATATTTCTTTTTTTTTTTTTTTTTTGAGACAGAGTCTCGCTCTGTTGCCCAGGCTGGAGTCCAGTGGCACAGTCTCAGCTCACTTCAAGCTCCGCCTCCCGGGTTCACTCCATTCTCCTGCCTCAGCCTCCCCAGTAGCTGGGACTACAGGTGCCCACCACCATGCCCGACTAATTTTTTTGTATTTTTAGTACAGACAGGGTTTCACCGTGTTAGCCAGGATGGTCTCAATCTCCTGACCTTGTGATCCGCCTGCCTCAGCCTCCCAAATATTTTTTATAGTAACAGATTATTTATTTGGGCCTCTTTACCTTGAGCATCACAAACCTGAAATTAAATTAACTTTTCTGTGCACACTTAGCAGAGATAGTGCCCCCTGAAAGTGTTGCTATGCCACAGCCTGAAATTTTGCCTTAAAAAGGAGACTTCAGGCCAGGCACGGTGGCTCACTCCTATAATCCCAGCACTTTGGGAGGCTAAGGTGGGTCGATCACCTGAGGTCTGGAGTTTGAGACCAGCCTGGCCAACACAGTGAAACCCCATCTCTACTAAAAATACAAAAAAAATTAGCTGGTGGATTACAGGTGGGTACCTGTAATCCCAGCTACTTGGGAGGCTGAGGCAGGAGAATTGCTTGAACTCGGGGGAGCGGAGGTTGCAGTGAGCCGAGATCACGCCATTGCACTCCAGCCTGGGCAACAAGAGTGAAACTCTGTCTCAGAAAAAAAAAAAAAAAAAAGAAACAAACAAAAAAAAAAACTTCAGGACCAAAAAGCTAAAGAAAAAAGTGCAGGCAGGGAAGAAGCTTTAGTCAGAATCCAGAGGTCAAGTCAAACAGGGTCTTTAAAAGAGGAAAATAGACAAGATTTGAGAATAACAACTGAAGAGGCAAGGGTGCAGGAGAATACATGAGAAAATAAGCTTTAACAGATGATTGGAAGTCTAAGTAAGTAGACAAACAAGGAGGAAAAAGGAACACAACATTACAAAAATAAGGGAAAACTCGGAGTCACTAAAGGAGGAAGGCAGTCAAGGAATTCACACACTATACAGACACAAAATAGCCTTGGAGCCCTGTAGTCTCCTGAATTTACATTGGCACCTCCTTTATATCCGTCTCAGATTTTCTTAGTTTGAGTTTTAACTCCTAATATTTAGATCACTAAACTAACTCTTTAGATACCTTTGTTTACATTTTAAATTAACTCAGTTTCTGTCTTGTCACTCATATTTTGAGTTTGAGTATAGGTAGAATGTTGCACATCTCTTTAAGTAAGATCTTAAAAGATAGGGTTTTCTGTTTTTTTCTTTTTCTTTTCCTTTTTTTTATGAATATTAGAGGAAGGAATTGAACCAATTTTTTCAATTTAGTATTAGAGTAATATTTTTCAAAAGCACAATGATAACCCATCCTTTTTCATTTATATATAGCATAAAAGCATCCTTTTGTAACTAATGAAAATTATTTTGTAATGCAAGTATTCATCTGTATCACTCTCCGTCTAGAGGGATCAAGTACTTGAAAAATCAGAAGAATTACCAAAAGTGCTTTTATTTTGCTAACTTTCAGCTTTCATTCATTCATATGAACGTACAATTATAGCCCTTTAAAATAGAGAATTGCAACTTTTGAGACACTTTTAAGAAAATATGCGAAGTTATTGTATACACAAGTGAATATAATAAGGCTTGGTGAATGCCCCTTTGTTTGCCTTTTAGGATTTTGAATGATATGACTGCATGAAAAACCAAAAATCACAGAAAAATAATTTCATCCTTATTGACTTTAAAACTCATTACATTAGTATTGAGTGGAATAGATACTAGTTTTGTTGGTTTCTGTGACCAAGCAGCAAAAATTCTAAATTCATCGTTTTAAGGGAATGCAAATATATGAAGCATTTTTTAAGTTTATGTTTATACTCCCTACCTTACTCCAAGAAGAATTTAAGGCAGTTCAAATCCCACTTAAATTTATCTATCAGTCATAAATGCAATTCTCAGTCAGTATGTATTATTATCCATAGGTCTTACTCATCCAGTTCCACTGAAGAGGACACTTCAAAACAAAAGAAACAAAAATATCAGAAGAAAGAAAAGAAAAAAGAAAAAAAGAGTAAATCAAAAAAAGGGAAACATCACAAAAAGGAAAAAAAGAAGAGAAAAAAGGAAAAGCATTCTTCTACACCTAATAGTTCTGAATTCTCCAGAAAGTAACTGAGACTTTGGCTTAAGCCGTTAAATTTAAAAATTTGTTTTTAAAACGTGTTTGCCCTTCCTTGGAATTTGCTATATATTATGCTTTGCAATAAATCACAGCCTTTTCCATATAGACATTTTTCGTATTTGGGACCATTATCCCTCTGGCAATATATTTTTAATGTGCTGTAACTGTAAAGTATTAAATCAGTCTTGTTACTTGATAGCCATGCCCCAAGTATAGCTATTTGTGTATACTAAACACATCATTTTTGGTATTTGTGTCTCTGTGTGTTTGGCTAGTGTTACTACTTCATAAGTTCATTGTAAAATGGCTTTACTGCCATCAACATGGGTCATCTACCTAGCAGTTAATGAGTATTGCTGGATCAGGTGTCCACCTTCCAATGATGAAGCAAGGTAAGGGGTAATGTTTTGCTCTTGACACAGAGAAATTTAATAGCTTTATGTACTAAAATATAATATCTTTTAAAGATAGTGAAATTCTTCAGTTTTTTAAATCTCTAGGGATTTTTTTTCAATGTTGTAGAAGATGCAGCTGCTTAATGGTCTTGACTAGGACTTTTTAAATGAATGGTGTCTGCAGGTAGATGATCATGAAAATATCTCTAACAAAGTTTTACTCTTCTATGAAATGCAGAATTTCTAGTACCTGCCTCCTTTGTTTTTGTAATAATTAAAATACTTCTTGTATAAAGAGATTAGTTCAGCCTGTTAGTAAGTCTGCAGAGATGATGCTGAGTTGGTTGTGATTTTTAGAATAGACTCCTGGGTTGTTTTACAAATGTGCCATATTGGCATGTCTTACAGTGATACCTCAAACACAGAAATTTTTATTTAGGAAGATAGCTAAATCTTTATTAGAACTGATTTTTATTGTATTCAGTATAAATTTTATGAAGCTTGTTTCTATGAGTACTGTGGAAAATTTTATAAATGTGAGCATATATATTTATTTTGTCTGACATAATTTGTAGTTTTAAAGCAAGTTTCACACTGAACTTAACGTTTTCATAAATGACCAGTTTGGGATGTTTCTCTCTTTTACTTTAGTGGCAAACTCAAGAGTAAAAAGTGTCAAAAAAAGAATTGAGAATTTTATTCTGTACTTTTTAAAATTTAAGAGCCAGGGAGTTGCATCATGAAAGCCTTTGTATAATAATGGAAATTTTATATGGGTAAGCATTTTCAAACACATATTAGTAGATACGTTTTTTAAATTTCTATTTTCACATTGATCAGTGTTACTTTGCTTAATACTTAGGTAGCCCTTATGTCCACTAAAGTAAATGCTTATGTTGTAGAAGCATCGAACATCAACCAATGTCATGGCACAGCACCAAAGATTGCAAATACCTCACTATGGTGCGCTTAGAAATTTTCAAATTGATAACCTATAGATACGGCTGCAGGTGAATTCATGATAGTGAAATCAGCTAAGTATACTTAACCTCACAGGCTAGAAAGGTTTACTGATTCTTGTTTCACCTGGCACCCAATGTGGATACCCTCAGTAAGACTCAGGGAGCCTTATAACTCCTCTTAACATATGCTTACCCATGCTTAAATTCTAGGGAAGCTGTATCCACAGCCCTCTGCATTGCAGCCATGAGAGCTCTCACGCTTTCAACCCTTCCATAACCTAATTTAGTCATTTGGGCCTCTCAAAAGGAAATGCTTTTGTTTAAATAGGTCAGTCAGTTACTGGGAGAAAAAATACAGAGCCAGTAGGTTTTTAGGGATTTGTTTTGCCTTTGCTGCTAGTTTTTTGAAAATATTCTTCGATTATCAAGATTTTAAAAATCGGTTTTTAATATAAAGCTTTTTTAAAAACGAGGCTGGCACAAGTGCAGTGGTGTTTCTTTACTCCCACTGCTTGACTTGACTAGCCTTGAAAAAATAACAGTAAAATAAAATATTAAAAAATAATTAGAAAATGCTACAAAGGCAATGACCTTATTCCATTGAGTAAGATAGTTAAAAATGATAGTAATTGTAGTGAAATAGTTAATTACTTGTAAGTTTTATTACTGTTAATTGTAGAGATTATAAATTGGCTCATTAGGTTTCTGAATGGTGACACAATAATGACTGAGAAGAGCAAAAGTCAGTCCTCGTTAACTAATGTAGTATGCAAATTAAAATATTTTAATGATCAGTAATTTTCCCCCCAGAAATGATGTTGGCATTTCTAAGTAAATTTCCCATAATTTTAGCATAGTTTATGAAATTGAATAAAAATTTATTTTCACTGAAGTAATTTTCTTCTAATATGATATTATTATTGAGATTGGATGCAAATCTCATGAATATGTTTTAGAAGAAAATTAATGAAATTCCCTCCCAGG
This sequence comes from Homo sapiens, assembly GCF_000001405.40. Classification (NCBI taxonomy): domain Eukaryota; kingdom Metazoa; phylum Chordata; class Mammalia; order Primates; family Hominidae; genus Homo; species Homo sapiens. Next base: position 64,722,032 of record NC_000005.10, on the reverse strand, counting down.
CAGTATGTACCAGAAGGAAAACTGAATTTAGCAGTAAAACAGTCCTGGTCATTCTAACTACCTGTATGATCTTGAACAAAGTCACTTAGTTTCCCTGGGCCTTGGTGTCTTTCGTCTATAAAATATTGTACCAGATTATCTCTGAAATCACTTCAAGGTTTAATATATATAATTATCAATATTTTAAAATTCAAGCAATATTCACTTTAGAAATTATTATAACATTCTATAATAGTAAAGGTTGAATTTATTAATATAATAAACACGTTCAACTTCTTCAAGCAGATAATTGATATTTGGTTCATATTCTTACAACCTAATGCATGTCATTTTCACCAAATGCAGGCAGAATTTATATTTAGGTTTGCATCTGGAACTAGATTATCTGGCACTTTATGGCCATTATTTTTGGGTTGATGGACCTTCTCACCACACAATTTCCCCCTTTTTTTTTTTTGCATATCATATGTTGGTTGATATTTCTCAGAGGTATCCCTATTTCTTCATACTTAATATACATCTCCATTTACATCTTTGACTCTCTGAGGTCAAAACAACAATAAATGAGAAGTAAAACAACTATATGTGTTTGTATTTACAACTGTATCTAAAATTATATAACCCTAGTTTACCTTCAGAGTAAACTAGGCTGAAGAGTTGTTAATAATGTTGATAAAAATGCCATTGAATCCTTTCTTCAACAAATATTTATTGAGTACCTAACGTGGCAAACGCTGTGCTAAGTACTGGGGATACAGAGATAAGTAAGACACATTTGCCTCCCTGAAGGACTTCACAGTGTAGTTGGTAGGAGAAACACCAGAGCATACACCGTTATATAATTAGTGCAGTAATTGACATGAACATGAGTTTATAGAAACTCGGGGTTACCTAAAGTAGTCTGGATAAATTAGAAGAGGCTACCTAGAGAAAGTAGTGACTGAATTGCAATTTGATTAAGGATAAGAATGAGGGTTATGGCAGTTCCTGACAGAGTGGGTACTGTGAACAAACACCAGAGGTAGAACAAGCTGTGTTATGTGTTTGTCAAGAATTACAAGCAATCTGGTGTTGCTGGTGTATCATAGGCGAGGCAGGAAGTGGTAAGAATTGAGACTACCATTTTAAGTTCTTAGGAACAGGAGGAAGGAGTCGTGTGTTCCGTGTTTGGGAGCTTGAACTGTAATGTGTAAGCAATGAGACACCATTAAAGAGTTTCAAGGGGGGCCGGGCACAGTGGCTCACGCCTGTAATCCCAGCACTTTGGGAGGCTGAGGCGGGCGGATCACCTGAGGTCAGGAGTTCAAGACCAGCCTGGCCAACTTGGCGAAACCCTGTCTCTACTAAAAATAGAAAAATTAGCCGGACGTGGTGACAGGCACCTGTATTCCCAGCTACTCTGGAGTCTGGGGCAGGAGAATCGCTCAAACCCAGGAGGTGGAAGTTGCAGTAAGCTGAGATCACACCACTGTACTCCAGCCTGGGCGACAGAGCGAGACTCTATCTCAAAAAAAAAAAAAGATTTTAAGGAAGGAAATGACTTTTATTAGGGTTTGGTTTTATCAATTTCATAATCCGATTAATCCCACCATTTTTAAAAGATGAAATTGCTTTCATTAGAAGGCTACATAAAATATAATTTGATTATTTTAGGCTCTATTATTAGACTCACATTTCTTTCTACAGTCTCATTATTATTTCCAAAAATTACACAGTAACCTAAATCATCTAAAAACACATAAAGCTACTGTATTCTTTATTAGATCCATCCCCAGAGTTATATGTACATGTACATACTTTGAGATGTGTTTTGTTCTTAATTGTATTTTAGGTTATTTTTGACTGACTTAAATTCTATCACTATTTTAATATTTGTTAGGTCCGAATAAACCATTTAGAATATTTTTCAGTGTACAAAATGTGCTGTAATTTAATAAGGCCCCTTGCTTTTAAAATTTGGCTTAACCTGTGAAGCACAACTGCTTCAGAGTTACAGAGAAACATACCAGTTGGTCCACTGGATGAGCCCTGTGGTTCTACCTCAGGTAACCTAGTGATAAGCTAGCTCAGCAGGGAGTGCTTCAAGGACTCCAGCTGATCCTAGTGCTGAGACCAAAACTTCCTGGACATTGGGTGCCCAAGAACAGTAGGTTTCTTATACCAGTGTGACAATAATCCCAGTTGCGAAGGCCAGTCTTCTGATCTCAGTATCTCCTCCCAACTCCTCTAAAAATAGGTAGAGTGGCAGAGAATTGGGGTGCCTCTTCTATAGCACAACCCATGATGCATCCAGTCATGCCTGACCCCACTATGCCTTTCCCACAAATTGGGAGGAGTTGGGGCAGTGAGCATTTTGCTAGCTCTGTCTGTTTCTTGCTTCTTGTGCCATTTATAGTCCTTGGCCATGAGCAACAAAAGTAGAATGGTGCCAGTGCCTTAACTAAATTTTTCTCAACCTAGATTTTCACCTGAGACAATATGGTAATATTATTAAATTACTGTAAAGATAGCAAATTTTCTGGGATACTTTAAAATCAAAGTTGTATCAAAGATCAAGAAGCACCCATAAAAGCTTTATAAACTTTCACAAAAAATAAGTGAAAATTCTTTGTTTTTATGGCCGTGTAAAATGTCATTTTTATAATGGAAATGTCTTAATTTTCAAACTTAACATATACTTTAAGCAATTTTAGTATTTAAACCTTTGCAAAATTGTATTTTTGAATGTGAAGTTCAACTTTGGCAGTAGGTTGTTGCAATAGTGATCTGGCACTATGGTGCCAGTATAGCCACATAGGGTTATTTAAATTAATTAAATAAATGAAAAATTTTATTTTTTCAGTTGCATTAGCCACATCTTAAGTGTTCAGTAGCCACATGTGACTGGTGGCTACCATATTAGTGCAGATATAGAAAGAACATTTCCATCATCACAGAAACTTCTCTTAATTCTGGTCTAGAAGATAACCTTAGTACTTGGTAGAAATTTTGACAGGCTAATGACGAAAAGTTTGTAACCCTGAGCTTTGCATGCCCAAGAAAAATAAGGTATTCTTTTTTATATATCAGACCAGAGAAGCTGTATTCAGCACATTTTGAAATGCTAGTTTTTGGCTATGGCCATACCACCCTAAATGTGCCAGATCTTGTCTGAAATGCTAGTTTCTGACTACAAAAACTACAGGACATAGTAGATATGCTCAGTAGAGCTGCTTAAAATAATTCCCTTTTTTTTTCTGTTGAATTCTGTTACAAAACCAGGTCTGTGTTATAATAGAAAACACACTTATGAATAAAAATCTTTAAAAATTATAATTTGCAGAAATTAGTTTTATTTCTAGATTTCTAGGTGGTATTAATGTGATAGCATTAGGTGGGACCAGAGAACTCATTTGTTTTGTAGCTTTCATTATACAGATTATTTAGGAAATATATCAGCAAAGGATTTTTTGTTATGCTTATCTCTTGAAACAAAATATTTATTGTACAGATTATACATTGTGATTTTTTTGTTACTGAGTATATTGTTTGTGCCCAGAAAAATCTAAAAAGATGTGGGTTGACTTCTAAGAGATTTAAGAACAAGTCACCTCTAGTTTTTAAGACAGTTCCCTTGATATTTACCTATCCAGTACCATCTCATAAGAATAACTGCCTGTAAGTATCAGAAAGTTGAGAAATGCTGGTAATGTGACATAAACTTCTCACTGTTCTTCACTGAGATAGGACTGCTTATCTTGTTATTGATAAATTATTTAATTTCTCCTGAATAATTAGCATAATCTCATGTGATACAGAAACATCTTAATTAGCAAATAAATTTATACAAAGGAAAACCAATAAAACCTTAATGTGCGTTTAATAAAGTAACTGAATGATCAAAAATGCAGCTGTGTCTTGCTTTGTGAGTGACGAATTTTTGAAAAGCAATATTACAAACCGTTTCAAGTGCACGCTTTATTTTTATTGTCCCATCTCTCCAGTAAGCATTTAAAACACAGAATTTTTAGTTAATAAGCAATGTGGATTTGTGTTGCATCCATTGTTTTTTCTTGAATTATATCATCAGCTTCATAGTATGTTTCATTTGTTGCATTTGATGCTGCATTTGAATTGAGGGCTTTGGTTTTTCCATTTGACTTGCCTGCAGATACACAAAACAAAATAATTATTTGAAATTATGACATCGTTTCACTTATAAAAATTTGCACTTAAAAATAATTTTTGTAGCAATATTGAAAATATGATGTCCTGAAAATGCTATGTGTATGAGTGAGAATTGAGTTATTTTGAAGTGGTTTTTGAGTATTTCCTTATGAAAGTCAAATAAGGGAAATAATTCAGTAATAAAAAAATTTATTTCCATGCTTACCTTTTTTCCTCCATGCTTCCATGAGGAAAATAACTACACATCTGATAAGAAGGTAACAATTTCTGAGTGACTTAACAAAAGTGTGACTGTCCCTCTCCTATGCATAAACTACACTAAAGCCAATCATAGTAACTTGCCCAACCTTAAGGCTTTGCCATTATAACTGATTTAGATGTGGTTTATTAAAAGGACACAGTAGTGCCACAATCCCATTCACTCACTCCATATAAATATGAGTCCAAAATGAGCAAAGGTGAAGGAATATGGATCTTTGCTGATCAGAAGTTAGTCTAAACAAACATAGCAAAGAAATGGATTATTCAATGAACAGTGTTAGGAAAAGTTGAATGATTGTAGAAATAATTAATGTATCATTTCACCAATAGAAAATAACATAAATACGTAAAGAACAGTGGAAGAAATCACAGACATTACTAATGACCTCAGTGTTGCTAAATGCACAGTCCAGTTCATTCTCATCTTCTTTGATTTCTTAGCAGCAGTTGATCCAGTTATTTCCTTGGCTTCCAGGACACCATTCTTTTTTACTCCCTGCTACTTCACCATTACTAATTACCTCCATGTTGCTAAATCCACAGTCCAGTGGCCAAAAACCTCTGGTCCTTGATGCCTCTCTTTTCTCTCACCCTACATGCAATCCATCAGAAATCCTTGTTGACTATACTTTTAAAATACATTCAGAATCAGACCACTTCTCACCATCTTCACTGCTACCACTATTCTGTTTTCAGCACAACATTCAAAGAGCTATTCTTTAAAAAATAAGTTGAATCATGCCCTCTGCCGAGAACCCTCCATTCACCCAAGTCTTATACAGTGGCCTACATGATTTCATACACACACCATTAACCTCTGACTTCATTTTTTTCTACTTCATTCTTTGGTTCACTCCAACCTCTTTGATTAAACATTTCAGGCATGTTCCAGCCCTTAGGACTTTTGCACTGATTATTCACTCTGTCTACTATGCTCTTCTTCCAGATAATCTGCACAATAACTCACTTTTTTCCAAGTCCTTCCTCAAAAGTCATCTTCTCAATAAGACCTACCCAAAACATTACTTAAAATTGCAGCCTCCATATCCCCATCACCAACCCCTTCTGTCCTCCATTTCTCCCCCCAAAGCACTTATTAACTAATATAATTTACCTATTTATCATGCTTATCAGTTATTGTCTATCTCCTCTCACTAAAATTTAAGTACCACATTCCAAGAAACTTTTGACTATTTTGTTCATTAATGATGTGTCTATAAAAATGCCTTGCACATAGTTGTTCAATAAATATTAGTTGAGTGTATTAATAAAGGATAAGACAGAAAACTTTAAAACTGAGTAGCAAAAGACAAGATTGAAAACCAACTAGCAAAAAATATTTAGAGCAAATAATGCATGCCTAATATGTAAAGATCTTACATATCAACATGTAGGACATTAACACCTTTTAGTGAGTGAAGAAAGTGACCGAAAAGATAAAATGGCTAATAAACATGAAAAAGTTTTAATCTTGCTAGTCAGAAGGAAATGTAAATTTGGAAGGTGAGAAACTGTTTCTCATCTCTCAATTAGGTGAGGGTAAAAAGTAATTTTTCTTGGTCAACGGTGTAGCATGATGGGAGTGTAAATTGGTGCATACTTAAAAGTGTCAAATGTTCCTACCCTGTAATTCCGCTTTAACAAGAAATTCCCAAGGAAACCATCAACGATGAGATCTAAAACTTACAGACATCTTCTTCACTGGTTATTTTAAATACCAAGAAATGAAAGTACCTTAAATTTCCAATGATAGAATTGCTAAATATCATGCCTGAGATATCATGCAGCCATTTAACTTAAAAAAAATGGTTTCTAATAAATGTTTAATTACATGGAATGTGCTTAGAATACGATGTCAAATGAGAAGAATGTAAAACTATCAGCAATACAATGATAGTTAATACTTACATAGCACTTACACATAACACTATCAGCCTGTCTGCTAAAGCACTTTAGGATCACACATAAACTTGGTTAGGCTGATGATCTGGTTCTGCTTTCCTCTTCTGGCTCAGTTCACCCCATTACCTTCCTTTTCTTTGGTGGTTCAGAGACCCACAAGTCCTGTTTTCCCCAAACTTTCCCTGGTGTCTCCCTCTCTGCCCCAAGCCTCTTCCAGCTGCCTAGTGTCTCTAATTCTCCAGCCTCCTTTGCTTGAAGAATTCTCCTTCAGGTTTTAGAAAATCTGCCACAAACCTCCCTAAGGGGAAGTCCATTAGTCAAGACTCCTTCCATTAGAAGTAGCTACTGTACATCCTCTTCTTTTCACCATATAGCATGTCTTCTGGATATGAGTTTTTAATTTTTTTTTTTTGGTGAATCTAAACCTTGCCTTTAAGTATGCTAATACTTCCTGGCTTTGCATATTAATTGCTTTCTATAACTAAACTGCTTTTTGTAAGTAAAAATATATATTAAAGATACCTTTCTATAAGTAAAATGCTTTCTAGTATCAATCAGGACATCCCTCACTCTGGGACGACTTCATGGTTCAACACTCAAAGGACAATATTATTTACAAGTTTTGAAAGATGTCGGTGGGGGGAGCCAAGATGGCCGAATAGTAACAGCTCCGGTCTACAGCTCCCAGCGTGAGCGACGCAGAAGACGGGTGATTTCTGCATTTCCATCTGAGGTACCGGGTTCATCTCACTAGGGAGTGCCAGACAGTGGGCGCAGGCCAGTGGGTGCACGCACCGTGCACGAGCTGAAGCAGGGCGAGGCATTGCCTCACCTGGGAAGCGCAAGGGGTCAGAGAGTTCCCTTTCTGAGTCAAAGAAAGGGGTGACGGACACACCTGGAAAATCGGGTCACTCCCACCCGAATATTGCGCTTTTCAGACCGGCTTAAAAAAACAGCGCACCACGAGACTATATCCCACACCTGGCTCAGAGGGTCCTACGCCCACGGAATCTCGCTGATTGCTAGCACAGCAGTCTGAGATCAAACTGCAAGGCGGCAGCCAGGCTGGGGGAGGGGCGCCCACCATTGCCCAGGCTTGCTTAGGTAAACAAAGCAGCCGGGAAGCTCGAACTGGGTGGAGCCCACCACAGCTCAAGGAGGCCTGCCTGCCTCTGTAGGCTCCACCTCTGGGGGCAGGGCACAGACAAACAAAAAGACAGTAGTAACCTCTGCAGACTTAAATGTCCCTGTCTGACAGCTTTGAAGAGAGCAGTGGTTCTCCCAGCACGCAGCTGGAGATCTGAGAACAGGCAGACTGCCTCCTCAAGTGGGTCCCTGACCCCTGACCCCCGAGCAACCTAACTGGGAGGCACCCCCCAGCAGGGGCACACTGACACCTCACACTGCAGGGTATTCCAACAGACCTGCAGCTGAGGGTCCTGTCTGTTAGAAGGAAAACTAACAAACAGAAAGGACATCCACACCGAAAACCCATCTGTACATCACCATCATCAAAGACCAAAAGTAGATAAAACCACAAAGATGGGGAAAAAACAGAACAGAAAAACTGGAAACTCTAAAACACAGAGCACCTCTCCTCCTCCAAAGGAACGCAGTTCCTCACCAGCAATGGAACAAAGCTGGATGGAGAATGATTTTGACGAGCTGAGAGAAGAAGGCTTCAGACGATCAAATTACTCTGAGCTATGGGAGGACATTCAAACCAAAGGCAAAGAAGTTGAAAACTTTGAAAAAAATTTAGAAGAATGTATAACTAGAATAACCAATACAGAGAAGTGCTTAAAGGAGCTGATGGAGCTGAAAACCAAGGCTCGAGAACTACGTGAAGAATGCAGAAGCCTCAGGAGCCAATGCGATCAACTGGAAGAAAGGGTATCAGCAATGGAAGATGAAATGAATGAAATGAAGCGAGAAGGGAAGTTTAGAGAAAAAAGAATAAAAAGAAATGAGCAAAGCCTCCAAGAAATATGGGACTATGTGAAAAGACCAAATCTGCGTCTGATTGGTGTACCTGAAAGTGATGGGGAGAATGGAACCAAGTTGGAAAACACTCTGCAGGATATTATCCAGGAGAACTTCCCCAATCTAGCAAGGCAGGCCAACGTTCAGATTCAGGATATACAGAGAATGCCACAAAGATACTCCTTGAGAAGAGCAACTCCAAGACACATAATTGTCAGATTCACCAAAGTTGAAATGAAGGAAAAAATGTTAAGGGCAGCCAGAGAGAAAGGTCGGGTTACCCTCAAAGGGAAGCCCATCAGACTAACAGCGGATCTCTTGACAGAAACCCTACAAGCCAGAAGAGAGTGGGGGCCAATATTCAACATTCTTAAAGAAAAGAATTTTCAACCCAGAATTTCATATCCAGCCAAACTAAGCTTCATAAGTGAAGGAGAAATAAAATACTTTACAGACAAGCAAATGCTGAGAGATTTTTTCACCACCAGGCCTGCCCTAAAAGAGCTCCTGAAGGAAGCACTAAACATGGAAAGGAACAACCGGTACCAGCCGCTGCAAAATCATGCCAAAATGTAAAGACCATCGAGACTAGGAAGAAACTGCATCAACTAACGAGCAAAATCACCAGCTAACATCATAATGACAGGATCAAATTCACACATAACAATATTAACTTTAAATGTAAATGGACTAAATTCTCCAATTAAAAGACATAGACTGGCAAGTTGCATAAAGAGTCAAGACCCATCAGTGTGCTGTATTCAGGAAACCCATCTCACATGCAGAGACACACATAGGCTCAAAATAAAAGGATGGAGGAAGATCTACCAAGCAAATGGAAAACAAAAAAAGGCAGGGGTTGCAATCCTAGTCTCTGATAAAACAGACTTCAAACCAACAAAGATCAAAAGAGACAAAGAAGGCCATTACATAATGGTAAAGGGATCAATTCAACAAGAGGAGCTAATTATCCTAAATATATATGCACCCAATACAGGAGCACCCAGATTCATAAAGCAAGTCCTGAGTGACCTACAAAGAGATTTAGACTCCCACACATTAATAATGGGAGACTTTAACACCCCACTGTCAACATTAGACAGATCAACGAGACAGAAAGTCAACAAGGATACCCAGGAATTGAACTCAGCTCTGCACCAAGTGGACCTAATAGACATCTACAGAACTCTCCACCCCAAATCAACAGAATATACATTTTTTTCAGCACCACACCACACCTATTCCAAAATTGACCACATAGTTGGAAGTAAAACTCTCCTCAGCAAATGTAAAAGAACAGAAATTATAACAAACTGTCTCTCAGACCACAGTGCAATCAAACTAGAACTCAGGATTAATAATCTCACTCAAAGCCGCTCAACTACATGGAAACTGAACAACATGCTCCTGAATGACTACTGGGTACATAACGAAATGAAGGCAGAAATAAAGATGTTCTTTGAAACCAACAAGAACAAAGACACAACATACCAGAATCTCTGGGACACATTCAAAGCAGTGTGTAGAGGGAAATTTATAGCACTAAATGCCCACAAGAGAAAGCAGGAAAGATCCAAAATTGACACCCTAACATCACAATTAAAAGAACTAGAAAAGCAAGAGCAAACACATTCAAAAGCTAGCAGAAGGCAAGAAATAACTAAAATCAGAGCAGAACTGAAGGAAATAGAGACACAAAAAACCCTTCAAAAAATCAATGAATCCAGGAGCTGGTTTTTTGAAAGGATCAACAAAATTGATAGACCGCTAGCAAGACTAATAAAGAAAAAAAGAGAGAAGAATCAAATAGACACAATAAAAAATGATAAAGGGGATATCACCACTGATCCCACAGAAATACAAACTACCATCAGAGAATACTACAAACACCTCTACACAAATAAACTAGAAAATCTAGAAGAAATGGATACATTCCTCGACACATACACTCTCCCAAGACTAAACCAGGAAGAAGTTGAATCTCTGAATAGACCAATAACAGGAGCTGAAATTGTGGCAATAATCAATAGTTTACCAACCAAAAAGAGTCCAGGACCAGATGGATTCACAGCCGAATTCTACCAGAGGTACAAGGAGGAACTGGTACCATTCCTTCTGAAACTATTCCAATCAATAGAAAAAGAGGGAATCCTCCCTAACTCATTTTATGAGGCCAGCATCATTCTGATACCAAAGCCGGGCAGAGACACAACCAAAAAAGAGAATTTTAGACCAATATCCTTGATGAACATTGATGCAAAAATCCTCAATAAAATACTGGCAAACCGAATCCAGCAGCACATCAAAAAGCTTATCCACCATGATCAAGTGGGTTTGATCCCTGGGATGCAAGGCTGGTTCAATATACGCAAATCAATAAATGTAATCCAGCATATAAACAGAACCAAAGACAAAAACCACATGATTATCTCAATACATGCAGAAAAAGCCTTTGACAAAATTCAACAACCCTTCATGCTAAAAACTCTCAATAAATTAGGTATTGATGGGACGTATTTCAAAATAATAAGAGCTATCTATGACAAACCCACAGCCAATATCATACTGAATGGGCAAAAACTGGAAGCATTCCCTTTGAAAACTGGCACAAGACAGGGATGCCCTCTCTCACCGCTCCTATTCAACATAGTGTTGGAAGTTCTGGCCAGGGCAATCAGGCAGGAGAAGGAAATAAAAGGTATTCAATTAGGAAAAGAGGAAGTCAAATTGTCCCTGTTTGCAGACAACATGATTGTTTATCTAGAAAACCCCATCGTCTCAGCCCAAAATCTCCTTAAGCTGATAAGCAACTTCAGCAAAGTCTCAGGATACAAAATCAATGTACAAAAATCACAAGCATTCTTATACACCAACAACAGACAAACAGAGAGCCAAATCATGAGTGAACTCCCATTCACAATTGCTTCAAAGAGAATAAAATACCTAGGAATCCAACTTACAAGGGATGTGAAGGACCTCTTTGAGGAGAACTACAAACCACTGCTCAAGGAAATAAAAGAGGATACAAACAAATGGAAGAACATTCCATGCTCATGGGTAGGAAGAATCAATATCGTGAAAATGGCCATACTGCCCAAGGTAATTTACAGATTCAATGCCATCTCCATCAAGCTACCAATGACTTTCTGCACAGAATTGGAAAAAACTACTTTAAAGTTCATATGGAACCAAAAAAGAGCCCGCATCGCCAAGTCAATCCTAAGCCAAAAGAACAAAGCTGGAGGCATCACACTACCTGACTTCAAACTATACTACAAGGCTACAGTAACCAAAACAGCATGGTACTGGTACCAAAACAGAGATATAGATCAATGGAACAGAACAGAGCCCTCAGAAATAACGCCGCATACCTACAATTATCTGATCTTTGACAAACCTGAGAAAAACAAGCAATGGGGAAAGGATTCCCTATTTAATAAATGGTGCTGGGAAAACTGGCTAGCCATATGTAGAAAGCTGAAACTGGATCCCTTCCTTACACCTTATACAAAAATCAATTCAAGATGGATTAAAGATTTAAACGTTAGACCTAAAACCATAAAAACCCTAGAAGAAAACCTAGGCATTACCATTCAGGACATAGGCGTGGGCAAGGACTTCATGTCCAAAACACCAAAAGCAATGGCAACAAAAGCCAAAATTGACAAATGGGATCTCATTAAACTAAAGAGCTTCTGCACAGCAAAAGAAACTACCATCAGAGTGAACAGGCAACCTACAATATGGGAGAAAATTTTCGCAACCTACTCATCTGACAAAGGGCTAATATCCAGAATCTACAATGAACTCAAACAAATTTACAAGAAAAAAAACAACCCCATCAAAAAGTGGGCGAAGGACATGAACAGACACTTCTCAAAAGAAGACATTTATGCAGCCAAAAAACACATGAAAAAAATGCTCATCATCACTGGCCATCAGAGAAATGCAAATCAAAACCACTATGAGATACCATCTCACACCAGTTAGAATGGCAATCATTAAAAAGTCAGGAAACAACAGGTGCTGGAGAGGATGTGGAGAAATAGGAACACTTTTACACTGTTGGTGGGACTGTAAACTAGTTCAACCATTGTGGAAGTCACTGTGGCGATTCCTCAGGGATCTAGAACTAGAAATACCATTTGACCCAGCCATCCCATTACTAGGTATATACCCAAATGACTATAAATCATGCTGCTATAAAGACACATGCACACGTATGTTTATTGCGGCATTATTCACAATAGCAAAGACTTGGAACCAACCCAAATGTCCAACAATGATAGACTGGATTAAGAAAATGTGGCACATATACACCATGGAATACTATGCAGCCATAAAAAATGATGAGTTCATGTCCTTTGTAGGGAAATGGATGAGACTGGAAACCATCATTCTCAGTAAACTATCGCAAGAACAAAAAACCAAACACCACATATTCTCACTCATAGGTGGGAATTGAACAATGAGATCACATGGACACAGGAAGGGGAATATCACACTCTGGTGACTGTGGTGGGGTGGGGGGAGGGGGGAGGGATAGCATTGGGAGATATACCTAATGCTAGATGACGAGTTAGTGGGTGCAGTGCACCAGCATGGCACATGTATACATATGTAACTAACCCGCACAATGTGCACATGTACCCTAAAACTTAAAGTATAATATTAAAAAAAAAAAAAAGAAAGATGTCTCACTGCAGCTTCCATATCTTACCCATAAGACTGAAACATGCATGGTATTGATCTCTAGGCTAATATTAGAAGCACTGAAATTTAAAATCCAGGGCCTAGAGTGGCACAATAATGACTTTATTTCAATTACTTCTCTTCTGAACTATTTTTGGTAGTAAAATAAGTTACTTAATATTCTACTTGTAAACATGCAATCAGTATAATTTGATTCTTAAAAGCTAATTTGTTGTAGGCACAGCATTTACTAGCCTGGAAAATAGCCTTTGCCCAATCAGCAAGCAAAGATATTTAAAATAAATATAGTAGAGAAAGATGGCATGAAAAATTTAAGAAATAAAAAAAGTATTGACTTTGCAAAGTAAACATTTTCTAAAAATTAGATTCAAATTTAACAAATAATATACAAGGTTTATGGAAATTATATCTTATTGTCAAGATGATTAAAAAATCAGGCATTGTATGGATTGTTTTTAAGATTTTGAAAGATAGGTTTAATTGGCCTCATGCTGTCTTTATTAGGGCTTATTATTCAGGAAATTAAGTCTTTTCTCTCAAAGAATAAAGGTTTTCACCTGTTTTTGAAATCTTTATGTTATCCCTTTGGTTAAATGAATGACTTATTTTGCAATGACCTGTGATCTTATTTCATGATATCAAGTGTTTTAAACTTTTTATATTTGACACACTTTCTAAAGTCAAATTCTAACTTGGGTCCTCATTAATTTTTTGCTATTAGTCCCCAGAAGTGCAAAAGAGACATATTTGGCTTATTGGTATAGAAATCATACAGGAAGCATTGTCAAATATGAAATGGTGTTTGGTATTCTTTGGGCTATATCTGTATAAAGGTTATTGGTATGTGTTCCCAAATTATGGGAAACTCCTATAATTTTAATATGACTTAGTGTATGTTATTAATAATTATAATTATTATGTAAAACTGTTGTATGCCACAGAAGTAAAAAATTGCTAGTAAAATGTGGTTTTAATAATGGCTGTCCTAAGACTTCTCTTGTTTTGATCCTCTTCAAAAGGTGGTTTATAATCAGCTGTAGGACTTTGATAGGTGCTCTTGAATGCAGGTTTTTTAATAACTTTGGAAATTGTGACATTAGAATACAGGAAAAAACTTTCAGGACTCTCAGAGAGCTGAAATGTTCACGAATATCAAACAGGACCAGAGTTAAGTGCATGGACTGAGTTAAAAGAAGACTGAAGTAATCTTTTTGACTTTTTGCTTAAAATGTTGCTGATCTTTTGTTTTGTTTTTCAGAGTGAAGAAAACTTCTTTTAAGCTATTTACAGCTTTTAACAATTGAGTAAAGTATACTCCTGTAAACAAAATTTGGAGCATATTTCTCTCTGCCTGATTTCTCCAGAATTTGGAAACTATTTGTGAGTTTTCTTAACTTATGGCAATATAGTTATTTGTGTAAGTGCAATAAGAATGTTTTCTTTTGCAACAGGACACAATTGGAGAAACTGGTTGTTTTACCAAGGCTTTGAATAGAATAGCATGCTTTCCTTTAAGGAATCAAGCTTAACCCATACAGCCAATAAAAGCCCTTTGGGGAAAACTGGCCTCATACCATGTCCTCACGGTCCCCGTAGAGGGCTCCTAACCTGTGGTAAGTAAAGAATGTCACATTCTAACAGGCCCAGGAGGCCCAAGTTATCCTGGGACCTCAAGAGGAGAGGAAATTACACAACTCATAGGTATTTGAGGATACAAACTTATGGCTGGGCTCAGCTAAAAATAAATAAATAAATAAATAAAAAGTCTTATCTGAGATTCCTTGAGTTTCATCAAAGCCAATTTTAAAAGCCTATTTGAAAAATAATTATCCTTGCTGCCCTATATACAAATAATCAGGCCAAGCATAAGACTAAAGCTTATTTTTGCAAACAAATTGGTCCTATTATGATTTGTTTTTAATAAAAATGGAAGACTGGAGAAAGAAAAACTATGTTTCAAAATGAGCTATAGTACACCTGTTATTAGATTCTAGTCTTGCCTAATGTTTTTCAATTTTTATTATTTTCTACAGTTTGGACTGAATTATAAAGTTTTTCCAGGCTACAAGTCTCCAAAATAATGTTTTTAATTTAATTTTTATTCTTTCTTTTATCTTTTTTCCCCTATTTTTCCTACGTTGAAATCACTGAAAACTAAGCTGTGCTTTCTTTAAAGCCCTGCAAACTGAAGCTAGACAACTTAAGCTTTAGAAGAAAATAACAGCAACCTATTTACATACATAAGCCACTTCAAAGTAATATGGCCTATATTGATTTACCAGGATTGTTCTGTTTTTGTTTGTTTTCTCTCTTCCTCCCCCTATTTTCTCTTTGATAGGACATGAGACTTCACAACCTGCTAAAAATGAGCTTTCCTCATAATGTGGGACCTACCCATCTAGGAATTAATCATACTAGCCATGAGAGATCAGACAAAACCTGAGACCAGACTCATTTTTCTTCTAAAATGCTTTCTCCAAAAGATTTTAAAAAGAAAAGGGTGGAAATGTGAAAGGAAAATAAATAAATCTTGGGACTTCAAAATCACTAAGCTAAAGAGAAAAGTCAACCTGGGAACTGCTTAAGGCAAACCTGCCTCCCATTCTATTTCAAAGTCATCCCTCTGAGGCTCAGCTGAGACAAATGCATATCTGATTGCTTCCTCTCCCCCTACTGTTTATGTAAAAATGCAGATTCACTGAGCCAGACTAAATTGTGTATTTAGTGGAAGGCTGATCAAGGACTCAAAAGAATGCAACCTTTTGTCTCTTATCTACTTCTAACCTGGTGTTGTCTCACCTTACCAGACCAAACCAATGCACATCTTACACATTTTGTTTGTGTGTTTAAGACGCAGTCTTGCTCTGTCACCAGGCTGGAGTACAGTGGTGCAATCTCGGCTCACTGTAACCTCTACCTCCTGGGTTCAAGAAATTCTCCTGCCTTGCCTCCCAAGTAGCTGGGACTACAGGCATGCACCAACATGCTCAGCTAATTTTTTTAATTTTTTGGTAGAGATGGAGTTTCACTGTGTTGCCCAGGCTGGCCTTGAAATCCTGGGCTCAAGTGATCTGCCCGCATCTGCCTCCCAAAGTGCTGGGATTACAGGTGTGAGCCACTGCACCCAGCCCATCTTACACATATTAACTGATGTCTCATGTCTCCTTAAAATACATAAAAGCAGACTGTATCCCCACCCACCTTGGGCACATGTCTCAGGACTTCCTGAGGCTGTGTCAGGGATACGTCGTTAACCTTGGCAAAATAAACCTAAATTGACAGAGACCTGTCTCAGATATTTTGGATTCACATTATATAATATTTGAAAATCAAATTAAGGTGTTTGTAGGTTATTTTTCACTTGTTTAATATTATTTTTACTCTTTAGTATCATAGCAGGTAAAGATAAAAGATCAAAGATTTAAGCTATAAATTAGTTTTGTATTATCTGGGTGACATTTGTATCTTATATAAGCACCGATTTAAGTATCTAAAATTTTAATTTTTTTTGAATTCCTGGAAATCTAAAAAGTGTAGTGTTAAAGTCCCTCATGTTTCCAAAGCTTTTTACATACTTAAATTCATAGTAGTTTAATCAGACGTTCAAGGTGTTTTGTCATAACCAATTTGGGGTTTTTGGGTTTTTTAATGGGAAATAAACTAAGGAAGTTGTTTCCTAACTTAGTCATTCCGGGGTTCTCTCTAAGTCATCCCCATTCTGATGCTCTTGTTTCCATTATATATTTCTCTGGCAACAACTGAAGGAATTTATCTAACTTGTTTACTCCCCTCTGAGATTAAAAGGCTTGCAAAATACATTACAGTAGTATAGATTTTTATTAATTTATGACTTGTAAAGACCTTTATTCCCCAGCCTCAACTCATTATTTACTTGGCTATTGGATCTTTCTAACCAGTGTTAAGTACAAAGATTTTTTTTGATTGGCTTCTAAAGCCAAAGCAATTCCCCTAACAAAACCAAATTGCTACGTGAACAAGAAAAGATGTGTTATAAACACCATAACACCTCTAGCGTTCTCTCTTCCTGCAGGTTAGACAAATCCAAAAGTGCTTTCAAGGTATATCCCTCTGGTAACTTAGAGTAATTGGACATATTGGGAAATAACTGCACTTAGTGGAGCTATAGTGATAATACAGTCCAGCTAACTGCAACTCTGGGATAATTTTAAAAGAGAAAGATGAAAATATCTCAGCAACCTCAGCTTTTCTGTTTTTTTTTTAATAAATAGAAACTAGTTTCTTAACCAACAAAATAGGGATTGTTACCTGTGCCTCTTTTCTGTCACAGGTAACAACATGGATTCAATTTAAATAAATCTGTAATATCATTGCAGAGATTTGTTACACATAAAAATTTTTTCTTATTTAATTTATTTTTCTCATTAGTGAAGTGGGAATTGCCAAGATTCGACATCACAGTTCTTTCCTAGGTTAATTGTCAGCTGCTCTTCCTGCTGCCTGCTACTTATTTCCATTCTTTGTTTTTGTTGTTCTAGTCATTGTATGTAAATTTCAACCTTTCTTTAATCCTATACTTCCTAGACTGGCATTAAATTAAAGCTTTGGCCTTTGCCAAAATTTAAATCCAATTCATCGAATGAAATCTTTCTACCTATCCTCATCACAGGTAGGCCAACATAATTTTTCTGATAACAGTTAAATTTTATATTTATTTTCAAACCCTTTCCTCGGGGACTTATGATTCTTCTGTGAACGCTGCTCTTGCCTGCCATTTCAAAATATCAAAAGAATGTTGGGGACTTCTGCAGGTCTTTATCTTGTGGCTATCAGGCAGAACTGTAATTAAGCCTTTCTACTATCATCTGCGAATGTCCTCCTAGCTTCTGTGTTACCATTCTGAAGTTCTTCAGCAGCTTCCACGTACTAACCTAGCTGAGTCACCTTATTATTTAGTAGAAAATCTACACATCCCACTCATCCTGCAGTTCCTTCTTGTGGAAACAAGCAATCTCAAGTTTTTACCCTAAAAGTGTTTTTTTTATTTGTAAGAGGATGTTTTCTCTTCAAATTTAATATGATGATGCACAGGACTGGGTGTGAGCTAAACGGTGAAGTGAGCAAAACTTATTGACCTCTCCCTTTTCAATGCCCTGCCTTCCCCTCAAGTATATAAAGAGATCTCACATAAGCACAGTCAAAAAATTTATCATGAAAGTTAGAATCTTGGACTTGCCCTTTTGCTGTAGTCACTCATTAATGAGTGGAGGCAGTTGTAGTCAGAAATTATTTTCCTACCCTATTTTTTCCAGAATTCACCTTTTTCTTTCTTTTCTGTATTGTTAAATTCTTCCAACCATTGATGATCAACAACATCTTACAAAGGAAGTTAGCAGATATTATATATCCTTGAAATAAATAATTTTCAATGAGATACTGGCTTCTATTTTGCTTATTGGTTTGAACATGACTGAGGATTGCCTGACTCTGTGCCTTGAGGAGGACTCAGAAATGCTATTATAACGTCAAAAACTGCAATTACTTTTGTACCAACCTAATAAATGTAGCAGTAGCTCTATTGAGCAATTTGATTTTCTACATTGTAGGAACAAAAGCAGTTGTATAAAATTCTAGGCTCATTATTTTAAATAAAAACGTCTTTCTATTTAAAGGGACACAGGTGGCCTTTTATGCCATTGAGTTCCAATTACCCTATCTTCTGCTGAGATCTCAATGAATTCCTTTAAAATCTTTCTGAAATAAACACTGATATTACTATTAATAAATAATTTGGCAGCCTAATTCATAAAAGCTTTGAGCAAATGTTTCTGAAAGGACGTTAAGGCTATTTAGAAAAGTAGTTCCCAACTTCTTTATAAATTTAGTACAAAACCCATCAAAATACCATTTGTCTTTTTAAGATTGGACAGAGTGATTTGAAAGTTTATTTGGAAACTTGAATGCTACTAGACTAGCCAAGAAACTTTGAAAAAGAAGCATGACAGGAGAGGGGAGATGGAGTCTTGTTTAATCAGATATTAAAATAAACTGTATAGCTACAGTAATTCTTAAAGTATATTATTAGCTTAAAATAAACAAATGGATCAATTTAACAAAACACAGAGTCCAAAACAGACCACAATATATATAAGAATTTAGTTTATGACTAGTGACATTTTAAATTGTCAAGAGAAAAACGGATTAGCCAATAAATATTTGACAACTGACTCATTATTTGGAAAATAAAAAAGACAGATCTCTACCTCACATTTTATACCAAAATTAAAGCTCCAGGAGTATTAAAGATTTAAGTATAAGAAAAATGCATTAGAAGAAAATATCGACAACTACATAATTACCTAATACATTTATTTATAGGTATGCAAATATATAAATATAGGTAACTATATTATATTAGGTAATTATATAGCTAGGTAATTATATAATTAGATAACCATAGGTAACTATAACTAATTACTAATACTTCGAACTATATTAGAAAATATAGTTAAAAATTAACTATATTAGGGCCAGGTGCGGTGGCTCACGCCTGTAATCCCAGCACTTTGGGAGGCCAAGGCAGGCTGATCACCTGAGTTCAGGAGTTCGAGACCAGCCTGACCAACATAGAGAAACCCCATCTCTACTAAAAATACAAAATTAGCCTGGCGTGGTGGCTCATGCCTGTAATTCCAGCTACTCAGGAGGCTGAGGCAGAAGAACCGCTTGAACCCGGGAGGCGGAGGTTGCGGTGAACCAAGATCATACCATTGCACTCCAGCCTGGCCGACAAGAGCAAAACTCCATCTCAAAAAAAAAAATTAACTATATTAGAAATCAGAAATTAACTATACTAGAAAATATAAACTATACTGGAAAATACAGTTACCTATATTTTCTTCTAATGCATTTATTTTTTATACTTGAATCTTTTATCTTTATATCTTTTGGTGAGGGGAAAACTTTCTAAGTGTGAAACCAAAAGGAGAAACCACAAAAAAAGAAACTTCTACAGTTGAAAATTAGTCACATACAAGATTTATTTGTTTGTTTCTCTGTATTTCCTAATTTTCCTATAATGAACTGATAATGAACTATAATGAATTGAAAGGAAGATTTTCTTTTGGGGGAGCAAGGATATCTTCTAAGACGAATATAGCAGACCATGCTGAGCCAGCCCAAATCCTGTTTTGCTTACAGGCAGAATAAATGTTTGCATTATCTTTAAATTTGCTTTCCTTCTCAGTATTTCATATATAATTTATGCTTTTCTCCTAGATAACTGTGCCTTACTGCTAATTTACTTACCCTTTTTCATTTATATCATCTGCCTTTACAAAAGAGAACATCAAATACAGGCTTGTTGTTTATTATACCTATACAACTGTATTATTTTATTTGTGCCAAGCAGCTCTACTAATATTTGCCCTTCTAATTTTTATCAAAAATTCTGCTTCTAAGAACCCTTCTCTTTGCTCCTTCCCCCAGCCCCTTCTAAAACTCCAGAATATCAATAGATATTCAAAGCCCCAGGATAAATATGCTTTATCTTCCTGGAGCATCAATTTTACTCAGATATGAGAGGGAGAAGATGCTATTATTAGAGTAAAGCAAGTCATTATATTATGCAGTCAAATTGAAAATTCTCATAATTTTAAAAATAAATTGGAACTTCAGATAATTTAAAGCTCATTAGGCTTAAAGCAGGCCTTTCTACTCTAGCCCTTAGAATTCTGGAGACACAGGCTCCTTTCTCTCACATAGTTGGCCCTCCATATCCATGGGTTCTGCATCTGTAGATTCAACCAACCATGGATCAAAAATATTTGGGAAAAAAAAGCATCTGTAATGAACATGTACAGACTTTTTTTCTTGTAATTACTCCCTAAACAACACAGAATAAGAACTACTTACAGAGCATTTACATTGTACTACATATTAACCTAGAGATGATTTAAAGCAGGGGTCCCCAACCCCTGGGCCATGGACCAGTGCTAATCTGTGGCCTGTTAGGAACCAGGCTGCACAGCAGGAGGTGAGCAAAGGGCAAGCAAGCATTACTGCTTCCGCTCCACCTCCTGTCAAATCAACACTGGCATTAGACTCTCAAAGGAGCATGAACCCTATTGTGAACTGCGCATGTGAGGGATCTAGGTTGTGCTTTCCTTACGAGAATCTAATGTCTGATGATCTGAGGTGGAGCAGTTTCACCCCAAAACCATCCCTCCCACCCCCGACCTGCAAAATTATCTTCTATGGAACTGGTCCCTGGTGTTAAAAACAGATGGAGACTACTGATTCATGGCATATAAAAGGGCCAGGCACAGTGGCTCATGCCTATAATCCCAGCACTTTGGTAGGCTGACACAGGTGGATCATTTGAGGTCATGAGTTTGAGACCAGCCTGACCAACATGGTGAAACCTCACCTTTACTGAAAATACAAAAAACTTAGCCAGGCATGGTGACCACTGCCTGTAGTCTCAGCTACTCGGGAGGCTGAGGTGGGAGAATGGCTTGAAACAGGGAGGCAGAGGTTGCAGTGAGCCAAGATTGCGCCACCATACTCCAGCCTGGGCAACAGAGCGAGACTCTGTCTCTAAATAAATAAACAAATAAATAAAATGGAAGGATATGTGTAGTTACATGCAAATACTATGCCAGTTTATATCAGAGACTTGAACATCTGAGGACTTTGGTATCCACAGGGGGTCTTCGAACCAATCTCAATGAATACTGAGGGACAACTGTATACATTTAAGGATTCTCTGGTGGAAAAGTTTGAGAAGCAGGGCTCTAAGACACCCCTTTAATTGCTCCTTGATTAGCCATTAATTCCTCCCCAACCTGTGGAATGAGCCCTCACCCTCAGAGTGTAGACTCAGAAGGGTGCCTTTCACACAGCCATCTTTTTCTTTGTACGTCCTGTACAGAACAATTTACAAGCAATGGTATTCTTTTAAACATTGGCATTTGAAGCATGCATAACCCGAAACACAAAAGTTTAAAAAGAAGAAGGTGGTTATGGAACACAACTTAAAGACCAATCAATTGCTTTAGCAATAGGTCCTCTGTACAGAATGAGCCCTAGGGGTAGTCCAATTAGAGTCTACAATCACTACCAGAGACTTGCTTTTTTCAAGATCCATTCCAAACGTTGGAGCCTTAAATTGTAATGAAATTCAGTAGAATAAAGATATACTATGGAAAATCTTGGCAAAATAGTCTAATATTAGACTAGTTTAGACTCTTGTCATTTATAGAGGGAAAAAAGTTCAGTGTCCTAAGTCAATTTAGTATGTACACAAGAACACATTTCCCTTTAGGCCATTCAGATTTCCTATAATGAAAACAGTTTCAACTGTAAAAATTAACCTAAAATATTGAGAGGCTGACCCATGAGAAAGGAAATGGCTAACTGGTGAAACCAATTTTCCTCTGATGTAATATTTACTTGCTTGATTTTGTTATTTAAATATTCTATTATATTCCTAACCTTCAAGACATTCCTTAAATGCAATAAAGCCACAGACTTGCTTTCTCAATAGCTAGAACACTGGCATCCATTGCTAGGTAGTAGAATCATTGGAACGGAACATGCATATTTAACGAAGGGTACAGCAATGTTTAAATATCACATCAAAGGCTCACTTTCAAATACAAACAATTTTCTCTTCCCATTCTAGTGACATTTGAACTATTTTTATTTTGGGCTCTCCACTATATCTAATTTGGTTAAAATCAATGCAAGAGACCAAAATCACCTCATTTGAAAGCAGCAGGAAGTCACTGATCACGTAAAATCTTGCCTTACCAATAGCATGCATTTGGGAAAGGTGTACTGAATTGATTTGTCAATTTGACAAAATATATTTATGAGAGGGGCAGAATGAGGATATTTCTTTGCAAGTAAGCAGCCTCATCTAACTATAATGGACCTCCTTCACTCAATAGTGACAAGAACACAAAACTTGAATCAACAAACCAACTAATTCTGTTGCTATGTTCTAAAGTCAATATGAAATAAAATTTTGGAGCAGTATCTAAGCTAAATCTGGAAAAATAACCAATTTTTATTTAGCACAGTGCGTTGTATAGAGAAGGCAATCAATGAATGTTTTATGACTGTGACAGTGACAATATTTTGCCAATGTTTCTCAAAATATGCTCCTTTGATCACACACATGCAGTGCTACCCCATTCAATTCATTCATGGAATATTTGCTATGTATTCTAGGCACTGGGGATACAGTAGAGAGCAAACAAGACAAAAACTCCTACTTTTCTGGAACTTAGTTTCTAGTTGGAGTGGACAAAAGATAGACAACAGGTAAGTAAAGGATATAATATGTTAATGGTAAGTGCCTAAGATAAATTCAAAGCAGGAAGAGGGTATTAAATGTTGAAAGGGAGTTAAAAATACAGATAGGGTAACCAGGGGAGAGCTCCTGGGAAGGTAACTTTTGAGTAAAGATGGAAAGTGATAATGTAAGTCATGCAGATATCTGAGGGAAAAGCATCCTAGACAATAGTGGAAGCATGTGCAAAGACCCTGAGTCAGGAAGTTCAAGGAACAGCAAAGGGGCCAATGATGCTGGGCATGTGAAGATAAGAAATAAAAGGGCAGATCACAAAAGTCCCCACAGGTCATGATGAAGACTGTTTTCTCTATTGAAAGAGATAGGAAGCGATTAGTGTTTTCAGCAGAGGAGTGACATGACCTGACTTGTGTTTTAACAGGTCTGCTCTGGCTGCTCTGGAGAGCAGACAGCAGGGGAACAAGGACAGAAGCAGAAAGAGGAGCTACTTGTTTTAAAATGCAGAGCCTGGAACTTGTGTTTTTAACAAGCTCTCTACATGATTCTTAGGCACAAATTTATGAACTGCAACTTTACCTAAGCAATTGAGATAAAAATTGATTTTACAATCTGATTATTTGATAATCACTAATCAACTTCCAGTGGAGAAACTGGGCCTAAGTCATTTGTACTAAATTCAGCTAACAACCTGTCATTTTGGCCATGCAATCTCCAAACAGAACTTCAGGAAGAGAACTTTCAAGGAATCTTGGCCCCCTTGTTCTGTGACACAGGATACCCTCTGAGAGATCTCCTCTACAGAGAAGGAAATGAGAGCTAATGCAATCACACAGTGGTGATGTATTTGATAAGGTCACAGAACAGGTACCCCATAATATGAGAAGTTTTAGGATGCAGCTAAAATAGAGCATATGGGTGGGGACTTTTCTCAATTTTTTTAACACAAAGATTTTCATTTTATTTTTACATGGAAGCAAGTAAGCACTTGTGTGTCATTCTAAATACATACATAAATCCTAAATTTATATTCTAAGTTTATATATTCTATATATAAATTCTTGATAAATTCCATTTATATCTATAATGTATATTCTAGATTTGTTTATATGTGTATCTCACAATAAAATTTATAATTAGTACTTTTTAATACACTATAGAAATTCATATTCACAACAGTTTTAACAATTCTTTGCAATTGAGTTTTATAATGGTAACAACTAGCATTTGTATAACACTTGATGTTTGAGAAATAATAGGACCTAGTTCCACAAACCATAAACATTTATTTCTACTTTATAGTCACACTACACACATATAAATCCCAATATTTTAACTAGTTTGCAATCTGGTCAATACATCTTCTACTTATTTTTTCTATTTCTTTTATATGCCTCAATTATTTTATATGCCCTTCTGAACTCTGTACACAGTAGACACACAGATAAATTCTTAACTGACCACTGACTAGCCAATATAGAGTCATGCAAATATTTGGTTCAGATAATAAGTTATCAAATACTTGGTTCCTCTATTTATTTGATATGGGGTGACCCACCCCCAATATTTCAACATAGGTTCTTTCTATTTTCCCTAAGTGTCAGCTGGCTGAGAAATAAAGAGAAAGAGTACAAAGAGAGGAATTTTACAGCTGGGCCTCCAGGGGTGACATCACATATCAGTAGGATGGTGATGCCCACCTGAGCCGCAAAACCAGCAGGTTTTTACTAAGGACTTTAAAAGGGGAGGGGGTATACGAATAGGGAGTAGGTCACAAAGATCACAAGCGTCAAAGGGCAAAAAGGAGAACAAAGATCACATGCTTCTGAAGCCAACAAAGATCATAAGGCAAAGAGCAAAGCAAAGATCACAAGGCAAAGGGCGAAATCAAAAACTCCTGATAAGGGTCTACTTTCAGCAGTGCACGTATTGTCTTGATAAACGTCTTAAACAACAGAAAACAGGGTTCGAGAGCAGAGAACCGGTCTGACCTCAAATTCACCAGGGTGGGGTTTTTTCCTCACCCTAATAAGCCTGAGGGTACTGCAGGAGACCAGGGCGTATTTCAGTCCTTATCTCAACCACATAAGACAGACACTCCCAGACCGGCTGTTTATAGACCTCCCCCCAGGAATGCATTCCTTTCCCAGGGTCTTAATTATTAATATTCCTTGCCAGGAAAAGAATTCAGTGAGATCTTCCCTACTTGCAGGTCCATTTATAGGC
Source organism: Homo sapiens (assembly GCF_000001405.40). Classification (NCBI taxonomy): domain Eukaryota; kingdom Metazoa; phylum Chordata; class Mammalia; order Primates; family Hominidae; genus Homo; species Homo sapiens. Next base: position 64,696,486 of record NC_000005.10, on the reverse strand, counting down.
TCTCTGCAAGAAGAAAAATATGGCTCTATTCTGCCCAACCCCGCAGGCAGTCAGACCTTATGTTTGTCTTCCCTTGTTCTCTGAAAAATCACTGTTATTCTGTTCTTTTTCAAGGTGCACTGATTTCATATTGTTCAAACACACATGTTTTACAATCAATTTGTACAGTTTAACACAATAGTGGTCCTGAGGTGACATACATTCTCAGCTTACGAAGATAACAGGATTAAGAGATTATGGTAAAGACAGGCATAAGAAATTATAAAAGTATTAATTTGGGGAACTTATAAATGTCCATATTAAAATGAAATCTTCACAATTTATGTTCAGAGGTTGCAGTAAAGACAGGCATAAGAAATTATAAAAGTATTAATTTTGGGAACTGATCTATGTCCATATTAAAATGAAATCTTCACAATTTATGTTCCTCTGCTGTGGCTCCAGCCGGTCCCTCTGTTCAGGGTCCCTGACTTCCTGCAACAATTTGACTTCTTTGACTCCATCCAAAATCAAAATTTTAAAAATTTCAAGAGGATAAACTTTAATAACTGGAAGGAACATAAATATATTTAAAGCAGATTTACTGAACCAATGATTTAATTTTCATGAGAATAATTACATCCTGCTGCTATTTTTCCTTCAGCACAATTTCCCTAAGGTATTTCATCATTAACGGCCTGATTCAATGTGAATTTTTAGTGAGACACATAGTGAACTGAATTTTTAAAAAGCATTCATTGTTAACAGTATTATCACCCAGGTACAAGTTATTCTTTTGGATAGAGTTCAGGTAATTGGTAACAAATAATAGATACTGATTACCTTCTTGAGTGGAAGAAGCCTCTAAGTGTTGAAGCTTAAGGCCAGTGTCTAATCTTTGAGGTTTCGTATACAGAAATAAATAGCAAAGGACACAGACACTGATGACAAAGGCGAGTAAAACAAGGGCAGCAATTCCTAGTCCAATCAAGGCACCAATGCTGAGGAAAACAGAAAAAAAATATGTGTCACACAAAGTGGTTCACACTGGTTCAACTAAAGAGAAGGCATAAATATATTGTTAATTCTTGTTTTCAGTTATTCATAACCAAATTGTATTTTAGCATAAAAAGGAACTGATTGAAATCTACAGTTCACCTTTATCCACCACCAAATTCTTATATTTTCTCTGCAGGATTTTCGAGGCCCTTTTAAATTTACACATTACTTTTTTTTTTTTTTTGAGATGGTGTCTCACTCTGAAGCCCATGGTAGAGTGCAATGGCACAATCTTGGATCACTGCAACCTCCGCCTCCAGAGCTCAAGTGATTCTCGTGCCTCAGCCTCCCGAGTAGCTGGGACTACAGGTGCACGCCATCATGCCCAGTTAATTTTTTGTATTTTAGTAGAAACGGGGTTTCACCATGTTGCCCAGGATGGTCTCGAACTCCTGAGCTCAGGCGATCCACCCGCCTCGGCCTCCCAAAGTGCTGGGATTACAGACGTGAGCCACCGCTCCCGGCCGGCCTGTACGTTACTATTAATATGGAAGACCACGTGTTCATATTATAGGTTAAAGGTCACATGATTCTCTAGGGATAATTCTAAAACATCTCCATCAAATAAATCTCTATTATTAATATACTTTAGAAGGAAAGATTGGGTTCACCAACAAATGATGAATAGAAAAATATTTGTTTCTGCAAAAGCACTAAAGACATATGTGAAATGCCATTTGTTGATTTACAAAGCCAAAACTATTATAAAAAAGGAGAAAGCAATTTGAATTAAAGGAAAATCGTATTTGTGAAATTCATATCAAGTTCATGTTCAGTTTGACTTTTCCTTTCTAAAAGGGCATAATGTCAATGGCTTCTAGCATTAAGGAAGAAGCCCGTGTATTTTTCTCTAAAAATAAATGTGTATCTGATTGTATTTGCTCCACCCTAAATTTGTAATGATTCCGTCTGATGCAGTTACCTCTAAGTCTAATCATTTGAGAAATACAGTTTTCATAAGCCTGTGAACTTAATACCACTAAATGGGAAAAGAGCTTGGGAAAAAAAGCATTATCTTGAAAGACTAATATGCTAACATGTACTTCTTGAACCACATTTTGTTCTAATTAAAATCTACCAATAGATTTTAACCTATAAATAGATTTTAATCAATTCTACTCAAAAACAGATACTTCTGTCAACTTTCATGGTAGTGTTGTACACACTTATTTAAAGCATTTGAGAACTTAGCTTGTAGAAAATGTTCAATAAATGTAAATAAATAATAATTGACTGCCAATTGATCTACCTGTATTTGGAACATACGTCATTGAAAAGTAATGATCTTTTTCTTCATTATCTTCCTGGCTTGCCTTTAGGCTTCTGCTCTTTCTCTGGGATTAGGACACTGACAAGTTTGACCTGTACCAAAAGGGAGGGAAGGGAGAATTTGACCAGGGATGCCAGGAGCATTGTTGCTTTGGGAGGAAGGAGAACAGAACTGAAAGTGAAGAGCTAAGCTCACTCCACTTGTCCTTGATTTCAGGAGGTAGAGCACCCCTGCAAAGAAGAGATTGCCTCCTGAAGCACACACTTGAAGTCGACTTCCAGAGATTCTTGTGCTTGGTTTATTGTCAACCCAGTTCCACTAGCCCTGTAGATGAGTGAAGGCTGGGGAATTTTATGGCTAGAGTCACTGTAGAGTGACTCACTGTAGAGTTATATTTCAACTTGGGGTTTGCTCTCATCTAAAAGGTAGACTCCCTATATTTGGCGACTCCTCTTTTGTACTTGTTTGCACCAAACCTAACTTTTGTGCATTTTAAGTGTCAGGGAAGGTTAGGATCACTTCACCATACACAGACACATGGGAATGTAATCCACTCAGTTAATATTATCTGGTGCACAGAGCAGATAAGAGGCTAGACATCTGGAAAGATTCTTCAAACAAGAACCTGATTAAAAAATCTTCAAGGTAAAAATGTAATTTAGTCTATTTGAAAGCAAAATTGTTAGTTTAATTAACTTCCACATACATAGTGTGGGCTTTCAATCTACAAATTATAAAACCAGACCATTCAATTTGAAAGAAAAACAAAAACAAAGCATGCCATCCATGCTTTCTGTTAAAAAAGAATGTTCTTCATAATACTGACAAACAGTTTCAATGTCACCGTTCACTTTATAGAAATGTTGCTTTATGGCTGGGCGCGGTGGCTCACGCCTGTAATCCTAGCACTTTGGGAGGCTGAGGCGGGCGAATCACGAGGTCAGGAGATTGAGACCATCCTGGCTAACATGGTGAAACCCCGTCTCTACTAAAAATACAAAAAATTAGCCAGGCATGGTGGCAGGCGCCTGTAGTCCCAGCTACTCGGGAGGCTGAGGCAGGAGAATGGCGTGAACCCGGAAGGCGAAGGTTGCAGTGAGCCGAGATTGCGCCACTGCACTCCAGCCTGGGCGACAGAGTGAGACCCCGTTTCAAAAAAAAAAAAGGAGAAGAAATGTTGCTTTATGCATGCAAAACTCTAGGTATTAACTCTCAGAAAAGATGGAGCTCCAGGAGACTCCTAAAATATTCATTTCAATAAATACTTATTAAATAGCCACTCGTGCATGGCCCTGTCCAATAGACCTTATTTCCCTAAGTCCTGGAGAAGGTTACCAAGGAAAATCCTAAGAACATAGGGAGTCATAGGAGGAGAAAAGATGGGAAGGGGCCAGACACAGGAAAGGAAGAATTATCCTTTCCTCAGCACCCTATGGCAGTTGTTTTACAAGCTTTGAGAGAGGGTCTGAAGCTGCTGTCACATTAATGTGGCAATTCTCCTACTTAGGAAGTTCACTTACCTTGTGATAGCCACAGCTGTGCCTTTCTCCTGCCACTATAGAATCTCAAAACAAGGGCTAGTGACTCTTCCCAGTTGGACTATTTTAAATTAGGAGTGGAGAGCAAAGAATAGGGGGCAAATGAAGCTCTAATAAATTTACCTCCCTATTGTGTTCTCAGAGCTCAATAACTCACAGGAACCCCAGGTTTAACACTGCCAAATGACAACATCAGTTGAAGTGATTTTTCTATTTCCTGGGAATGGAGCTGCACTGTCCATTTTGTCAGTACTGAATGAAGACCCCAGCAAGCTGTTCACTCTTTTGTGCCCTCATACATCTTAGGAAGGTTTTATGTCCTCTATTGCTTGTCACTTTGGAACTATTCAAGGATCTGAGAATCTCAGGCACATTTTCCAGTTGAGTTTGACTGAGGAATTGCCAGTCCCTGTTGGAGGTGCTTCTGCCATTAGTAACGCCTCCAATGACCCAGAGATAGATTACTCTGTTATTTTCCAAAAGGCCAGATAATAAACCAGTGCAATATAGATTTCTTCCCCATGTAATCTACTAAGGATAAGCTATCATTATTTTCTGACATTTTGCCCCTGTCCAGCAAAATACAATTTTGTCAGTTAAACTTACTGGAAGGTAGGCACTCCTTTTGAGACTTTTTGATGCTTGCAATATAGAAAAATATGTTAATATTTTATTGCTTCAAGAAGTAACATTTAGTCATTTGCTATAGACTTGGCATGTGTGTTAAATTCTGGGTCATGTAGGAGACTGGGAGACATAATCACAATACTTTACCTCTTACTAGCAGACTCCATCTCCTCCAACCCCATAAACTAATGAATATGTACAAAACAATTTAAGGTGGGAGCTCGTTCCTTGATTGTTGAACCCCATTCATTCTTCAAGCAAAATGAAAAATCAAGTTTAAAGTTTGCAGCCCTTCAGAGTGGAAGTGGGAAAAGCAATTCATAATGAAAATGTCTACATCAATACTAGTTGGAATAAGTAAAATAAAATTGCCACTATGGGAAAAAGAAACAAGAAAGACCTCACCTTAGAAAGTCTCTTCACATTCCAGCAATAGCCACATGGCTCGGGTTTCAAGAAAGGGGGTGTCCTGTTCTACAGAGTGTGTGTATAATCATAGCAACCAAAAGCTGTACCTTTCTTGGTGTCGCTTCAATTCTCTCCAGGGTAGGGGTCAGATCCTCCAAAAAGTGCAAGTCGTAAAGCCCAGTTGCTTGCACAGGCCCTCAGGAACACACACACACACACACACACACACACTTTTAAAAATATACATGTATTTTAAAGAACACAGCCAATTCCTTCACACCCCTCAAAGAGTCTTAAAATACTCTGGTCCTTGTTAATGCAGTAAGAAGAGCCCCATAGGAGCCTCCTTTCTCTTCAAATACACCAGATAAACCAAAAAGAGGATTTTAAACCTTCCCCTTGGGTTATCTTCCTGTCCTCGCGCTCCACCAGTAGGGCTATCAGCCTGGGACTGGTCCCGGCGAGGGGAGAGCAGTCGGCTCCCGGGAGGCGGGCGGGGAACTCAGCGGGGCCAGCCAGGCGGGCCCCAAGTGCGCCCTGGGCGCAAAGCCCGCGCTCCTCCAGCGTGCGCCTCGCCTCCTGTCCTGGCTCCCGGGGGAGCTCCGAGCCGGGGCGAGATTTCTCTCCCTGCCCTCACCCGCCCTCAGAGGCTCCGCGTCCTTCCGTAGGGACCTAACCTAGGGCGGATAGCGGGGACGCGGGGGAACCTCCCTGGCCCTGGCGTGGCTCCGCTTGTCGCCTCCCTAGCCCCGGGCTCGGCCAGCCGCCGCACGCGCGGGCTCTCAGCCCACCTGAGGCTCCACATGTAGCTGTGCTTGTAGGGGAAGTAGCTGCCCGGCTCGCTGCAGCAGTACTTGAGGTCGGCGAAGCCGCAGCAATACTGGAGCGCTGCCCCCTCGCCGCGCCGGGGGCACTGGAAGGGCTCCACGAAGCTCTGGTTGAGGCTGTAGTAGCCGGAGCACAGTCGGCTGGCCTCGCTCATCGCGGGCAGGGGCCGGGAGAGGCTCGCGAGGGCCCCGGTCTGCTCTCGGATCGCACCCGTCCAGCACCTCCAGAGCCCGCGGACCCCTCTGCCCGGACTCGGCTCTTCCGATCTGGGCTCTGGCTGCCTGGGCGCTCAGCCTTCGCGCGCCACCTCTGATTTCTCTCCTCCCCTTGTCCACATGGTGTCTGGGCGCCTTACTCTCGCCTCTCCCTCTCGCTGCTGAGCGGTCGCTCCTTTTATCCGCCCATCTCGGCGCCGACTCTCCTCCACTTTCCCTCACTTCATCAGCAGCCTGGAGACCTTAGCTGTCCCCACTCGATGCCAGAAAGAGCTTTCTCCAGAGGGAAAAAAGAAGAGGTGGGACATGTTTTCAGTGCAGGCAGATGCTGCCTAAGTTGCAGTTTTCCTGTCTAGGGACAGGGCAGGTGGATTCTGGGCAAACAGACTGGGTCTGGTGGAGACTTAACTGCCCGGCCATTGACTCAAGGAGTGGAGGAGAGGACCAGATAAAAGGCAGCTGAACACCAGAGAGGCGGAGTTGGTGTTCTCTTTCTTTGAGAAGTAAATGTGAAACATTAAGATCTGCCCATTTAAAAATAAAAAACAAGAAACAAAGTCTCCTGTAACAACTGGCCATGGTGCAGTTGCATTCGGTGTTCAGCTGAAAAATCCAGAAAGTTTAAGAAACGCAAGACATGAAGGTAAAGAAAGTGAGAACTTTCTAGAGAGGGAGGCAGCCAGAGGAAAAAAAAAAGGCAAAGGAAATAGGGAGAAAGAGACCTTCAGTCAGTTTTGATGTGCTGTAGGAACTTCTTTTGTCTCCTTTTTGTTTGATATTCCCATTTTCTTGATTGGTTTGTTCACAAAGCCTTTTTAAAATAACGATGATAATGCATGCTTATTGTGATAAGCCAAACAATGCTTGGGTGTATAAACAAAAAGGTAATAATAGTCTTACGATGGGAGAGGAGGCGATTATAACATTCATAAAATGTACAAGATAGAGCATTGTTTCTCCCTCTTCATTTCTGCTTCCTTCCCTTGGCCAGGGGCTTGATTGGATCCCAGACGTCGAATTTTACCTTGTTGGGTACTGGATGTTTTTGCATTCCTATAAATACTCTTGAGCTTTGTACTGGGATGCAGGAAACAGTTTGAGTCTTTCGGGTTTGTTTTTAATATTTGTTAGGCTGGACTAGATTAGCCTTTAGGACTGAATTTTTCCCCACTACTGAGGCAATACCCTTCGAATTATTCTACCCAAAACTTGTGAATTATAGGGCTTACCATTGTGACTGGTGGGAACACATAAAACACAGAAAAATCCAGAGACAGGCATGACCACAGAGGCCAAATTTCACCAAGCTTGGAGTATCTTGAGGCCTCTGAAGTTCAAACCAACAAAGGAGCCTTTTACCATATGAAGCTTAAGGGCAGTGTTAAGACTGCGGCTTTAACCAGTTAGGAAATTGCTTGACCTTGCCTGCTGTGTAGTCCCCTGTGACTTAGTCCCCAGTTATCTTCCTCCAGGCAGGAGGAGTTCTGATAGGGAGTAGGGTGGGGCTGATCCCGCACCAAAAGATAGCCATCGATTACATCTTTTATTTTCTCTTCTTCTTGTGTCACAAAGGTGATACTCCCCTTTAGAGAATATTCTGGAAATAAGGAGACATTTTTGGTTGTCATGATGACACTGTCCTGGCATTGAGGGATGTGGGTCAGGGATGCTAGACATCCTGACCCCCTGCAACATGTACAGGAAAATGAAGAACTGTATGTGACTTTCAAATGTTCTACAGGACATTCATGTAGATGAAAAACCTACTTACAATTGTCTGTACTTAGAACCTATCCTTGTGTTCCAAATAAATACAGTGTTTTTGTTGAATTTTCCAGGAATACAGCTACCACGTAAAATGAGGGAAGATTGTTATTTGTTTTGTTTGGAACTCTACCAAGACTTTTTCACAAAAAATTATGTGCCAATGGTTATGTTGCTTAAGGGTTTGTATTTGTGTTGCCAACACCGCACACTGTGGCAGCCTGCATTTGTACCGTCACACCACAGTGATTTATAGCTATTGCATGCAGAGTATTGATGTAAGCATTATGTCTTTTGGTACAGTTGTGCTTGAGCATTTACATATGGAAATACTGTATATATTTTATGGTAAATTACACTCCTTTTATGTATTCTTTATATTATAATAAAAGCATTATATATAATTAGTGTATTTGTTTGCAAGGTCCACCATAATAAAGTACCGCAGACCAGGTGGCTTAACAACAGAAATGTATTATCTCACAGTTCTGGAGTCTGGAAGTCTGAGATCAAGATGTCAGCAGGATTGGTTTCTTCTGAGAGTCATAAGGAGAAGGATCTGTCCTGGGATTGTCTCCTTAACAGGCCTCGATTGCTGTCTTCTCACTATGCCTCCACGTCACCTTCTCACCGTACTTGTCTCTGTCTAAATTTCCTCTTCTTCTAAGGACACCCTAGAACTGGATTAGGGCCCACTCTAGTGACCTAATTTTATTTTAGTTACCTCTTTAAAGGCTCTGTCTCCAAATATGGTCACATTCTGAGGTATTAGTGGTTAGGACTTCAATATATGAATTCCTAGAAGGACACAGTTCAGCCTATAACAATTAGGTATGTAGACACATCCTATTTCAAGATAGCAAAGGGAAAGTTATAGGAAGATTTCTTATAAAATGGGGACACTGAGTCTGATAGGGCTGAGAACTGCGGGTATGACTCCTCACAGGACAATGGTAAGTGGTGTCTTATAGGTAAGTGCTGCCCCTTACTTCAAATTTCCAGCCCAGTAGGGTTTACCGAGAATTGGCGTGACAGAACAAGCAGAGAGAGACTAGGGACAAGAAATATTGGCTACTGGGTAAAAGAAAGATAAGGGTTCAAACAAAGCTGACTTTGGCTATAGAAATAATGAAGAGGCCAGATGAGTGCTTTGCTTAAAAGCTTTCAATGTATCTTTATTTCCAAAGTTTCTATAACCAGTGCCACTCTACCTTTCCAACTTTACTTTTCTCTTGTTTAACATCTTCCGCTGCTCTGGTGAATCAATCTTCTTCTTGCCCCCGAAATATCTTAATGTATGTTTTTCTATGCAAGAAATGTCATATCTTTCTTCTTTATCTCAAAATCTTGTCCAGTTTTCAAAGCCGAGCTATGGGATTTTCTCACCCCATATCTCCCGGAAACCAATAGAATTGAGCAATTGGTAGGTAGAGTAGAATCTGAAAAGATGCACACGAAGAGGCCACGAGGAAGCAGGGGTCACGAGAAAGCTGAAATTATAGCTTACAGGTTATAAGGCAGCACAATAGACGAACAAACGTATAGAAAACCAAAAAGAGTAAAATAATTTCTTGGCAGTAAAAGGAGGGTTAGAAGCAGAGTTGCTGAGTGAGCATAATGGTGCTAGTGGAGGCAGGGGTGGGGTGGGGTGTTGATGAATTCTCGCTGCTGAAAGGGTTAATAAATTCTGTCCCTAGAGCTGTGCTGTATCTTTCAGATACCAGGCACCATGATACCTAGATATTCATGGATTCCTATGAGTGTGTCCCATGGTGGGATGGAAGTCCTCCCTTATATATTCCACATTGCAGTTCTCACTCACTCTGGGAACACAGACCTAAGATCATAGAACCTCAAAAGCATACATCCCTCTATTACTTCCAAATTACTTCATCCCTATGAAGGACATTTGTTGCTTTATACAAGCTCCCATTTCTCCCTCCTCCTTTCCAAGGTTACCCATATGTTAGTTTCTCCACACAGACTCTGAGTTTCAGAGGTAGCTAAACCAACCCCAATGCCAGAGATGGCTGGTTGCAATCCTTGGTTTAAGGGTTAAACATATGACCTAAGCATCTTGAATCAGTGTGGGCTTCAAATTCTTGCCAAAAATACTAGGCCAGAATCTCCTGCTGGATGTGGAGGAAAGCACAGGCCTGAATGCAGCCAGGAGTCAGCCATGCAACAACTATGGTGAGAGGTGGCCTCAGGATGAAGAGGACACTGCAGATGGCAGAGCTGAAAGGCAGAAAGGAAAGAGGCCCTTTTCCAACACTGAGCCACTGGATCAGCCAACTCCCTGAGCTTTTCATAATATGAGCCAATTAATTGCCTTGATTGTTTCAACTTCTTTGAATCGGGTTTTCTGTGACTTATGACTGAAAGATCCTAACAAACTCTGCCCTTTGACATTACTTCATGGGGCAGCTACAGGAAGAAGAGAAATGTTACACCATTTAAGCCAATTGGCGAGTATCTGGCTTTTTGGCCATGGTGATTTAGAAGGTTAGAGCAGGCAGTACTGTGCAAAGGCCGATAATTCCTGGGCTTCTGAAGCCCGGTTTGGAAGCTTCAGTGAAGAGTCCAGCAGCTAAAGTTCCACTGGGAGGCTTCCACTGCAAATAATTACAGCGACGGCAATGTCTTTAATACATCATACATTAGATTAAAAGCCAGGTGGCTAATTTGTATACCTGGCACACAGAAGTCAGCAACAGCAGCACTATCAGACAGCAGGCTGTAAAGTGTCAGTAATATGCACAGGTGGCAGTGGGGGATGCCTGCCAACCCCAAATACACTAGGGGAGATTGTAAACATCGTTTAGGAGGTTATCCAGTCTTATTGTCCTTATTCCCATGTGTGGCCTTACAGTGCTCCCTCATTCCCAGAGAAAAGCAGAGTAGCTCTCTGTTCTTTCACCCCAGAGATGCAACCACCTACAGACAAAACGAATACTAATGGTTACCGTTGATTAATCACTCTCCACATGCCAGGCACTGTTGTGTGCATTTCACACCTATTGTCTCACTTAATCCTCATAACACCCTTTAAGGTAGGAACTATTTATATCTCCTTTTCAGAGATGAGGAAACTGAGGCATGGAGAGGTTAAGGCCACAGAGCCAGTAAGGTCCCATGGAGAGTAAGGGGCACAGTAGGAGTTTAACCCCTGCTATGTGGCTTGCGTTTCTTAACTCCAACACTACATTGTCAACTTCTGTCCCATACTCCCTTTTCCTCTCCTGGACCCCTCTGATGATTTGTGAGAGGATATTCGTCTTTATACTTTTAAAATGTATATTTTATATGTGTATATACTTTTCATGTGTATTTTATGCCTATAAATTTACATCTAAACTTTTCATATTTATATTAGCATTGTTATCAAAAGTTAAAAAATTCCCCACAGTGCAGGGTGCAGTGGCATGTGCCTGCAGTCCCAGCTACTTGGGAGGCTGAGGCAGGAGGATTTCTTGAGCCTAGGAGTTCAAGTCCAGCCTGGTCAACATAGTGAGATCCTGTCTCTTAAAAAAGAAAAAGCCCCCAGCATCCCCTCGCCTAAGAGGATGGACTCGCTGGGATCCACCCCGAGACTGTCAGCACTGGCTACTTCTATGAGGGCCTTTAGCCAAGAGTAGGCATCTCTCCTGAAGAAGCTGCAGGGCAGAAGTAGCAGCCATGCTTAGAACTCACAATCTGATTTATCTGATGAAGGAGGAGGTGTCTGATTTCATCGGAAACCTGAACAAACCTGGCAAACTTTCTGGCCTGTGACTAAGATAAAAAGGATCATGGCTCATGGCTCAGTGGACATGGCTGACTTACACCCTTCTCCTTTGGGATGAATGTCACCCTGTCAAGATGTTGAAGGAGTTCGTGTCCCAACACGAACAATATGATTGAACTAGTACAGAATTGGGAGATGGGGTCCCTAGCCAGCGACTATGAAGACAAACAGCAATTCATCAGGAAGTGGTTGTTGTCACCAATAAGTGATACAAACACTCCTTAGAAAGCACGTCACTCCATGAAATACTTGTGATCTGAGCTGAGAGACGATCCCTTCGTAGCTCTTCCAAAGGTAAGGGTGTCAACAGAGGACCAGCTCTTGATATAGGTTACTGTATCATAACATAGCCTAGAGACTGTTTTCTGACTCTCCCCTTTTCTTACAACTCTCAGGATGTGGGGAGAGTGAAGAGGGTCTCTCCCTCATTTGAAGAGGCAATTTGATTAGAGTTGCATTGGTCTATATGTTATTTCTAATCTCTGAGAGGATTTATCTTAAGTATAGTAACCTACACTTAATAATTATTAACCTACTTTTAATAGTCACTGTTTAATCCACCTTTCCCCTTCCAAGAGAAAGGAAAAGGCTACCAATTCATTTAGAATTTACTGTGAATCAGGTATGTCATAAAGAGTAATTCACCATTCCCCCTTCTCCCAGATTAAAGTGGAAACTGTTTTTTGTGATCTTGTGGTCTAGTATAAGGATGGGAGAGCCACTGTTTGGATGGAGGCTGTTAAGTACGATAGAATGGGTGTTTCAGGGTTAGGCAGGTTCTAAAGAGTGGCAGAAATAGGGTAGTGCTAAGATTTGAATGTGCCCCCAAAAAGCATGTGTTGGAAATTTAATGGAATTATAACAGTATTAAGAGGCAGGAATTTTAAGAGGTGATTAGGCCACAAGGGCTCTGCCCTCATGAATAATAGATTAACACCATTATCGAGGGAGAGGCTTTGTTATTGCAGGAGTGGGTTTTTTACAAAAGGACAAGCTTGTCCCCCTTTTCTCTCTCTTTCACCTTCCATCATATGATGAACCAGCAAAAAGGCCCTTAGATCTTGGACTTCTCAGCCTCCATAACTGTGAGAAATAAACTTCTGTTCTTTATAAATTACCTAGTCTTAGGTATTCTGTTATAGCAGCACAAAACAGGCTAAGACAGGTAGGCTAACACCCAGCTCTTTAGCTTTGGTTTATAGAACCAGCAATTCCCAAGGGCAAAATTTATAGTCAGTCTACCAAGGTTCTGTTTGATATGTAAGGTCAGAAAAACTAGTCTAAATTAATATTTACTCAGAGATTCTGCCCATCTTTGCTAGATTATGTGGGTCTCAGAATCAAATGAGGATGGACTCTGCTGGTTTGAAAGTTTGAATGTGTAGGGGAGTGATGCTTCTACCAGGAGAAATGATCATGTTTTCTATACACTGGGACCTGAGACTGCCTCTTGGCCATCTCAGATTCCTCGCCCCTCCTACACAACATTCTTTCCTTGTTTTCCTCCTGGAACAAAGTTTCTTCCTTCCTTCCCTTTCTTTCTCTTTCTTTCTTTCTTTTCTTTCTTTCTTTCTTTCTTTCTTTCTTTCTTTCTTTCTTTCTTTCTTTCTTTCTTTTCTTTCTCTCTCTCTTTCTCTCTCTCTCTTTCTTTCTTCTTTCCTTTCTTTCTCTCTCTTTCTCTCTCTCTCCCTTCCCTCCCTCCCTCTCCCTCCCTCCCTCTCTCTCTCTCTTTCTTTCTTTCTCTCTCTCTCTCTTTCTTTCTTTCTTCTTTCTTTTCTTTCTTTTGACAGAGTTTCGCTCTTGTTGCCCAGCCTGGAGGGCAATGGCACGATCTCGGGTCACTGCAACCTCTGCTTCCCGGGTTCAAGCAATTCTCCTGCCTCAGCCTCCAGAGTAGCTAGGATTACAGGCATAAGCCACCACACTCGGCTATTTTTGTATTTTTTACTAGAGACGGGGTTTCTCCATGTTGGTCAGGCTGGTCTTGAATTCCTGACCTCAGGTGATCCGCCCCCCTCGGTCTCCCAAAGTGTTGGGATTACGGGCGTGAGCCACCGCACCTGGCCAACCTTCCATGTTCTTAACTTTGGTTGTAAACTCAAGTGCTGCTACCAATATTCCAATGTGCAAAGGGATCTCACAGCTCTGGCATAAGCTGGACCACTGCATTAGTATTGGCAGAGGCGTTGACAGCAACAGGTCTGTGGAGGTGGCGCTAATGTCCTTGGTGGAAGCACAGGACCATGATGACAACATAGGTGGAGCTAGTGAGCTCCAAGGCTTTCAGGGGCAGTAGAGATCTCTAAGCTGATGGAAGCTAAGAGGGCTTATTTATCTGTAAAAATTAGCAGTTCCCCTGATTTCACCTAAGAATGCATGCAGGTAATTGGGAAGATGAAAAGTGACTGAAGCGCTGAAATAGTAGGTAGAGCTGAAGCCAAAAAAATGCTTTTAATTACTGTTTACATGACCTTTAGTGACTTCCAAGTTGGAGAGGAAGAATTTTTTTTTTTTAAACTATATCCATGTAAGACTTTTGGTAAGAGAGTTTATCTAGCAAAAAATTGTTACCAAGTTCTATGCTGGGTTTATTTTATAAATTTTTGAAAATTTAACCATATCTTCCCATATTTTACTAGTAAAAATAATCTAAGAATGCTTAGATTTCTTACTTAGAAAAAACAAATATTTAAGCATGTAGTATATCACTTACGTTAGCTATGTTACAGCAATATAACCAATATGAATTTATGTGCTTAGGTGAAAAACAAAACATATTTAATCATTTTTTAAAATCAAATGAACTCTGATGCCAAACACCAATCTAACTGGTAGGAAATTCAATCTTAGTCACATGTTGGGAGAGCTTTACCTCTTCCCCTGTTAGTGCAAATGTCCTGGAGAGATTATGCAATTTTAAACAATTTGCGGGAACAGTCTTATGCCCAGGTGCAGGCCTAAGAGGTTGCATTTTTGTAGGTAATTAAAAACAATAATAATGCTAATTTAAAAATCACTCTGCCTTTTTATTATCACTGTGTCCTGGCTATTTCAAACAATGTCAGTGAAAAATACTCCATCACGAAAAAGAAAGTTGTGGGTCTAAAGTCTAAACAATTTCTATGAATATGGTTGAGATTTAACAATATGTATGTAAGCTACAAATTAGCACTTTTCATTACTTATGCTTTAATAAATATTTCATTCTACAGGGACTTTAAATAGAAGAATCTTCTGTTATTCAGTTGTTTCGCCCCACTTCACCACTGCCATAGATCAGTCTTACACATTTGGTTAGTGACAAATTTCTAAAGCTTCGGAATCATTGACGTGAATCTCTATGGTGTTACATATTCCTGCATTTAAACATTAGGTTCAAAAGAAGCAATGATAACACAGTGATTGTACAGATGAATAAAGAGAGCTTCAGTTATTTCAATTCTCCCTTTCCATATGGTAACTTGGAATTTTTATTTGTGTTTAAAATTTAAAACAGTGAATCCAAGTGCATACTGCTTCTATGTGAAATATTCTAGATCAATTTGCATAAACTCTTTTAAATTGAAATTTTATATCCTTAATTGTTAATTGTTTTAAAACTAGGGAGTGAATCAAGGAAGTAATTATTATGTGATTATTCTAAACATAATTTTATCTTATACAGGTAAGGGTGTCAAAAAAAAAAAGATTGATTCCTACTGTCAAATGCACTGGCTATGCCCCTGCTCTGGTGTTCAATTAATTATAGGGGCCTCAGCTCCTGGCAGCAGGGTCTGTTTAAAGGTGGCAGGTCTGGGCAGCAATCACTGGGACAGCTTCCGCAGCTCCTGAGTGTTCACACACTACCCATAAATAAAATAGCCACTCTTTAATGCTTGATTTAAAAAAAGCCTTGATGGATAAGTCTGCTTTTTTCCCAGGTTTTGGAAAACAAAATTCTCATAACACAGTTCTTGGACAAGGAAAGTTCAACTTTCTTTTGATGTGTATATCATTAGAAGGAGATGGGTCAGGATTGGGACAGGGAGGAGTAATATCTCTTACTGTTTTGTGTTGAGACTATAGAAACATGAGATGTAATGTGATGGTTAATTTTACATGTCACCTTGACTGAGTTCAGGGACACCCAGATAGCTGGTAAAACATTTCTGGGTGTGTCTGTGAGGGTGTTTCAATAAGAGATTAGCATTTGAATCTCTTCCAGTGCTGTAGACTGAGTAAAGATTGCCCCCACCAGCGTGCGTGAGCATCATTCAGCATCCCTTGAAGACCCAGATAGAACAAAATGGCAGAAGAAGGGCGAATTTGCTTTCTGCTTGAGTTGGGACATCCATCTTCTCCTCCCCTTGAACATTATGCTCCTGGTTCTTGGGCCTTCGGACTCAAACTGGGAATTATACCAGCGGCCTCCCTGGTTCTTAGGCCTTTGGGCTTATAGACTGGAGCTACACCACCCGCTTCCCTGGGCCTCCAGGTGGCAATAGTGGGACTTCTCAGCCTCCACAATCACAGGAGCCCATCCCTCATAGCGAATCTCTTTCTCTTTCTCTCTCTCTCTATAGATTCTATTGGTTCTGTTTTTCTGGGGAACCCTGACTAATACACACACTAATACACCTTGACTCACCCTGACTAAAAAGTTTTATCTTGGGTTATCTTGCCACATTAGTCAACAGTATTGTGGAATTGTATTTAAATACTAATTCTTGTGAGTACTATCAATTTAGAGAAGTAAAAATGATTGCATTTGTCGTACCCTTAAATCCCACAAGCTTAGAAATATTATACGCCACTTGAGTCAACTGAGTTTGTTAATTACAGTCTGGCTTTATTTTTGTGGGATATAACAGTATTCATCCTTGATTATATTATTGTTCTGTGGTCTTATCAGTATAATGTGTTATTGTATATAATGTGGGCGATAGGGTTTTTTTGAAGGTGACAAAAATATTACATTTTTGTGAGACAGAATGCAGCAATTAAACCATGAAGTATTAACTAATCACCGAATTGTGCATAATGTGAAGTGAGGTGCCTCACTCACCCCACATATCCAGATTTGACATAACAAGCTCCCCTAAGAACATCCTGGGCCATGTTAACTTGCTGCCCCTTTATCTTACCAATCACATTGACAGTTCAGGTGTGAGGCTTCTCAACAGTGTCTTTTCTATCTCCCCATCTCTACCAGCTGGACTGTCCACCCCTCAGTTCCTGGAAGCGGTAACAGAAGGCAGCTCGCTCCTAACCCTTCCATTCCTACCCCAGCTATAATTAACTCTTTGCATTCCAACAGTGCCTTTCTAATTCCACTAACACTGATAGAAACGACAGAAGTTCCTGTCCAATTGCTGAAGCTTGGGAGATTGATCCTGGGACTGCTACTGAAAACTCAAATTCCATTTCTTCACAGAACCAATTTTTGTCAGAGTTGAAATAAAGCTTGAGCATGGTACCTCTAATACGTTTTGGATCCAACGGGCTTTTTGTAGGCTGACGGGAAAGCCCAACTAAAATGTATAACATTAACTCTGAAATGTATGCTCCTGTAGACTTGGATATTGTCTGGAATCAATCTTGCTGGGAAATAAAGCCCATTTATAAATTAGAAGTCCTCTGATAATTCACATTGTCTGAACTATGCACTCTAGCCCACACCAGAAGCACCAGTGGGGCCTCCATGTTGAGAACAAAGGGTCAAAATAAGAACATTAGTGCAGGAAATAAATAGCTAGTGCCATCATATCTCAGGATGTGTCGAAGAGGCATGGGCACTGGAATTTGGGTGTATGTGGGGAAAGGATTGCAGGTGGAAGGGGAAGTGAGGTCTGGAGTCCAGGTATTTATTAGACCCTCCTAGTCAGGCAAGGTAGAAACTGTGTGAGATGCAGAAAAGAGCCAGGAAATGGTCACTGTCAGTCACAGACCACGGCAAATATAGGAAGCCCCAACATATATGGGGACTCAATGGTGGAGCAGTTAGGGCAGAGGATAGCTGGAAGACACAGTTGTAAAACTCGAAGCATATGTTGAAGGCTGGGTTTAAGGTTAGGGGCTCTAAGAAGGATCTCAAGAATTAAACAAGATTTCAATGAGGACCAATGAGAAGCTGAGTCCTAGAAAATAAAATGTGTTGGTGGGGGGAAGGAGAATGTACTGGGGGAAAGAGATGCTTATTGAGGCACAAGGAACCCCATTGTCATAACATGGAATCAGGGGAAGGAGTGATGGTGAGCTGCAAACTAAGGACTGGGAGAGAAGCCAGGTGCTGATCCTGAATCTCCACATTCTGGGCCCACTTTGCACCTGCATGTTGAATCAGTGCCCTGAGGACAAGGAATGATTGGTGGGTCTTCTTTATTCCTAGTACACTGCCAAGACCCAAGCACAAGACATCCTGCTTGCCTTTCTGTTGCTTAGCAACGGCCACCTCCTTGATTACCCGAGTTGTCATAGTTTTTCTGTAGCTATCTACTCTGACACCCAGTACATTGGCCTACAAAGAACAAGGCAAAAGCCTGGTCATTCAGCCCAATACAAGATGACTTGCAGTGATAAGCCAGTACACACTAGTATGGGCAGTTCTCAGTACAGGGAGCAACAAGACCGATTTCATGCTGAACCCAAACGTCGAGTACCAGACAGGGAAGGGAAGGAAATTCCACCGATTCTGTAAACCCCAGAATTATGGGGGAGAGAAAGAAACAGAGAGAGAATAAAATAAATAAAATGTCAGGTAATGATATTTTAAATAGAATATGTGTTTCAAATGTATATTAAAGTAAAATTTCTTCATCAATCACTCTTTTTCTAGGAAAATTATTTAGTTATGTCAAACACAAAGAAAAACAGGTAGCTTGCCCCTCAAAAAGCCTAAAACTTCTAGATTAAAATGGTCATAGATGTTTCTCAAGAATTACAGTAATTAAATGTTAACATTTAAAAGGGTTGGGAAATTCTGTACTCTGCAAGGTAGAACAAGGACTAAGTCATCAATCAGATGACATGATGCCAAAAATAGTTTGGGAAAGTCAAGAGTAGAGATCTAAACGTTCTCTCTATTCCCGCCTGAAAGATCATCAGCTGGAAAATACTCTACCTGCAGTGATTAAGTCCAAATTTGTGGCACAGTGCTTAGAAGAAGAGCAGCAAGTTAAAAGTCTACGTGTCTGTCCATTAAAGCCCTTACACTGCGTATTCACCAGCCACAGCCCGCTGGAAAACACACCTGTGCATTTATCTTCTTTGAAATCTGGGATGGCAAATCTTCTTTTATTGTTGGGCATCACTGTCACTCCCACCCAGATCAACAAATGTTCTCATGCAAGTACAAAATGTACATAGTTCTTTTGGTCTCCGTGGGTTTAATAGAAATTATTTTTATTGAAACAGGTAAATTGTTACCATTTCGCTCATAATCTATTTATTAAATGAGGTATACCTGAAAAAAGGAAACCTTTCAGGTCACATTATGGCTAGTACCAGCAAAAGCTGCAGCTGCGGAAAGGGACGTGAGAAAGGGCGGGGGTGGGGGGGCGGGGGGAAAGGGAAGAAAGGCCGGACGGTGGAAAGTGGTGAGGAACCAGGAGCTGAATGAGAAGGAGAGGCTGCCCAGAAGCAAGAGGGCCAGTGCTGGTTATCTGACTCTCCTCACATCCTCTAGGTGATCCAGGCGTGTCTGTTTCAGACAATCATTGTCATTACCACCCCTTGAGGTTTTTATTTCCTTCTTGTAGTATAAATTATTGCCTGACTTCGGGCCGGGCGCGGTGGCTCAAGCCTGTAATTCCAGCACTTTGGGAGGCCGAGGGGGGCGGATCACGAGGTCAGGAGATCAAGACCATCCTGGCTAACACGGTGAAACCCCATCTCCACTAAAAATACAAAAAATTAGCCGGGCGTGGTGGCGGGCGCCTGTAGTCCCAGCCACTCGGGAGGCTGAGGCAGGAGAATGGCGTGGACCCGGGAGGCGGAGCTTGCAGTGAGCGGAGATCGCGCCACTGCACTCCAGCCTGGGCGACTGAGCAGGACTCCGTCTCAAAAAAAAAAAAAGAAAAGAAAAAAAGAAAGAAAGAAAGTACTGCCTGAGTTCTTTTTTAAACTTCAGAGTTTATTTTCTCAAGAAATTGTATGTTCCCACTCTCCACTTCCCCTCTCCCTGCTGAGGAATCATCTAAAGACATTCTCAAGCTTGTCCAAGCCACCTTATTTTGTTGTTGTTGTTGCAGTTCTGTTGTTTTGTTTTAGGCTTTTAGCAGCCTGAAGCCATGGTTTTTAGTTTCTGTCTCCAGTGATGAAAGGAAAAGAGGGATGAGGAAGGGGCTTTACCAGCCCAATCACAAATAGAAACTAGGAACCTATGACTATATTCTCTCCCTTGGACACCTAACCGGTTTACTTAACAATATTTGCAGGATTAGCTGGATGCAGTGTCGCATGCCTGTAGCCCCACCTACTCTAGAGGCTGAGGTGGAGGGCTTTTTGCAGGGGTTCGAGTCTGGGCTGGGCAATATAAGGAGAACCCCCCCCCCCACCACCCTGCATCTGAAAGAGAGAAAGAAAGAAAGAAAAGAAAGAGGAAAGGAAGAAAGAGAGAGAGAAAGAAAGAGGAAGAAGAAAGAAAGAAAGAAAGAAAGAAAGAAAGAAAGAGAGAAAGCATTCGAAAGATTAGTCAATTTACATAGTTATCTGCCCCAAAGTCTTTGCTGTCTGCCTTTGAAACTATAATTTAGAAAACAAACCAAACAATGCTAATTAAAATACTATATCCGGATTTTTTTTCTTTTACATTAGTTTTTATTCCTTATCTAAGTAAAACATATTAAAAATTAAAATAGCCCTAAAAGGCTTACAATGAAAAACAGTAATCTTTTAACCAGTTTCCTCCTTAACAGGTCCCACCCACCATCCTAATACCGTCCCTGTTCCTGGAATCAGCCACTTACAACTGGTTTAGCTGTTAATTTTGATACTTTCCTCAATATTTTAAAACAATATACTCATACTTGCGATTTATTTTTGCACAGCTTCAGATGATTATTTAATTTGTAAATATTGTACAAATTTTAGTGACTTAAATACTATATATAGCCAAATAGAAAATTGCATTAATGATTGCTAGGGCTTGTGACATAGGATCAGCGTATCGGGCTCCTTTTGCTTGCTGAGGCCCTAGACTTGACAGTGGCCTGGAATCAACAGGAGTGAGGGTTTACTTGCAAGCCAGCACTATCCTTGGGCAACATTCTCTCTTCCTGAGGTCTTCTGGACTCTAGTCTGTGGGGTACGCCATGGTGCAGGCTGCTCAGCTGGGCCTCAGAAACCCTTCTCCAGGAGTCAGTCTTGAGCTACTGATCAAAGTCTCCTGGCCGGGCACGGTGGATCATGCCTGTAATCCCAGCACTTTGGGAAGTCTAGGCAGGTAGATCACAAGGTCAGGAAATCGAGACCATCCTGGCCAACATCGTGAAACCCCATCTCTACTAAAAATACAAAAATTAGCCGGGCGTGGCAGGGTGCGCCTGAGTTCCAGCTACTCAGGAGGCTGAGGCAGGAGAATCACTTGAACCCGGGAGGTGGAGGTGGAGGTTGCAGTGAGCCGAGATCGCACCACGCCACTGCACTCCAGCGTGGGCAACAGAGCGAGACTCTGTCTCACAAAAAAAAAAAAAAAGTCTCCCCTGACCTGCAGCATACCTGTCACCTCATTGACCTGGCTGAGGTACGGGTACGGGTACACAGGAACAGGTGTCTTTCCCAGCAGTGGGCTCAGAAAATCCTCCACATCCTTCAGCAGCGCCCAGATGTCCCCCTCCACCTTTGGGGTCACAGTCATCTGAAAGTTGCCATGTGTGATGTCCTTATAGACAAGGATTTTGTGCATCTGAGGGCACTGCACCAAGTAGGGCAGATTGGGTGGGGTTGGGGGTTTCTCTGGGAGGTTGCCAGCCATTGGGGTGGGATAATGTTCATGCCTTGGGGACTTTGGGATCCTAGTGAAGAGTAACAGTCACTCTGCAAACGTGTTCATCCACAGGCTTCACAAAGCTCGGATAATCCAGAGCTGCCAGGGTCTGGCTCAGTAGTCATAGCCCACAGCCCTGGTGGATGTTGGTTCTCCAGCCCTGCAGCATGTCCCGGAACATGGTAGTTGCCCCTTACCTAGCTTATTCCGCTGTCTATTTATTTATCAATTTAGATGTTAGCTATTGACTTACTTATGTTGTAGGTGATTTAGCTTTGTAAAAAATATTCCTCCACCCTTTCTTCCTATCACTATAGTTATATCACCTTATTCAGTCTGCCTTTACATTATAATAATTATTAATTATATTATACTTAATAATAATTAATTGTTATATTTGTTCACCACTGAGGCAAGTCATCAAATGTATGCCTCCTTTCTTGTATAGTGTTTTGTTCTCTTTGAAGTTCTTTTGTTCCCCATGGTACATGTCCCCAAGTTGTGTGTGTGAATATTGTGTTGTGTGTGTGTGTGTGTGTGTGTGTGTGTGTATTTTGGTCTCTTTTATATTAACAGTTTCCTTAAATGTCTGGTGATCTTTGACTCTGTTCATGTTGAAATGTGAAGTACCAAAAATATGAATTGAAGCTCTGTGAGTTGTGTTGGGCTTGCCCTATTTGTATTGGGAAACCACTAAATGTCATATGTGGAAGTCTTTGTTTCTGGGATACTCAATTTTTCCAGAAAAGAATCATCTAATTTCCTGCTCATACATGCCTGCATGTGGGAATCAGTGAGTGCGTGTGTCTGTGTGTGTGTGATCCTGGCTGTTGGCATTTGGAAGAGCGGGTTAGGTGAAGGAGATTCTGGATCTCACGATTTGATGTGCAGATTGTCACTTATTTTTAATTTTCAGTTTTTGGATCTGTGTCTCCCCTCCAGGTCAAAGGTAACTGAGTCCTGTCCACAGACTTTCAACCAAGCCCCTGTTTGAGCTTCAGCCTTTGCCAAGGTCTGTGTACTCCAGGTTTGTGTACTTCCAGTGAGTGCTGGTGGTCTGAGAGGAAAGTGTCTCTCTTACTTCTGGTTGGTACCCATTGGTTCCCAATCCTCCATGCACTACCTGTTGAAATTATTGTCTTAAAGGGGAGTCCTATATAAAGAATTAATCATGAATTAAATACACAATCCAGAAACCATTGAAATGTAGACATTAAATGGATAAATTGTATGGTATGTGAATTATAGCTTAATGAAGCTGTTTGAAAAATGATGCTTACATCAAAAAACTGTGGAAAACAAGTAAAAAAAAAGTTGTTTTTTTCTTTTCTTTTTTTTTTTTGGATGGAGTTTCACTCGTTGCCCAGGCTGGAGTGCAATGGCGCGATCTTGGCTCATTGCAACCTTTGCCTCCCGGGTTCAAGTGATTCTCCTGCCTCAGCCTTCCAAGTAGCTGGGATTACAGGTGCCTGCCACCACGCCTGGCTAATTTTTGTATTTTTAGTAGAGGCGGGGTTTCACCATGTTGGCCAGGCTGGTCTCAAAGCCTCCCAAAGTGCTGGGATTACAAGCATGAGCCACCGCGCCCGGCCAATAATTGTTTTTTAATGTACTAAATTGGGAGACTCTGTATGTGTGTATATAAAATATGTGTGTATAAAATAATTTAAATTTCCTTGTCATATTGCAGATCAAAAAAGAAAATAGTAAAAGGATTACAGTAGAACAGACAACTTAGGAGCAACAAATAAATAATATAAATGCTGGAAACTTTCAAATTTGAACTTCGTAATTGAGATGTAAAAATGTATGAAAATCTGAGAAAGAATATGACATATACGGTAATTAAAACCATTTTCTATTAAAGTTCCATTTTCTACAAAAATTACTCTCATAGGAATCATTCCCAAAGAAATTAAGGATCAAAACAAAAGACCCAACATATGCAAAAATAAAAAGGCAACTACTATAATGAGTTGTACTGGTGGCCTACATACACAACAGAAATAAAAGACACTGACACATTCTAATTTCTGATTAAACTGTGGCTTTAAACAACTATAGAAAACACATTGTAATAAGAAACTATGCACACAAAAATGTAATAAGATATGAAACCTTGGATGCAATATAATAAAAATTTCAAGCTGCAAAGCATGTCTGAAAAAGTCTCTCATAAATATATGATTAAAATAAAGTTTAGAAAAGTATTCTATCTCTTTCCAAAGAAAATCAGAAAACCATTCACAGGGAAATAGTTTTTTAAATCCTCAAAAACATTCACTAGGAGAACAGAAGGATCAAAAAAGATAAGTAGCAAAAGGATACTAAAATAATAAGGCAATACATCTTAAAGGACAAAAGCATAGGATTTATATACAAAGTGATAATTTCAATGCATATAGTATACGTTAATGACTCATTTGATGTTAAAGACTAATTGTTGGTAATGAAGATACAGTTAATCTTACAATTTTAATAATAGGTGGAGGTCTCTGATTTTTCTCACCTTTGCCCTTTAAGAGATGATGGCTCTGCCTCTCTTCATATTACCTTAAGTATATCATCTTAAAGCAAGCCAGATCCTGTTTTCCAACCAAAAGTACTCATTGTTCTTTTAGTTGGGGAAATGCTAGAGAGCTGTATGAGTTTCCTGTGGCTGCTATAACAAATACCACAAACTGGGTGGCTTAACACTGTATAAATTTATTCTCTCACAGTAGTTCTAGAGGCCAGAAAGCCAAATTCAAGGTGTCAGCAGGGCCACATACCCCCTGAAGGTTTAGGTGACAATCAGTCATTTGCTTTTCTAGATTCAGGTGCCCATAGGTGTAGAATAATACCTAAAATTAAGGCCCAATTTTCTGCAGTGTCTTGACATCTATCTGATAGAATTAAGAGAGACTTGAATGGCCTAACTGCGACCTCCTTTCCCCATTCTGCTACTG
The DNA here is from genome assembly GCF_000001405.40 of Homo sapiens. Classification (NCBI taxonomy): domain Eukaryota; kingdom Metazoa; phylum Chordata; class Mammalia; order Primates; family Hominidae; genus Homo; species Homo sapiens. The sequence continues at coordinate 64,672,099 of NC_000005.10, read as the reverse complement.
CAGATCGGATTGTCTAAACAGATAGCCCACCTTATGAAAGGGATCAGGCACAGTGCCTACTTATCCTTGAGTAGTGGGTTTCAGTTCTCTGCCAGCCCATCGAATTATTCAAATAAGCCAGTCATCTCCCCACAGGAACCATGATGTACTTCATCCTCTTGACACTACAGAGCCTGCCTCCCACTGCCTCTGGTTGTTCATTCTGTTACCACGTGCAATCCCCATGTGACCCTGCATGGCCTGTGGTATCCTCTTCCCCAGGCTGTGAATATATGTGACAAATAAACTGCTGTTGATCTCATCTCTCCAGTGACGGGTGTCATGTCTTCAGCCACCCCAATAATCTTGGGGTGGAGATCCCTCCCTCACCAATGGGGTAAATAGGAGATAGTTAAAACAACAGGCATTCCTTAACTTGTCCAACATCACATCAATTTCTGCCTCTGTGGTCACACTGCCTCCTCCTTTTCTGTCTGTCCTTTCCTATTCTGTCTGTTTCAAATTTCCCTCTGCCTTTCTCTTATAAAGACATTTTTTCGTTGGATTTAGGGCCTACCTGGCTAATCCAGAATGACCTCCTGATCTTAAGATTCTTTTCCAACACTTTTGGAGGCCGCAGCAGGAGGATGACTTGAGCCCAGGAGTTTGAGACCAGCCTGGGCAACATGATTAATTTAAAAAAGTAGCTGAACGTGGCAGCATGCCTGTAGTCCCAGCTACTCAGGAGGCTGAGGTAGGAGGATCACTTGAGTGTAGGAGTTCATTACAGAGGGGTATGATTGCACTCCAGCCTGAGTGTCAGAATGAGACCCTGTCACACACACAAAAAAGATTTTTAATTACATCTGAAAAGATGCTTTTTCCAATTAAGATAACATTACAGGTTCTGGGGATTAGGATGTGAACATACCTTTTGTGGGCCATCATTCAGTCCACTACAAGAGCCCAGGCAAAAAATATGATGTCCCCTCTTTCTTCTTACATTTTGCTCTGGTTATTTTTTAAGCTCATCGTTAAGAAACATGTTATGATGATTTCCATAAAACTTTCTGAAGCTGATATTAAAATTTGATGCTTTCTGAAATAAAATGTACATTATGTGAGTCCCTCATGTTTACTAACAAAAACAGGTTTCAAGTAAAAAGCTAAACATAATCAAATTTTAAGGCTTGCCTAGAACACTGTAATGAGAAAAATTCTGAGTGCATTCCAGCCAACAGGAAAAAATACTATGATTGATTAGCAATGCCTGCCTCAGGTGAAGCAGGGAGCATGGCAGAACACACCATGAATTTGCAATCCCCAAATTTTAATGACCTCAAGCCATAGTCTTGCAAAGCAATTCCTAGGTAAATTTCAGGTTGGCTATAAATTAAGCCATTCTTGTCCCTAAGAATAATTATTGTATCAGTCAAGGTTTGAACAGAAAGCAGAACCACTAAGAGATATATTTAAGAAGGAAGATTGTTTAGGAATTTGACCTTACACACTTGTGGGAGCTATTTGAACAGTTTATGGGAGATTGTTTCTTTTGCCTCTAGAGCTACAGCCTGAATTCAGCAGGGCAGGCAGTGAGCAAGGGCAGAAAAACATGAAGTGGGGGAAGCAGGAACAAACTAGAACCTGAGAGAATAAGCGAAACCTATGAGGACACACTGAAACCTGCATGTGTCTCTCACTGATGGCAAGCCTCCAACTGTGATGATAGGATTGTCCTGCAGGAAAAGTTGGTGCTTGGAACAGTTAACTTTATGTGTCACCTTGATTGGGTTACTGGGTGCCCAGATTTTTGGTTAAACATTATTTCTGGGTGTGTCTGTGTGGGTGTTTCTGGATGAGATTAGTGTTTGAATCAGTAGATTAAGTAAATCTAATTGCCCTCCCCAATGTGAGTGGGCATTATTCAATCTGTTGAGAGCCTGAAGAGAAGCAAAGGGTGAAGGAAGGGAGAATTTTCACTCTCAGCCTGAATGCTTGACCTTGAACATTGATCTTCTCTTTCCCTCAGACTAGAACTCCCATCATTGGTTCTTCTGGTTCTCAGGCCTTCAGACTTGAACTGGAAGTATAGCTCTGTGTCTTTCCCATGGCTCCAGCTTGCAGACAGCAGATCATAGGATTTAGTCGTCATAATTGCATGAGCCAGTTCCTCATAATAATCTATCTATCTATCTATCTATCTATCTATCTATCTATCTATCTATCTATCTGTCTATCTATCTAATCATCTATCATCTATCTATTCTATTGGTTGTGTTTCTCTGGAGAACCCTGACTAATACAGTACCCTTAAGCAAGGAGCTAAACATGTACCTGGCTCAGTATCTAAAGAAGTTGATGGAAGAGATCCAGTGGATCTGGGGAGAGCTGCAGGACCAGTTATTGCCTTGCCATTAGGATGAGCCATCAGATCATAGTATGTGTGAGCTGCAACGGTGCTTCATGCCTTGCTTTGACCTGAGCATAAAAAGAATGCGGTTGCTACTCTACTTCCCTTTTCTAAATCTCATGCAAAACATTTTTGGTAGCCCACACTAGCTTGGATCTATGTAGGAAAGGGAATTCTTAGAAATGTTGTTCCAGCTTAACTAAGTTGGCTCAATACAAATTCATCACAAACATAACCACCATGAATTATAACATTGGCAGGATTGTCTCATGTTTGTTGGTGAAGCAGAATGTTTTCTTACCTTTTCTTATGTGTTATCTTTGTTTCCTTCTTCCCACATGTGGCAGCCAGATAGGTGCACTGTTTGGTTCATCCTTTAAGAAAAATTGCCATTCAGCTGTGAGAAGGACAGTCAAATGACAGTTTCTAACTGCAGCATCTTTGAGATCTACTGCAACTTTTAAGTAGAGACCACTTTCTTCCGAGGCAACCCCCATCCAATGACTGAGGACAGAAGTTACTAGGGCCTGGTCTTTTCTACCCAGCTGAGACTTGGTGATGGTGTTTGTTTACCAGAGCTGTGTATTAGTCTGTTCTCACACACTAATAAAGACATGTCAGAGACTGGGTAATTTATAAAGGGAAGAGGTTTAATTGACTCATAGTTCTGCAGGGCTGGGGAGGCCTCAGGAAACTTACAATCATGGCAGAAGAGGAAGCAAACATGTCCTTCTTCACAGGGCAGCAACAAGGAGAAGTGCTGAGCAAAAGGGGGGAAAGCCCCTTATAAAACCATCGCTATCTTGAGAACAGCATGAGAGTAACTGCCCCCGTGATTAAATTACCTCCCACTGGGTCCCTCCCATGACACGTGGGGATTATGGGAATTACAAATCAAGATGAGATTTGGGTGGGGACACAGCCAAATTATATCAGGCTGCCATAATAAATACCACAGGCTGCCAGGCTGTTGGCATAATTCCCTCTTCTTTTGGAGACGCCAATCTTTTTCTCTTAAAGCTTTCAGCTGATGGGATGCAGCTCACCTACATTATGAAGAACAATCTGCTTTACTCTCAAAGTCTGCTGATTTAAGTGTTAATCTCATTTTAAAAATACATTCACAGAAATATCTAGAAAAATGTTTAACCAAATACCTAGATACGATAGGCTAACTAAGTTGACACATAAAATCAATTATCACAGTGATATTTGCTTCAGAGCTCCTCATGGGATTGGCTGAGACTGTCATATTTGCATAGCAGTCTGGGGGTCTCCCTGAACAGTTTTGGTTCAGGGTTTGGCCTAAATTGAACATTGAAAAAGAAGCTGGAGTCTGCAAGGTAAATAAGGTTGGGAGAAATCATTCTAGTCAAAAACAAAACAAAACAAAACACACACACACACACAAAACAAAAAAACAAAAAAAAATCTCTATTTTTCCTGGCATGGAGTCTGACAGGAAATGGAAAGTAACTTGGTAAAAGAGATCAGATAATAAAATACTTCGCAAATTACCTAATATGCCAGCTTTTTTGGCTTTTACAGAAACTAGTTAATGATAGCAGTGCTAAATACTATTAAAAGCTCTATAGTTGCATGTTTAACTTATACACCTTGTATAGGAATTATATCTTCTATTGCTTTTATTGCTGTTTTGATTGCTAAGAACATTACATTTTTTGTTTTTTAAAGAAAACTAACTTTCTTACAAGAATGACTTTCACCCAAGGCAATTCCCACAAGAAACTGCCAATAGGGAAAAGAAGGATAGTAGCATGAAGCAGGGAGAAGATTATCAGAGGTAGTTAATTATATGAACTTTATAGTGTACACATGATCCTCAGTACAGAAAGGGGACACACTAAGACCTCCTATACATAATGGAATATTGAGTGTTATTCAGAAAAATCTCATGTTTGTGGTTCAATTTTTATAGTCTATGAACCTGAGGAGTATGTTTCTAAAAAGAGAAAATAGTATATAGCATACCACATTGATACACTGTCAGTCTCTGAACTTCAGCTCCCTCCTTCTTTTCTCCCTTCCTTCATTCCATAAGCATTTACCAAGTACTAACAATGTGCCAGGCACAGCCTGTAGCCCAGAATAGGAAAGGGAGAAATAAAGGAATGAATAAGAAAACATGAAGAGGTATTCCTCTTTTAGTTATACAAGTGACTAAACCTGAAGGAATATAGAAATCTATAGAAAATCTGGTCTACAATTCTAAAACAAATATAACTATCAATGAAATGGTAATGTATATATATAAGTTTGCTAACTGAAAAGTAACTCTTAAAGATTTGGAATCTTCATGTACACACTTTCTGGAGAATTTAACGAGTTTTACATATACAGAAATAAAATTTCAAGGAAAGTTCATATGTGATATATTCTAGCTAAATTGTCAGAATGTGGACAGTTGTCTTAGTGCTGACATCATCATTGTCGCTTTGTCTTTAGTAATCATCATTCTTTTATCCCGTATGAAATAGATATTGTTGCTTCATTAAATGAGTACAAATAAAATTTATTCCGGATATGTCCAACTATGAGGCAGAATAATGTCATTCTTAGTCATTTAACTCAGGTTCATCAATAGATAGATAGATATGTTGTTTTTGTTTTTTCTTTAGATTCAAGTATCACTTTGTAATAATAGCATTTCATTTAGTAAGTCACAAAATTGTCAACGAGGCTCGCCAACTTAATTATTCATGTGGGATAGTATTTATGACTACATAACAAATATTTATTATCTCACAGTTTCTATGGGTCAGGAATCTGGGCAAGGCTTGGCTGTGTGCCTCTGATTCAGGGGTCCCTCAAAAGGCTGCAGTCAAGTTCTTGGTCAGGGCTGCAGTCAGATCAAGGCTATGTTGGGCTTCCAAATTTACTCACAAGGCTGTTAGCTGATGACATTAGTTATTTGCCACCTCAGCCTGTCACATCATGGCAAACTTTTCTTTCTTTGCAAATTTCTTGCTTTCCCCAGAGTGAGAAGATTGAGAGAGAAAGACAGAAAATAACAGTCTTTTTGTAACCTAATTCTCAGGAGTGATATCCCGTCACTTTTGCCATCTTCTATTTATTAGAAGGGGGTTGTTAGGCCCAGTCCACACTCACGGAGAGATTGCATGGGCTGTAAATACCTGGAGGCTGGCCTCATGGGGGGCACTTTACAGGCTGCCTACCAAGTATCATAAAGCCAGTTTGCTTTACTTTTTATGTTTTCGAATGGTAAGGTCAGAATGCATTATTTCATGATTGTGATAATGGCTTTTTAAATTGGGTCTTATGTTCCAACAGCACTGATAAACATTTCTGCATGAGCCCTAGCCCTGGGAATGTGGGTTGTTAGCTTTTAGAGATAGGGGATGGTGAATCATGCTATTTCTCACAGTTTGTCCTTCCCTTCCTACTCTTGTCATGTTCACTGTGGGAAAAGTATATGATGCCATCTCCCTAACTTTAGGTTTGGTCATGTGACTTGCTTTGACCAATGGGACTTGGGGGGAAGGAACAGTCTTCCAGTTTTGAGCAGAAGTTTTAAAAGGCATGCTGTGTTCCCACTTATCCCCTTGTATCCCTGCCTTTCAGCATGAAAAACACAGAATGAGAGACACAGAGCACAGATCTCAACCAGAGCCAAGCCTAAGCCAGATATGTCACATTTATGCTGCATATCTCAAGGCAGAAATATCTATTTATTGTTGTAAGCCTCGGAGGTTTGGAGGAATGCTTCACTGCTGCAGCAAAAGTTGACTGGTGAAAATGGAGACAGCAGGTATGATAGAGAAAGTGAACCTCCCAAAGAGTGTCTACTACTTCCACTGTTCTGTTTCTAGATCCCACCGAGACTGATTAAAGCCCAGTCCCCATAGGTATTTGTATTGGATGATGCTGTGTTTCAAGAGGTTCAGTCCCCACAGCTTGCTGTATAACTTTGGCACAATCCTCAGGGCCCTCAGTAAAGACTTATAAACTGTAAAAATATACATATTTTTAAATCAGTGATTTCAAGGTATCGTGTTTAAAACTGGGCAAATGTTCAGTTTTCTCAAATTTTAGATATTATATTTTGCCGCTCTTAAAAACTTTTCTATTTGGTTTGTTTTGTGATCTAGATATTGTCATTGAATCCAAATAGTGAAAGAGGAAACTTTTAAAATGAAATAATATGCATGCTGGCTATTATTAACTCAGCAGGGTAGCTGTTTACATAGTCAAGTAATTGTGCTATATCCTTGAACACAGAGGGAAAGACATGAAAGGGATTGGGTAAACAACATGTTGCCTCTAAAGATCTCTGGGAACACTGGTGTAAATCAAGCAATTATAGTCCCTATCTGAAAAACAAACGTTGAAGAGATTAGGAGACACTCATTCTTGTGGTTAATTTTTAAAACATTTTTTGTTTCATTTGTTTGTTTCTTGACTCCTTGCCTGCATAAGTGAAGAAAAGCCAAGGGGTGCAAAATTGTTTAGTACCAGATCAGAAATCATCTTGAATAGCGTGTAGGGTTATCCAGTTATATCTTGCATGCGCGTATGTGTATGTGTAGTCTAAACCTGCATTATCCAGAGTGATTGCCAGGGCTTCCAAATTCATTTATTGATAGCTCAGCTTTCTGTTCTGTAACCTAATAGTCTAATAGCTATATAATATATAATTCAGGGACCAAAAAAGGTGATATATTCAAAATTACATTAGGAAAAATAATTGTTCACCTGATAAATTAAAACCTTAGGTTAGATTATCATTGAATCATGTAACAGATCAATTTCCACATAATTTTCTAAAGTTGTGATGCTCTGTGAATCTGCCCTCCCCTAATGACTTCAATTATTTCCTGTAAAATGTTTTATTTTAGTATTAAAAGAATAATTTGGACCAATACAGTTAATTTAATCTTCCATTCCTTTCCCTGTTCCTTCTCTGCCCCTTCTATTTCCTTTCTGCCCCACTGTTATCATCCTACTTACAATCTAGTGCCTGAACTACAGCATAGGTTTCCAGCCAGCCTTGCCTTTCTCAGGCTCATTTCCCTTCAGTTCATTTCCTAGTGAGATACCACATCACCCCAAGAACTTCAAAATGAGGACACTCTTGCCCAATATAAAAAAGTCATGCTCACACTTCATGAGTAGGAACAGAGACAGACATCATGGGTTAAAAGCAGGATTGCTCCAAGGCCTGCGGGAAGCCTCTCCTCTGGAACCTCTTAGAATACATTAAATTATCCAAAGAAAGACGAAATATGGAACAAGGTCGTGTCAAACTGACAAGGGCTGGTCATCTCTAGAGGTTCAAAAGGGAGAGTTCCAGAGGCCATTGATTAATGGCCCTTCCAAGACTTATCTTCGGACCAATTCAAAATGATAGTTCTGTGGGGAGCTCTTGAAAACTACCTAGCTCATAACAATACCTGATCTCTACCTGAAGAGATTCTGATTTAATTCACCTGGGGTGGCACCTAGCGTTGGTATTTTTAAAATACTCTCCAGGAGATTCTAATCCAGGCTGAGAATCTCTGGTAAACTCTAAATTCCTATTGTAAAACAGGCCAGCAGGCTATCTCAGTTCCAGGTCTGCCAGTAATTCCAAAGCCAAGGAACAATTCATCCTCATTCCATGTTGACTGGGCAATCCCCTGATTTCCCTGAGCCTGGCTATAGAAAGAGTTTACATCCATGAGAGAAACTAAGCTTGAGTCCTTATGATGGTTCTCTTGTACATTCTAAAAGAGCTTCTTGTCACGATTTTCCATTCTATTCCTAGAAAGAATACGTTATTAACAGAATTTCCAGTTTATGTGACAGTGATGTTTCTCACAGTAAATAAGTAAATTGGAATTTCTGTGTTTATTTTGATCTCCTGTGAGTTTCAGTTGTCATTTTTTTGCCTTTCACTCCTTAATGGAAACAAGGTCTTTGCCAGGAGCCTTCAAAGTAGAAAATTCAGAAAGTAGAAGATTCAGTGACTTTCCTTAGAGATTCTGCTGTACTACTGTCATCTGCTCCCAGTGTCTGTACCTTGCAACTAAATGAAATCTTTCTTTTTTTTTTTTGAGACAGAGTCTTGCTCTGTCAGCCAGGCTGGAGTGCAGTGGCACAATCCCAGCTCACTGCAACCTCTGCCTCCCAGGTTCAAATGATTCTCCTGCCTCAGCCTCCTAAGTAGTTGGGATTACAGGCACTAGCCACCACATCCGGCTAATTTTTGTATTTTTAGTAGAGACAGAGTTTCACCATGTTGGCCAGGCTGGCCACGAACTCCTGACCTCAAGTGATCCGCCCACGTTGGCCTCCCAAAGTGCTGGGATTACAGGCGTGAATCATCGTGCCCAGCCTAAATGAAATCCTTCTAAAGTGAAGTTCAGATCACATTACAATTCTTCACAAAAACTTCCAGGACTTCCTTACTACCTTCTGTTTCAATCTGCCTTTCCTCTCTCAGTGCTTCCATTAAGAACTCAACTTTATGCCACAGGCAAACTGATGCATATAAACTTCATTTTCCTGCCTCTTAATTTTAAGTTTAAACTGGTCCCTTCATTGTTCACCTCCACCACCTCTAGCCTAGAACCTGGCACACAGTAGATGGTAAGTTTGTATTTGCCAGCTGGATGTTGAATGAATTCAATTTCAATTCAATGAATTTTATTAAGCTCCTGTAATGTGCCAGGCACTGTTCTAGATGCTTGAGAGAACAGTGAATAAAGAAGAAAAAGATCCCTTCCCTTATGGAGTTCAGATTCTAGCAGAGAGAGACAGGTGATAAAGATGATAAATCAATGGTATAGGATGTTAGAAAGTCATATGTGCTGTAGAAAAATGAAAAAGAAAAGCAGGAAACCTGAAGTGCACAATTTGCAGTATTAAATAAGGTGGTCAGGGTGAGTCCCATTGCAATGGTGGTATTTGAGCAAAGACTTGAAGGAGCTGAGGGAGTCAGTCATGTGGACATCTGGAAGGAGAGTGTTCCATGTGGAGGAACAGCCAGTGCAAAGCCCTGAGATAAGAGCATTCCTCGTGTTTGGGAGAAATAGCAGCAGACAGAGTGCCTACAGCAGAGTGGGCGAGGAAGAGAATAATAGGAGGGGAGGTCATATCATCTGGGGCCATTCTGGATGTTTGTAAGGACTTTGGCTTTTATATGGAGTGAAAAGGGAAGTAATTTCAGGACTCTGAAAGAAAAATGACAAGATCTGACTTATGTTTTAAAAGAATTACTCTGGCAGCTTGGTTGATACTAGAGTCCAAAGGAGAGGGTCAAAGGTATAAGTACAGAAAACAGTTAAAAGGTAGGGGAATCTGACAGGACCAATGTATGTGGACCAGAGTGGTAGCAGAGGAGATGCTGAGAAGTAGTCAAATTTTGCTTTTTTTTTTTTTTGAGATGGAGTCTTGCTCTGTCATGCAGACTGGAGTGCAGTGGTGTGATCTGATGGTTCACTGCAACCTCTGCCTCCTGAGTTCTAGAGATTCTCCTGCCTACAGGCGTGTGCCTCCACACCTGGCTAGTTTTTGTATTTTTAGTAGAGACGGGGTTTCACCATGTTAGCCAGGCTGGTCTCAAACTCCTGACCTCAGGCAATCCGCCTGCCTCGGCCTCCCAGAGTGCTGGGATTACAGGCATGAGCCACCACTCCTGGTCAAATTTTGCATTTTTAAAAGAGCCAATAAAATTTTCTGACAGATTGCATATAGGATGTGAGAGAAAGAGGGGAACCACAGGTGACTCCAAGGTTTTTATCATGAGCACGTGGAACAGAAGAGTTGATATAAACTGAGAAGGGAAAGTTGTGCATTGATGGTTTTGGGGGAAGTGGGAATCAGGAGTTCAGTTTTGGACATGTTGATTAAAAGATATTTATTAGACATTCAAGTGGTGATGTGAAGAACCCAGTTGGACATATGAATTTTAAGTTCAGAAAAGAGGTCTGAGTTGGAGATAAATTTGGGAGTCATCAAAAAAAGCATGAACATAGTATTTAGAGTAATAAACCTAGATGAGATCATCAAGGGGATAAGGAAAGAAGAGGACCAATGACCAAGTTCTGGGACACTCTCACATAAAGAAATCTAAGAGAAGAGAATGAACCAATAAAGGATATAAAAACAGACCAGAATGAGAGAGGAGGAAACCCAAGAGACTGCATTGCCCTGGAAGCCAGAGGAAGACAGTATTTCAAGGGAGAATGATAGATTGTGACAAAAGCTGCTAATAGGTCAGATAAGGACTGAGAACTGGCCATTAGATTTAGTAACTGGTCATTAGTGAGCTTTATGGAAACGGTTTTGGAGGACTGGTGGTGGTAAGAGCCTATTTAGAGTAAAGAGAAAATGGAAGGAGATGAATTTGAGAATGAATGAATGCATGAAGACCCATGACCTTTATCTCATTCTACCTTTTGTTATTATGTTTTCATTTTATCTCTTTTTCTAGATTATAAACCCCTTGAAAAAAGAAAGAAGCTGTGTCTATGACAACTACATAGCTGCTACGGAACCTGGCACAGTGCTAGCACACAGCAGGGGATCAATAAATGTTGCTTGACTGACTAACAAAAAAGTGAACATTAAATGAAGACAGTCAGGTGAAATTAAATTCCTCCTTATCCTTTTGGTGTTCGTTCTTATTCTTTATAATTCTATTCTCCCCACCCAGGCTCCCAGGTACTCTGAATCCTCTTGCTACCTTTTCTCTGCTCCAGCCTTTCCCTTCCCCTCTTCCTATCTCACTTCCCCTCTTCCTATCTCACCTCCCCTCTTCCTATCTCACCTGCTTGACAGTTTACCCACATGAGCCTATTCCTTCAGGAAGGTGATGGGAGTAAGAACAGAACAGCTAATCTTGTAAAAGAACTCCAACTCAGGAAACCATCATTTGATGACAACTTCTATTGAGTAACATCCACCTTAGAGAGGTACCTATTCTGATGCTGGGTAGTAAAGGCCAGTAGAAGCCAGATCTCACAATACAGTGAAAAGAATTTGAAATATGAAAGTGTGTTGTTTTCCTTCATTGAATCTGAATTACATCCAACAGTGAATATTAATCCACTGTTTCTAATAGAATAAGAAAACAGTCTAAAATAAATGAAAGTACCACAGAGCTGTTCTTAATTGCCTTCTCATAGTATTAGCTTTTAAAGTTGTAAAATAGTATTATTTTTTTTTCAAATGAAGCATGGACTTGTCTGTCTAATTATTTAATGTATTTTCTTCAAATTAGTTTCTGTAATGGGTTAATTTTAGGCTGTCATATATTCTTAAGTTAATTTTGGAGTATAGGATTCGAATTGTTAAATTTTATTCATTCATTTATTTAAGAAATATGTATATATGTTAGACACTGTGGTCTTAAACATAATAACAAAAATACATTTAAAGCAAAGAACAGATAAGGTCACTTTGTTGCCTATTGGGATAGATAGGTTAAAACTACATTTCCTCTTATTTCTTTTCTAACCTCTCCTTTGCAATTAAGAATTTTAACTATGATACTCAAACATTTATACAAATATATTTTAGTAATTTAGCTCTCAAATAGGAGCAACATGTTATTTCAAATGAGAACATTAAGGTACAAAGAAGGAAACTGACTTAGTTTATGTTATTTGACAACCAATGTGCAGGCAACAGAATTATCCAGGCATAAAGTCTGAAAGCAGCTTGATAAATACTTTCCACCAGGATGAAGGCAAGATCTGTATAAATTCAATCAAGCAAATTATTTCCACAGGGAGAATGCACACAGGAAGGGTACTGGGAACATTTTTGTCATCCAGGTATCTTATTTTTCCAGACAATTAGCAAAAAAAGGACAACATAATTTTTTTCTCTTGTTCTACAAAGGCTGCCCAGAAGCCAAAGATAAGCATTTGGGGTGACTGACAGGTTTCAGTAAGGAGAATGGAGCTATGATCTGTAAACAATATGGTCATCAAAGAATAAGAGTGTATACATTATATATTTGTTAATTTTGAATCAAAGGTAACTGGAAAAAAATGAAGAAGTGAATCATAGGTACTGAGTTTATTCAGGAAACAAAAGGATAATCAGCTCAGCAAAGTATAATAGTCACTGTTCAGCTCATCCCCGAAACTCCATGTGGTCCAGGCTAAGCGGCACCAGCTGTAGCAATTCAAGCTCGCTCTTGTATTATTCAGGCAATTTTGCAATAAGATAAAGAGTTAAAATAAGCTAGCCTTTTCCATTTCCCTTTGTACCCCTTCCCCCACAATCAAGCTATCAGAACAGCAAAATAAAACCAAAACAGTCTCTATAAGAACACTTTATGAGTTTCCTCTCTGTCATTATTCTCTTTTGGCTGAGCAATCTTTTTTTTTTTTTTTTTTTTTTTTTTTTTTTATTGACAACAGAGTATTTATCTTCCTTGCAATTCCTGTATTCATGGTCTTATGCCATCCACTGTGGTAATAATTTAGCTGGATAAAAGGTACAAACAAGGTCCCTTTGGAAAGCCAGTTTGTAATTTTTGTGTTTTAAGCTTTATCCTCATCCCCTAAATTCATTTCAGATAGATTAAAAATTGACTAATAGAATACTAAAGCTTAGAATTCAGAATAAAATATAATTTAACAGCTTGCAGACTATGAAAAGATATTTTTATAAATTACAAGCTTAGGAACAATAGACAAAATAATAATGTAATGTACTGACAGATTTGAATGCCTACAAATAATAACATTTGCACATAGAAACAAAAAAGAGTTAAAGTCTCTATTTTATAGAGAGCTCCTGGAGGAGAATCCTTTCACCGCGGCATCACCAGATCTTTTATTATTGTTCTTATCGTATATAAAGACCTTTTCTAATGCACTTTACAAGAAAATCCTCAGTACCAACCAAAATAAGTGAATAAATTTTAAATCAAAATAAATTACAGAAGATCAAATAAATGAGAAAAAAATGTTAAACTTTAAATAGCTAATGGGCAAATGCCATAGTCAATTCTCATGAGCAAAAAGCCAATTACTTAGTAAACATGGGAAAATACTTCAATCTCATTAGAGAACAAAGAAAGGCAAATTAACCAGTGAGGTGCACTTTTTCTTTCTACTGAATTAGTAAAATATATGATTATACAAATGGCTGGCAAGAATACAAAATAGTGGATATTATGGTACATTCTAGTGACTGTACAAATTACTTCAATATTTTTGAACCCTATGATGGCACTATGGACAGAAAAGCTAGAAAAATGTCCTGTGTCTGCTTTCTGCCAAGATGACAGACTAGCCTGGGTTGTAGACTCCTACCCTAACTGCAATGCTGAAGTAACTGTAAATGTTACAGGGAGGTATGGATTCCAGAAACCAGTCCCAATAAGCATCAGCGAAAAATCTCTGGGAAGATTAAATCTGTCCTAAACATTATGAGGGGTTGGTTGGTGCAGCCTGGTGTGGAGAGCGGCTGTCTTTGGCGAAGAGAGGATAGGTAGAAGAAAGTTTTATAAATTCTGCAATTGTCTCTGTTTTGGTTTGTCTTCGAACAATCATTGTCTGCCCTTTCACCTCTGACATTAGAGCCCTGAAGGCAAAATCAGAGAAGCATTAAAGTCTTGCTGGGGAAGGGTGTTCATGAAAACAGACCAGTGTCAGTCTTTCAGTCTTACTCTTTGAAACCCTTAGGCCTAGGATTTCAACCTAGTCTATTCCAAATGCTACTCTTCCCTAAGGGTCAAAGGGAAAGACTGGGAGTAGCAGCAAGAGATTAGCAGTGGTTCTTTTGTGTCCGAGGCTCTGCATCCTTGACTCATCTTCTCTATTATCCTTAAACACACCTGGACTGACATAGACTTTGGGTGTTCTCTGGTGCATATTACTGGAGAGAATAGCTGATACCTTCAGGGGAACATAAGCTCAAAGGCCAAAATAACTAACAGCTAAATAATTCGACTGTCTCAAAAAAAAAAAAAAAATCCTGTAAACTGAACAATAGTTATCATCTGAGTTAGAAATATTAAAACAGAAATCTTGAGAATTTAATATAGTATGGGATAGATACAGAGATAGATTGCTAAGGAGCAAGATACTGAAGTAAAAAATCAGAAGAACTCTTCCAGAAAGCAACAAGAAATGATAAAAAATAAAACAGAAAAGGAGACTGAGCCGTTTAGAAGGGCAGGGCCAACATTCAGAAAATGGGAGACCCCAAAGGAGAAAACAATAAAGATGAAGAGGAGAAATATTTAAGAAATAATTTTGGATAAAGCTTTTAAAAAGATGAAAGACTTCAGATGGAAAAGAGAAATAAAGAAATACCCAGAGATGATAATGAAGTTTAAGAATATCAAAGACAAAAACTATAAAAGCAAAGAATAGATCAACAGAAAGGAATAAAAATAACACATCAGATTTTTAAAATAAGCAACATGAGATAAAAAATGGCAATAAAGTAATATTTTTATGACAGTAAAAAAATTTCAAAACTAGAATGTTAAATTCAGCCAAATAGTCAATCAAATTTGAAAATATAAGAAAAATATTCTCATGTTGTACAGCCTCAGAAGGTATACCACAAAAAAGTTTTTACTGAAAACTCTTGTGAAGAAAGCAAAAAGTCTAGAATCTAGGGCAAGAGATATGGGATGCGTGGGTGGTCAGATAACTTATTAAGGCCTATTTTTTATTTTTAAAAACCAGAACTAAAGAAATTTTAAAAATCATATTCATAATAAAGAAAAATTAAAAATCTAGATATTAACAACATGATAAATGGGCTATGAGGTGGGAAGTACTACAAGCACATGAGAGTGTGTGGGCTGGGCGTGGTGGCTCACGCCTGTAATCCCAGCACTTTGGGAGGCTGAGGTGGGCAGATCACAAGGTCAGGAGATCAAGACCATCCTGGCCAACATGGTGAAACCCCGTCTCAACTAAAATACAAAAAATTAGCCGGGCATGGTGGTGTGCACCAGTAGTCTCAGCTACTCAAGGGGCTGAGGCAGAAGAATCGCTTGAATGAGGGAGGCAGAGATGGCAGTGAGCCAAGGTCGTGCCACTGCACTCTAGCCTGGCGACAGAGCGAGACTCCGTCTCTAAATAAATAAATAAATAAAAAATTAAAAAGAGTGTGTCAAATTAGTTTTCTTGTTGGGATTAATTTATAAACACTGATAAGCTTAAGAAATCAACAGACGTAAATAAGCCTGAGTATGGGTATTAAGTTAAAGACAACACCAAATGAAAAAAATATAATGTATAGCTGTTAGATGAAGAAAAATCATTTAGACAGTTGAATGGAAAACAACAAAGGAAAAAAAGAAACAAAAATAAGATGTCCTTGTCTTTGGCCGGGTGCAGTGGCTATGCCTTTAATACCAGCACTTTGGGAGGCCGAGGTGGGTGGATCACATGAGGTCAGTAGTTCAAGACCAGCCTGGCTAACATGGTGAAACCCCATCTCTACTAAACATACAAAAATTAGCCAGGCATGGTGGCGAGCACCTGTAATCCCAGACACTTGGGAGGCTGAGGCAGAAGAATCACTTGAACCCAGGAGGCGGACGTTGCAGTGAGCCGAGATCATGACATTGCACTCCAGCCTGGGCAATAGAGCGAGACTCCATCTCAAAAACAAACAAACAAAAAACAAACAAACAAAAAAACAATATCCGTGTCTTCATCCCTGGAACCTGTGACAATGTTAGGTTATATTGAAAATGGGATTTAAACTCATAGATAGAATTAAGGTTGCTAATCAGCTGACTTTAATAGAGACATTATCCTGGATTATTCCAGTGAGCCCAGTATAATTCTAGAGGTCCTATTAAGTAGAAGAGGGAGGCAGAAGAGAGAGTCAGACAAAGAGATGTGGTAATGGAAGCAGGGTCAGAGAGATACTACATTGCTGACTTTGAAGGTAGAGGGAGGGGGCCATGTGTCAAGGAATGTGGGTGGCCTCCAGAAGCTAGAAAAAAGAGGAAATAGTTTCTTCCTTGCTATGAATCTGTCCCTCCAAGATTTATAGGTTGGAACTTAAACCCCAAGGTGATGATATTAAGAAGTCAAGGAATGTGGGTGGCCTCCAGAAGCTGGAAAAAGAAAAAAGGGAATGGTTTCTTCGTTGCTATAACTCTGTCCCTGCAAAATTTATAGGTTGGAACTTAAATCCCAAGGTGATGGTATTAAGAAGTCAAGGAATGTAGGTGGCCTCCAGAAGCTGGAAAGAGAAAAAAGGGAATGGTTTCTTCCTTGCTATAACTCTGTCCCTGCAAAATTTATAGGTTGGAACTTAAATCCCAAGGTGATGGTATTAAGAAGTGGGGACTTTGGAAGGTGATTAGGCCTTGAGTGAGGACTCTGCTTTCATGAATGAGATTAATGCTGTTATAAAAGAGGCTTCAGAGAGATGCTTATCCCTTCCATCTCTTCTGCCACATGAAGATACTGCATTTGTACCTTTTTTCTTGTCTGCCATGTGAGGTCGCAGCATTTATACCCTTCAGAAGATACAAGATGCCATCTTGGCAACAGAGAGTGAGCCTGTACTATATACTGAATCTACTGATACTCTGATCTCGGACTTTCCAGCCTCCAGAACTGTGAGGAATAAATTTCTATTACTTACAAATTACTCAGTCTGTGGTATTTTGTTATAGTAGCAGGAACAGACTAAGACACTTCCCTAGAGCCTTCAAAAGGAATGTAGCCCTGCTGACACCTTGATTTTAGCACAGTGGCAGCTGTGTTAGGCTTCTGACCTACAGAACTGGACATCATAAATTTGAGTTGTTTGAAGCTACTGTTTGCAGTAATTTGTTATAACAGCAATAGAAAACAAACACAGAAGGGAAGTACAATCCTACTATGTATCTGGATGGAGGAAGAAGTGGAAATATTTGGTGAATAGCACTAATGACTATCACAGAAGGGAAAAGAATATTTGCACGGAATAATTATTTACACAGGATGATCACTTACCTAGAAAAAAAACACAGAATCAATAAACTCTCTGAACAAACAGAAGCATTCAGCAAGTTTGTTGGATACAAGAGCAGCATTAAAAAAATCATAGTCCATAAGAAACTAGAAACTAGACACCATTAACAAGAATTAACTTATGTATGAATATGCAAGACTGCAAACGAGAATTAATTTATGCATGAATATACAAGATCTCTTTGGGGCAAATCTTAAATCTCTAATAAATGACATAGAAGATAGTCTAAGTGAAGAAAGAAATATAAAATAGCTCCCCCAAATTGTCTATATTGTATTCACTGGAACTTGTGAATGTGTTACCTTACATGGTAAAATGGACTTTGCACATTTAAGTTAATGTTTAGCAATCGAATTCTCAGATTCCTGAAAAGGCGTAAAAATTGGGAATTCAAGGTATCTTTGAAGGCAGCATTGCTGAGCTGAGTGGGCTGAAGAATATAGGTTTAAAGTCTTACGGTCATACAATTTAGCCCCAGATCACCTTCCCAACTCTGCACAGCTCACTGCCTCTTCCCACACTGCATCACATATATATTTCTGTGCAACAAACACCCCAAAGCTGCATGGTAAAACAGCAGTGATTTATTATTTTTCACAATCCTATATGTTGGCTGAGTGTTTCTTTTATTGTTCTCATCTGACACTACTCTTGAGGCTGCATTCAGTTAGGGATGATTGAAGGATGGCTGGGCCTCTTTCTCTATGTGGTTTCAGGGCCTATTTCTGCATGTGCTCACTCATCATTCAGTAATCAGCTTGGACTTTTCATATAATCATATGACCTGGGTTCCAAGACAGCAAACTCATCCATACAGAGGTATGATTCACTGAAGGCCATTAATGTAACAATCTATCATGCTTATTGCCTTTGTCCATTTTTGCATTGCTACAAATATCTGAGGCAGGATAATTTATAAGGAAAAGAGGTTTAATTGGCTCACAATTCTTCAGGCTGTACAAGCATGGTTTCAGCATCTGCTTCTGGTAAGAGCCCCAGGAAGCTTACAATCATGGAAGAAGGTGAAGGGAGGGCAGGCAATGTCATATGGTGGGGGGATTAGGAGGAAGGTGCCACACATTTTTAAACAACCAGATTTTGCATGAACTCAACTCATTCATCACCAAGGGGATGGTGCTAAGCCATTCATGAAGGATCTGTCCCCATGATTCAAACACATCCCCCTAGGCCCTACCTCCAACACTAGACTTGGTATCTGAGGTCTGTGGATACAAATGAGGGTGGACATTAATACAAACTAAATGGTTAGACTTTCAGCTGCCTTATCCCCAAGGTTCTAGCATGCTGGCAGCCAGAATTATTCCCACAAAGTATAAGTTTGGAGTATTCTTCTCTGCAAGAAACACATCAGCCTTAGGAAAAAGGTTCAATTAGTGATAGTTGGGAGAGGACTACTGAAATAGATAGGGTTCACCAGAACTCTCCAAGGGGAGTCTGGCCAGTTAATAAGCTCTCCTACCAATACAGAGCTGCTAAACAGCTTTTTTTTTTTTTTTTTTTTTTTTTTTTTTTTTTTTTTTTTGACAGGGGCTTACTCTGTCACCCAGCCTGGAGTGCAGTGACACAATCAGCTCACTGCAGCCTCAACCTCCCAGGATGAAGCAATCCTCCCACCTCAGCCTCCCAAGGAGCTGGGACTATAGGTATGTATCACCGTACTCAGCTAATTTTTGTATTTTTGGTAGAGAGAGTGATATGGTTTGGCTGTGTCCCCACCCAAATCTCATCTTGAATTGTAGCTCCCACTATTCCCACATGTCATGGGAGGAACCCAGTGGGAGGTGATTGAATTATGGGGGTGGGTCTTTCCTGCACTGTTCTCATGGTAGTGAATGAGTCTCACGATATCTGATGGTTCTAAAAATGGGAACTTCCCTGCACAAGCTCTCTCTTTGCCTTCTGCCATCCATGTAAGATGTGACTTGCTCCTCCTTGCCTTTCACCTTACACCATGATTATGAGGCCTCCCCAGCCACGTGGAACTGTAAGTCCAATAAACTTCCTTCTTTTGTAAATTGCTCAGTCTCAGGTATGTTTTTAACAGCAATTTGAAAATGGACTAATACAGAGGGGTTCTTACTATGTTGACCAGGCTGGTCTCAAACTTCTGGCCCCAAGTGATCCTCCTACCTCAGCTTCCCAAAGTGCTGAGATTACAGGCAAAATCCACCATAATCAGCTTTTTAATGCCTTACTTTTAAGTATGAATAGACAGCCAAGGATTGCTACATACTTTTAGTAGCTGCATTCTATTTCATTGCCTGGATGTGTCATAGTTTATACAACTGGTTCTTTATTATTGGAAATTTAGATTGCTTTTCTACTTTACTATTATAAGTGATGCTGGAAGAAATATTATTCTACATATATCTTTGTATACATGTCTGATTTTTTTGTATACATGTCTGAAAAGTGGAATTTTTGTGTCAAAAAGTAGGCATTTTAAATAGGTTTTTGAAGCATATTATCAAATGGGCATGTTATCTTAATGCAGTTTATCAATCTATTGCTGTGTAACAAATTATCTTAAATCATAGTAGCTTAAAATGATAGTAAAAATTTATTATACTTATCTTTCTATGGGTCAGAATTTCAGAAATAGCTTACGGGGGGTTCTAGCTTAGGATTTCTTATGAGGCTGTGGTTAGATGTTGTGCTGGGCTATGCTATTGTCATTTGAAGACTGGGAGAGGGAGTCAGGTGAAAGCTATTCTTTTTATAAGTTGGCTTCAGATGTCACATAGCATCACTTTTCTATTTGTTAGAAATGAGTCACTAAAATTGGTCCCCATTTGGAGGAGTGGCAAATAATTTGTTGACATATTTTAAAACCATCATGCTCAGGAAAATTAATTGTTTTAAGTACTGAAGGATTTTTACTCTTAAAATAATAAACATACATTTATATTTCAATTTACTGATAAAAAATCCATATTTACAAATACCTCATGTGGGCTGAGCATGGTGGTTCATGCCTGTAATCCCAGTGCTTTGGGAGAATGAGGTGAGAGGATCACTTGAGGCCAGGAGTTTGAGACCAGCTTGGGCAATATAGTGAGATCTCACCTCTACAAAGAATTTAAAAAATGCTTTATAAGATTGTGTTAGTCCATTTGTGTTGCTAATATAAAGGAATACCTGAAACTGGATAATTTATGACAAAAAGAGGTTTATTTGGCTCACAATTCTGTAAGCTGTACAGGAAGCATGGCACCAGCATTTACTTCTGGTGAGGGCTTCAGAAAGCTTATACTCACAGCAGAAGATGAACGGTAGCCAGCATATCACATGCTGAGAGTGTGAGCAAGAGAGAGAGAAGGAGGTGCCAGGCTCTTTTAAACATCCAGCTCTCCTTGTGAATTAACAGAGTGAGAACTCACTCATTATCAAGGGGATGGTGCTAAGCCATTCATGAGGGATCTGCCCCATGGACACACATCTCCCAGTAGGCCACACCTCCAACATTGGGGAATCACATTTCAACATAAAATTTGGAAAGGACACACATGTAAACCATATCATTCTTCCTCTGGATGCCCAAATTTCATGTCCCTCTGACATTGCAACATCATCCCTTCTCAATAGTCCCCCAAAGTCTTAATTCGTTTCAGCATTAACTCAAAACTCCAAAATCTCACCTGAGGCTCGAGGCACATTCCTATGAGCCCATAAGATCAGATCAGAAACAAACTATTTACTTTGAAGATACAATAGTGGCATAGGCACTGGGTAAACATTCCCATCCCAAAATGGAGAAATTTGCCAAAAGAAAGGAACAACTGACCCCATGCAAAT
Organism: Homo sapiens; assembly: GCF_000001405.40. Classification (NCBI taxonomy): domain Eukaryota; kingdom Metazoa; phylum Chordata; class Mammalia; order Primates; family Hominidae; genus Homo; species Homo sapiens. The sequence continues at coordinate 64,650,915 of NC_000005.10, read as the reverse complement.
CTGAAACCAGGAGGGTAGTTATTAAATCTCACAGCTCCAAAAAAAATCTCCTTTGAGTCCATGCCCCTCATCCAGGGCATACTAGTGCAAGGGATGGGCTCTCAAGGCCTTGGACAACTCCACCCCTATGGCTTTGCAGGGTGTGGCCCACATGGTTGCTTTCACAAGTTTGAGTTGAGTGGCTATGGCTTTTTCAGGCTTAGGATGTCTGATGGTTAATACTGAGTGTCAACTTGATTGGATTGAAGGATGCAAAGTATTGTTCCTGGGTGTGTCTGTGAGGGTATTGCCAAAGGAGATTAACATTTGAGTTGGTGGACTGGGAGAGGCAGGCCCACCCTCAATCTGGGTGGGCACCATCTAATCAGCTGCCAGCAGGGCTAGAATAAAGCAGGGAGAAGTTGGAAAGAGCAGACAAGTAGAGTCTTCCAGCCTCATCTTTCTCCCGTGCTGGATGCTTCCTGCTCTTGAACATCAGACTCCAAGTTCTTCAGCTTTTGGACTCTTGGACTGATGCCAGTGATTTGCCAGGGGCTCTTGGGCCTTTGGCCATAGACTGAAGGCTACAGTGTTAGCTTCTCTACTTTTGAGGTTTTGGGACTTGGACTGGCTTCCTTGCTCTTCAGCTTGCAGACAGCCTACTGTGGGACTTCACCTTGTGATTGTGTGAGTCAACACTCCTTCAATAAACTCTCCTTCATATATACACCTATCCTATTAGTTCCGTCCCTCTAGAGAACCCTGACTAATTCAGGGTGCAAACTGCCGGTGGCCTTACCATTCTTACATCCCAGAATGGAAAGGGTGGTGGCTCCCTTCTCACAGCTCCACTAGGGAGTTCTCTGCTGGAGATTCTGTATGGGGGCTCCAACCCCACATTTCCCCTTGGCACTTCCCTAGTAGAGTCTCTCTGAGAGGCTCCATCCCTGTGTCAGGCTTCTCCCTGGGCACCAGGCTTTCCCATACATTCTTTGAAATCTAGTTGGAAGCTGATAAGCATCTTTTACTCTTGCATTTGGTGAACCTGCAAGCTTAACACTATGTGGAAGCTCCCAAGGCTTATGGCTTGTGCCCTGTGGTGTAGCAGTGTGAGCTGTACGTGGGGCCCTTTGAACTGAGGCTGGAGCCAGAGCTGTCAGGATGCAGGGAGCAGTGTCCTGAGGTCTAGCAGGGCAGAAGTGTCCTGGGCCTGGACCATGACACCATTCTTTCCTCTCAGGCGTCTAGGCCTGTAATGGGAGGGGATGCTTTGAATAATCCTAAAATGCCTTTGAGGCCTTTTCCCATTGTCTTGATTATTAGCATTTGTCTTCCTTTTAGTCATGCTACTCTCTCTAGCTAGTGATTACTCCACAGCCTGCTTGTATTCCTTTCCTGAAAATGCTTTTTCCCTCTTTGCCACATGGCTAGACTGCCATGGAGATTTTCGCTCGAAGTTACATTTAAAAATGCTTATCTCTATTATTTTACCAAATTTCTTATTTTTTAAAATTTCAAAACTATAGAAAAGTTGAAAGAATAATACAATGAATACTCTGCATACCCTTTGTCTGGTTCATCAATTGTTAATACTTTGCTACATTGGTTTTATCTCACTGTCTCTGTGTGTTTGTATATATGTATGGTTTCTTCCTGAACCATAAGAAAATAAATTCAAACATTAAGATATGCATACCTAAATACTTCAGTATGAATCACCTGATAACGAAGTATCATCCCACAATAGGCACAATTCCTAGAAAGTTGATAATAATGCCATAATGTCATCTAATATCTATTTTATATTCCCCAATGTTTCCAACAATGACTTTTATTTAAAAATTCAGGATTAGTCAAGGATTACACATTTCATTTGTTTGGTATGTTCCTCATTGTTTTTAACCCAGAAGAGTCCTTCTGGGTTTTTTTCACTTTTTTTGTGACTTTTTTGATGACTTATTGAAGAAATTAAGCTAGCTGATTTATAGAAGACTACTCATGGTGTAATTAAACTTGTTATCTTCTCTGTATTTCTTATAAGCTTTAAGTTAGATCTAGAGTCTTGATCAATCTCAGGTAAACATTTTGGGTAAAATATTTCCATATTTCATAATGCATCACATCAAGATGCATATAATGTTAGGTTGCCTCATTATTGATAATAATGTTTGAATAATAATACTAATACATTTGATCACTTGATTTGGGGCTGCCTGTCAGACATTTCCATTTTTATTAGTAAGCGATCTATGAGGTCATATTTTGGGATTGAGTTTTCACAGTGTCTTTTCACGCTGTGGTTTTAGAACCCATTGAGGATTCTTGTTCTCAGCCAATTATAACATTAGGAATTGAGTTACAAAATGGTGATTTTTTTTCCTTCTATTATTTAACCTATATTTATTAGCTGCATTAAAAAATAAAGATGAGCTTTTTTCTCTCAAGTATAACTATAGACTTTTAGAAGTTATAATCAATTATTGTCATTATTCTCTTTGATGCTCAAATTAAATTTAGTGCATACATTATAATTAATGCCAAATCTGGCCAGCGCAAGTCTCTATAAGCCAGCTTTTATCTCCCTTTGATATAACCTAATCAGTTCTGAGGACTGCTTTGCTTTGTGAGAAGATGCCCTGGTTCCCCTTAAACATTCTCTGCTGCTGCCCTGGAGTCAGCCATTTTCCAAGGTGTGTTATTACTTTAATGAGGAATGGTATTTAGAAACCCATCTGGGCATGGGTGAATCCTTAATGATGAAATTTCAGGCATTGCTGTTGGCTTTTTGCAAGAGGCCTTTTGGAGTAGTCATGCCCTTCCGAAAGCTTCTGTAATCATGCTACATATAATGCTGAACATTGTTCCTCAAAGGCATGAGACTAGCCTATGAGCCAGATACCATCTTGGAGCTTCAGAGAGCTGGATGAAACTGAGAAGGGCTGATTAGAGCAGAATCTACCATCTTAGTTTCAACCTATATGTCCTAAAACAAAATTATTTATGGAGAAAATTATGGTCTCTGCCCGCCCCCAGCTTTCTTACCCCACCTAGGTTATTGAACATAGTCCAAAGCTAAAACTTCTTCCAGGTGTCCTCCTTATTGTCTGGTTTACTCCACCCTTAGAATTAGTATAGTCATCTAAGAACGGATCCTAGAAGAATTAAGTAGTAGGCTTATTTGTTCAAGGGCCTTATTAGTCTACAGGCCTCAGGCTATACCCTTGGCCTTATAAACTCTCCCTTGGCCTTAACAGGATGAACATGGAATATCCAGTTACTAGAAGTGAACATGTATGGTTTGTGTAAACTCTACATGCCAATGTATGGATACATTTATGGATCCACCATACGCAATTTAATTTTCTGGTTTAAAGTTTCTTGTTCTAGCTCTGCAGAGCAGACAGCAGGTGACAGGACCCCTGCCATTCTGTACAGAGTTTACTGGTCACCCAATCAGGATTTGAACCAAAGGATCTAGAAATAAGTCTTTAGAGTTTAATGTAGAATTGGGTCTGATAGCTATGTGTAAGTGAGAAAGTAAAGAAAGATGGCTGAGAGATTATGGCAATAGGACTAGGCTGTAAAAAGACTGGGGTGAAGGATACCATACCATTACTAAGAACTATTTCACCTCTCAGGGTCATTCCCTGTCTTTGGAGTCTGTGAAGCATCTGTATCCTTGAAATTAACTTCTTTCATTCATAGAATTAGTTTGATTGTTCTTTGCAACTGGCAAATCTTGGCTTCAATACTATACAGTATAATGGTGCATATTGCTTCTTTCATTCTTTTTTGTTATAGAGAATCGTTGTGTTTTGGGTTATATTATCTGCAATTATCAGATGAATAGAACATTTTCAAATATTTGCTTAGGGGAAAACTGCATATAAAATATTAAATGAACACTACATCTACTTCTTTTGCAAGAGCAGTCAATTGTTTTGTGGATCTGTGCCTCTTTAGCTAAGACTTGATTTAATCTGTCAATAAGCAATCCAATCAACAGAAGCCTAGCAATGCTCTGATCATATGTCAGTCTCACACATGTATCTAGTTATATTAACCTCTCTCTAGATCCAGCTGTGGTTGTACCTATTGTGGAATCAAACAATACTCATAAGTTGAGAATGGTAAATGTTTTTGGATAGTGAGTCATAATAAAGTAAAAATGTGAAATATAAAAATACCAAGGGAGTAGAAATTTTAATTTGGGGTATGGAAAGAAAAATGCAGAAAATGACTTTGGCTGAATGTAGTTTGGTGTTGGTGTATGTTTGACCTCTTCCTGAGTCTGGCCAGCTCCAAAGCTGCCTGTCAGCTCCAGACCTGGGCACTGAGACAGTAGGTTCTGTTGTGAGGTGTTGGGCACTGTAGTAGATGTTACTGTTGCTCCTTACCCATTCTCTTCATTAGGCTGCATCAGGCCCTCCTCCTGCTGCTTTGCATGTTAGTTGGTAACAGCTCACAGGTGTACCCTTCTCCTGAGAATTGCCCCATGCCAACAAGAGCCACTTCACCTGGACTTGCTTGAGAAGTTACAACCTCCCCTCAGGGTTCCTCCCAGTCAACGTCTGACTGACACGTGAGTACAACAGTCTGGCCCTCTTGTCTCCAGTTAAGATAACTCTGTGGTGTTACTGTTGTCCAGAGTTCCCCGTGGGGTCAGACAAAAGCTAGATTTAGACAAAAACCACACCTTTGACTGTTTTTTTTCCCTGCCCCCATGCTTCTTTCCTCATTCCTCTGCAGATTTCACCTGAGGATATTCAATAAGGCACTTGCTCAGTAGTTCCCATCTCAGCTCTCTTTCTAGGGGACCCAAGTTAACTAATCTAATATTTAATTTGACTAAGCAAAGATGGTCTTTTGCTTTGTTACTCTCTGTAGCTTTGCTAGCACGTCAGTGGAGGAATAACTATCTGAGCTGATCCTTTCATATTCAACTATAGGTGTGCTCTGTGAGGAGTCCTCTCCATTTCATCATGTTTACCTTTGAGCACCTGGCACTGGAGTTGTCTTAGGGAGGAAAATGTTTTTGTTTAGGGAAATACCTTGCTGAGTTGCTTGAGAGTTGAAAGAGAGACCCTAAGGCCATGTGCTTAAAGAGGATGATGAAACAAAAGATGGATATACTGATCTGCATAATAATAAACAAAGATTTTATACTGGGGTTAATCAGGAAGATTAGAGGGTTTGGGGAGGAGAAGGAGAGGGAAGTCTGGCAATAAGATAGAGGGACAAGAATTTCCAGTGGTGTGATGTCCAGAAGACACTTAAGACCAAAGACATCTAATACTCATTTTGAGTTGTGTTGTTACGAAGAAAACTCCCTCTGACTCTAGATGGTTCAGTATAAACTTAATTTGGCAGAACATCCTAGTGGGGTGGGAATGGGGGAAATTAAGAGTCAGGGTAGTAAAAACACCAGTCCCATACTCACTCCTTTGCTGACACCCACAGGGGTTAGCAACATCCCTTCAAGGGAGCAGCAGGCCTTGTGTCCTGGTAGCAGCTAGCAGTAAAGTGAATGATGGCCCACGGGGTTGCTAACAGAGGCAGAGAGAAGCAGCTGTGGTGTGAAACTAACTCAGGACAGGCAAGAGCCAAACCCTCCTTTCCCCCAAATAAACTAGAAGAATACCACTTAGAAGCAGGGAGAGAAGGGCTGACATGTGTATTCCACAAACACACACACACACACACACACACTCAAGTTGGTACTAACTATTGTGACCTTACAGTCTTTAATAAAATTCTGGCAAAATGGCACACAAAGCATTAAAATTTGTAACATGGTTATATAACCTTTATTTGGCTTTCTTTCTTTCTTTTTTTTTTTTTTTTTTTCCAGAATAGACAACATTAGAGCCTATTAGTGTTGGCCTTGGGAAGATTAAGTGCTTTTGGAAAGTGTACCCTGTTATAAACAAAAGACAAGCACAATCTGGTAACTAAAAATGTTTTCCTAAGAGGACAGAGATGTACTTTTTCTTCCTCCCTCAGTCCTATTGATTTTTAAATGTCTGATCTCAAATATTCACCTTCATGAAGCATCTACTAACCTTTTCCAAATCAGCACAATCTCTTCCTTCTTTGAGCTCTGTATAAGTTATTATTTAAAGAGCTTATAAGTTAATATTAAATTTTGCTATGTTTCATAGTGTTATATCCAATCAGGACTCATCTCGGGAAATATAAATTAAGACAGAGACATTTGGCAGAATTTCAAGAGACTGGCCACATGGAATTCTTTTTGTTTTTTTGAGACGGAGTCTCGCTCTGTCACCCAGGCTGGAGTGCAGTGGCGCGATCTCGGCTCACAGCAAGCTCCGCCTCCTGGGTTCACACCATTCTCCTGCCTCAGCCTCACGAGTAGCTGGGACTACAGGCGCCCGCCACTACGCCTGGCTAATTTTTTGTATTTTTAGTAGAGACGAGGTTTCACCATGTTAGCCAGGATGGTCTCGATTTCCTGACTTCGCGATCCGCCCGCCTCGGCCTCCCAAAGTGCTGAGATTACAGGTGTGAGCCACTGCGCCCGGCCGGAATTCTTTATCCTAAGGAAGTCAACCCACATGCCAGGCCAAATGTAATTCAGAGAAAGGTTTTCATAATGATTTTATAAGTGCCAAAAATACAATAGCTAATACTAAAATAGCATGTACTATATGCAAGTTCTCTGTTCACCTTAATTCATCTAATTTTCTTTGTGATCCTATGAAATAAGGACTGCTATTATCCTCATTGTACAGATGGCATAGCTGAGGCAGAGAGATGCTAAACAGCTTGCTTAAAGAAGTAGCAGAGTCAAGATTTGAACCCAAGCAGTTGGCCTGGCTCCAAAATCCATGCTCTTAACTGGTAAGTCTTCACTGCCTACCATATAATTTTAAAAAATCTTGGTTTACAAATTCCACTCTTCTCCTGCCAAAATACCATAACCTCTCACATGACAAAGCTAACGAGGGTAGACAAAAAAAGAATAGAGTCAGGAAAGTTTTTTCCTTTCCCTCTATCCTGGGATGTCTCTAAGTCTGTAAATTCTTGAATGTCTGGTATTTCCTGCTTTTTAAGATAACATTTAGGCATTCATTAATACTAAAGGATCTAGGACTCTGCTATACATCTTATTGGCACATATCAACTATCAAACATCTTGAAATACATATATTTCAAGATATAGCTGTGGAATGAGTCCCAGGTCCAGAACTATGTTTATTAAGGTAATTATTCTAACCCAATTATGACAGAGGGTAAGGCAGATATATTCTCATTCACTTTCCTTTGAAAACTTCCTTTAGTAAAAAAATGGGGAAAAAAGCTAATTTAAAGACTGTCTGCCCTTCGTGAGTTTACCAGTCATCCTATTTTAATATTTTTCATTTCTCTTTGATGAGTATAAGTATGATGAATATATAATTATTTGTATTTCTTCCCGTTTTCCTTACTGGACTGAACAACTAAAGGGCAAGAGTGTATCATATCATAATTCCACATTACTTTGCACAATGCCGTGTCCCTTAAAGATGTATTGAATTTGGTTGATTAAAGACATTAGGTAGATGTTGCATCTGTCAAGGTTTGAGCAGAAAGTAGAACAAAAATTAATAATAAGAATCAAAAGGAAATAGAAAAAATGTAAAGAAAGGACTGTGTACAGAGATGTGGGTTTAGGTAGGATGATGAAACATACACAGATGTTATGGGCTGAATGTTTGTGTCACTCTAAATTTCCTGTTGAAATCCTAACTCCCAATATGATGATATTAGGAGATGAGGCCTTTGGTAGGTGGTTAGGTCACGAAAGCAGAGCCCTTGTGAATGGTATCAGTGACCTTATAAAAGAGACACCTTGTCTCCTTTCGCCACCTAAGGATACAAGATGGCAGTCTGCAACCCAGAAGAGGCCCCTCACCAGGAACCGACCATGGTGGCACCTGTATCTCAGACTTCTGGCCTCCAGAACTGTGAGAAAAAACATTTCTGTTTATTGAGTCACCCATTTTATGGTACTTTGATATAGTAGCCTGAAAGGACTAGGACAAGGGACTAGTAGGCACAGGAAGCTGTTACCTTCCCTGGATATGAAGGGAAAAGGAGAGGGTGTGGCTACTGGAATCTGGTGAGAGCTATAGCTATAGGAAAAAGGCTGCCTAGCAAAAGTTGTGAACTTGGGTCAGGGAACACAGCCACTGTGGAACTGTTACCTACCTAGAGAGAGAAAGAGAAAGAGAGCTGGTGGAACAGTCACCTGGACCTCTTTCTCTTCCTGTAGTTAGGTCTCCTGGAAGAGCCTCCCAACAGACAGAGTAGAAACAGTTGAAGAGGAATCTGGAAGGGCACATGGAGAACATGCAGCAGAAGGTATATAACAAGGTTCATGCATTCGTTCAACAGCAATCGGTCACTTAATATGTGCAAAGCACCAGACTCTGTCATGTGGGAGAAACAAAGATGAAAATGGCACTATTCCTGTGGCAAGTGGTTATTTACATTTCGGAAAGGATTCCTAATGGATTGCAGTGAAAGAAAAGGTTTCAGTTTTTTAAGTGTTCCTAAAAGTATGTGCACATGTTTAAAATGGACTTGTAATGGAAAGCAATAGTTTGCTATTGTTATTATTATTATTATTATTATTATTTTGAGACAGAGTCTTACTCTGTTGACCACACTGCAGCGCTGTGGCAGCGATCTTGGCTCACTACAACCTCCATCTCCTGGATTGAAGCGATTCTCCTGCCTCAGCCTCCCAAGTAGCTGGGACTACAGGCTGCGCCACTATGCCCGGCTAATTTTTTATTTTTTGGTAGAGATAAGGTTTCACCATGTTGACCAGGCTGGTCTCAAACTCCTGACCTCAAGTGATCCACTGGCTTCTGCCTCTCAAAATGCTGGGATTACAGGTGTGAGTGACCACGCCTGGCCTAATTTGCTGTTCTATCCTACTCACCACCAGTCTTTCTTCTTAGAGGTTGAATTTGCTTAGTTCTGATGATAATCTCCAAATCTCTAAAAATATGCTTACACTTAAATTTTGGTTGGGCACCTGTAGACACTATTAACTTCCTTTCATGGATTTTTCTCTGGAACACAGCTTCAGAGAAAAGGCCTTCATTTAATAACAGCAGCAGATCCCCCTCCTATGTAGATATAGTTCTCTACCCAGTCACCCCAATTTGAGGTCACTATCAACTGAGAAACTGCACCCAGGCTTGCAGAGCCTCCAATCAGCTCTTAGTATCTCATACTTTTGCTAAAATTTAATTTTAATTTTTTCATAGCAATAGATGAATCGTTTCAAAAATCAGTTAGTATTACAATGCTTATAATGAAAAAAACAAGTCCTTGTTCCCTGTACTATTCCATTTTCATTTTCCTTTAGACAAAGGTACTATTTTCAAATCTGTTAGCTATTTCTTCTAATATTTGTCGCTATATATATATATATATATATATATATATATTTTTTTTTTTTTTTTTTTTTTTTTGGGATGGAGTCTCACTCTGTCCCCCAGGCTGGAGTGCAGTGATGCAATCTTGGCTCACTGCAAGCTCCACCTCCCAGGTTCATGCCATTCTCCTGCCTAGGCCTCCTGAGTAGCTGGGACTACAGGTGCCTGTCACCATGCCCAGCTAATTTTTTGTATTTTTAGTAGAGATGGGGTTTCACTGTGTTAGCCACGATGGTCTTGATCTCCTGACCTCATGATCTGCCCGCCTCGGCCTCCCAAAGTGCTGGGATTACAGGTGTGAGCCACTGTGCCCGGCCTGTCACTATGGTTTTAAATATATACTGCTAACATTTAGATACCTACACATCAAAAATATTCATAGCAGTATATAGATAGCATTATGTTTACAAAATGCTTTTGTTTTTGTTTACAAGAATTTTCTTTACAAAATTCTTTATTTTGTAAAAGAAAATAAAATTCTTTATTTTTCTTTTTTCTTAGCCTTTATTTCTTCTGCCTTTTCATTCCAATATCTTCACACCTCTAGCTGACATTTCCAAACGAAAATTCAATACTTTAAGGATTAACCAATCATAGTAGAGCAAAAGGAATGTATCATAATGCCCACAAGCATTTAATACTTGTACTCTGGAGATATACATAAACTACATTAACAAATTTATGTTGTTTGTTTTAGGAAATTTTAAGAAACTATTGATTTAAAGATAGACTTGTATATGAACATTTCATCAAAAGTTATTTTGTTTTCAGATTCCTATTTATTAGTTTATATGCTTTTTCGTTCTTCTCCAATATTGTATTCACTCTTTTTTTGATACAGGGTCTCACTCTGTTATCCAGGCTAAAGTGCAGTGGTGCGATCACAGCTCACTGCAGCCTCAACCTCCCAGGCTCAAGCCATCCTCCCTCTTCAGCTTCCTGAGTAGCTGGAACCACAGGTGCCTGCCACCACACCAGGCTAATTATATTTTTGTAGAAATGAGGTCTCACTACATTGCCCAGACTGGTCTCAAACTTCTGGGCTCAAGCGCTTCTCCCACCTCAGCCTCCCAAAGTGCTAGGATTATAGGCGTAAGCTATTGCACCTGGCCATATTCATTCTTTAAAAACACCCAATATTCAATTTATGACCTACTGTGACATGAAGATTATTTCTTTATTTTCTGCCTTTGCATTTTCTAAGTTTTTCTTCTTTTTAATTGAAATAAAAAATGTTATAGAATATATTTAGGATCCAAATGAGATATAAGTCTACGGGTATGTCTCTTTATCTCATTTGGATCTTAAATGTATTCTATAACACTTCATTTATTTTTTTCCCGGAAATATCTATATACTCTAGGTCTGTGTGTTCAACAAATTTGTAAGAAGAATATTATGTTCCAAAGTTGTTTTTAAAGAACCAATTCAGTTCCATTTCTGAATACCATATTTCCCTGTCATTACAAAAATCCTTTTGAAAGCATTCTTTCTACTAAATGATTTGGTATGGTGTCTATTTTGAGCATATGAGCAAGCACAATTATTTCTAAATCAGAGCAAAGCTACAGCTGAAAATTCCTTTAAATTCTGTAAGCCTTTAGTAGAGTTCATATGGATGTCCTCATCACAGAACAAAGACAAGGCACTTCAATTCAAGAAGCTTATGGAGTGGCACATACATAGTATAGGTAAATATAAGACAGATGGTATCGAGAGCCAGAATGTGTGATACAGGCAAGCAGTGCTTATAGGGTTTCAAAAAAAGAAAAAATGGAGATATCAATGTGGGCTGAAGTCATTGAGGGGAGGTTCCATTGGGGAGCCTTGAGCAGGGAGAGTAATCAGGAGAGGACACTGAGAACAAGAGACAGTACTGTGGCGGGGTGAATGGGGCAGGGTAGGGGAGTTGGGGAGAGTTGGTATTCTGGGAGATCAGGAAGACACAGACTTGCATACATTGAGTTGGAGCAAAGAGAGCTAGAATCGAACCAATTAGGCAGGGATACTGTGAAGTATGGCATTGGGGGTAATTTTGATTATAAGGGTGTCTTACTACAGATGCTCCTGGGGACACACAAGCCTCATCTTTTGGTATGTTGGCCTTAGAAAAAATGTTGCACGCTGTGCACCAGCAAAGTTTAGCCAGGACAAAGAATTCTGTATTTTGTGGAAATACAGAGTGGTTTGAAGTAGAGACAACTGAGTGTCTCAAAGATAGCACAGGGCAGGCAAGCTCCAGGCAAAAAAGACTTGTAGTTTTTCTGTGAATTTTCACAGGGTCAGCCCAGGTTGCTTCAGGGTTATTTGTATCATTCATCCCCCCTTGCCTCACCTGCCTCCCAACCCCATTTTCCCCCTTTCCTCTGTTGCATTCTGGTCATGCGAGAAGATTTAGAAAAGACTAGAACTGTATTTGGAGAGCCACTCACACCAGATTTGTGACTAGTCATGCACAATTCATTAGATTTTATGTTTATACCATAATGGTGAAGCTGCAGATGCTGATATGAAAGCAATATAAATATATTTTAAAGTGCTTTCAGATAGTGCAAACTTTGAGTTGCTAAGACCATACAGAGTAAAAATAAACATCATGGGAGTGAGGATTCTCTGTATTTTCTTCCCTGTAGGCTGAAACAGATCAATTTACTAAAAAGCAGTTTATCAAAAGATTTGTTTGCTGGAAAACCAATTTGCAGAGCACCAGTTTGCCAAATAGTGATTTATGGACTAGCAATTAGCTGATTGAGTAATTTATTAAAGGACCTATTTGCTGAATTATCAATAGAGTAAAAACTTTTTCTATAAACTATTACAGCAGAATGGCATATTAACTTATTCTATCAATAAAAGTGCAAAGAAAATGTGGTTGACAATTAATCTAATTTTTCTTATATGCATCCCCTCCCTGACTCCTACTCTCTTGGGTAGTGTGGGCCAGGAGAACTGCAAGTAAGGATTTATCATTCTATTCTGATTTCAATGGTTTCCTTTTAGTCTCTGACTTTCCAGTAAGTGTTTCATCGTTCACAGTTCTTCGCCCAATGCCTTGTCCCTGGCAAAGGTGGCTCTTGGGGTCCTGGTCTTATGTTCTTGAGGCAATGGCGGGAAGGAGAGGGGACTGTGATCTGTGAGTGGATCTTTGTGCTCCCTGGCTTCTGCCAAAATAATGGCCCCCTTCCATCTTGTCACTGCTCCTCCTGCTGGCTCCCATTGCTGAAGTTTACTGACGAAGCAGGCAACCTTGTGGTCTAGTTTCTCTTTGTCTTGTCTTCTCTGAGGTATTGTCCATTGATTCAGACCCACCTCAGCGGTCAGGGATATGGCGTTTCCCCCTGACATCTGGCTGTGAACTCCCATTTGGTTCTCACTCTGGGTAGTTGCCCTGTAGACATGGCTCGCACTGTAGGATGAGCCCAAGAAACCTATCAGTCAGCAGCATTAACCCCTTTGTGTCCTACCACATGCCACACGGAGCGACAGCAACTTTCCATATCCCCGGGAGCTCGGGAAGACTTAGCAATGCCCCAATGCCATGTGACCTTATAACCCTTCCAGGTTTACTCTGAAGTGGCTGGAGCTGCTGAGAGGGCCATTCATATGATTGTGCCCCCCTGGAATTGTGTGATGCAGGGGGGTAGCTCTGTAAAGTCTGCAGCTTTCTCTTCAGACTGTCTAGCTTGCTCTTCTTTGATAGCCTAGAAGTCAGAAGTCAGACAACAAATACTGGAAGTCTTGCTTTCTGTATTTCTGTCCTCTTCTCTTCTCCATAATCTCCTAGTGTCTGAAAGAGGCCAAATTGTCACTTCCCCCTGGCTTGTTAGAACTTCTCCTCCATTCTATCCTTTCCTGAAGGGTATTCTCACTCCTCTCCATCCTTCTCTGGGGGCTATAATGACAGAATGGCTCTCAGCCTGAGAACTTAATTTACTGGAGAGAAGAAAGGAAAAAAAACCCCACCCTATCAGCTTGATATTTTCAAAACTTCATTTTCATGACATTTTCTCCCTAGTCCCCTCCCTCCACACAGTTGGATACGTGGGGCTCACTGCCTGTGGAGGGAGCAGACTTTACAGCAAGACTTGAGGTTACACAGAGGGAAGTGCCCCGGTGGGGCCACGTCAGGAGAGAGGAACACGAGGAAGCCGCAAAAAATCATCAGCCATTGACTCCAGTTGCTGATGTGGCAGTGTGACATGAGGCAAGGAACGCGTTGGTAAGAGAGCCACAGGCCATGTCACGTCTGACACCCATCTCCTCACAGGATTTATGTGGGGATGCCATCTTTGTGAGGAGGCTGGGGAGGAACATCTGAGGGGCAGCATGTCGCTGAAAGGGCCATTTGTACTGAAAAGAAATGGTTGAAACTGAAGAGATTAAGATATGTCAGGGTGGGTGAAGATTAGAAAAATAAGAAAGCTACATTTACTTTTCACATTTGAAAGTAGTTTGAGTGAACTTGTACAATGACTTTAAAAGTTTATAGCCATTCACTTTTCATAGATGCTACCCCATGTTCAGTGTACTTTTTGGAATAACAATTTATTGGTTATTTAATTTCTGGCATTGTGCAATTTAATTTCTGGCATTGAATAACAATTTAATTTCTGGCATTGTACAGGTCACAAATATCAAAGATTTTTTGTGACCTGTACAAATATCAAAGCACTTTTTGGAATAACAATTTATTGGTTATTTAATTTCTGGCATTGTGCAATTTAATTTCTGACATTGAATAACAATTTAATTTCTAGCATTGTACAGGTCACAAGTATCAAAGATTTTTTTTCTTTTAAGGAGGGCATTGGCGTCTTTATCCCAAAGTATTTTCCGTTCAGTCTTTTGGCTTTCCTAATGCGCTTAATGACTTTGCTTTCTGGAGTGGGACAGAAGGCAGCAGAATCACAATGATGTCCAGGGAATTGTGTCTGGGGTGGTTTTCCCACATTTGTGTACATACCATCTACTTTGTGTGTGAGCACATTCACACATACACTCTCCTGTCTACCTCAACTCTGAGATCCCACTTTATTTTTAGGTTCTTAGGGGCATGTTAATCTTCACATATCCAAGAGAGTTTAAAGGGTGAAGCAAGGAAAGACTGACCATTTGTGTATATATATTCAATGTTGATGAAGTGCTTACGTATCTGAAATATGAAAGAGCTTGGTTTTGCCTTACGCCATGTTAAGGTAGAGGCAAGCAGAGAAAGGTTCTTCTCTTCTGTGCACAATATCTTTCAGTTCCTGTACTTTGCTGTCCCCTTTCAAAAAGTCGTCTCTGAATACTAAAACTTCATGGAAGTTTGAACCACGCTGACACTAGATGAGAAAATGATACCAAAATGGCTGAACTATTGAGTCTGGCATCAACAAGAGTGAGTCCAAAGATTGTGTCTTACCTAGGAAACAGCAGAAAAGATTTTTTTTCCTGAGCAAAACACAAAGCTGAATTAGAATTTAACAAAAATTTATTGGCTAGTATTAAGTGTAAGGTGGTGTGCTGGGCACCAGTTGGAGGAGTTTTCACAGTGCTGTTGGACAATCAACAGGTAACCAATGGACAGGTGACTCAGGAAGCTCATCACCAACTGTCCAGGTTTGCTTGGGACTGAGGGTGTTCCCAGGACGTGTGGCTTTCAGAGCTAAAACTGGCAAAGTCGTTGCCAAACCAGGATAAGTTGGTCACCCTACTTATCAGACAACCTCAGCTCCAAATTCTATGATTTTAACCCCAAACCTCTACTGGATCACAATAACCTGTGATATTTAAAGTGTTATTGGACCTGTAGATACTTGCTTTTTGCTAAGCAGATAAGAATTTTTTGCAGGAAAGAATTCTGGTCTTTGGAAAACTGGTTATGCTGCTTACTGGAGCACATGAACTCATAATGTTTTATGTATGTCATTCATAATTAATCTTTGGACTTTATTACATAAAATGAAAATAATCATCACACTCATTTTTTGTGAGGATTCAGTGAAATAATGGGAGAGATGGTGTTTTTCATACTTTAAAGTACAATGCAGATGTGAGATGCTATTATTTCAGACATGCTCCTGTAGCAATAATAGAATAATACAAAACAAAAAATTCATTTTTTTCAATCTCTTATGATAAAGTTTCCCCCTCAACATGTTTTATAATTTAGCAGAATTAAAAATATGTGAAGATACGGTGAAGCACAAGGTATTATTGTACTGCCATCTTGAGGGCATATTGTGAACTACACTTGTATACTTTAAATTGTTTTTCAAAAGCAGTGGTGTTATGTTTTAAATGTATCAGCAACAGTAATTAAGACCATTGGCATAGAGTCTGAAGGCCTCATTAAAAAGCTACTAGTCAATCAGTCATAAGGAATCACATCAAAAATGACTAGCACCAGTCACAGAGCTATGTTTATGAATGAGGCTGGTCTTCTGGAGTGATTAACTGTTAAGACTGGAAGGGACATTATAAGTCAGTTCTTGCAGATGACTTCCTGTCTGCTTCCTGCGCTCACTTGGGGATTTAGCAACAGGAAGAGTAACAGATTTAGGCCTGAGAGATGCCCAGGAAGAGGGAATAGGCAATCTCTGGCACAAAAGAGAGACCGCAGACATCCGGGCTCAACACACATGTATGTATCATCTATGTATCTATATGTGAATGAATGAATGAACAAATGAAACTCTTGTGTCAGGGTCTTTTTTTTGACTCCAGGCTGTCTCTGAGTTCAAGGTAGAAATCAGAGAATCATGCTTATAGCCTCCCATTCTGGGAATATGAGTGCTGGCCAGTGTCCTTCTACCTAATGAGATGGGAAAGTAACCTTCAGAAGACTGGAATTGGAGGAATCTCCTTTTAAATCATTCTCTGGCTTCCTTGGGCTCCATAAGCTGTGCTTCCTAAGGAATCTAAGCAGTATCAAATAAGAGAATCAAAGGATTCAAAGGATTCAATACTGAGTTGGGAGAATGTTTGTTGGGAGGAGGAGAGGACAGGAGAGGAGACAAAAGTCAAGAGTTGTGCTTTTGTTTAGCTAACTCAATCCCTTGTGTCACACATTAGAACTTTACAAAGATTCTTTGCTTGGCCAAACTTTAGTCAGGCTTCTGAGCTTCTTCCTAGGCCCATCTGTGTACTTCCTTGTAAAAATCCAGGTGTAGCAAAGAACTTGCTATGTCAGTTTAGCAATAACCCTTCATCCTTGACCTCTGATCATCCTTGATCATTCTCCACCATCTTCTGGATGATGTCTGATCAGCCTGGCTGGTCTTCAGCAAGAATCCTGTTAGATTGGTTTAGCCAGAATCCCTCCTACCCCTGATGCTTCCTCTCAGTAATTTTCCATCCTCTGACCCCCACCTTGCTCCCTGGCTATAAATTCCCACTTGCCCATGGTGTTTTCAGAGTTGAGCCCAGTCTCTCTCCCACACTGCAAGATCCCATTGCAGTGGTCCCTGTACCTACCATGATGGTCCTGAATAAAGTCTATACCATATTTTGACAAGTATCGTTTAATATATATTTTTAACAGGCTTCAGAAGATGTGGCTGCCTTTCCCCCCAACTCTCATGTTCTACTCAATCTGTGCAGAGTCCTTTTTTCACTGCCACCCTTCTAAGACATACCAGCTTGCCTTTCAGGATAAAGGTTCTCAGATCCATTTCCTTCTTGTGTGGAGTTGTTGCACTTTGACCTGATGTGCCATGTCTAGAGTGGACAAGTGACTCCTGAATATCTTCTTCAGAAATATTATTTCTCTGAGCTTCAAGTCAGTGACTAGTAAAATAAAATGACAAAAATAGAAATATTATTTCTCACATCCACTACAATTTTGTCAGCCAAAATGACTAATAATATCAATTATTGGTGAAGATGTGGAGCACCCGGCATGCTCTGACATTGCTGTTGGAGTATAAAATAGACAACTGTGGAAAATTATTTCCAATGAAATTAAATATATACCTATTCTATAACATGGAAATTTCAGATTATATTCTACTTCTAGATAGATATCGAGAAGAAATGAGTACATATGTCCACAAAAAGAACATTCACAGCAACCTTATTCATAAAAGCAAAAACCTGGAAACATACAAATATCCATCAACTGGACAATGGATAAACAACTGTGGTCTATTTATACAATGCAGTCTCAATAGTAACAAAAGGACAAACTACTGGTGCATGAAACAATGTAGATTATTCTCAAAAACCTTACGCAGAAGAAGTCAGACACAAGAGTTCATATTGTATGGTGCCATTGACACGAAGTTAAAGAACAAGCACAATTAATCTGTGGGCACAGAAATCACGATATTGTTTAACTTTTGTAGGGGAATGTTGACTTTATAGGGTTACGAGGAGAACTTCATAGAATGAGATCGAAGTTTTTATATATTGGCCGGGTACAGTGGCTCATGCCTGTAATCTCAGCATTTTGGGAGGCTGAGGCGGGCAGATCACTTGAGGTCAGGAGTTTGAGACCAGTCTGGCCAACATGGCAAAACTTCATCTCTACTAAAAATACAAAAATTAGCCTGGCCTATGATGCATGCCTGTAATCCCAGCTATTCGGGAAGCTGAGGCATGAGAACTGCTTGAACTCGGGAGGCAGAGGTTGTAGTGAGCCGAGATCGTGCCACTGTACTCCAGCCTAGGTGACAGTGAGACTCTCTCTCTCTCTCTCTCTCTCAAAAAAAAAAAAAGTTTTTATATCTTGATTTAGTGGTGATCACATGTTGGTGTATAGAAATTGCAAAATTGTTAAGCAATAAGATTTGTACATTTTGTACTTCATGTAAATTATGGCTCAGTAAGGTACTGTTAAAATCTCCTTTCCTTTCCTTCAACTCTTCTACCAATTAGAATTCCATTTAGGTTTACTAGCTCCTCTTTTTAGATCATACTGATAGGGTTAGGTCAGCCTGGAGTAGTTTGAGGAAGCAGGCGGGAGGTAGGAAATTTCCAAAGGCAGCCGCCTCCACTTTGTAACTTCAGTCAGGAGTCAAGTGGTGGCAACTGCTTCAAATGTCACAAAAGAACATCTCCACCTACTCCTTCTGTACCCGGATGGATGTGGCTAGAGAAGAAACACAGCTGTGCTAATTTAGTCTCATATTACATTTTTCCCCAGAAGTCTCAAGTGGGCCCTCTGCAAATCCTTGCAATTGTATTATATTTCATGAGTAAATTTACTTTCCTACTTCCAAAAATTATTTCATGCCCTAACTCTCTCTCTTCAAATCAACAGCACCCTCTCAGCTCTGACTTTGTTTCTTATTTCATTGAGAAAATAGAAGCAATCAGAGGAGAACTGCCTCATTCTTCCATCACCAAGTAGATCAGACTACCTGTATTTGTATTCACACAACCTGACTTCACTCCCATTTCAATGCATCAGTGATTATCAACACGAGCTATATGTAGAATTTTTAAAATGCTGATGCCAAAATCCCACTTCTAGAGATTCTGAATTAATTAATCTACTGTGGGACATCTATTTTTTTCTTTCAAAAAAAATCTCAAGGGATTTTAATATACTGGTGGCATTTAGAAACAGGAATTTAAAATTCCTGTTTGAGTCCCTACCTAAGGGCAAGTCCTCTACTTATAAAGTGGATCCTACACTCTCTCTCACCTTCTCAAAACTTCATTCCTTCAACGAGCTCCCCTCCTTCCTACATGATCAATATTTCTCTCCTGGCTAGATAAGTCCCATCAGCATACAAATATACTCTATTGTCTTAATAATCCTTCTTTCTTGGCTCCACCTTTTTCTCCAGCTGCTCCCCCTTACACCAAAACTCCTTCCAGTAGTTGTCTAATAGTGGCTATCTACATCCCATAACCTCCAATTTTCCCATTAACTTACATTTGTCTCTGTCATTCAACATTAAAATCATCAGCAACCTACATGTTGGCAAACTCAATGACTTCTTTTTTTTTCTTTTAGAGACGGAGTCTTGCTCTGTTGTCCAGGCTGGAGTGCAGTGGTGTGATCTTGGCTTACTGCAACCTCTGCCTCCTGGGCTCAAGCAATTCTCCTGCCTCAGCCTCCAGAGTAGCTGGGATTATGGGCGTGTGCCACCACACCCGGCTAATTTTTGTATTTTTAGTAGAGATGGGTTTTCGCCATGTTGGCCAAGCTGGTCTTGAACTCCCAACCTCATGTGATCCACCAGCCTTGGCCCCCAAAAGTGCTGGGATTACAGGTGTGAACCACTGCGCCCGGCCCCAGTGACTTCATTTTAAGCTTTGACTTATTTCACTTTTCAGCAACATTTAGCACAGTTGATTTTTCTTGAACGCCCTTTCACTAGGCTAGAGCATCACTATCATCTTTCTTTCTTATGAGTGCTTCTTCTCAGACTTCTTTGCTAGCCCCTCTTTTCCCCAAGCTTTAAACCCCAGGTGATGCTCTGGCTCAGGGCCTGCCGCTAATCTTCTCCAGCCACATTGTTTCTCAGGGGATTCTCATCCATTTCCATGTGTGGGTAGTTCACACAGATGTTTCTTGAACTCTCATCTCTTTTCTAAGAGCGAAGCTCATATCTCCTTGCCTCTCTAACATCTCAATTTGGGTTTCACATAGGCACACAAGTTCTCATTTCTCCACAACCATGCCATCCCACAACTTGCAACCTGCAAGTTTTCCACATCTTAGTAAATGGCATCTGAGTCACTGAGATCAAACTTTTTTAGTAGCATCCTTTGTTCCTTTTTTCCATCACTTTATATCCAGCTCACAAACAAGTTTAGATTACTTTCTATTACCACTTCTCCTCATATCCCATTGTTACCAGTCTCATCCATGCCATCATCCTCTCTTATCTCGGCTATTTTAACACTGTCTTAACTCTGCTTCCACTTTTGCTCTACAGTCTGCTCCCACACAGCAGCCAATAAATCTTTAAAATATAAATCAGATCATGCTACACCTAAGCTCCCCCGTGCCCTCTCCTAAGGGCTTCCCATAACACTTGGAATCAAATCCACACTCCTTAACATGACCTACAAAGTCTCACATTTGCTACCATTCCTACCAGTCTCCTTTTCATTCACTCTGCTTCAGCCACATGGATTTATGTGTATCCCCCATAAGGCCAAGCTTGTTTCTCCCTCGGTCATTGTTTCTTCCTCAGTCATTACATCTTTTGTCCCTCTTCCTAAAAAGTTCTTTCTAGACATCTTCATATGTCTGGCTCTTTCACATTGTCCTGGATTCTGCCTCCATGTTGTCTCCTCAAGAAGCCTTCTCTAATCACCCACTGCAGAGTAGAGGGAAGAATATTTATTTATATTGTTTACTGCTGTCTTCCCTAGGACTTGACACAAAGGCAGCTCTTAGTGAACAGCTGTTTAATGAATGAATGTTTTGTGCTGCCTTTAGCATGAGAGCCTTGGTATCCACCCTAGGATATAAGACACAAGGTGGCTGTGTATCTGTAGGAAACAGACAAGTGGTGTGAAGAGAGTTTAATTTAAAAAAAATGTAAAAAGTGTGGACAGGATATAAGGAAACCACAAGAGATAGTGTGGCCCTCCAAGAATATTAACAATGGGATGCCTTTACAACTCTTAGGGAGCAGAACCTAGAGAGAGGGTTGCATGGGGAGGACCATCTGCCAAGAGTCGAGACATTCGATCACTGCATGTAGTCAGCCCACTGTGACCCTGCAGGGAGACAGTCAGTGTGACACATGTCCTGATTTCATTGTCTTTCTCCTCCCTCCTCCCTCCTGTCAGGCTCCCCTTTGACAGACACATTTGGAAGCCAAAGGGCAAGGGAGCCCACTGATGGAATTCACATGGCTAATCCTCCTGGGGCACAGAGCAAGTTGGAGAAGATTAGAGATAGAGCTGGTGGAGCAGAAGAATATCTAACACTCATGCCTGGAGTTGGAAAGTAGCTTGTTTCCCCCCAGTAGACAGGTTGACTAAGTATTTAAACGGCTGCTTATTGTTAGGAACACATTATTCTTTTTAGAGTTTGTCTGCCCCTTGCATGGTGAGCTGCTCGAAAGCAGGCATCTCTCAGTCATGGATCATATGCACAAAGTATAGTTGACCCATGGTATCTGAGGGTTCCACATCCATGAAGTCAACCAACTGTGGCTTAAAAATATTCAGAAGGAAACAATAAAAAATACAAATACAATAATAAAAATAACAGATAAAACAATATAGTATAACAACTATTTACATAACATTTACATTGTGTTAGGTATTATAAGTAATCTAGGGTTGATTTAAAATATATGGGAAGATTGCACAGGTTATTTGCAAATACTATACTACAGCATTTTATGTAAGGGACTTAAGCATCTGCAGGCTTAGTATCTGTGGGGGTGGTGGGGGTTGGTGGTGGCGCAGGGAACCAATCCCTGGTGGATGCCAAGGGATGACTGTATGTGGTGAAGCTATCCAAATATCCTTTAGAATGGTAATACTTTTCCAAACAGTTCATGAAGTTCTCTTATCTGTGGTTCTTTAAGTTTGTATAGAATTTTACTACTTATGGAGGTTTCATAATAGCTTGGAAGATCAGTAGGACGAATGTTATTATCTCTGCAGGGCTGATAAAGAAACTATGGACAGGGGTCCGTGACTCCGTGCTACACGATGGGTGTAGCTGGAGGTGAAACCCAGAACTTTTGACTTAGAGTCTAATGCTCTGTACTATAGAATGCAGCCTTCTTTAGGGAGTCATTTCTGAGGGCTATTCCCACCCCTTCATCCTGATAGGTGTATATAATTATTTCATTGTGGTTTTAGTTTGCATTTCCTTAATATGCTCATTAGGCATCTGTAGATCCTCTTTGCTGAAATAGTTTTTCAATCTTTTGCCTATAATTTTTATCAGTTTGTTTGTTTTCTTTTTATTGAGATTCAAGCACTTTTTATATATTCTGGATATCAATGTTTCATCAGGTATGTATTTTACAAACATTTTCTCCCAGTCTGTGGCTAACTTTTACTTTTTTAAAGTTAATACCTTTAAAAAGAAGTGTTTAATCCATTGTATCTTTCTCTTTTTTTTTTTTTCAGGGTCTCACTCTGTTGCCCAGGCTGGAGTGCAGTGGCATGATCTCAGCTTACTGCAACCTCCACCTCCTGGGCTCAAGTAGTTCTCTTGCCTCAGCCTCCTGAGTAGCTGGGATTACAGGTATGTGCCACCATGCCTGGCTAATTTTTTGTATTTTTAGTAAAGATGGGGCTTCACCATGTTGGCCGGGCTGGTCTTGAACTCCTGACCTCAAGTGATCCATCTGCCTCGGCCTCCCAAAGTGTTGGTATTACAGGCATGAGCCACCACACCCAGCTTAATCCATTGTATCAATGTTTCTTTTTTGATTTGTGTTTTTTGTGTGTATCTAAGAAATCTTTGTCTAATTCATTATAAATATCTTTCTATATTTTTTTCTTAGAAGTTTTTGTAGCTTTAGATTTTACATTTGTGTTGCAAGTTTTGAGTTAATTTTTTAGTGTGATGCAAGGTATTGGTCAAGATTCATTTTTTGCATATGGATGATCAATTGTTCCAGCACCAGTTGTTGAAAAAACCAAACTTTCCATTAAGTTGCCTTGGCACCTTGGTAGAAAATCACTTAATGCCATGTATGTGTGTGTCTATGACTGGATTCTCTATTCTGTTGCATTGATCTGTGTGACTATCCTTTTGCCAATATTACCCTGTTTTTATTATTGTAGTAGCTGTATATTATGTCTTGATTCCGGTAATACGGTTCTCCAATTTTGTTCTTTTTCAAATAGTTTTGGCTATTCCAGTTTCTTTTCTTTTCCATATGAATTTGGAATTAGGTTTGTCAATTTCTACAAAACATCCTGCTAGGATTTTGGATGCTTTGGGTAATATAGACATTTTAACAATATTGATTCTTCTGATCCATAAACATGGAATATCTTTCCATTTTTGTGTGTGTCCTCTTCAACTTCTTTCATTAATGTTTTATAGTTTTCGTTGTAGAGATCTTTCACTTCTTTGGCTAAGTTTATTCCTAGGTATTTTATTTTATTTGTAGCTGTTGTAAATGGGATTACATTCTTGATTTCTTTTTCAGATTGTTTGCTGTTGGTATATAGAAATGCTACTGATTTTTGTATGTTAATATTGTATCCTGCAACTTTACTGAATTTGTTTATCAATTCTAATAGTTTTTTGGTGGAGTCTTTAGGTTTTTCCAAATACAAGATTATATCATCTGCAAACAAGAAGAATTTGACTTTTTCTGTTTTAATTGGTTGCCCTTTATTTCTTTCTCTTGTCTGACTGTTTTAGCTAGTACTTCCAGTACTACATGGATGACAGTTACGAAAGTGGGCATCCTTGTTGTGTTCCATATCTTAGAAGGACTTTCAGTTTTTCCTCATTTAGTAAGGTACTAACTGTGGGTCTATTATATTGTGTTGCAGACCCTGTGGGTCTGCTTTTATTGTGTTGAGGTATGTTCCTTGTATACCCAGGTTTTTTATTTTGTCTTTACTTTTTTATCATGGCACATTGTTGAATTGTATTGAATGCTTTCTCAGTATCAATTGAAATAATCATATGGCTGATCATTTCAATTCTGTTGATGATATGATATAATCACATTGATTGACTTGCATATATTGAACCATCCTTGCATCCCTGAGATAAATCCAGCTTGATCATGATGAATTATCTTTAATTTATCTTTGATTAATTTGATCAGTTTTTATAGTTTTCAGGATATAGATCTTAATGCATATTTTGTTGAATTTTATCTAAGTATTTCAATTTTTGGTGCTGTTTCAAATGATACTTTTTAAAATTTCAGTTTCTAATTGTTCATTTCTAGTATGTAGACGTATACTTGATTTAAAAAACATTGACCTTGTATCCTATGACCTTGCTAAATTTACTTATTAGAGGTAGTACCTTTTTGTAAATTCTTTGGGATCTTTCACATAGACAATTATATCATTTGTAAGTAGAGAAGTTTAATTCTTCCTTTTCAACCTGTTTGCTTGTAATTTCCTTTCTTGCTTTATTTCACTAGCTAGGAGCACCAATACATTAAAAAGTATATGTAATAGCTTTATTGAGAGAATTCACATACTATATGATTTATCAATTCAGTGGTTTTTAGTATATTCACAGAGTTGTGCAACCATCACCATAATCCATTTTATAACATTTTCATCACTCTTAAAGAAACCTTATACTCACTAACCTTCAATTCCCATTTCCCCTGCAACCTCCCTACCCCCTATACTAGGCAACTAGCAATCTACCTTCTGTCTCTACAATTTGCTTATTCTGGATATTTCACATAATTTGAATAATATAATATGTGGCTGAGTTCTTTCACTTAGCATAATATTTTTGGGTTTATTTATGTTGTAGCATATATCAACACTTCAATCCTTTTTATTGCCATTATTATTTTGTTGTATAGGTATACCACATGTTATTTCTCCATTCATCAGCTTCTTGACATTTGTTTTTTTCTAATTTTTGGCTATTGTAAATAATACTGCTACAAATGGTTGTGCACAGAGTTTTGTATGGACATATGTTTTCATTTATCTTGGGTATATTCCTAGGGGGAATTTGCTGAGTCATACGGCAACTCTATGTTTATCTTTTGAGGAACTGCCAAACTGTTTTCTGAAGCAGCTACATTATTTTGCTTTCCTACCTGCAGTACACTAGAGCTTCAATTTCTTTACATCCTAGCCAGCTGTGCTATTTTCTATCTTATATGATAGCTCCAGTAAAATTTTAATAGGAATGGTAAAAGTGGACATAGCTACCTGTTTCTCTTCTTAGAGAGAAAGTATTCAGTCTTTCACCATCAAGTGTTATATTACCTATAGGCTTTTTGTAGATGCACCTTATACTTTTTTGGAAGTTTCCTTTAACTCCTAGTTGCTGGGAATTCAAATTTAATTCCTAGCTTGTTCATTAAAAAAAATCGTGAATGGATATTGAATTTTATCACATGCTTCCCCCCACCTATTGAGATTATCAGATGATTTTCTCCTTGGTTTCTTGATATAGGGAATGACATTGATTCTTGAAAGTTGAACCAGTCGTGCATTCCTGGCATAATCCTCCTGTTGGTCTGGCTGTATTGTCGTCTGTCTGTCTACCTATCTATCTATCTATCTATCTATCTATCTATCTATCTATCTATCTATCATCTATCTATCTATCATCTATCTATCTATCTATCTGGTTGTATTTTACTCACTAGTGTTTTGTTCAACAATCCTTTTGAATATCTTGGTGATTGTTTTGAATTTTCATTAGCTCTTTTTTTTTATTCTGTTGTTGTTTTTCTAAGAATACTCTATCTTGTTTGTTGAGGATGCAATATCTTTCCAAATGTACTAGAGTATAATTAGAACTATATTTTCTCCAGTGTCAGTGTTTCTGATTTGCTTTTTTGATAGTCTTTCTCTTTCAAGTTGTAGACTCTCCTCAAATATCTAGTGATCCTTGTTTGTTTGTTCCTAGTTAAGAATGAGCTGGTTAAAGCTGATTGTCATTTAACTTATGGCTTCATCTTTGGGTAAATGTATGAGGAGCACAGAATAGGTTCTGACATTAGAATTTTGTGGCATAATAGGTTTTAAACTATCCACCCAGCTGTCCTTTAACATTGTGCCAATTTTTAGAAGAACTATTCAGTGCCATGACCACTCTCTCCTATATACTCATGAAGCAAAGCTACTATATGTCCAGTAAGTGCATAATCTTTCTTTTGCATCAGTTTGATGTTTTCTAAGCCTTTTATCTCTCAATAGAAGATGATATCTTGCTCTGTAACAAGTCATACAATTGGCTCAGCTCAGTGAGAGACTCACCATAGCAATATGTAGCAAAAATAAAAATTTCATCTTGATCAAAATTTGAAAGAAATGTGCAATGATACCAATGTTCTAATGAATTTGTAGAAATCTTTTCTAAATCTGAGAAAAGAAAACACAAAAGAAGTTGATTTCTGAATTGGGGATGGGAAGAGGGTTATTTTTAAGTAGAGTGGGTTGCTGAAGGAGGTGGAAGAGGCAAGCCTGGATCAGGTGCCACAGTCAGGTTTCTGAACATTTGGGGGCAATGTGAATGCTGGCCCCACACTTCACCTCTCTCACTTGGGGTGAGTACTCCTCTCTTCACCTATATGGAGGATGGGTTCTGATATAGATAAGTGACAGAATGGAATCCCTAGAGATAGACAGTGTACTGCGTTAAGAGATGGAATTTTAGTAGGAGAGTTAAGGGGATTTCTTAAAAAAAAAAAAAAAAAAAAAGAACTGAATGCAGCCAGGTGCAGTGGCTCACACCTATAGTCCCAGCACTTTGGGAGGTCAAGGCAGGCAGATCTCTTGAGCCCAGGAGTTCAAGACCAGCCTGGGCAACATGGCAAAACCCCTTCTTTACAAAAAAAAAAAAACAGCAAAAAAAAAATTACCTGGCATGGTGGCATGTGCCCATAGTCCCAGCAACTCAGGAGACTGAGGTAGGAGGATCACTTGAGCCTGGGGACGTAGAGGTTATAGTGAGCTGTCATCACACCACTGCATTTCAACTTAGGCAACAGAGTGAGACCCTACCTCAAAAAAAAGAAAATTGAATGGAAACAAATTCTCCATGGGAAAATTTTCTACGTGATGTAGTTTCTTCTTTTTCTCTCTTCCTTCTTAGATACCTAGTGCAGTAGATGGGTTTGTGATAGCTTTTCCTTAGGCATATTATTTCACTTTAAACAGGAAGTTTAAAGGCATAGTGACCCAAGATCACAGGCATAGTGACCCAGGATCACATAGAATGAGAGATAAGTTGACTTCTGCAGTTATGTGTAAGCTAGAATAATACCTCATATCTATGAAGCCAAACTGAGAGCACTCTCCACCATGTTACAGTTTCCTGCATTAAAAATAATATAGACTTTCACCATGTGGAGTTTTGTGGAAGAATTTCTTCATAGGAAAGTTTATCTTGCAGAGTCAAAGGGTAACAGCTGAGGCCGAGCACTGTAAACTTATAACTCAATAGTGGTATTTTCTGGCATCTATTTTAATTTATGGATCTTGGATTATTTTCTGCCAATATATAGTGATGAAGACAGAATTTAGAAACTAAGAAGAAAGCATAGTTAGTCTCTTGGGCATTCTCAACCTCACTTTTGATAGGAAAATGGTAGTTGCTAATTTGAGAGCAAAATACTCTGATGAAAGCCCAGAGTAGAGAATGATGGTTTTGTTGATTCAAAAGAGATCTATATGTTTGACATGTCAGACGATCAGACAGTAATATCAACAACATATTCACTCAAAATGTTTCTTCAGAGATGACTGTGTGCCAGGCAGTCTTCTGGGCACTGGGGATCTAGCAGTGATTAAAAACAGACAATAAACCCTGTCCTCATGGAACTTATATTTTAGTAGGGGGAGACATGATTATAAACAAATTCTGTCATATGTAAGAAGCGGATAAGCTCTCTGGAGGAAAATAAATCAAGGAAGGGCGCTGGAATGCTCGGCCTCCTATTTTAGATAAGATAATTATATAAGACCTCAATTAAAAGCTATTGTAGAAGATGCAGTTGGTGTCTTGCCCAGATCCCCCCTCCTGCGCTAGTGCACCTTCCAGATGCCACTTCACAGCCCACCGCCCCTCTCCTGAGAACTGCCCTCTGCTGATATGCCATCTTTCCTCAAGAGGTTATTCTGCACAGCTCCCTTGCCAGATGGTCCACAGCCAATGCCCCACAAGCATGAGGGTCAAAAGCTGGCTTCTTTGCCTCAAAGGGGTGCAATTAGACAATGAAGTTTATGCCCCAGACCCTGTTCCTTCCACCCCTAACAGTGGATCAGGCTAAGCCTAGATTTTACCTAAGACAATGTCCTTGCTCAGCTCTTTCCTCTAAGATAGGAAAAGAGGAAAGAGCTGAGCAAGGAGAAGAGTATTCCTTCAAAAATATACTAATACATGCATACAAATCCTTATCTTAGGATCTGCTTCTATGAAACCAAGCCTAAGACATTGGGTACCAGAATGGTCCTAGGAGGCTGCTTCTAAGGATAGGATTACTCACCAGACAGATGGCAGTGAGGTTCCTAGCCTGATAGCAGGGACCTAATAGCAGGCTAGGAACCTCACTGCCATCTGTCTGGGGAATAATCCCAATGCTGAGCTTTGGCATGTTCTAGCAGTGTAATTTCTAAGGCATTCACCTATCCTGTTGCAATTTGGACAGGATATAGGTAGGAGGGGATGCACTGGCTCTAGCATAGGAGGACTAACAATTAGGAGGGCTGTGGAAGGGGATGGTCACTGATGAGGGAAAATAGGCTCTGGGCAATCAGTCAACAATCTAAAGCAAACTGTGAGAGTGAGTGGGCCTTTTGGGAAGAACATAAAGAGAACCTCATCTTCTGTAGCTGGAGGGCAGACATACCTGAAGACTAGACACACTAGATTTAGTTTTAAGAGGGGCAGAATTTCAAAGCAGTCTGAATTCGCAATACTAGAGTTAGGGTCCCCATAGAGATGGAGCTCTGGAAAGGGAACTTCTAAATATTTTCCCTTGAGTCTGTTAAATTGCCCAGATTCTCCAGAACCCTCCGAGCCTGCAGAAATGGCTCATTCCACCTTGTGGAAAATAGAGCCACCACCCTCCATTTTGAAGACAATGCAGACACCTCAAATGACACTGGGGCCTTACAAGACAATGCAGGTCTTCCTCATAGGAAGGAAACAGGATCTGCCTGTGTTTCCTTTTCTGGCTGCCAGACCAGTAACTAAGGTGAGATCTACAATGGACATATGCTAGGCTTATGAAAGGAGGTGATGAATTATACACCAAAGGAGCTGACTTATGTGTACCAGCAGAAACCAGAAGAACGTGGATCCTAAGGGTGCTGGATCAAGGGGTGACAAAATATAAAACTGAATAAGAAACACTCTTCTGTGACATAAGATTTCACACTTTCGTAAGGGTCCTGGAAGATGGTTTAAACAGCAGTTAGGGCACTTGGAAGCTTGAAAAAAATGATGGGCCACATTAAATAAAGCTGTGATACAAGAATGACCATGCAGAATATAGAGGAAGGGATTAGAAGACTCAGAGAAGTAAACATACTGGCATAGATCTACTATGAGACTGGAAAACCCACCAGCTGACTCTGTTCCTTGGGAGGATGCAGAGGACACTTTATTTTCCAAGACAATAAGGAATGTCCTAGTGAGGGAGTAGCAGTATTAATAACGAGTTTTGTGGTGTCCATCCTGTGTAGGACAGGGCTGATAGTAGAAGAAGCCGTTATTGAACTGGGATCCTACTAGCAATGGAGATGGTAGGATCCTGGATTAACAAAAGCCAGGGGGAATCATCTAATCATCAGAAGCAAGGTGGGCATAATTGCTGTAATGGGCAGCAGGATCAGAATAGAAGGAAGAGAGGTAAACCTGCAGGGATCTTTGGAGATGGCTGATAATGGTCATCATGTATTCCTATAAGTAAGATAAATGGCAAAGGTTTACTTAAAATATAATTTGAAGGGAGCAAAAATGATGAGCAGAAGGCTGACATCACAATCTCTTATCCAGTTTCCAGATATGAGCCGGTTTTCTCTCCTCATCTACTGACTGGGGGGATACATGTCCATTAAGATGGTCTCTGCAAACTTTCCTCTTGCAAAGTTTGTGCAGTAATGATTCCCCTAGTCCTTCCCCAAATGGCCCTATGGCCATTTATTCAGGACACCAAATGATGGGAAAAGGGGGATACTCTACTCTTTCAAGTGCTTTGGATAAAGGTTCTAAGCCGACACTAATATTCAGGGGCCCAACATCTGTTAGAGGAAGAACAAGTGGAGTCCTGACCAAGATTGGCCTCACAGTGTGTCAGTGGCATCCATGGACCCACCTAGTAATTATTTCTTCTGCTATGAAATATATAACTGAAATGGATATACTTAGCAATTGGCAGTACTATCACATTGATTTGTTGACCTATAGAGGAAGAGCTATTGTAGTAGAAAAGGCCTAGTGGTAGTTTCTCAAACCTTCCAGCCTCATCAAGATAGTTAATCAAAAACATTACATATCAAGGATAATGGAAGAAATTCATGGATGTTGATTCTTATCATATCCCTATTTAATTCACCAGTTTGGGTTCTTCACAAACTGCACAAACCATGGCAGATGCAGTGAGCTGACTGCCACAAGCTTACCCAAGAAGCTCCAATAGTAGCTGCTTTGCTGAATGTGGTACCTTTACTGTAACTGATTAATACAGCCACAGGTATGTGTGTTATGAGAGTTTAAGACAATTCCAAAGATCTCTACTAATTGTAATTATAATAAAAATTATTACAGAAAAAGATGCAAGAAGTTTTAAGAGGATCAGGATTCTAGAGATATTACAGGTTCCCAGTAAGAATTGCTAATTTTATCTTCCCAGAAACAAATCAACTATCTTTACGTGTCACTAGCAGAGGTTTTCGGGGAAGAGATGGGGAGGAAACCTTTAAAAGCCCAGGCTAAGTTTTATCAACAGGAAAGTACATGTGTACTATTACAAATTATGCCACAACATTATGGGCTTTTATCTAACAATGAAAAAAGCACTCTATGTTCTCATTGTATAATATTATTACTCAGCAGATGTATACCTGGGGTATAGCCAAACTCCATGTCCTCAGATGACTTTTTGGAACCCAGCTTCTCCATCTCCAGTAGACCTCACATGTCCACAGCACACTATGTTTTCATAATATACTTTTTAATCACTGAGCGGTTGAGTACCTGAGACATAGCATAACTCCGTGTCCTCAGATGATCTTTTGGAGCCAGGCTTTTCTCTCTGTAGAAAACCTCACCATGCCTCATGACAGCACAGTCTGAGCCTATTAATTTGAGGGTTCTTTCTAGGGAACATCGCCTCTATCCACTAAGTTGGTGGCATCATGTTAACTGGACTTGGTGACCACGAAGTACTGTGAATGCCATGGTAAAACACATGAACTCCAGGGGATGGGAAATAACCCTTGCAAAGATTAAGGGACCTACTACATTGGTAATGTTTTTAGGGGTCCCATGGTCTTGGGGATGCTGGGACATCCCCTCCAAAATGAAAACAAGTTATTGTGCCTTAAATTTCCTATCATTAAGGAAGAACTATGAAGCTTGGTCAGACCCTTCAGGGTTTGAGGCAGCTTATTTCCACTTGGGATGCAGTTGGTCCCAAGACGATATAGCTGATTCTTATCATCTTCCTTAGGGATGGAGTTCTGACCCGTGTATCAGATGATGTTAAGAATGTTAGTTTTAAGTGGGTCCCAGAGCAAGGAGCAGCCCTGCAGCAGGTTTAGGGTACAGGATTAGCAGCCCTGTCACTTGGGTTATATCTGGCAGAGGCCATGGTACTAGAGGTATCTGGGTATTTGAGGATGCTAATGGAGACTCTGGAAAACTCCTGTAAGAGAATCACAGCAGAGACCCTTAGGGTTTTGAAGCGAGGCCATGCAATCTGCAGCAGAAAATTCTAAACCATTCAAAAAACAGCTCCTGGGAGGGATGAGGCTATGATTGGGCCCAACAGCATTGATTTGTGGTAGACAGAATAATGACTCCTCCAAAGATGTTCACATCCTAATCCCTTGAACCTGTAAGTGGGTCATTTTACATGGCAAAAGGAGCTTTGTAGATTTGATTATGTTAAGGATCTTGAGACAGGAAAATTATCCTGGATTATCTGGGTAAGCCTGATGTAATGACAAGAGCCCTTACAAAAGGGAGGCAGAAAGGTCCAAGTCAAGGAAGAAGTGATGATGGAAGCAGGGGTTATAAACAGAGAGGGAGGAGAATTGAAGATGCTACACTGCTGGCCTAAAGATGGAGAAAGGGGCCATGAACCAAGAAATGCAGGAGGCCTCTAGAAGCTATAAAGGAAAGGAAATAGATCCTTCTCTAGAGCCTCTGGAAGGAATGCAAGTTGGCTGTCCCTGGATTTTAGACCAGTGAAACTGATTTCTGACCTCCAGAATGGTCTGTTGATAAATTTATATTGTTTTTAGCCACAAAGTATGTGGTAATTTGTTACAGCAAAAACAGGAAACTAATGCAAGCCTTTCTCACCAAGGCTGGCAGACATTCGGCCTGCTGAATGTCCAACCTATCGGTAACAGAGATTGACACTGTGCCCATGATACAATGTCATTTCTCGATAGGAACTACCTGCCACTTGATGGTAAGTTGACGGCATCTACCCGACTAGGATTAACCTGTTTTCTGAACGCAGGTTTGCCCTTACTGTCTGCAGGGCTTCATCCAGCACCATTCTCTGTGGACTCACTGACGTGTGATCTACTGAAATAAGATCCTGCATACCACTGCCTCAAACCAAGGGTCCCATTTTATAGGAAACGTTATCAGAGAAAACATGACTACTGGATTCACTGTTCCTATGACATACTCCACCCTGATGGAGTGATGACATGCTCTTAAAGGAGAGGATACCTTGTAACATTGGGTGTTATCCTCCAGGATGCACTATTCTCCTTAAACCAATGGTCGCTATATGGTTGTGTCTCCAATAGATAGAATATATGGGCCCAAAAATCAAAGGCTGAAAGTAAGAGTGGCCTCAGTAATCCACTGTATGCTTCCCATTTCTATAACTTCAGTGTCTGTAGGTCTAGAGATCCTGGGTCCTAGAGGGGAGAAAATGAGTCCCACTAAACTTTAAGCTACAGCTGTTACCAAGTCACTTTAGATTCCTTATGCCAGTTAACTTGTAGGCAAATAAAAGAGTTATCATACAGACAGGGGTAGCTGGCCCTGATCTTCATGGCATGAGAGGGCTACTGCAAAATAATCATGATGCAGGTAAATATTTGGCACTCAGGTTGATGCATCCTCTCTTGGTATTCTCATACCCAGGTTTAACTGTAAGTCAAAAAGAACAGCAAACACAGTCCAATAAGAGCATGGTAACCCTCAGGACCTCATATTCCTTGGTGAGGGTCTAGCCATTCTACCAGGCAACCCAGAAGGGCCAGCCTAGAATGAAGGGTTCTAGAATGGGTGGTAGAATAGGGAGATGATGAGGATCAGCTATACAATCTTGGGACCAAATGCATAAGTGGGGGCTGTGGTTTGTCCCACTATCCCTCTTTTTATTTATGGCTCCAGGAATTGTGACAGCAGAATTCAGAAGAAACTGTATCTGGATGGAGCAAATTTAATGTGAGAAGCAAGTGGATCTGAGCAATGCAAGGGGTGAATTGTCATAAATGCTGTGGTGCCTGCCCAGATTTGTGTCACGGGGCCATAATATTGTCTCTCAGCTGCTGTAAATGTTGGCTGCTGTAGCACTATGCATTCTTTCACACTTAGCTTTTGTCCACTCATCATTGTTATGGTTATATTCTTTCATATGGTTGTAAGTAGCTGTAATGTAGTTCATTTATTTGTTTTTACTGCTCTATAGCATTCAACTGCATGAATATACCACAATTTGCTCATTCCATGCTTCTATTGATGGATCTTTGAATTGTTTACTGTTTTTGGCTGCTGCAAATAATGTAGCTATGAATATTCTTTTACCTGTCTGAATACACACACATATGTTTTTGTTGGGTTTCTATCTAGGAGTGAAATTATTAGATCAGAGGGTACACAAATGTTCTAGATAACAGATATTGTTGAACAGTTTTCCAAAGTGGTGTGTGTCCTGTTAGGAACTATTTCACAATTCTACAGGTGTGAAGATATTCTCCTATATTATCTTCTGTACTTTTTACTTTTTAACTTTATATCAGTAATCAATTTGGAATTAATTTTTGTGCATGACATGAGGCAGCAGTCAAGTTTACATTTTTTTCCACATGGAAATCAATTAATGTTTGATTTAAAACACTTTTTAAAAGATTTTCCTTTCCCCAATGTTCTCCAGTACGGTATCGTGCAATGTTTTGTTTGTTTGATTTTTTCTCCATAAAAGAGCTTTAGTTCTAAGCAAGTAATTAGACAGTTATTTGGTTGAACCTCTTATGATGTTGGTGTTATTATCCCCATTTTACTATGAGGAAACTGAGGCATATGGAAATTAATTTAGTGAACAGGCTCTTCTGTACAAAGATGCACCTCATAATGCCTTAAACAAGGTAGACATTACTTTATTTATTTATTTTTGTGGGTATTAGGATGGAGGTAGGTGGCCCAGGGCTGCTAGATATGAAAATAAATAAAATTTAAGAGCTATTGGAATCCCCCAAACACTTTCAGCCTTGAGAGAGATATGACTGTGATCTGAGTTAAATATTGTTACCATCTCTGCTCTTAGATTATAGATTAACTCGCTTTCTTATTTTTCTTGTTTAGTTCATTGGCTGGAGAGAATTAAACACCAAATACTTTAAGCCTTGAGAGAGATATGACTGTGATCTGAGTCAAATATGGTTACAATCTCTGTTCTTGTTTTATAGATTAACTTGCTTTCTTATTTTTCTCGTTCGGTTCAATGGCTAGAGAGAATTAAACATCAGGAACAAAACCTCCTGCCTTCTTAATTAATGACTCTTAGATTAATTTCTCCTTTGTTGTCCTGCTTTGCCTAGACCAGATGACAGAAAACCCATGGTTATTACACCCTCTGTAAGAGTGTGTCAAGTGTACCCTTCCCAGAAAGAAACACTGCCTATAAGCAAATTGCTATGTGTGCCAACCTTGTATGAATAAGGTAATTCTGCTAAAATCTCCTCTGTCTCTGCCTATAGAAATGAAATCTTAATTTCCTTACTTTCGAACACTGACTCTATTCCTTTGGAGGTGGTGTTTCTGGGTGGTACATCTTCCCACTTGGGCTTCAAGAAACTCTCTTTAAGTTAGATTTTGATTATTTTAGGTTGACATAGGGAACCTCTGCCATCTTCAGTTGGTGTCCATTTCTGGATCCAGCATGGTTGCTTCAGTTCCCACGCTCGTGTTCTCATTGCACAGGGAAGAAAAGAAGATCACGAAAATGCATGCCCTTTATTTAATGAATGTTACCTGGAAATTGTGCACTTCTACTCATACACTTCTGGCCAAATTCAGTTATACAGCCACACTCACATGCAGAGGAGCCTGGGAAATGGGAGTCTTACTTTAGGTGACTAGTGGTGTCTTTGGGTTCTCTATTACTAAAGAAGAAAAGGAGAGAATGGATACTGGAACTGCTAGCCATAGGCATGTACTTGGTTGCAGCACATCTGAGATTCACATGAAAGTCTATGAACTCCAAGCTGTACTGTACAGCCCTTGGCATCCAGCTGGACCACAACAGTTTGCCCCTTGAAAAC
This sequence comes from Homo sapiens, assembly GCF_000001405.40. NCBI lineage: Eukaryota > Metazoa > Chordata > Mammalia > Primates > Hominidae > Homo > Homo sapiens. The sequence goes on along the minus strand of NC_000005.10, from coordinate 64,615,153 downwards.
CTTCTTGGGATACATTCCTGTCAGAATTTCATTTCTAGATATCTCTCCAGGAATGTAGGGGTATGTGTGTGCGTGTGTGTGTGTGTGTGTGTGTGTGTATCCTTTTATTAGAAAACAAAATTATTTAACTTAATGTATTTCTTTTTCTTGCTGTAGCTATCAGAAACCCTGAGCTAAATTTAAAGACATTGCTCTTGTTAGTGAAAAAGTTTCTAAATCTGTTTTACTCCTTCCTCTAGTGACTTCACTTACCAGGTTTTGTTTCTCTCTTACCTTCTTTTCCAGGCCCTTCCTTCCTTTCTCTCTCTTTCCTTCTCACCCATCTTTGTGTCTCTCTGTCTCTTCTATTCTCAAAAGCTCTGGCGCCCTGTTGTTTCCTCTCCATATCCCCACTGCCCATATTTTGACAAAGAATAAGCCAAGGAGGGGATGGGAATAGGGTGGGGAAGAGGATGAAGACAAGTAGTGAGTCAAAAATGTCCCTCTCACATATTCATTTTTTAAAACTTTTATTATTAGTTTTTATTACACAAGTAATACATGTTCATTGTAGAAAAATTAGAAAACACAGAAAAGCAAAAAGAAAAAATAATCACCCATAATCCCACTACCCATAACTACTATTAACATTTTAGTGTATGTCCTTCTAGCTTTCTTATGCATATATATACATACATAGATATATTTATATATAATTTTCTTTTTTACAAATATTGTGTCATACTATACATACTGTTTTATAACATGTGTTTTTCATTTAATATATATTGTGAACATCATTGTTTATTCCCTGAAAAATTTTACAGACACTACATGCTCATTGTGGAAAATTAGAAGTTACAGATATGCAAAAAGAAAATATAATTGCTCCAAATCTCACCTCCCAGAGATAAATGCTTTTACACTTTGGCAAGTATCCTTTCAGACTCTTTAATGCACACATGCATACATATATTTTTAAAAAGGGATCGTACTATAAATATTCCTCTATAACTTCCTTTTTCATCTAACAATATAGCTTGTACATTTCAATAAATACACATATGGTGCTTATTCTTAACTGGTACACAGTATTCCATTGAAAGGATGTACCATATTTAACCAACCCTATAAAGTAGGCTTATTTACATTTTTCTGCTTATCCAAATAATGCTGCTATAAACATCCTTTCTTGCATATACTTTTTGAATAATGAATAAATACATCTTAGCTCATTTTATTTTCTGACCCATTTAAAGGAGAATTTCCCTAAAGTGGAATTACTAGGCATGCAGGAAAACTATATTACCAAAATATTTTTTCAGAAAGGTGGAATCAATTTACATTCCTGTTGACTCTGTAAGAGGTTTATTTCTGTACTTCCTTTTTGTCCCTGGGAATTTTAATTCTTTATACCGTTTGCCTTTCTGACATATAAAAAGGAATATATCATATTAACTTGCATTTTTTATTACTAGTATATTAAAACACTTTTTCATATTTATTATTAGTAGGTTATTTTAGTTTATTGTGCATTGCCAGTTTGTGTTCTTGGTCCAATTTTCTGTTGGAAAGTTTGATTCTCCTTGAATTATAAAATGTCATTTATTCATTCATTATTCACTCATTCAATAAGTATGTTTTCAGCATTTGCTTTGTGTAGCACTGTGTTAGGTGTTATGGATACAACAATAAGCAAAATAGACATGGTTGCTGCCTTCTTATACTTCCAATTTAATAGGGATAAACAGGCAATTAAACAAGCAATAATGAAAACGTTCAATAAGGAAAGAATGAAATGGAAACACTTGGTTGAGAAGGGGATTGTAGATCATGGAAATGTCCCAAAAGTAGTGATGTTTAAGCTCTTAATATGTATTTGAGATCTATACTTTTTGTAGCATATATTGTTTTCTCAATTTGGTTTGTTATTTTTTACTATATAGGAGTTTAGCATTTTTAATCAGTCAAATTCCATCCATCCTTTCTTTCTGTTTTTTTCCTTTGGTGTCACTCAAAGAAAGGCTTCTTTCACACTAAAATTATATAAATATCCATTCACATTGCCTGCTAGTCTTGTTGTATGTTTATTTATGTGCTTGAATATGTAAATCTTTATTTCATCTGGAATTTATTCTGATAAAAATTATGAGGTATAGGTCTAATATTTCTCTCAAGAAATAGCTAACCAGCTATCCCAATATAAATTAATAATCCAAACTTTTCTGATAGATCTGAAATGTCATTTTTATAATATACCCAATTCTTTTATATTCTTAGGTCTATTATGGTCTATATATTTAATTCTAATAATTTATCCTGAGGCCAATAGTATCACAGCTTTTTCTCATCCTACCTATGGTTACCTGAAAGTTGAGCATTTTGTATTTGGTGACATTCCTAAGACAAAGAAATGATAGACGTTGCCTGGGTATGTGGGTAGGGTGGGAAGTTTGACCGGATGATATGCTTAATCCTTTCAATGTTGACACTTTCAGAGTTTTAAATTCCAGATGGGATCATTGTTAATCTGGTCCATTTGTTTGCTGTTTAAAACAAAGTAGATGCTTTTACATTCTGTCTTTATTTCACCTCACTCTGAAGCTCAGCTTTCAGTAGGTGGCAGTATTGCCAAACACTCAGTATCCCGACTGGTTTCGTAGGAGCACAGAGAAACAAAATGGTCTGGCAATTTTAGAATTTCCCCCAAGAGCTTTAACTCATTAGAGGAGGCATCAGGACTATGCTACTTCTAAAGCTTTCTTTATACCCCTGAATAATGGCATAACCAGAGGTTTGCAGTGAGTCTGCTCCTAGATGCGTGCAAAACATTAGCGGACAGAATTTTTTTTTTCTGGCTTGTTTTTTTTGTTTGTTTTTTTAAGTGACACCTTGGCCTTGTGGGCATTTCTTCACTTATCTTACCCAAAAGTGCCTTTGGGCCCAGCCACTGACTGATTTAAAACCCAGAAATGTGGTTTTAAACAATGTGGTCGTGGTGGAATTCAGGTGATTTTTATTTTCTATTTGGTAGTATTTTTCAGATTTCCCACAAAGAACATGTATTGTCTTTGTAATTTGAAAAAAAAATCAACACAGGATAGTAAAGATATGGTGGGAAAATGGGTGAATGTATGCCACAAAAGTTTACATCATTTTCTGTTTCAAGCCTGTGGGTACATGCGACAAAATGAGTTCAATGTTCTCTTCTTAACCCTAGAGATCAGCTCAGTGTTATTGCTAATCTGAAAGCGAATTACCAGCAGGAAGCCGAGACAGTAGAACTTTATCGCTTGGAACCACACCTGAGAAAATCCTTTGGTAGGTGAGAGGAGAGTGGGGCAGCTCCTAAGGGATGCATTGGCCTGTCTAATGTGAGACGGTGAATTACCTACTGTAACCTTGGGCCAGTGTAGGTTACCAGGGTTTTGAGCACTAAACTTAATTTTAGTATATGCTACTGAAAGAGGATCTTTAGATCTTGGAGTTTATCCACGGGAACTACAAAACTGATCAAAGGCTGGAAAACAGGCACTATGAATAAAAGATACGGTAGCTGAATATATTACCTTAAATATGCAAACTCTGGCTAGGTAATTAGACAAATTCCCATCTCCATGAATAGCTACTATAGCCTTTTCAGACATGGAGGTGAGACCTGAATTTATTAACAGTCTTCAGTTGTACAAAGGACAATTGCACAGAAGGTAAGTGTTACTTTCACACTGAGGCTAAGGTGAGAATGAACACAAGTTAACCAAGCAGAAGTTATTTAGGTCAGGCATTTAGAAGAACGTGCTGAACAAGATTGGGCTTATCAGTTAATAACTTTTGCATGGATTAGTAGGAACTAGATTGAAGCTAGAGTTCAATATAGTTGAAGTATAGGAGAGGGCAGAGGCAGGTGCTGAGAGCTGCCAAACTGGGCTACTTCAAAATTTCAAAAACAATGGATCTTAAATGAAATGACCTTAGTGGGTGAAAATGAATTAGATTCAGGAAAGGATATTAAGCTGAAATCAAGGTTTGCAGACCAGATAAGTCTGGATTGCTTGCTTTTCCAGGGAGTATTTACCCTAAGAGTCTTTAAATAGCCAAATTGTTTTACAAATATTTGATTCAGAAAATTGTGATTTTCTCATATAGCTTTCCACGGCTACTTCTTTTTTTTGAAGCCAGGTATACCTATAACCATGCATTAATTACTGGTTCCTTGGAACACAACTCTAGATTCAAAGAATAAGGCCAAAAACCAGCTGGTATGATCTAAATAGAGACCTGTATAACGTTCTCTTCCAACCCTTTAATTCTTTCACTTTCAATCAAAAGAGCTAGAAGACAATTCCAAGTATAATTTCCACATTGGATATTAGGGTGAACTATAAGAAATTGCCATTTTGTAGGTCAAAACAGTCACATATAGGAAATTTCATATAATTCAACCTAATACAATAATTATTACAGTAGTTCATCTTCACTAAAGCAAAAGGCCTTAATATATTTAGTTTTTAGGTAAAAATATTGGTATACATATAAATGCCTGTGCACATAAGTATTGGTAAAGAACAGGGTTGGGACTAAAGATGTGTCTTGGATAAACCACTTATCGGCATCTAGCTCATCCTTCTATTGTACTGGACACTGGTGCCTCCTGTCTGACTTGAAGGTTTTTCAGACTATGGAAAACAAGAAAAAAAGTGCAAAGACTTGATCTCTCAACCCATGGGAAATTCTGTCTGGGAAATGGGCCAAAGGAAGAACAGGAGACGGTATAACAAAATTTGTACCATGTTACAAGTTTAGTGAAGGAAGATCACAACAAAGCTGTGAGCAGAAAAACAAAGCATGTGGCTTCCTCCTTTCTAAAATATAGTATTGCTTAATGTGTCCTGCTTTCAAGAGTCTAAGCATAAGACAAGACACCAAGTACACGTTGGAAAAATCTTATCTGCATAGTCATCTAAAATGAGACAAGCTTAGCTTAACTAAAAAACTTTATTAACAATGTAAAATGTTAAATATTTTTATAATCTGAGCTAATTCCAGCATGCCCTATAAGATTTAACACTATGCTGATGTGCAGACACCATGCTTCAGATTTCAATTAGAACAAAATGTAATAATATTTGATTTTACATTTGAGGGCAATTGTATATGTTACTACACCATTTCCTAACTGGATTACTTCATTCTCCAAGAAGCTGAAAAAGACATCATTGGATCAAAAAGAAATTAGTTGCCCATATGCATTTGTACGAAGGTATTAGGATTATTGTGTATTTACAAAATTTTAGTACTTTTCATATGTGGTTTTTGTTGCTTTATAAATTAAGATACTTTTATGTTGAAGCTCTTAGATTCTGACAGAATGGAAGACTAAATGTAAATGAGTGCAGAGAAAGCAATAGGTGAGGTGGTATATGTTTGCTTATAATATTATTTCTAATGATATTGATAGATTGGATTTTTGAACACAGTTTTTCAGTTTTAAATAGATTTCTATGTTTAAAGACTTCTTTCATATACGATAAATTTTAACATGAGATCAGCAAGAGCTATAGATATACTATTATATGTGAAATATTTTTCCTCTGTATAATACATTTAAAAAACCTTTAAATAATTTAAAAATCATAATTCTTGCATCTGTCATGGCGTGGTTTGGAGCAGACATGCACAATGTCAGCTTTAAAATTCCCTTTTAAAAACAGCCTGGTTTTTGAATCTGTTCTTTTTTTTCTTGACGGCAGCTGCTTTCAAGTGTAAAATCATTTAAAAGGGCAGGGGGAGGCAGATAAAAGTAATAAGGAAGCATAGAAAACATAGTCAAAAACCAATAACTGTGTGGTTCAGCTGTCTGGAGGTCCTCGGGTTTTGTGATTTTTTTTCAGATGTTCTCAGTGGGTTTCCAGGAGGAGCCACCTAGCTTGAGATGAGACAACACAGCCCAAAGAACCTTCTCTTCCGTCTTCTCACCAGGGGGTAGGGAGTTAGATTCAGAAGGCTGCTGTCATCTGTGATGGGACATAATGTGCACATAAGTGAGGTATAGACACAACAACCTGCTTTTTAGGAAGTGGCTTTAAAAATCCACCATCCTCCTAATCAGGATTTCTCAACCTCAGCACTGTTGGCATTTTGGACCAGATGATTCTTGGTTGTGGGGTACTGTCCTGAGCACTGTGGAATGTTTAGTAGCATCCCTCAATTCATCAGATGCCAGTAGCACTGTATGACAATTTGTGGCAACCAAGTATATCCCCAGCTATGACCAAATGTTCCCTGGGGTGGGAGGCAAAAGAGTTCAAGGCTGAGAACCACTGCTTAAAATTGAATTGAAACTGCTTAGAGGCAATCTTTCAGTTGGGAAACGTATATACCTTATTTGAAAGAACCCATGCTTATGAGTAAGGTTGGCTTCTTTTCTAAACCTGCCTCTGCTATTTGCCAGTTCTGTGACTTTGAACATGTAACTGAAGCTTGCTAAGCTGTCTGTAAAATAGAGTTTAATAAAACTTAGCCCAGGTGAGGATTACATGAAATAATCTATGAAAAACATTTAGCTATGGTGAGTAGCTTACTGTCTAGCATAGAGGAAGCGTTTAGTTAAAATAGCTATTATTAACTATTTTCCTTTACATTGGATCATTATCACACCTTCATTCATTGACTTCATGTCTCTTCATGTTTCAACTATTTCCTATTGAGTCTTTCCCCAGCACTTTCTATAGATTTCTGTACACAAGGGCATTCATAGAAGACTGCCAGCTGTTGAATTAATAAGTTTTGGTTTGAAATTTTTAGGATGATGACAGGTAGAGGTAGAAATAAACCAGTAAATCTAATCTGGTTTAAAGAGTTGGGTTATTTAAAAAAGTGCAAAGCAAAAGAGAAGGTGGGTAGAAATATCCTGTTGAAGCAGAACTTGTCAATGTGGGTCCCAGAGGCAAAGGACTATGAGGGGATAATCTAGAATTTTCCAACTGGGGCAGTGTTATGACATGGTCAGACTGGAGCTAAGGGCAACAAGATGGTTGGCATTGGTGACTGTTACGTACCTAAGCTCCGCCAAGACTAGTTGCACTTTCCTTCCAGAGTGGGGCTAAGGAGTTCCCTCCTTTCCCTGTCCTAACCTTAAAGGGGATGGAAGCTTGGCAAAGGGCACAGAAGCAGAAGTTAGATGAAGAGATAGCTAAAGTGAAGAATGTGCCCCACCTCAATCGAACTGATTCGTAGAAGAGGGCTTGTTTTTCCTGATTACTGAGCCTAGATGCTGTAAACCAAAAATAAAATTGTAAACCCCCCAACCACCTGAATGGCCCCCTCCTCTCAGCCAACTGCATTCCAAAGTTAACTTGAAAAGCTAGTTCAGGCCATGTTGGGAAGAGGCAGTTGAACATTCTTCATTATATCCTCCTCCCTTTTGGAATTTAGACAAAGCTGACTGGAGTTAACATCAACACAGAGACCTTAAGACTGATAAAACAGACTCCTTCCGTCCGATAAGAAGCATTTATAATCTATTTTTGCTGAAGTCTGCTACCTGGAGGCTTCATCTACATGATAAAACCTTGGTCTCCATAACCCCCTATCATAATAACCCAGACATTTCTTTCTGTTGCTTCCCGGTCTTTAGATAATAACTCAAGCAACTGCCAATCAGAAAATCTTTGAATCTGCCTATGACTTAGAAGCCCCGCTTCCAGTTGTCCCGCTTTTCCAGACCAAACCGATATACATCTTATGTGTATCGATTAATGTCTTATGTCTTCCTACACGTATAAAACCAAGTTGTAGCCTGACCACCTTGGGCACATGTTCTCAGGACCTCCTGAGGCTGTGTCATGGGCATGTACTTAATCTTGGCAAAATAAATTTCTACATTGACTGAGATGTGTCTCAGATACTTTTTGGTTTACAATGCTCAGGAAACTGTTGAGAGCAAAAATAGATTCTGGCTTTCCAGTCCTCTTACATAAAGTGTCATCTAAGTGCCTGGGCTTCTCCTCCCCTTCCCAAAGGCTCTAATGTGTCATACTTATTTGTAAATTAGTATCACCCACCAAGGTTGACAGTGTTCCTTGGAATGTTGCACTATGTTATATATTTAGATAGAGCTAGAGTAGCAAGTCCAAGCCAGAGAAGAAAACAGGTGCCTCCGCTGGGCATATCAAATGAATCAAACACAGTCCACCCTCCCAGTCTCCAGAGATTAAAATCCTTTCTTAAAGCTCATATTCTGTTAACATGGAGAAAAACAGGGCTATAATTGTCCTTTCCATAGTGAAAAATAATTTACTATAATCTGGATGTCAACATTATGAGAGTTAAAAAGAGGATATCTTTCTTTTAAAGTTAACTTGCTCCCAATAGTTAAGAAACTGAAAACAGTGTTAGATACTAAACATTAGCCTCAGTTTTCAGGAGAACATCTCAGAGATAAACCATGAAATATTTGGAGCAGAAAGAAATAACTAATTTTCTCATCATTTTTAGGACTCTTACTTCTTTAACCATGAATTGATCAATGTACTTAACCTAGTTGGATATGGCAAAGATATAGCAAATTCTGAGGGGTAAAGAATTTTACCTTTCAGTGTCTCTTTGGACTCTGAATACACTTTCTGAAACTCAAATTCACCTGGAATTCAATGCTTCCCTAAAACAGAGTCACCAAAACTATGAAGATATTTATGGGAAAGAAAGATCTTCATAGTGTTCTTTATTTAAGACTTGGAAGATCTATTTTCTAAATTCTGGTATCTCCTTCCCTTTCCCCAAAGACATCTAATTTGGGGAGAGACTGAAGTGGTCTTTATACATTATAGAATGCAACTCTGATGTGTTTGCTCCTCTTACATGAGGAAATACCTACCACAATGTTGTATTTACAAAGGAAAATGTGTACGTGTATGTTGTGGTCATATATTTAGTTCCACTGTCTTGTTTTTGTATATATTAAAAGCAAGTAGGTATTATACACAGATATTATGAAATTTGTTTCAAGGTTCACCCTTATATCTGTGATGCACTCACTACAGTGGATTAAAAAAAACCTAAAAACCTTTCAATAGCACAGCCTTTTGAGCTATTGAAATTCTTCTCGCTCAGCCTTCTCTCTCTCTCTCTCTCTCTATATATATATATATATATGTATCCAGATATACATATATATAGCATATATATATGTATCCAGATATACATATATATAGCATATATATATGTATCCAGATATACATATATATAGCATATATATATGTATCCAGATATACATATATATAGCATATATATACACATTATGTACACATACATACCCACATATACACATATATTTATGTGTACTATATATCTCTCTCACAAGTGAATAAATTGTTAGGATTGATGAGAAAGTGCTCAGACATGAAGAAAGGTCAGGCTGCCTATTAAGGACAACTGCTGGTTTGGGGCATCTTTGCTGCACATTTGTGAGACCTTTGCCTTGCTTAGAGCTTGTCTGACTATCACCTAAGGCTGAGGTAATAGAAAAGCTAAAAAATTATTGGCAGAAATTCAGAGCAGCTTTCTACACCATAGGGAGCTGACACCTGCAGTAAATGCTGAAATTTACCAAGCAGTAAGTATTCCTGGGATGGTTTGAAGTGAATTCAGCTCCAAGGAAATGTGTCTCTCCACATTGATTGAAATCCTGTCTCTGAAAGCCTATCTCAGCAGCTCTGGGGTGGGGCCAGAGCATCAGCATTTCTTACAAGTTCCCAGACATTGCTGCTAGTCCTAAAACCACCCTATGAGAACCACTGAATAAACAGAAGGACTGCAAGAATGTAAGCAAAAGGGAATGTTTCCCCACTCATTCTAAATTTTCTGGAATAATCCACTTGAACTTATTGGAAAATCTTTGCTTTTTATTGCAAATTTTTGTTTAGATGTGGCTTCTAATTAAGACTTTTATATCATCTTTTCTCCAAAGTACTCACTCTCAGAAAACTATAACCTAAGACAGTTTTAAATGTGAAAATGAAAGGTGGAAAGGGAAGCAGAGTAAGTAAAGCACAGGAGAAAGTAAAAAAAAAAAGAGGGAGAATAGGAAATTTGGACACCAGTAAGTTCAAACCTCAGTCATTCAATGTTTAATTCTTTTAGATTTTTAAAAAAAATTTTATTTATTTTTGGAGTGACAGGGTTTCATTACGTTGCCCAGACTGGACTCGAACTCTTGGCCTCAAGCAATACTCCCACCTCAGCCTCCCAAAGTGCTGGGATTATAGGAATAAGCCACCATACCCAGCCTCAACATTTAATTCTTGAATGCTACTAAAGCCAGGGACACTGCAATTCCCCCAAACCACTTCTCTATTGCTCAAATTTATTTTGCTGATAAAAGATTTCTTATATAGGTGATAAGGAATGCTTCTACTACACTGCAGTTACAAATATCTATTCCAGGGAAAAAAAGAGAGAGACCCTCAGCTAAGCCAGTGGTTCTCAAACATTAGCTGCATCAGCCTCATCTTAGGTCTTGTTAAAGCACAAATTGCTGACCCCACCTCCAGAGTTTCTCAGTCAGTAGCTCTGGGGTGGGGCCAGAGGATCAGCATTTCTTACAAGTTCCCAGACATTGCTGCTGGTCCTAAGAGCACACTTTGAGAACCACTGGATTAACAGAAGGCCTGCTAAGTCCAAGGCTCTACATTGGGTACTGAGGATAATACCAAGATGGATCCTAATAGAAAGATAGTCCCTGGCCTCAAGGATCTTTCCTTGAGTAACTATAAGGCTTCATGAAAAATGCCGTAAGAAAGATCTGAATACATTGCTATGAGAATGCCAGGCAGGAGAAGGGGGGGAGATTCCTCCCATTTGGAGGAGAAGGAAAAAGATGTTTATGGAAGATTCACGGAGGCCCTGGGAGTTCATGCTGGGCCACGAGGAATGAGAACTTGGACATTTGGTGAAGGTGGCAGGGGATAGGCCTTCAGAATGGAGAGAACAGTGTGAATAAAGAGAAGTGATCAAAGGCAGCCTGAATTTGGGTCCAAGTGAACAGTCCAGTCTGGCTGGAATGAAGGGCTTATGAAGGAGGAGATAGTCCAAAACAGAGTTACTTAGAATTCCCTAACGATGCCTGTACTTTCTTTTGCCTGCTGCCTTTGCACTTGCCACCTCTCTTTTCAGAAAAGTCCTCCCTCCTTAGACAAATGGCAAGCCCTTCTTCAAAGATTAGCTTAAACATTTTTTTTCCTGCAGTCTTTTCTGACTGCTCCATGCTTCTGCATTCCTTCACGTTCCCATTGCTTCTATAAACAATTGCTACAGCTCTTGGCACATCATCTGCATCCAATCCCATCTTCCCACCGCTCTGTAAGCAACTCTTTATAAAAGTCTTAATGAATTTACCCCGGCTGCCCCAGCTCATCATCTGCCATTCACTTCCCCTCCTCCTTAGCCAAGCTTCCATGCCCAAAATTCCAAGAAAGCTGTTTTTGCCAACACCACAAGTGACTACCTTGTTGTTAAATCCTGTGGACACTTCCAATTCGTATTTAACTTCACCACTGGCCATTCCTTCTTTGCAACCTTCTTTGATTTATTTAATAATGCTCTTGTGATTTTCATCTCAGTCCCCTTTGTAAACTGATCTTTCCTCTCAAACCTTCCATTTTGGTATTCCAGGACTCTTGTCTGTGCACACTGTTGGTAGGGCTTCAATTCCCACTATGCTGATGATGCTCAAATCTGTGTTTCAGTCCTCTCAGATCACATGTCTCACTTCAGCACTATTAACCACTGAGCACTGCTCCAGAAAGTTCCCCCCATGTCCAAAAGTTGTTGTTCTCTGCCTTTACTACTGCTCCTCTGTTGTCTCTAACTTGGTGACCAACATCGTTATTTACTCCATTTTCCAAGTCTGAACTTGGGTTTCTTCCTTGATTCTGCTTCTCCTTATGCACCACATCCAATTGTCTCTGTCCTCCTCTCCAATCCCCTGACTTTAGGTGAGATCTTAAGCATTTCTCACCTGGATGACTGCACCTGCCTCCTTATGGACTCCTTCCAGTGGCTCCCAAACCTCTTAACATGGCCTAAGGGGTCTTAATGATACAGCTCTTGTCTCTCTCTTGTCTCTCTCTTAAGCCTTTTGTCTAGAGACTTTCCCAACTACTTAAGTCCTTGCAGTTATCAAAATCCCCTCCTATTTCATCTCCCCATATGCCTTCACACATCCAGAATCTTCTGCCTAGACTATCTTTTTTCTATTTCTTTGGCTAAGTGCTACTCATCCTAAAAATTCTCAGCACAGATACTTTCTAAAAAGCAATCCCTAATAATCCCCCATTTTCAATTAAAGCCTAGGCTAGGTGAGAATCTAATATACCTTGTAGCAACCCATATCTAACTGTTATGGCATTATTATATTGTGAGCACTAATTTCTGCGTCTTTCCGATTGTGTGTGTGTGTGTCTGCATATGTAATAGTTGTTTTCAGCCCAACCCTGAAGGCTCTACCAGAATCTGTGAGAGAGGAGGCATATGGCATTTGGAAAAGTTTCCTAGGTGATTCCCATCCAATTTTTCCCTGTTGAAAGGGACAGGTTTTAGTGGAGGAGAGACCTCCTCAGCACCTAGCACAGAATTTGACACATCATTGGTGACCATTATATGTTGGATGAGGATGGGGACAAAGGCTGCTGGGGTGAGAGGTCTGTTCTTCCTTCAGTAGATAGTGAGTAGACATTTCACATTTGTGAGTAGGAGCTCAACATAATAGAGTAATGCATTAAGAAATTAGATTGGTTTACATACGTCACACTGAATCTTGGACAAGAGATTGCAGAAATTGCAAAGGATATGGGGCTACTGGTAAAACTGCCCAGAATAATTTTCAGACAGCAGCTAGAAACATAGAAAGTCTTTACGAGGCCCTTGGGGGAAGGACCTAAAAGGTCATCTCTAGGCTAGATGGTGGCATAACTGCCCAGTGTTCTTCAGCCAGATATCTGAGAATTCTTCTGCCTCACACAGCCAGGTTCGGTTCTGGATGTGGGGGTCCTGATTGGAGGAGGATGCTATGAGTTTGGGAGAACTATCTCTAGGCCCACATTAGTCTGGAGTAGTACTGTTCACAGGAGGGGACTCATTCTAGCCCAGGTCAATTCCTGACTTACCTACTTCTCGACTGATTCTCGTGCATGGCATCAACGACCAAATTCTATGCAAGAATGAACATACTGACACCTCCCACAGCATTCACTAAGTCAGAATTTTGGAAAAGGCAAAACTGTCCTTCAGGCTTAATTTATTTCTGCTGATTTGTTTTGTTTGATAACAGCATGCATTTAGAAGATGCTTGTCCTTCACTTTCCAATCTCCTTTTAGCCTCTGTCCGTAACCTTGCAGGCTCCCCACAGGTGGTTCCATTTGTAATCCATTTGACACAGCGAGACTATCATAATTAATGAAGCTCCCTACAGCACTGCCAGTGTCCTAGAATGTAGGACAGGAGGGGCGCTGAAGCAGGGGAAAGAACAGCGGGCTGACAGCCAGGAGACCTGGCCCTTGTCTGCAGCCTGCAGTGGAACTCAGCAGTGCAAGGGTGGCTTGCTTTTCTTTCGTGCATCTCTTGGCCTCCAGTCTTAAACTGGATGGACGGGAAAGAAAAGGCTGAAAATGAAGGCATAATCACTAACCATTAAAATTCCTGCCCTTGGCCACCTTCCTTTCTTCTCCACTGAAAGTTGATTTAAAGTAAACCATTGTGGAGCCGAGTTTTGACTGTAGTAGAAAGGGGAGAAGATATGATTAAGTCTTTAAATGCTGAAATAAACATGGAACAGTTTTGGAGTTGACGGCCAAGTTAGAACCTGGAGAATAGCGGACTCAGTCGGCAGCATTTTCACGTGGTCGGAGTTGAGATAGGAAAAATGGGGACCAGGAGTGGTATCTTTTCCCTTTTTTTCTGATTTGAGGACCCATGAAATGGAATAAAAAGAGAAAGGAAATAAGAAGGCAGAAAGAAAACAGATGGCTTTCTATAATGGTTTTCATCCCGTTAGAATCATGTTTTGACAATAAGGTCCTACAGAAAAGAACTGGAATACTTTTTTCCACATTTTACCCTGTACCATTTCCTGCACATATTAGACCTGTATAATAAATAAACCACCTGAAAAGAATTCCGGAAAGGAATTGGGGAAGCCTCTATGGTCTATCTCAGTCTATGTAACAGGAAGAATCTGTATGATTTGTTCATTAAAATGGTGCCATATGCATCTGTCAAAATGTTCCCAGGGAGACTCTTCAGGTTTCCTCTGGATCCTCCAGTTCAGACACAGTCCCCTTCCCCACTGGTCAGCTCAGCAGGCTGTGAGGTCATGTTAAACACATAGAGAACAGAGATGTATTGTCACATGCTAAGGGTTCCCATTTCTCCCCTCAGTGAAGAAACTCAAATTCCTCACAATCCTTTACATTAGTTATTTTTGATTATTAAAATCCTACTGCACCACTTCCTTCTGAATAAGTCCTTATGTCTCCTTTCTAGCTTTTTCCTTTTTGTTCCCCAGATAGATCCAAGGTTCAAGTCCTGAGTATAATTTATTTTGATGACTATTCCCTTTTCACTCATGTTTTCACTCACAGTATCAACCTTTGATTATTATTATTACATTTAAAAATGTAATTAAAATTCTAATTATTTTTTTCTGTGTATAAAGATGATACAAAGTCACATAAAATATTTATATCATATTCTTTATGATTATAAATGACCAAATAAAACAAAATTTCTGTTTTTCTATTAACACACAGTCAAAAACTGCTGGATGAATGATCACTAAATGGGGAGGGAATGTTTAGGATGATGTGGCTTAAAATATAGGTGACGTGGCACCCATGAAATTCAGACTGGGGGACCCTGGGCAGCCATCCTCTAGGAAAGCTGAATGTGAGGGAGGGCGAGAGGCCAGCGTGCTACTGATGAAGGAGGCTTGCCAAACCTATTAAGACACTGAGGACAGCTTCAAACATGAGCTGTGGATCTAAAGTCCTGGGGCCAATGCTTTGAATTGCAGGCTCAAGACCAGCCTGACATATACACTACACGTGGTCTGTTGCAGAGTGAGTGGTAGCAGGGATTCCTCTATTTGATGGTGATTTGAGCAAAGCTGGGTTGGCCAACTTGTAAATAATAATAATAACAGTGACAACAATAATAGTAACAGTGTCAAGTGTTTGCTCTCTAAGTTTGGTAGTAGGTGTATGACACATTGCTTCATTTAATCCCCACAACAGACTTCTAAAGTAGGTGATACTATTATCCCCTTTGCAGGGATGAGGAAATACATTTGCAGAAGTTAAACAACTTGTTCCAGGGTGCAAAGCTGGTAGGTGGCAGAGCCTGCATTTGAACCCAAGGCTATCCTTAATTCAAAGCCCTTGTTCTAAACACTGTGCTTATTTCTGGCAACAATCTTCCATGTGGTGGTCAGAGCAGTCTCTCATCACTAAAGCATGTTTTCTACTTTCTCAAAACACTACGCCTGTGGCTCAAGCCAGTTGGCCTTTGTGACCAGGCCCCTTCAGGGGATGTTCTGAGCTATCTGATGTGCTGTGGCCCCTGCTTCTTATTTTCTGACCTCCACCCCTGTGTAGCTCAGGCCACACTACTCCTCAGCCTCTTCATCTGGTGTTCTCACTTCCACCCCTCCACCTTCTGCTGAGCTGCTCCTGGAGCCAAGAGGAGCCTCCAGCTCCACTGCCAAATCCTCCTCCTCCTCCTCCTCACTTCAAGGCAAGTGGCACCCTGTCTTCCCTCCCATCAGGCTTTGCTCACTGAAAACAAGAAGAGTTTCTTTCTTGCCTCCTAGAAGCCTTTCTCCACCTCTATGTACCATCCTCTGAAGTTGGTACTTCACCTGTGGCTGCTCCAACCATGTATACTTAATGTAAGCACTTATTATTGGTCCTTTGTACATGTCGTCAGTCTCTGGGGCTGCAAAGGTAGGTGCAGATTTAACAAACATCGATTGTGACAGGTGTTATTCTACTATGTCCCAGGCTCCAGATACTGAGGATACAATAGTTTAAAAGGCATGCAGAGGACTTTCCCTCATTCTAGTGAACATCTCCCTCTCATTTGTGCATTAGGGCATATACTCCCATAGGATAGACCTGGAGACACACTGCCTGATTTCACATCCCAGTTTTTCTACTTACAGTCTGTGTGACCTTGGCCAATTTAGCTAACCTTTCTGTGCGCCAGTTTCTAGTAAATTGGGAAACACTAATAGCATTTCCCTCAAAGTTGTTTAGAATTAAATAAGTTAATACAGTTAATACATGCAAAGTATTTTGAATAGTGGCATGCTGTAAGTTCTCAATATATGTTAATTTTTTGGATTACTTTTTAAAGATAATTACACAAGTGGATGGCAGAGATCTTCCTTTGTAGGTGTTCTTAAGTCTCTTGCTGTGCCTGGCATGGTGCTTTCCACAGTGAGTAATAGGGCCAGTGGAGAAGGAGTTCGTTTTAAGGTCATAATGTACCTTGGGCCCCCTCAGAGCATTCTGTGTTCACCAGAGAGTTTCTAGTCTCATTTTGATATCTTCTTGAGGAAAGACTAATGAATGCTCAATGCCTTCTACTGTTTGTGTGAGACACATGCTTTAATTTCCAAGAAACAATTCCCAAGGTTATCCCATTAAAAACATCCTCTGCCTCAAAGAGAAGTGACAAGACTCACCTTGATTTTTCAATGGTAAAGGCATAGTTTCCCTGAGTTTGCTTAAAAGGTTTTTCATTTCTCTCATGTCTCTGTAAAATTGATAAAAAGACAGAATAATCAGCTGTAAATTTTCAAAATGAAATCTCAAACAATCTGTTATATGAGACAACTGAAAGATGAGGGTCTGTGTCTAATTGCACTAGCTCTAGTTTCCAGTAGGCAAATATTGAATTTATTTTGCTTTTACAAGAAAAAAAATCTGAGATGGGTTGGCTCAGGAAAAAGTGAGAGCCATTCTGCCAAACATTTCTACAGGGCATTCTCCTGCAGGAGCCCTCATCTCTGCCTCCAGTCGAACCTGGCTGAGATCAGAGAAGAGCCATTGGTCACGAGGACAGTGCTTTAGATTTGCAAAGAGAGGCCAAGGAAGTACAACTGGAGCAACAGGGCTACCCAGGGCAAACTTGAGGCTGGGTGATGGTGCTATCAAGGCTTTATGGTCAGAGGACTATAGTGGCTATGTACATTCACTTGCTGTTATTTGCTCGTTTGTTAAAATTTGTGTAAATTTAAGGAGTACAAGTGTAGTTTTGTTACTTTGACATATTGCATAGTGGTGAAGTCTGTGCTTTTAGGGCATCCATCACCCCAATAATGTACGTTTTACCCACTGAGTATTTTCTCACCCCCCACACCTTCCCACCCTTCTGAGTCTCTGATGTCTATCATTCCACACCCCATGTCCATGTGTACCCACCATTTAGCTCCCACTTACAAGTGAGAACATGTGCTATTTTGTTTTCTGAGTTGTTTCATTGAAGACAATGGCCTCCAATTCCATCTTCTGCTTGGTTTTAATAGTCTCTTGTTACTACGATTGGAATTCAGCATAACTCAGGTATTAAGCGTTCACCAGGACCAACACTTATTACATTGACTTGGAATAATGAAAGAGTAACAAATTCTAAAACTTCCAGAAAAGAGCTCCTTACAATGGATGAAACAGAAAGGGGCGCAGTATGGGAACAAGAGGGAAAACAACCCCACCTGGGTACAGCTGGGCCTTCCTTTAGCATGGACCGTCCTCCCACACTTCCTGACTTCAGCACACAGCATGCAATGCCACTGCATACATCCAATATCTTCCCTCATCTCAGAGCATGCATGGTCATAAAACCCCAGAATTGTAAAGCAGGAAGCCATCTCAGGAGGCTTCTAGTCTAAGGTAGGGGAGAACTCATCTTTTGAAACCCTTGGGACAATTGTCCCTACACACGTCCAGATGGTTGTGCATTGGAGAAAGTGCTCTTGAGACCCCAGGACATAGGGGCAGATTTCATTTAAAATAGCCAGGAACATAATTTGGTACAAAAAGCAGATGCATCCTTTAATTAACTGAGGATAGGCAAGCATTGGCAGGCACCATGGGTTTAGGAAAGTTTTGTGGGGAAGATCATCTTAAAGTTGAAGAAATTCTATCCACTTATTTTTCTTCTGTTATTTGAGGAAAGACAGTCACCATTTAATTTTAGGTATGAAACCTCTCAGTCCATTTCACAAAACACCACAGTTCTGTTGAGCACGGTTTGAGGATCGTTTTCTTAGGGTAATTCTGGAGACCTCATGGGAGCTCCTTTTCAAGTATTGACTGATATGTGAAGAGGAACTCAAGTCTCAGTAATAATTGATTGGAAAAGGAAGGGAAAGCAGCCTTGAGGATCTGCGGAAATATACCTGTAAAAACTTTCCAAATCCACTCTCATGGGTGCGAGGTGTGAGGATGTATCTGTGGGCTGCATGCTGATCAAGTGAGAGAGGAGGGCAGGAGAAAGGAAGTGTGGCCCCACCTCCACAAGTGCAAGGCACAGTCTGTTTTCATGTAAGATCTCAAGGACAGATGGAATGGGTGAGAAAGGGCTAGGAATGCAACATGGGGGATTGAGGCACTGTCTCCTCTAATAAAGCACCAATTCTCAACCTTGGCTGCTGCACAGGAGAATCACCTTAAGCCCAGGTCTCACCCCAAGAGAGCCTGATTCAGTTGGCTTATAGTGGGGCCCAGCCATCAGTATTTTAAGAATTCCCTCCTGATGACTTAACTGTGCAGTCCAGTTTGAGACCCATGATCTCTCAAGGCAGACAGCCAGGGAGAACGGAGTTAGCCACATCCTGGACCAGGTCCACTGTGCCCACCTCCATCTCCTTTGACCAGAATCTGGGCTTTCAGGCTGAACTGAAACATTGCCAACGTTGTGGGCCTTAACTATCCTACTCTTACTGCCATCCCTTCTTATAAGCTTATAAGGCGTGAATATAGCTGCTGTCTAAGGTCTGCAAAGTAAAATGGTTTCACTGATGTTTATGCCCTGATATGGCATTTCAGCAGATATTTTTTTCCCTGGGAACAGAGCTAAGAATTTTCTACTTTATAAATTAAGATAAATCACTCCCTCATCATTTGTCTATAGTGCCATCAAACGGTGCCAAACAGCTTTATTGTTTGAATTGTTGCATTTCCAAGCTTATACAAAATCCAAGTTTTATTAATAGCACATAATTACCACATGCTCCAATTTTCTATAAACACAGAAATTCGGTAATTAGCTTTAGAATTATATCACAATCTGAAAGTAGAACCACAATGGCTATAAATGCCATTGTGTGTTACATTTCTAAAAATAAAAAAAAATAAAATGTTCATTATGTTGTCAGTGACTTAACCTCATACACACAGAACACTCAGTGGAATTGCCCAGTATTCATTCAGCTGCTTGGTGCCAGCTCTGGGGACATTAGTAGCAAAGGGCACAGATATCAGTGTAAAGGCAAATAAACAAGAGGCTTATCTTTCTGCCTCGCAGAATGTCATTTTTAGCATCTAGATGGGACATGGTATTTATTATAATATTATTATTATTACTCCCTTTTCCTAAATAAAATAAAATCACTGTAGAGTCTCTTCTTTTCAAGAAAGAAACTGCCTCTCTAGAAGTGAGCTACTGAAGTTAAGAAAATGCATTAACTTGCTTTGACCACTGAGGGGCCATCAGCCACCTTGTGGAGAGTAAGAGAAGGGGGCCCTGGGAGAAGCCCTTTGTGAACTGGACAGAATGCTCAGCCCCTAAATGGCAGCTAAGCAGGCTGTTCCATATACCTGAAACCCGAGACTTTACTGGAGGCATCTTTGTGTAATTTTGGATTTTCTCCCTTAAACAAATGGGAATTTTGGGTACCAGCCCAGTAGGTGAACTGTGACAGCATGTAGACTTTTTCCCCTCCAAGGCAGCACACTGTTCTCATTTTCCATGGAGATGCAATGTGTTGGAGTGGGAGAAGCAGAGGCCTGGGAGCCTGTGCCTACTGTGGGTGTTGCTAGTGTTCCTCTGCAGGATTTGGACTGCTTACCCTCTCTTGTCTCAGTTTTCTTGTCTGCAGATTAGGCAGTCTCCAGGGTCCCTGACAGCACTATGCTCCTCTGGCATACCAAAGAAAGCTCTGTTTCTGAATCTGAACTAGAAAACCTCGTCTCTCTGTGGCCCCTAAGAACATTAACGGGAGGAGGATTGGCAGTCTATTCAGGGTAACTTCCCACTTACCTTTCAGTGTTCTCAATGTCTGTGGAAACCTGCCAGGAATGTTGCTGACTATCTACGGGGGATGATGAGGAGTCTTCTAGGGCAGGTGTTTCAGCACTCTCCTCAATTTTGCAATCCAAACTCTTGGTTCCCCCGCCAGGTTCCTTTCCTAAGGGAGGGAGGGTGTTGGTAAAGAGAAGAGGAAAAAGAAATCATAAAGGCAGGTTCTATATGCAGGATGTCAGTGCTAAGGTTGGCTATGCTTTGAGTCAAATGTTCCATTAACCCTAATAGCTTTCTGAGTAATAAAATAATTAGGTATATACATGTATGAGTATGTGTGTTTGTGTGTATAGCATGTTTTCACAACATTCCGGGAAAGACAGTTTGAGGTCAATGCAACCTAAAGATCAAGATAATATTAAAGCCCCTGTCTTTGATAGAGTATTGGTGTTTTATAACCCATTCTTAGTGAATTAGATTAAGTTAGCTCAGGAGGGGGGATTTAGCTTGTGAAACCTACTGGCTTTTGGTGCTTAGATGCAGGAGCAGGTAAAAGGGCCAGGAGCAGGTGACACCCAGCAGAAAGAATGAGAGCTCCTGCTGTTTTCTCTGATTCTAGACACTGGCCCTCTCAGCATGCAGCAGGGATCATGCAGGTGTCTTCCAATTCCTTGGCTCTCCAACCTCCTTCAACACATCCTTCTATGAGGAGAAAGCCTGACCTTGATCCAGCCTTACACCGCTGAGACCATAAAACACCGTCAACTCAAATGTGAATGCCATGTAGTAGGTAGCCGTCCACAGCAATGCACTACCTACCCACTAAGACTTGTATTTACCATGATTGATCTCAACTGAATAAATCAGTACTTTCTGGAAACAAATCTCCAAACTGGTTCAGCCATAAATTTATATGAAATTAAGTGGGAGGTTATGTCGTATGGCCTAGGCACAATCTCTTAATGTCTTTTATTCTTTCTTGAAAATCTGTGCATCCATAGGGGGGTATCCTAGTATCATGGAAATGGTCAAGTAGGCCCGAGAACTGGGTTTTAAACCTGGCTTAGTCATTTGTTCATTCATTCACTCACTCATTCATTCACTCATTTACAAATATATCTTGAGTGTCAGCTACCAGCACTGGGATTCATGCTAGAGATATGGAGGTGAAAGAAAGTCTCTGTCTCATGGAGCTTACAGTGCTGGAGTTAAACAATAAAAACATTATACAAATAATTACAAAGCTGTTGTATAACATTATGTAGTCTGGAAAAAAGGGTAGCTATTATATATAGTGTTTTTGCCTCCTTTATCCAGTTTTATTTTTGTCATGCAGATATAACTCCAGACTAGTTGTTAAGTAATTGTTACAGCCCATATCACTGAATATTCATGAGGTAGTGGCTATATCACCTAACCTTTTAGCTCAGTTTCCCTAATCCTGCTGTGATTGTTTTGCATTAACAAGAAAACTAATAAAAAATAAAACCTACAAACTTGTGAAGAGGATGGCTGCTCATGGTAAAATCTAACAGGAAGTTTTTTCCTTGGATTCCTGCTGGAGGGAAGTAGCAAAAATCTCATCCCTGAAGTTTCTAACCCATGTGGTAACAACAGAAGGAGAAAGAGCAAAGCAATTTAATTGGTTGTATGCCTTTCACCAACCTATAGTGGAACCTATAGTGGAACTCGGAATATTCAGCCAGAGCACATGCACACATTGACTCATGAGAAACTTTGATCCTTTCCTGTGTACTTTATGTGCATTGATCCTGGGTGATGGGACTTGCCTGAGGAATTGTTTTTCCAATTTTATGGTATGCTCTTGGGGGGAAATTAATTAAGCACATAATTTAGCACATTACCATTTCACAGTTGGAGGGCATTGACCTCTTAAAAGCATTTGCATTTTGCCTCTTGGCAGAGTGTGGCAAGTGCAGTCAGTCTACCAGTCATGTATCTCTAGGCAGGGTCAGCCTTAGGATGTGAGTCTGAGCAGGGGTAGCTGAGATGAGGGGAAGCAGCAAAATGAGGACTCTCCCAAAACAGTCCTCTGCTTTTCAAAACCTGAAGGCCTCTGTTACACTCCTGTGGGTTCGAAATGCCTTGGTGAATGGAGTATGGTTTGGGCATCACAGAGGAGGAGGGGAAGAAGATTCACCAGAATTCTCTGGTTTATGGGCTTTGTCTAGCTTTGGGGCCATATTATTCCTTGTCCTGAGGTCCAGACTATAGAGCCTGAAGCTTTTATTCCAATGGGGACAAGGGAGGACACCAGGAAATGTGATGTTCCTTGTTGGAGTCCTCTCTCCACCTCCTCCATATCACACCTTTTACATGCAAAGCCATAAATGGGATCTAGTTGACAACACTTTTGATTATACTTAATACCTGTGATTATTCTGCTGCTTACAAGACAAATGCCCTTCCATAACTTTTTCAAAGTAAAACATCATTTTAAAGATTTCAAAGATCCTGAAACAGCCCTATGGGCTTGTAAAGGCAGGTAATAACCTACTTTTCCTATTTTTGGTGACTTTTAGATCTAATTCTGCTAATGTAGCTGAACCAGAATGGAAACCGTGAATGTTGGCCCTCAGTTTAGGGCTTTCTGTCAGCTCACAAAATCCCTGCAGAAGTTTGATATGGTATCTTCTTTAGCTAACATGTCTTAAAAGACAGAAAAGATCAATATGAATTTAAGGGGTTTTCAATTCCAGAATGTATGTGGTGTCAAGTTTACTCTGCAAGTGGATTATAATTGCTCTCATTTACCGATAGTACCGACTTTATGTTAGGATTCTTCTCCACCACATTACATGTTTATGGCCTTCATAGAAAGGTCCACTATCAGAAATGATCTTGCTTATGTATTTGCTTACTAGTTTATTGTTTGCTGTTCCCAGCCCCACACTCATCTCTCATCTCCAAACTTCATAGGTAATCTTTGTAAGGCCAATAATTTTATCTGTTTTCTTCAATTCTATAAGTCTACTACCAAAGACCAAGGCTTACACACAGTAGTATCTCAATAGATATACAGCATTAAAAAATGTAATTATACTATATATGTTGTTATACAACTTACTTTGCTACTGTAGTCCAGCTTAGAGATATTTTCCTGTTAGTGCATTTTAATTGATGGAATGCTTTCTAATGGATGGGCAGTATTCCATAATAAAGAATTTAGGTTTTAATTGTTCTCTTTTTCCACAATATGCCAATATTTATGTAAAACAGATCCTTTGAGGCAGAATACTGAGATAAAGTATATGTATGCACATTTTAAATTTTAATATATATTGCCAAATTGGCCTCTGAAAAGGCTATGCTAATTTACACTTTACGTCCACCAGTGGTAAACCAGAGGGCCCATTTCCCCACCCCTTTCCCAGCACTTCATATTATCAACATTAATTTTTGCTAATCTAATGGGGAGAAATAGAATCTCATTGCACTTTTATTTTTATTTTTCTTTTCCTTTATTACTACCGAGGTTAAACTTCTTTTCTTTTTTTGTTTTTTACTTTCTTTTTAAAAACACTTTTAAGTTCAGGGGTATAGGTGCAGGTTTGTTACATAGGTAAACATTTATTTTCCTATGTTTAATTGACCACTTGTGTTTCTTCTTTACATTTTCTATTTGTGTAATTTGCCCATTTAAACAATGGGTTGGGTTTCTTATTGATTTGTAGGGGTTCTCTCCATATAATGGATACTGATCATTTGCTGTATATACTGCTTATATCTCTTACTCTATTATGTCTTTTAATTTTGTTTGTAATGTATTTTGTCAAAAGTTAAATTTGTATAGTCAAAGCTGTTCATCTTTTATGTCTTTTAGTACTGTGCCTTGCCTATATTTTCTTCTAATACTTGCACAGTTTTGAAATGTTCAGTTCTATAATTCATCTGTAATTTACTTTTGTATGTGGTATGGTATAATAATCTAAATTTTTAGCTCAAATGAAGAGCCAATTGCCCCAACAGCATTTAATGACTTTTCTGTTGACTTTGCTCTTTCTAATATATTAAGTTCCTACATAAATGTGGGTTTATTTCTGGATATACTGTTTTATTTTATATTTATTTGTTTATCCTTGTGGCAATTCCATGATATTTTAATTATTATGTTTTTAGTATTCAGTACAGAAAGTTCTCCTTCACTGTACTTTTTCCACTGACATTTTTGAATTTTGAAATTTTGAATCCACTGCAAAGGAAACTATAAATTACTATCATGTAAGACTTTGACTTTTATTAAAGCATGAATCATTGATTATTTTTTAAGTATTGTCTGGGTTTAATGGTTTATTTAAAATGTTTTCTCTTCTTACATTAATTTTGATAATTCATTCGTCCTAGAAAACAATCCACAGAATACATTTTTAATAGCATAAAGTTGAATGCAGTTTTCTCTTGGAACTGTTTCATACCCTAATGCTGTTTATTTATGGCTCCTGATTTCTTTGTATACCACTTTTTCTTGGATTTCAAACATATCTTCTTCTTTTTTGAATTCAGTTTTCATTTTTGGGAGCATATCCTTGACTAATTATTTCAGAGGAGATCTGTGGAATGCAAAATTCGTTAGTTTTTATATGACCGAAAATAGATTTTCTTCTCTCTCTCTCTCTCTCCCTCTTGGTGCTCACACTTAGATTCTAACTGGCTGGATATATAAATTCATGTTCAAACTAAGTTTTTCTAATAACTGGTATGACACTGTTCTCTTCTCTTTTATCTATACCTAGGGATGCACCAATTTTTTTTAACTTTGATTAAATATGATTCAATACAATTTGATTCTATACTATTATTTAATATATAGTCTATATTTAAATTTCCCCAATGGTTTCAATAAAATACTTTATCATTTCTTTTTAAATTGAGGGATCCATTTAAGGACTATGCAGTGCATTTACTTGTTGTGTCTTTTTTTTTTTTTTTTGAGTCAGGGTCTCGCTCTGTTGCCCAGGCTAGAGTGCAGTGATGATAATAGCTCACTGCAGCCTTGAACTCCTGGGCTTATGTGATCCTCTCTCCTTAGCCTCCCAATAGCTGGGACTATAGGAATACAAGACCATGCCTGGCTAATTTGTTTTTATTTTTTGTAGAAATGGGGTCTTACTGTGTTGCTCAAACTGATCCTGGCCTCAGGCAGTTCTCCCACCTCAGCCTCCCAAAGTGCTGGAATTACAGGCATGAGCCACTGTGCATGGCCTGTCATGTTACTTTATATTCTTTTAATCTAGAACAGCATCCTTGCCTTTTTCATTTTCAATGTCATGAATATTTTTGAATGAAGAGTTCAGGTTAGTTGTTTTATATAATGACCTTCCATTTGGATTTGTCTGATGGGTCCCACATGCCTAGATTCAGAATAAACATTTTTTTGGCAAGAATATTATAGGGGTGATACTGTGTCCTTAGTGCATCACACCAGAAAGAATGTGAGTCAGTTTGTCTTATTCATGATGCTAAGTATTATCAATCATTTGTTTAATGTGGTTTCTGCCAGCTTGTACCATTGTAGACGCATCCTTTTCCCCTCTGTAACTTTTTTTTTTGTTTTTTTTTGAGACAGAGTCTGTCTCTGTTGCCCAGTCTGGAGTGCAATGTTGTGATCTCAGCTCACTGCAACCTCTGCGTCCCAGGTTCAAGCAATTCTTGTGTCTCACCTACCCGAGTAGCTGGGATTACAGGTGTGTACCACCATGCCCGGAATTTTTTTTGTATTTTTAGTAGAAACATGATTTGGCCAGGTTGGCCATGCTGGTCTGAACTCCTGGCCCTAAGTGATCCACCCACCTTGGCCTCCCAAAGTGCTGGGATTACATGCATGAGCCACCGTACCTACCCATCCCTCAGTAACTATTAAGTAATCTACAAAGCGATTCATTGAGATACTCTAATATTTTAACTTTAGATATTTATTTTTTTTTTAGGGTTGGGGAATTGTTTTCTATTTTTCTTGATTATCAATTTCTCTCAATTCTCTCTGTTCTTTCCGAATTGCTATTTTATATTGGAGTCTCTGGCTCAGTCTTTCACATTTTTTTAAGTACTCTCCATACTCAAATGATTTTTTGGGCTGAATTCTGGGAGAATACCTTGACTTCATCTTTCAGTCCACCATTTTGGGCTCTCAGTATTTCCATTATGATAATGTTAAGAACTGTGAAAAGTTTGAGATTTTACCTTACTTGCAAATTAGCCTATTGTAGTTTCATGGATACTGGAAGAAGACATGAGATTTCTCGGTCAGATACAAAGGTAGTTTATTACTCACAGAATAGGAGTAGCAAGAGGATTAGCATTTGTGCTGGTTTTTTTGAGTCCTAATTCCCACAGTGAGGAGCAAAAGGGCCAAACACTACCTGTACACACAGTGGGCTGCGTGACAGGAGGGGAGAACCCTGAGCTTAGGGATTCTGTGTCTTTTATAAGCATGTCTGCCCTTTGCTGAAGAGGGAAACATTTTCATTATACTGAATAGGAAGTATGCCTTGCTCTGGAAGAAACACTGTCTCTGTTTTCCAAGGCATTTCCTAAATAAACATCCTTGAGAAGATAGGGTAAAACAAAGGGCAGTCAGTGCCCCATTTTGCAAGATGTGCCGAATGTGAGAGACCAATGGAGAATTGTCTCCCAACACTAATTAACCCATCTATTTTTATTTGATTGATAACATTTTTACTTCCAACAAATCTGGCTGCTTCCTTTATGTTGCAGACAAAAATTGTTTTATGAATATGCAGACTCATAAATCTCTTTGCATATATTGATCACATATATTTTAAATTTTTTATCACTTTTAACATTTGTTCTTCAAGTATTAATCATTTGTTATATTTGGTATCTCCTTTTTATAGTGTTTGTTTTCCTTAAAAATCTTGTCATTCCTGGATGTCTGTTCAAATTTGTTTTTCAGGACCTCTGTCTGTCTATTAATAACAGTGTCCTCCTTCTGATGATGATGGAGAAGGGGGTGTGTCAAAAAGGGCTGGATAATATGTGTCAAAAGCATTTCTTCTAGGTGTGAGAGTTTGCCATCTCCAATGGGTACCTGGGTACCCTGCCTGTTTTTGGCCCTGTGCCTGCTCTAAGTTTCCTGTTTACAACCCCTATTCCAGAGAGATATACTGAGCAATTTAGTCTGGAAAAAGCACTGTAGTCATGTGCTCACTTTCTTTTTCTTCTGCAGCTGTCCTTATGGAGGCTCAGATTTATTTTATACTCTTTCCTGCTTTGCTGCTCAGTCCTGACACTTAGCACAAAGTGTCCTCCTGGGGCAAGCACTGATAGTCTCTGCTGCTCAGTGTGGGGTAGCCCAGCTTTTCCTTAATGCAATTTTGAGCATTAATTTTCCTGACAGCAGTTCCAGCAATCTTTCCCATGATTTATATTTGTGGACTCTGAGTTTGAAGAATCTCTGGAATTGACCTCATTTTCACAGAAAATTTCTCCTGCTTGAATTTCTTCTTGAGTTTCTTATCTGCTAGGGTTTCCTCTGTTTTATTTTCACCAGTCTAATCCCAATTGCTTTTTAGCTTTGACAGATTTCTCAAAATTTCTAGTTTGTTGAAGTCATCCTTCCTTGTTTTTCAAGGTTGTGGGAGACTGTTTTGTGTTTGTCATTCTCTATTTTCTTTTCCTCTTACTATTAGAAATGGCTGTGTGACAGAGCTATGGCCAATGGACTCTGATCAGGAGTGATGTACACCTCTTCCAGACTGGCCCCTAAAAGTCCTCCTATACGATCGCTCAGGTTTTCCTTGTTTTCCCCCTGACCATTTGATGAATGCAGAGAATGGAAAGAGCAACACTGCCCACTCTACCCAGCTCTGGCATTGGACTATGCCATCAGTGAATAATGAACTTTTATTGTTCTAATCCACTGAGATTTGGTATTGTCTCATACAGTAGTTACCCTACCCTGACAAATACATGAACTAGTATGGATTTATTCCTTTCATTACATGTTTTTCCATTATTTCAGTGGATTTGCACCAGGAAGGAAAATATATGGGTAAGTTCAGTCCAACATCTCTGGATAAACTTTTCCTCTAATTATACTCTCTTTGTTTTGACAATAGATACAGAACTAAAGCAATTTATTCACTTATTCAATAACCATTAATTGAAACTTTACTCTGCCTGAGGCACTCTGCTAGGTGCTAGGAATACAACGGTGAACATACTCATGGTGATCAAAGTCTAGAGAGGACAATAGGTAAGAAACCAGGCAACCACCTCTCAATGTAACATATGCCATTATTAGTGTCATGGAAATGCTTGAGGGACACATTGAGTGGGCATTGGCCCAGGCTTGGAGGGTCAGGAAAATCTGAAGAAAGTTATGACCTTCATAAGTTATCTAAGTTATGACCCAAAGAAAGTATAGGGATGAGCCAAGTGAAAGGGACAGGGGTAGGGTGAGGTAGGATGGGTCATATGTCCAAGGCAGAGGAAAAAACTGGAAGGAACTTGCAAGTTGATGTTCCTCAAAGTAGTTCAAGATGATTCAAGTGGGGTAGGGCAGGGTATAAGGGCAGGCGAGGTGGGGATTACTGGTGAGATATGAGACTGGAGAGGTTTTCAGGGTCAGTTCATAGATATTCTTCTGAGCCACGTTAAGGAGTCAGCAGAGCCATCCAAACCTGGAAAGTGGCCAATTTGAGTTCTTCATCCCCAGCATCACCCCCTTTGGCAGGTTATCCTCAGAATTCAGTACTTGTTTTCACATATCAGGTGGGCTCCTTGCCTTCTTCTTGGAAAAGAGGCCAACATGTGCTTCCAAATGGTGACTTCATGTCAATGTTTTGCTTTGCCCAAGGGAGTTGTTGTACATTTAAAATCATTTCTTATTATGAAATGAAAAACTCTGTCCCCTGAAAAATCCATTTCAGGCCTCGGTGAACAAATATTTGCTCAGGAGGGGATGGGGTAGGGGAGGAAGAGAACCCTTAGAGCACCTTAAAATCATACCATGCTGGTTGCATCACTGTTTAGAACTAGGACATCAAAAACTTGGCCACTTTCCTTAAAGTCTTGCAAAGCTTTTAGCCTTCAGCTCCTTGGGGATTTCTATGTATTTTTAGCTTGTTTATGGATAATGTAATAGGCATGTTTGAGGAAAATTTAAGGGAAGCCACCCATGAAGCACATAACAAATTGAAAGGTTGGTTATTCTTATATTCGTGAGAAATTGCCGGTCATTCACGAGAAACAAAAACACATCTGATTGTGGGGCAGTCTCAGGGGTGCAATAGAGCACTCGCAGCTTTAGGAGTCCTTGGCACAGGCACCAGAGGAGTGGGCTGGGAGTCCTTTATCACACCCACTCTAGAGACCCCTTTCCTTCTCATCTCTTATTTCTCCCATCCTTTCTCCTCCACTCGTGTTTTCCCCACTCCTCTTTTCTTTGCCCCTTCCATTCCTTCTTGCTTTCCTGCCTGTCTTCAGCTTGCCAGTGACAATGGAAGGCACTGCCATAGATAATATCTTTTTGGATGTCCTTAGTTTGGTCTCTGTTGTCCAGTAAAGTGAATTTATCCATTTGAGTAAATTTCTCCAGGAATCAAAACAGAATAAACCAATCTTCTCTGGGATAATACTGTATCAGTGCCCTATCACTTCCTTGGTGGCAGGAGTAAATTTCCTACATCCTTTGTGCTCCTGACACATTACCTGCTATGACACTATGCACTGAACAGGCTTGCAGGGCAGTTTTCATACTGACTGAATGCGAACAACAAAATGAACATGGCTTACATTAGATTCACGGATGCTTATGAATCCAAACAGTTATACTAATTCTCATGCATTTTCATAACTGCTAGGTGCTTTTTAACTCCGTGCACTGTGAAAAGGACTGGGGAAGTATAGGCTGTTTTTTAAAGTAATCCACTTTTACTCTCTTGTGTTTCTAAAAAGCATGTAACTTAAATAGAAATAAATTATATTAATTCAGTTAGTCATTTACCCATATTAAAAAGCAGTTTCAAAGGTTTTTCCACACTGTGGTAAGAAGATATTCTTAGGGCCATAAAACACATGGCAAAAAATAATAATTATGCCATACCCGGAGCTCCATTCTTCCCATGTACTGGGAGATAAACATTTTCCAGTTCAGAAGAGATACAAAACCATCCCCTTCTCCTACTGCCCTTTGGCCTCTTCTGTGCTCCTTGTGGCACTGCCACAGCCCCCAGAGTAGCAGCCTTCATGGTAGTGCCAAGTAGCTGTGTAAGAAGCACAGAGCCCCCTTGGAACACAGGAGAAGAGCAAACAATAGAAGATACGTTCAAAGGATATCCTTATGGGGCTCTGAGTGCTCCCTTTCCAGCCCCTAACATAGAGCAGCACAGTGTCTAAGATGTATTCACTCTACAGTTAATTAATTCAGACTTTTCCATACTGGGTGTCAGGGCTAACTCCTATGCCTTTTGGATCACGTGAATGTTTCATTTTATTTATTTACTTTTACTATATGTAATAGTTTCTTAGAATTAAACTTTTTCACCCATTTTACATATTTTGTAAATAAGATGATATATGGAGTTAAAATTCTCTCCACCCTTGAAAATACCTCTCCCAACTTAGTGTTATTTTGGTAAGAAACTAAATATACAATGGATTTTAGCTATTAAGCATGGTTTTGAAATATGCTCACTAATCATTAAATAAGATAGAATTCAGCTAACTGTGCTACTATCCTTTATTTCTCCATTTGATATGCCCTCCTGCCCTTCTCCAATGTAGCTTAGTAAGAATGGTCTAGTGCAGTGGAACAACCACAAACTTTGTAGTGAGATAAATGTGCTATGTGACCTTGGGCAACTTACCTCATTGAGCTTTGAGTTCCTCATGTGTAAAATGGGGAAAATATACTTGAGGATAAAATAAGATAATGTGTATAATGCACCTGGCAAGTAGAAGGTACACAGTAAGTGGAAGCTATTGTCATTGCTATTATCCTATTCTTCAGCCAACATCTACATTGACTAAAGGTGACAAATAGTGTCCTACTCACTGGTATATGAAGACATGGAGATAGAGTAGAAGAAGGCTTTAGATTATCCTTGGATTTCAGAAGTTAGTTATGTTTATATTCTTCAAACACTACATGCTTATTCTGGTCATTGGTAATACGAATGTTCATGAAATTGTTTCCTTCTTGTCGTTCAAGTCTCAGGTTAAATTTTATCTCCTTAGAGAACTTTGACCAGCCCTTCCAAAGTAGCCACCCAGTCACTTTCTATTACATCATCATCCATTCTATTTCAATTATTTTCATTGCACTTATTAGTATTTGGAACTTTTAGAAAAGTTGTTTATTTCTGTTCTTTCTTTTCCCCTCCTCTCTTTCTTCTCCCTCCCCCTACCTCTGCTCTGTCTGTCTCTCTTTCTCCTCTCTCCCTTTGCCTTAGAATATATATTTCACAAGAAACAGAAACCTGTTCAGTCTTTTTCATTTCTGGGGAGATGGAGTCTTGCTCTGTCGCCCAGGCTGGAGTGCAGTGGCGTCATCTCGGCTCACTGCAACCTCTGCCTCCTGGGCTCAAGCAATTCTCCTGCCTCAGTATCCTGAGTAGCTGGGATTACAGGCACCCACCACCACACCTGGCTAATTTTTGTATTTTTACTAGAGACAAGGGTTTCACCACGTCGGCCGGGCTGGTCTGGAACTCCTGACCTCAAGCGATCTGCCTGCCTCGGCCTCCCAAAGTACTGGGATTACAGGAGTGAGCCACTGCGCCTGGCCTACCTCTTCAGTCTTAATCACTGCAGTCTCTCACCACCCAGAACAGTGCCTTACATATGATAGATAACAAATATTTCTTCAAAGAATGAATGCATGTTTCCACTTAGGATTTGAATCATGTCTAAGATTTATTCTGCTTTATTTCTTCTAATCCATTGTTCTATTTTAGTATCAATTGCCTCATTCCATTAGGAAATAAGGCAGCTATATTCTATTTCTGTCTTTATTTTGCTGGCTTCTTTTATTGATGTGGATCACCTCCTTTATATTTCTTAATATGATGCTGAATACACTGGAGTTTTTACTGCTCATATTTTATTCTTTGTCTTGAGTTCATCCTGTATTTTGCTGGAAGATGGTTCATTAATTTCTCATTAGTGCATCTTGAGCTCTTAGCTCCCAGCAGATTCTGAATTAAGATTTTTCAACTTTTAACATTTCTCTATTCTTTCCCTTTTGTGATTACATCTCCTCTGCATATTTTATCTCTGTATTTACCATGGTAGCACATTTTAGGGGAAAGAACCCATCTTATCTTTGGGAGAGGAAGGGAGGATGGTATACCTTCAAAGGACCTGGGGACAATTTTGCTGTAAGCTATGGCAGAGAGGACAAGCAGAGTCAGAGGGGACCACTGACAGAGCAAGGTAAAATGAGAACAAAAATAGAAAGGGCAGGTTCACATGTGAAGGGGAGCTGGACTGGAGTGTTCTGTCATCTCTGCTCTTTTCAGAATGGGGCTGTTGCCACAACTGATTGAATTGGGAAAAGAAAGCAAGAGAGAGGAAAGCCATGGTCAAAATGGCAGGATCATTCAATTCCCTTGGAAACCTGGCTCCACTTTCTGCCAACGAAGTGAGTGAAACCTGCAATCTCTTTTCATCTGGTGGCAGAAAACAGGCATTAAGGGTCAATGTGATACATGGACTCAGTAATGGGAAAAGATTTCCTACCTAACTAACTGTGAAGAAGTGAGAACAACTATTTTTCACCATAAACATAGAAATTAGACTTTGTCAAGTAATGCTTCAATCTATAACTTAAAGTGTTAGAATATGAAACTACAAGATGACTAAAATTATTCCCATCTGTCACCTTCTTAAAACAAACAAAGTTTTTCAGAGCCACTCTCTATCTGATATAACTCAGTAGCCCTTATTATATGTAGATTTTACCTCACGTTACTGTACTTTACTTTCATGTTGTTGGCCATAAAAAAAGAAAAACACTTTAGTAATGTTTTTCTTCATTTCTTTGGCAATAGGATCATCTTGCAAAGTAAAAAAGATTTCCAAGTAGATTGTACCAATCAGACTTATGAGACAGCAAAAATTCAGAAGCATGGTGCATGAAATAAACATGAAAATCCATTGAAGATATTGTTAAGGACTAGAAAGACAGTTAGAAGTTGCTTAATTGGGAGAGAAGGAAAATCTTCATTACTAAATTCAAGTTCACTGCAGGAGATTTAAAGTTATTTGTAGCTTGTTTTTCCCAGAAAGAAACTATATTCTTAACCCCTGCAGTGGCCTTGTGTGCCCCTTCTCTCCAAAGAGTAAACTCATGTCCTGACTACTCAATACAAGAGTACAACTAAGTGAGGTACATAATTCTATCTGAACTTCTGGTGGCAGCCAGGGAGGTAGATAGACATAAAAACAAATTAAATGTATAGATAAATGAAACAGTTTGGCTTCAGTATCTCATCCTAATGAAAAATTGACTAGAGACTCTCATATTTAGTGACTCAGTTGCAATCCCTTTTATTTTTCCTTGATGGAAAAGCAAAGCTGAAGAAGAGGGGAATGGCAAACTTTTAGCACTCACACAGAGGGAAAAGAGTTTGGCTTGCATAATGGATTAAAATAGCAGTTTTTATTTTATGTATATTTTGAGATGGGGTCTTGCTGTGCCACCCAGGCTGGTGTGCAGTGGTGTGATCTTGGCTCGCTACAGTCTCTGCATCCCACCTCAAGCAATCCTCCCACCTCAGCCTCCCAAGTAGCTGGGACTACAGGTATGCACCACCACACCTGGCTAATTTTTGTATTTTTTGTAGAGACAGGGTCTCACCATGTTGCCCAGGCTGGTCTCAAATTCCTGGGCTCAAGTGATCCTCCTGCCTCAGCCTCTCAAAGTGCTAGGATTGCAGGTATGATCCACCACACCTGGCCTCCAGTTTTTATTATAGCATTAAAAGAAACAAACCAGATAGAGATTCTATGCAGAAAGAGATTTCAAGTGTTAGATTAGAATGTGAGCCAAAATTCCCCTAAAACTCTGGGGACTATTTTATTTCTCAAAGGAAGGCATTTAGTGAGTTCATCCAGACAGGCTCAATACTTAACCTGAGGCCACACCAGTGGTACCACTGTTTGGTTACGAGTACATTATCTTGTAAAAACTAGTCTGGCATCTTAAATCTCAGTAAACAGACTTCTTTCCATTGGGTAAATGGTCATTTTTGCTAAGATATGACATATAAAATTAAATAAATATATTTATATTTATATTTTATATACCTATATATTTATATGGATTTATATCAGTTCTGGGGGGAAGGAGACTAATTTCTTGATCCATGCTTTCTCCTGCTACCTCCACCACCTTGCCTGAAATTTGGAATTACCTACATTTCAATTCTTAATCCACTGCTCATTTTGAGCCTATACATACTTTTCCTTAATCATGCATCTTGACTCAGGGCCTTAAGTCATATTAGCATAGCCTTGCTCCCCATTCCTTCCCCATTTCTTATTTTTATGAAGATGAAACATTTGTCTGCCTTTCTCTCCGATGGTAGTAAGTAGTAAGGTTTCTCACTTCTTATAGGCAGTAAGGCTTCCTGACTCCTCTCTGTCTACTTTTATGAGTAGGTGCTCCAAGCTTCAAGGGTTCTAAGACACATGTTATGTCTCTTAATTTGTCTAACTCTTCTGTTATAGTTTAATACTCTTGGGTTGTGGTCTATGGACCTATCTCTTCCTCAACTCATTTCTGGCTATTCATGGTCACTGGAACCAAGTATTCTTATTCTTTTAACCACAGCCTCCCAAAGAGTCATATACTTGTGTATTAACTAGAGGTTCCTGGGCAGACAGGTTGCTCTACGGTTTCCAATGTTATCAAAGAAAGAACAAAACCTAGTGGCACCAGCTGACATTTTCTATGCTGTCTTGATGGTGGGAATATGAATTAGCACACAATACAAACAAGCCAGGAGTCCAAAGTATTAATATAGTGTTAATCCCTTAGGTGTAATAAAGAAATTAATGGTGAGAATAAAGAAATAGAAAGGATGTATCATACAAATGTGTAACTAAAAAATTAAAAAATGATTTCTTTAATGTAATCACCCCTCCCCAAAAGCTAATATTTTATTTGTCATTCCACAAATTTTCAGGAAATTTGTCTAGTATATATTTTCATGCATATGTTTGCTAGTGCTTTATTTTCTCTGGTTTAATGATATTTTCTTTCATGCTTACTGCTAGTGGCTTATCTCCACCTTCAATATATTTCTTTTCTTTTCTTTCCTTTTTTTTTTTTTTTTTTTTTTTTTGAGATGGAGTCTTGCTCTGTTGCCCAGGCTGGAGTGCAGTGGTATGATCTCGGCTCACTGCAACCTCTGCCTCCTGGGTTCAAGTGATGCTACTGCTTCAGTCTCCTGAGTAGCTGGGATTACAGGCACATGCCACCACACCCAGCTAATTTTTGTATTTTTAGTAGAGATGGGGTTTCACCATGTTGGTCAGGCTGGTCTTGAACTCCTGACCTCGTGATCCGCCCACCTCAGCCTCCCATAGTGCTGGGATTACATACATGAGCCATCGTGCCCAGCCTTCAATATATTTCTCAAGCCTACATGTTACTATTTTCTTTACTCCTAACTTAATTGAGAATTTCTCACCAATAAAGCAGTCTCCTCCTCCTCATTGCCTTAACTCTACTGGTACCAAGAGAAAAGTAACAGTCTATAGGACAGCTAGTTCTTGGACTTGCATTCTGGAAACACAAGAGACTTGCCAGGAGTGTAGGGTACATGCATACTTCCAAAAAGAGTAAAGAATTATGGTTTGCTGGCTACAGATGGTGATCAGGGGTTATACATATATTCAGTTGAAGAAATATCTCAATGACTTGTTGTTTTATTTTTTTCCAGCAGTAAAAAAAGTAACTTTAGAGGCATTTCTGATTTGGTATGTCTAGGGTGAGGACTAAGAATTTGCAATTCTAACAAATGATTTGGACATCAATGCTGTTAGTTCAGGGACTGCACTTTGAGAACCACTGCCTATTTCAGTGGTCACATCCTCAGTTCATGGAGACAATGCACTGTATGAGCCATCACACAGATCACATTCATCACAGGCACCTACTCCTTTTGTATTTGCTTTTCATCAGCATGGGGGAGAAAGAACGCATAAAGCCACATTGAAAGTGTACACTTAGGGGAGTAGACAGTAGCAAAGCAGAATGGCATGGTAAGGGCTTGGAAGTTTTTCCTTTTATTTATACGGAGGGTGGGGTGTGATTTACATTTTTTTGGTCTCAAAGGGTAGAGGAGCAGTTCTTAATCCTCAATGTGTTTCAGAATCACCTGGAGTGCCCTCAGAGATTTGAATTCAGTAGGTCCTTGGATAGGATCCAGGCATCTGCATGTTTATCCAGCATCCTGGATAATTGTGAAGCAGGTTTTCTAAGGATTACACTTTAACTAATAATGATTTTAGAAGATAGAAATCCAAGTGGACACTTAATCCTACATAGGGGAGAAATCAAAGGTACTATCAGGTATTTTCTTTTTACGAGTTGTACACAGAAGTTTAGGCACTAGAGCAGGGGGCAGCAGTTTTTCTGATTATTTTTTAAAAATAGGCAGAGAAGGAAGCAGAGCAGAAACTGACAGTGAAGACAGGAGGCAGTGAAGACCAAATGAGCTGCT
This sequence comes from Homo sapiens, assembly GCF_000001405.40. Taxonomy (NCBI): domain Eukaryota; kingdom Metazoa; phylum Chordata; class Mammalia; order Primates; family Hominidae; genus Homo; species Homo sapiens. The sequence continues at coordinate 64,578,160 of NC_000005.10, read as the reverse complement.
CAGTTAAGAGGTGACTGCATTTCATTTGCGTGAAATGACCAAATGCAACAAGAAAGCAGTCTGGATGGGGAAATCCCCTTTATTTATAAACAGATAGCTAGCAGAGAAGAGTTGTTGTTGCCTTTTCAAAAATCAGTTCTGAAAAGACAAAAAGTAAGAGTGGATGGCAGAAGGAGACCAGGTGGCAAATCGAGGAGCTACAGCAGGACTAGGAGTAGAGATCACCAGGTGTTAAGGACATGCCATCAGCAAGGAACATTCCAGTGGCAACAAGGCATGAAATCCTGCAGGTGCAGCCAATGCAGACCTGGGAATAAAACTACCTATCCCTTGTCTACTCGGTCACTAAAAAGAATGAAAATACTACTCTGTATGCGTGTTTATGTGTGAATGCATGTACATGTTTGTGTGTGTGTATGTGTCAGAGAGAGACAGAGAGAGAAAGACATCAGGCCAATGACATCAGTTTGGATGTCATAAGTATTCAATTTCCTGATCAGGCATTAGGAGTATCAAGGAGCTAATCTCTCTTATATTAATAACAGAAGTAAAGATGGAAACCCTTGCAAAATCAGCCTTCAGAAGGCAAAAGGAGAAAGATATAATATTCACATACTGGGAAAAATGTTCTCCTGTCTCTGGAGCAATGTAGTAGGATCTTGTTTTTAGTTCACCTGTGTGCATATGTATATGTGTACACAAGATTTTTTATTTTTTTTTCGAGATGGAGTCTCACTGTCACCCAGGCTGGAATGCAGTGGCCGGATCTTGGCTCACTGCAAGCTCCGCCTCCCAGGTTCATGCCATTCTCCTGCCTCAGCCTCCTGAATAGCTGGGATTACAGGCGCCCCCCACCAAGCCTGGCTAATTTTGTTTTTGTATTTTTAGTAGAGACTGGGTTTCACCGTGTTAGCCAGGATGGTCTCAATCTCCTGACCTCGTGATCTGCCCGCCTCAGCCTCCCAAAGCGCTGGGATTACAGGCGTGAGCCACCGTGCCTGGCCAAGATTTGGTTTTTACAAGTACTTCATCATGTCCTTTAGTTTCCTCCAAATTGCAATGCTTATTTGATTTTTAAATCTTTCCTTTAATTGCTTCCTCATATGAAATATCTTTCTTTTTCCTTCCGTAACTGAACCCTACCTTCAGAACCCTAAACTTTTCCCTGAGTATTTCTAAGTTCTCTGGCCTTTTCTATCTCTGAATTTAAATCATAGGCAAGGATTACCTTCTATGCACAGCCTATGCTCTACCATTCTTCTGAGCTCAAGCACAAAAACACTGTATTCTAGAAGTTCCCAATAAATTATTGTTCAATGAATTAATGAAGAAAATACAGGTTGAGTCTTCTGGTGATGGATACTTTTGGCTTCCTCTGTGACATCCTTCCCATTCCACACTCTCCCACCACAGAATATCCACTGGTTGGGTGGGGCTGACTCCACCCTCTAGCTCCAGGAATGGGCCTTGATTGCCCTTAACCAGTCAATGGAATTCCTCCCCGCTATCTACAGTGATTGGTTTAGGCATAAGCCTGGTCCAAACAGAATGAAGTTCACAACTTTTTCTCCGTAGCTGGGAGAAGTTCTCTCTCTTAGAGGACAGTGTGGTGTGCAGATGTGTTCACTGCAACTGCTGCAGTTTGCTAATGTGAGGGAAGCCAGCTCGAGGGTAAAGCCAACACCCAGAAGGCAGAGCATCATTCAGAATGGGAGCTGGAAGTCTAATGAAATCATGCTGAAGCCATGACTAACCTCTGGAGGGTACAATCCTTTGAGCCAATTTATTTCCTTTATGGTTTAAGCCAGAGAATGAGGTTATCTATTACTAACCTCCCTGTTATTTATGGAGTTCCCTCTATTTTTAAATCTTTGGGACACTATGTAATTTGTTTCTTGCAACTTAATTCATTTAGGAAAATAGCACTCTTGGATAGCATTTACTCCCCTAGTGAAATCACTACATACCTTGCTGTTTATGCTGAATCTAACAAAAGTCATATTCACAACAGCTAAAATAATAAATTTGAGAACTGTTGCTGCCCTAATTTCTGTTCAAAACAATCAGTGTTAGTACACACTTAATAGTACTGATATAGACTTCTTATTCATTTATATAGCAAGCATTTCCTGAACATTTAAATTCATCGTAATTGCATATAGATAGGCATATGATATGGTATATACGGACACTTTGCCAAAGATTAGCTTTTGTTCAACATTCCTCAGTGTTTCCGGCAATATTAAATGTAGATACCTTTTCGATGAAACTGAAGAGACCCCAGCAGACATATGGATTTTAGCATCTCTGTGGTATACATTTCTAAGCAGCACTGCAGCTGGATGTAAAGCCGACAGATTTCTGGATGGATCTCACCATCTTCCGGGCTGCAACAGAATGAAAGAGAAAAGCTGTGAACATTCTCAAGATTTCACTCATCAGCCATTTGTCTCAGCTCCGAGAGGGAAAAATGCTCAATAAAGATTCCTTAAAGCCTTGATCCTAAAATATAGGACTTCCTGCTTTCAAACCAATGACCAATGTGACAGTTCTTATGTAAGTCTCTTTCTGACTAACAGTTCTTAATTTTTTTCCCCTTCAGCAGCAGAGTTCTGCCGGGAGCTTAAAATCATAAATGCTTTACATAATTGAAAATATCAGACATCTTCAATTGAGCTGTTGGAACAAATTTCCAAAAACCATAAGAATCTCCTAGCCTGCAAGAAGAGATTAAAAACCCTTGTTTTTAGAGAAACTGACAAGAGCAATTCAATTACCAGTTGTAAGACAGCTCTTTAATATTAGGGCCCTAGTATAATGTGATTAGAGAGCAATTTACAAATTATTTTTATCAAGGTTTTTTGTCTCAGTCTAAAGATTCTTCCTTTATTGTTTGCTGTGGCTAATTTATGAAAGACCAAATGTTTTTAATGAAAAAATTAAAATTTCATGGAAAAAAGTAATAAAATTCTAATAATTATACTTAACAATCTAAAGCTAAATAAACACTGAACTTATGCTCTAAAATTTATTCTAAAGTCCTGTGTATTTCTCTATTAAATATGATAAAACATATATAAATGATAAAACATGGAGCAATCACTTTTGTTTTTGATTAAGGGGAAAAAAACTAGTTGATAAAATAATACTTTATTTTATATGCAACTAAAATAGCATGTGTTGAATAAAACAAATCAAATAAAAGGGATAAAGTTTAGAGATAGATTAGAAATAAAAGAAAGCCTAAAAGTGAACTCTATCAAATGTCTTAATGAGTTAACTTTACTTCCATCGCTATTAATTTAAAATGCAATGAAATCTGATTTTTAAATATAGCATTTGGATTTGGTTTCTTTGTAATGTGGGTCAGTGGCAATATATCAGGAGGTAATTATTAGATAAAAATAATGGCTTCAAGTTCTGGAATCACACTAAAGAGAATTTGTGTGTACACAGCACATTACAATGATAATTACTTTTCATTTTCAATACTTATTTAGTCGATGAGCAAGAGTTGATCTAACCATATGGCTTATATAACACAAGAAAATGCAAAATTCTTAGCCTCAGCATCAGTGATGCCTGCACATGTTCTTAACTGTGTCAGACAGAATAAAGTACCTCAAAAGAGCCTGCACACAAAATTTGGCTCTATCTGAAAATTGAAAGGTGTTATTTTCTCATTTGTGTCTCGTGGGTGCCACCTTAGGCCAACATAGGAAGCAAAAGTATCTCTGGGGAAAATATCGGGGTTTTTTTCAGAGCATCCTCCCATAGATGCCTTCCACTCTCAAGCTGTCCTCCGTTTCTCCCATCCCACCCCACTCAGACATACCCAGACATACACACACCCAGACACATACACCCAGACACACACACACACATACACACCCCTCTGATTATTTCATCTCGTCTTCAGCTTTCACAGTCTCTGACTGTGTCCTATTCCCTCATGGACCTGCTAGATTCTGAACAGATAATGGGCATTAATGGTTCATGTAATAAAAATTGATCCTTGTATATTATCTACTAATACATTTATTTTCAGAGCAAAATCTGAAGATAATGTCTTAATCTAAAAGGAGGGTAAAGGGAAAATATTTTAAGGCAGACAGGTCTTTTCTATGCTGGTTCATCATCCCAACATCAGCTGCCTATTTTCACCTACATACAACATTGGCCCTGGTGGCTCATAGGCAGATATTTTTTAAAATTTTATTTTATTTTTAATGGACACATAATAATTGTACATATTATGGTATATAGTGTGATGTTTTGATACATGTATATATTGTATAATGATTAAATCAGAGTAGTTGACAGATCTATTACCTCAAATATTTATCATTTATTTGTGGTGAGAACATTCAGAATACTCTGTTCTAGCTATTTTGAAATATAAAATACATTATGGTTAACTATAGTCATGCTACTTACTGTGCAATAGAACACCAGAACTTACTCCTTCTATCTAACTGTAACTTTGAACAATATAAATATAATGCTTCACAAATTTGCATGTCATCCTTGCTTAGGGGCCATGCTAATCTTTTCTGTATCATTTCAATTTTAGTGTATGTGATGCTGAACACTCATATGCAGATTTTTTTTTTAAAACCTTTAAAACCTTTTAAAAATCTGTTGTATGTATTGTACATTTTATGAGTGGGACAATTAGCCAGTACAGTAGCATCCAAGCCATGGAACATTCTTATTTTCGGAAGTACAAAATATGTGCCTAGTGGGGCTTAGCTCCAAAAATACGCAAACTTCATATATGGATGACATTTTATGTAATTTAAACAAATGACTACCATATTAACATATTTTAAGAACCAGTATATTTAGTTTATTATTTTACAGCTAGAAAAAGAGAGGTAAAGCAATGTATTAGGTGCTTCTGAGAAAAGGCAAGTCATGGAACCAACCCAAATGTCCAACAATGATAGACTGGATTAAGAAAATGTGGCTCATAAACACCATGGAATACTATGAAGCCATAAAAAATGATGAGTTCATGTCCTTTGTAGGGGCATGGATGAAATTGGAAATCATCATTCTCAGTAAACTATCACAAGAACAAAAAACCAAACACCGTATGTTCTCACTCATAGGTGGGAATTGAACAATGAGAAAACATGGACACAAGAAGGGGAACATCACACTCTGGGGACTGTTGTGGGGTGGGGGGAGGGGGGAGGGATAGCATTAGGAGATATACCTAATGCTAAATGACGAGTTAATGGGTGCAGCACACCAGCATGGCACATGTATACATATGTAACAAACCTGCACATTATGCACATGTACCCTAAAACTTAAAGTATAATAATAATAAAATTAAAAAAAAAAAGAAAAGGCAAGTCAAAACAGATTAAAATGCCTAATTCAAAACATTGCTTTGGGTGCCATCTCCCAAATGCCTCTGTAACCTACAGAGATTCTCAAACTTGTTGCAAGAAGAACTGAATAGGTGCCACCAGAAATCCCATCTGCCTAACAAAAATTAATTGATGCTAAGGTTGCATCATAAATCTTCTGGTTAACAAAGTCACATATACACTCATATATTGTCCTTTAATGTCTTGGGAAATTGAAATATAGAGAAAGAAAGGAACTATTTAAAGAAAAGTGGAAAAGCTAAGGTATCTTTTATGTTAGAGTTTCATGATGCCTAGACTAAGTTACATTAACTTCAGGCCTTGTACAATTTATTTCTTCCTCTTTAGAGCTTTAAGATTTATTACTGTTAGTGATTACTGAAAGTTCATTGAAATGCAAGTTGTCAAATGAGTTATAATATGTCTGATGTTATAAGCAGTGAACTGAAATACATTTTTGGGAAACATTAAGAGCATTTGCGTTATTTTCATAACAAATGAGTAAGAGCTGAAACATGGAGAATGAAAGAAGAGCTAAGAAAACAGCAATTTAAAAGCTGGAAACTTCCTAGGGATAAATTACAAAACCTTAGGAAACATTTATATTAAAATGAAATTGGACCTGTGTAATTCCTACAGGAATTGGAAGTAACTTAACTTAGAGGTAACTTTACCACATGTTACTTATGTTTAGTCTAACACGTTTCACTCTAATTAATCAGAGTTTAGGTCTATGAGAGTCACCCCTGGGGGTGATTCATTTAATTCAGTCAAATATGTTTTATGAGTTAGCGACTAGATTGTGATTATTTATTTTTTCTATTGAGTGTAAGTCAAGAGCTTAACCATTTTGATTAATTTCAAAGCCTTAGTATTGATAGAAAAAACCCTAAGAATTAACTTCTACAAAATTTCAGTGCTTTAGAGTTCAAGATGAATCCAAAAACATTTAAAATAATGACCAAATTATAAATCTGCTCTCAACTAACTCCTTACAGATCAGGATTTAATGACTAAATCATATAGCTTAGGAAAACTGAACTGCTGTAGGAGGAGGATGACATGAATACAGATTTTGCCTAAGTTGCCTCTTGATAATGGAAACTCTCTCTATTGTGAATATTCTTATTTTGTGGTTCAAAAAGTAATATGACAAAGGCTTACCAGAATGGCTAACTGTAAAAAAGACTCATAATGCCCAATGTTGGTGGTGATGTGGAGCAACAGAAATGCTCATACATTGTTCGTGGGAATTAAGTGGTCTACAACTCCTTTCAAAAAAGTTCTGGAAGTTTCTTATAAAGCTAAACATATACCCATCCTATGACCTGGATTCCATTTCTAGGTATTTGGCCAAGAGAAATAAAAACATATTCACAAATAGAGTTCTACAAGAATATTCATGGTATTTTATTTAGATTAACCCCAAAGTGGAAACAGCCCAGGTGTCTGTCAAGAGAAAAATGGTTAAAGAAATTAGTACACTTCTACAATAGAATAATACTCAACAATTAAAAGAAGCTAACTCCTGATCCTCAAAACAACATAGATAAATCACAAAAGCCTTATCTTGAATGAGAAAATCCTTACACAAAAGAATAAATACTGTATGATTTCATTCATATGAGGCTCTAGAACAGGTAAAACTGATGGTAAATATTAGAACAGAGGTGGGGAATTGACTGAGAAGGGGCATAAGTGAACTTTCTGGGGTGAGGGTGATATTCTATATCTAGATGGAGGTTTAGTTACACGGGTGTATACATTTGGCAAAATGTATCGAATGGTACACTTAAGATTTGCATTTGATTACATGCAAATTTTACTTAAAAAAAACCCAAAAGCAAATATTGAACTAAGTTAATGCTATGTATGCTGAATTGTTTATGAGTAAAGTTTACTGATGTCTGCAGGTTCAGAAAAATAATATGGATTGCTGGTTGCACAGAGGGATAGACAGGTAGATATGTAATAAAGCAAATATCGTAAAATGTTAATTGTAGAATCTAGGGAGTGGGTATTTATTTGATGACTGAGGATTTACATTTCCCTAAATAATTACATGGGATAAATTAATCAAAACCACTGGGAGGTTTTATAATTGGTAAGGTCAAGTTTAGGAGTTAACACACTGGGGATTTTAGTTACGAAATGTCTTGGCCCTGCATCTGTCTGCACTTTTGCTGAGGTTGCCAGACTTTGGAGACCTGTGTAGCTGCTAATAGCTTTTTAAAAAAACAGCAAAATGTTTGTTATTTTAATGGTCTGTCCCTAATGTAATGATTTATGTATTTAGTTGAATGGAGTGAGACATAATGAAAGGAAAATTGAATCTTGGAGTTAGAAAACTTAGATTTAAATATAGGTTTGCTCCTTAGAATTGCAATCTTAGGAAAACTAACTTCTCCGAGACTCAGTTTCCTCAGCTGTAAAATTGGAATAACACCTATATGAAGTATCTCAAGGTTGCTGCAAGGATCAAATGAAATCATGTGTGGGAAAGCAAGTATAAAAGGCAAAGGATGGTAAGAAGTTGGCTGCAATCCCTTTTAGCATATCAAACTTGTGTTTACTTAGCCTTCTGCTTGAATATAGTCTTTACTTATAATTATCTGCTATTCTATAAAAGTCTGTATTTGCTTTACAGTTCCCTAATATGGACTTTGCTTAAATAAATATGCCATTAGGCTGAGGAAAAAAAAGTGTGACCTCATTGACAATCACTCAGCATTTTACATAATTTAGTGATGACAGATAAACACTCGGGGTTTGTCAGCTAGCAGAAATGGAAACAGAACTCCTGTCACAACAAATATATCTAAGTTTCTCTTTTTGGAATCAATTCTGTTGTTGGCTATTATGCCAAGTGGCAAGGAAAGACCCAGGAAGCCAAAACAGGATGAGGGAAGGGGATGGTATCATTTGCTTTATTTTTTAGAGCAAATAGGAAGAAAAGGGATTAAATGACTTCTCCAAGGAGAGTGAGCTCCAGGACCTCTCTTCAAATATGCCCACTGGTTCCTCTCAAATGGATTCCATTTACAAGGATACACCCTAATTCAGTGCCAACCTCAGTGACAGCTTCAGTGCTTAGTCTTCATATGACTTCAGTGAGGGAGCTTTCTTAAGGTGGTCCCATACATCTACGTAATCATTGGATAGTTGGGGGCAGGGAAGATACAAATGTGTGTGTAAACCCAGTTATTAATTTTGGTTTCAAATTCTTAAAGGTAATTACAGACTCTCATAAATACAGAACAGATGCCAGATACCTACTGAACAACTACACTATTTCATACCAAAATGAGTACTACAATTAAAAAAAAAGAAGCCCAGTTAATCAGAAAAATAGAAATAAGACATTTTTCAAGGCACCTATACATATTATAGTTGAGTCTTGTCTCCATTTTTCTGATGGAGAAAAATGCTCCAGTGAGTTTTTATGAAACTTGTGCTTTAGGTGGAAACGTGTGTTGTTGTTTTTTTTTGTTCATAGAGAGCCTTAGCAAGTGTGATTCCACCAGGAGCCTTTGAAGAATAATTGCAGTAATTCCCCTCTCTTCACAGCATGTTGTTTCATGGGAACATATGGCTGGCTCTGTGACTTCCTCACCATTGAACATGAGCTGAGATCAAACTCTGCCCTGGAGCTATTCAGGTTCAGTCAGAAATAAAACTTGACTTTTGAAAGTAAAGGGGAACCTGAAGTGCAATGGAATTTTCTTTTGGTGGCTACTTTGGGGACCTATATATAAAGCAACAGGCCTCAGAGGGGCCAGCACCTTTTACAGTTTCTAGCGATATTCCGGTGACCATCTCCGTGTTGTCCCTTGCGTCCCTTGCTTGCCTTCGACCAGCACCTTTGCCATTTCCCATGACCCGGTTGGGAGAGTTGATAAATAATGGGTAGCATTACTAAGCACTTTATTCACTTTTTTTTTTCATTTAAAAAGTAAAAACTATATTTAAACATTTAAACACTAAAAAAAAAAAAAAACAATAACCATCAGTTCCCTGACCTTCGATGCTTATAATGAAATAAGACTAAAAATACTACTATTAAATTGTAAGTCATCTTTTATTCATCTTAAATGTAACTGTTTAATGCAATACTGGGGAAAGTTGGGAATAAGCGGTGACATTTGGGGCAATTCTGAAGGGGCGGTCTAGGCATTTCTCAGGGCATTGGTGGTTGAAGGAGTTAATGGTCGATAACATCATGACTTTGTGTTTTCATGACAGGAGTATCACTCCAAGAACTCATGCTTATTGGCAAGGAGAAAACTAATATGTACAAGGCACCATTTCTTAAATCTTTAAAATAAAATGTCTTTATTATTCTGTCTTGGCCTCTTCCTCCACCTTCCTACACTTTTTGGCTTGAGAGTCTCTTGGCCTCTCCATTTTTCCCTTTGATTCTCTTAATGTTGTCCTCTTTATGGTTTCCGGTTGGGCAAACAGCTCTTTAGGTCTTAGTCTTATAAGGTCTTGTGATTCTCAGAGCTAGCAGAGACAGGCCTGCGACTGATAGAGTCTGAGTGCTGAATTCTTCAGTCTCTGCTGGGATGAAAATCAGTACCATGGATTACATGGCTAGAACACAGCCCTTCTCCACGAATATAGCTAGGATTAGTTTATTTTTAAAGGTATTTATTTAAATATATTTGTATGTAAAGATATATATATGTATTTTAAAACTATTTATATCTATATATTATTTTAAAAGAGAGCTACATATACTTGAATTAAAGAAACATACAGGTTTCCACATTTTAATCTGCAAAATATTTTTGCATCTAAAATCAAGATTTTCAGCCTCTGATGCTTACTATTTTCACCTGATATCAATGCTCTTCAAAGGTCAATTATCATTCAATTATCATGTGTTATACTGGAAAGAAATCAACTTGTTAATTTTCATTATATCGAAAGTATGGGTCATTCATTGCAGTATGCAGTTAATTCCTGCATTTACCCACTGGAATTTTAGGGGTCAATACATTAAACTGTTGACTTATTTAAATAGTATTTAGCTTTTCATTCTTAATTATGTCATTAAGTTAGTGATGCTGTATTTCTCTTCAATAAAGCTACAGGTTTTATGGAATCAATATTGCCAAAAACAATGACACAGCTTTAAAACAACCTGAGGTAACTGGGCTGACTATGTTTAAATTATTCAATTGATCCCGATGTCTGAAACTTGAGAAAAATAATATGGATTGCTGGCTGGACAGAGGGATAAACAGACAGGTAGATATGTAATAAAGCAAGTATCGTAAAATGTTAATTGTAGAATCTAGGGAGTGGGTATTTGCTTGATGACTGAGGATTTACAAAAGAGAGATTTTAATTTAAAGAAGACATTATTCTATCATCTCATTTAACTGTAACAGCACAACATGTTGATCAATATTTTAATAATTAATTATGACAAGTTGTATAGTTATAGAATACCCGATTGTTGAATCCATGTGTTTGCCAGTTCCAAACGGACTCCTCTTCCATGTGAGAGGCTGTTTATCTAAAGTGATTGCCCACAGGGTGACAGAAAGACAATAAGGGCCCCCAAACATGGACCGCATTAGTGGTCCACACTACATACTAATAAGAATGTTCTGGGTGGTCCTCTGGGTGCACATGCGCAGTAGCTGTGCATGCTTGTTCATACGTTGCATGTCTCATTAGCATCTCAAATCTCCACCCAGGGGAGGTTTATTTTTACTATGAAAATGAGCAAAAGGTCCGTTTGAGGACAGGTAAAATTAAAGTGTATCTGTTCTCAGTAGGGGAAATTCCCTACTGAAGATAGCTTTGCTTGAGACAGTTTATCTAAAGCGATGGGCCACAGGGTGACAGAAAGACCATAAGGGCCCCCAAACATGGACCACACAGGCCTGAAATCCCAGTTTTTAGACTCACAAAAGGATTAGACTTGAAAGGCTCTGAAGCAGGATAGGTAGCAAAGGCAGTGACCATGTTCTCAGAACCCAGCAACCGTGGTGACCATACAGTCTACACAATAAACCCCAGCATTCCCACTGTAATTGAGCTCATTCAAGCAAAGCTATCTTGAGTAGGGAATTTCCCCTACTGAGAGCATGTAGACTTCAATTTTACTTGTCCTCAAACTGACCTTTTGCTCATTTTAATAGTAAAGAAAACCTCCCCTGGGTGGAGATTTAAGATGCTAATGAGACATGCAACGTATGAACAAGCATGTATAGCTGCTGTGCATGTGCACCCAGAGGACCACCCAGAACATGCTTACTAGTAACATCTCATCCCACCTCCTAATGAATAATCATGTAAGACTCCTGTAAAGCAGTCTCCCTAGTGCCAGTCTTTGCTGTCTCGCTTTTACAAGCAGCCTGCCCTGAATTCTCTCTCTCTCAGGGTGTACTGTCTATTCTGCACCTAACTTACAAGATGTTCTTTTTCTTTTGCAATAAATTACTCTATGCTGCATTTCCCTTGCTGTGTGCCCCTCGTTTAAATTATTTTAAACTAAGAAAACAAGAACCAGGGTATCACATCAGCTGTCAACAGCTCTTTGAGGAGGGTTTAGGAAGAGGGTAGTAAGTTGGCATCTGTTTATCATACTAATAATAATAATAGCAAAAACAGAGAGCTTCTACTATGTGCCAGAGACCCAGGGCTGCCAGCTTAGCTCTGTTTCATGCTTTAGTTGATATGATGAATTTAGAGGATAGTTAGAGCTTTCTTCCCCAGCCTTTTGCAGTCTTTTTCAGCTTCAGACTCCTACCCAACACTGGGGATTCTGTACACATTATATCTAATTGGATCCTGGAGTGTTATTGTCTTTTCACTGGCATGCAATGATAATTTCCATTTTTTTGCATAATTGTCAAAAATGACACTTCATGCCAATATGAGATGTATATATCTAGACAGATGTAAAATCTATTTTCTACAAAAAGGCCCATGCTTTATGCAAACAGAAGAGGCCAGTATCTATATACATGGAAAATATCATCTTCCACCATGAGTTTCTTCACTGGACTGTAAACTCTTTGAGTTAAAAAAAAGTTTATCTTATGTATCTCTGTAATCCCCAACCCTTAACATGTTGTCTGGTACCTACGAAATAAAACAATTCCAAGGTGGCTTTAAAAGCAGTGCCTATGTGGTGTGAGAAGTTGGAAGGCTGGGGTTACGGTGCTGGTTCTACCTCATCAGTTCCATTTCATCACTAGAGATTGGCTTCTTGAGGGTTTATTTTCCTGAAGCCTTCTTTTTTTTAAAAAAAACTATTTTATAAAAAATAATACGTATAAACAGAACTTTTATGCAGATACGTAGAAAGGGGAAAAGATGATTTATGCCAGAAGTAAACATCCTAACATTTTTGTATATTTCCTTGCAGATTAAAAAATAAGTATATGAATATACATATACACAGGCAAATATATATGTGTATATAGAGAGAGAAAGAGAGAGCAAGTAAGCAGCATATAATATATGTATTACACTGGAGTTCACTTTTTTACCTAACAACATACCACCTATTAGCTTACCCTTTCTAAGTGAATTAGCCTCCTGAGTCTTAGTTTTCTTATCTATAAATTGAGGATAACAGTGCCTAGCTGATAGTGTTGTTGTGATGAGTGAAGTTATTCATAATAAAGTCTCCAGTATGGTTATGTACGGAAAAAGATTAATGCATTCAGATGCTTGTCCAAGTTTCTTCTTTACTCATAATAGTTTGATGCAGAGATTGCATACTAGTGGCATGTGGTCCAAATGTGGCCACAAACTTGTTTCATTTGGCTTGCAGTGGTCAATCTTTTGTTCATGAATTCACACAACAATCTGGATTTCCTGTGTTTCTTAATGTCAGAAGATGATGGCAACAGGCCTGCTCTGGAGTGGCAGCACTTAACTGTTTCTGAGGAATAGCCACCCTTTTAGACAAGCAGAAGCTCCCCAGTTCTCCAGAGACCCCCGCCCAGACTGCTTCACATATTGACTGTATCAGCGTGGCTTCTGCTGTATCTAGATTTGCTAGTGCTGGCTTACAGCGCAAGGAATTAGGATATATAACAGTCTGCAAAGTGAGCTTACCAAACAACCACATTTTAGGAGGTAAGTCTGCAGGCAGCAAATGCTTGCATCAATTTTAGTGGAGTAGAATTTCCTCAATAAAAACGCTTTCTTTGATATGAAACATAAAATTGGAGATTAAGACTTGTTAATTACTTAAGGGTGTATAAAAAGTTCATCACAATCTGTACCCTTCTCATAAATCGTGAATTATAACTGAAAATAATTATTAAAAAGCTTCAAAAGTTCTTCAACAAACAAGAGCCCAAATCATGAAATAAGCCACATATTTGAAATATAGCAAAATAAGCCTTCTGATCTTATTCCAAGAAGCAAAAATTCAGTTTATCACTTAACCAAGAAGCATATTAAAGAAAACCAGCAAAGATCCTTGAAACTGTGTAGTTGGCTTCAGTTCCTCTAAAAATAGAACTTTGGAAATACTTCCCCAATGGCAGTTACTGAATTAACTGCAGTGTTTGTGGGCAGAGTGAGGCAGAACATGACCAGTGGCAGGGTGGTATATGGAACTGTATTAAGAGTATGGTAGCATTGTAGACTAGATGACTGAAGTTTTTTCTAGGTCATTTGCTTTAAAATAACCACTTCAATCTTGGCTAACTTAATTCTCCTATTCAATGTTAAGAGATAGGGAGTTAACTCTTTTGACTAGAGAGTGATGCTAACACTAACACAACAGTGAAGCTGATGTTTAATACCCTTCAGGTGAAGTGCATTGATGGACTTCTCTGTGAAGGAAAAAATGGGAGAAAAACACACAATTACAAATAAAAGAAGTGCAGAAATGTTTAGACTAAAAAGACACAGGCTGTGAAGCCCTAAAATCCAAGTTAATATTATCTTGAAGGATGTCAAAGAAACACGACAGACTTATTTTTGAAACTCCAAGAATTCCTTTTAGTTTCAAAATAAACACACTTAGAAGAAAGTAATCGTATTGTGTATTAGCTTGCTAGGGCTGCCATGACAAATTACCACAAACTAGGTGGCTTAATCAGAAATATACTGTCTCACAGCTCTGGAGGCTGGAAGTTCAAGATGAAGGTGTCAGCAGGGTTGGCTCCTACTGAGGGCTGTGAGGAAGAAACTGCTCTGTGCTTCTACCTAGCATCTGTTAGTTTTCTGGCAATCACTGAAGTTCTCTGGCTTATAAAAGCATCATCCTAACCTCTGCTTTCACCTACACAGAGCTTTCTCTGTGTGTGCATGTCCACATTTCCCTTTTTGATAAGGATATCAGTCATGATGGATTAGAGGCCCACTCTACTCCAGTAAGATTTCATCTTAACAAATTATATCAGCAATGACCTTATTTCCAAATAAGGTCACATTCCAAATAAGGGCTAAGACTTCAACATATGAATTTGGGGGACATACAATTCAATTCATAACATTGCTATTTGAAAAAGCAGTTGATGAATTTAAGAAACCATACCAGATTGTCCAGGCTCAAAGTATAAATGCGTTCAAAGATTAATTCATAAATGAGAGATCTTTATCTATAATACACTAGGGTTTTGAGTAGTTAACCCTACTTTCCCTTTCTACCCTTTAAAGTAATCAAGGAATGTATCATCCTAGATTTAAAATCACAGGTGTGCCAATGCTAGACTTCCAAAGTGACTTTTCATCAGGATCCAGGGAGAGGGTGCAAGCAGGAAAAAGGAGCAGCTGGGGAGACAGGAAGGGAGTGTGAGAGGGAGGGGCAACATTCTTAGAAAATGTGTTTTCTATCAGATACAGATCCTTAGGTTACAATATCCCTAGGAACAGGAAGTTTTACTCATTATCTGGCTTTCCCTAGCACCTAGCTTACTGCCTGGCTCATTAAAGGCTCTCCATCCATGTTTGTTGAAATGGATCAAACTGAACTTTCAAGGCTGACGGTGTGGAAGATGCCCAGTCCTGCTCACCCACCAGCTCACCTGGTTTCACTGTTGGAAACGGTGTTGTGCTGGATGGGCCATGGATTTGGGTCCCTGTGGTACAGGTACTGTTTTCAAAGGGACAAGGCTAGTAACTTCAGAGTGTTCACACTGGTGAAGGAAAGCAACAACAGTGCTGGGGGAGGAGAGTCCACTTGACTGTGGGAGTTCACACTTCCTCAAAAAGAGGAAAGAATATTGACATGAAGGCCACCTTCTAGCCTCCACATGAAGCATAAATGCTCCAGAGTCAGAAAGCCCTCCCTGGGTTTCTATCTTAATTTCATTACTTACAAGTGTGTGATTTTGGGCAAGTTCCTTAATCTCTCAGTGCCTCAAATCAGTATAATAACACTTCATAGCATTGTCAAAAAGGTTTAAGTGAAATAATATATGGAAAATATAAGGTCATAACAAGCAGAAATGAATGGAGGATGTGTTCCAGGGAGGCAATTCTGTACATTATGCCTAGAGAACCTTATATCTTTGTTACAGGCTTTCTTCTTACTGATTCAAATATTATTTATTGAGTCCCTGCTATTCAAAAAAGGATGAAATTGGGGAAAAAAAGAAAAGCATTACATTTTCTGGAGTCCTTTCCTAAGAGTTCATGAAGACTCCCATTATTATCCTATGTTGTTTTCATTTGATGATAACCTATTGTAAAGTCTCCTCTAACACAAATTGATTTTTCTGAATAGTGATAGAAAACTTGCAGTCCTTTATTTCCTTCCTTGATGTAGTATCATTTTATTGCCAACAAGTTTTCAACTAAATGGCTCCACCGTGGAGACCTACATATAATTTTTTCTTTCTTTCTTAATGATGAATTATAATGCACCATTAGGTGAAACAGAATGAAAGGACTCTGCACCACTGCCAATGGTTAGCTCAAGAACGGAAATAGCTCTTCAGGCAGACAGACATATGGGCAGGAGGAGATAGTGATTAGCAAACGTTTAGGTTAGTCTCTCCAATAGAGACATTACTTTTGATTTTCAAAGTGGCATAAATTATGTAAGATCATTTAGTGAGGGAAAAAAGCTTGGTGAGCTTCACTGACAAAGAACTTGAGATTAGGAACATGCTTTTATTATTTCTTGGCATTCAATTCAGCATTAGCAAAATATAATAATGTTTATTGGGAGTTTACTGTGTGCCAGACACCATGCTAAGCACTTACATCCCATTTAATTCTCACAATGAGTCTATGAGGTAGTTGCTATCCCTATCCTCAGTTTACAGATTGAGGGAAATGAGGCTTGAGAGAGGTTGTGAAAGTTGCTGAAGGTCATCGAAAGAGTAAACACAGTGATAGGACTCAAACCCACATTTATGATTTTAGCCGGTACATACCATTACCAGGGCAGAGTGCTCAGGACTGGAACTATATTTATATGTTTGTTTATTCATCCCAGGCATAGTTATTGAGAGCATACATTTTATAAAATATTGTGCTAGGAATGAAATAATCATTTTATATTTTTTCTTTGTTGAGCCCCTAAATTATTGTGGCTTAAAAGTTGGCCCTACTCCTAGTTCTTCAACTTTTCCTATAATAAGTGTACAATGTTATTTTCTGCCTAGCTCAGAGGAACACATAACACAAAGGAGGTGTACATGTCTAGCACAGGAGGACCATCAGGCTAGTGTAAGCTAGTGTATGTGGGGGTATGGGGAAAACTGCAAACAAGAACAGGGTGCTCTTGCCCCGCAGGGGTCCCAGCATCCAAGCAGAGCAATGAGAATGGGAAAAGGATATGGCAAGAACTGGGCATAGAACCCTCTCTAACTTTTTGTGCTCTTTTCTGCACACACAAAAATGAATGCATTAAGGGAAAAATGGGAAGGTGGCATCAGTGCTGTTCATGGACTGTCATTATTCTCTCTTTTTCCCAAGGAGAGACAAGAGTCAGGATGCAATGCAATGGCCTCTTCTTATCATTTTACTGGGAATGTGAGACTTCTCTGCATAAGGGTGGAAATGAGTACTGAAAATTATTTGCAAAGCATTTTAGAAGTGAGAAGATTATTAATGCAAATATATGACATTGTTAGTGACTAATGGCTCAGTTGGATTTACAAAATAAGAGCTTTCAAATATTATGCTGAGACAAGTGGTCTTCAAATTTTGTATATCATGCATTTCTATAAATAAAAAATTAAGCATGCACTTCTAGTGTACAATATGTACTTGTTGATAGATTATATATATATATATATATACAATGATATTAACTATTAGACATATTTTTAAATACAAAAAATAGAAATTAGGAAAGGAGTACGTAATAAGAAAGTTACGATATTTTCTTTCAGGTCATCTTGCACAACTTCACTTTGAAGCCCACAGACTCAGCTTGGAGGTTCTCAAACTTTAATGTGCATCAGAATCACTTGGAGGGTTTAAACCACAGAATGCAGGGCTCTATCCCTAGAGTTTCCAATTCAGTGGGTCAGGGGTGGGGCCTGATCATTTGATTTGTGTTAAGTTCCCAGCTGATCCAGGAACCATACCTTGAAAACCACTGGGTTAGTCTGTTACAACCATATGTCTGTAAACACATTAAAACAAAATTGTTTTTAAATGCTAGATATAGAGAAAGTACCATAAGGTTAAAGTTTGATATTATAAGTAGGCATTTCATGGTTTGAGTTATTTGCAGGAAACAGCCAGTGTGACATATGTAGTGCCTTATTAAATGATGAACATGCTATGTAATATGGCTTAATTTAGACTGATTAGAATTCAGGTATCTCAAATAATGATTTCTGAAACATGACAGTTACTTCCAGTAAACCTTTATCCATTCAGTGCTTGTCTAAAATGAGTGTTTTTCCAGGATTTTGACCAACTAGTTTGAGGAGGGCCTTTCATTACACTTTTAGTGGACAAGTTATTTTTTTAAAATCCCACATGTATGTTTGATTTGGTAAATACCAAATAAATGCACATATATGTCAATGGAACAACACAGTATTAAAATAAAATGTAACTATTGGAAGGATGCTCAGCACCTGGCAAATGTACTGCATCGGTAAAGCTTGTTTTGCCTTTTTTCATTTCTTCCACTAGAACTTCCTCTTTCCCTTTTCTTCCTAATTTTCTTATAGTCCTCCTCCTTCCTCTGATCCCTTCCATTATTCCTGGGTCCTGTTCTGCTTTTATTTTCTGTCTATAACATTGGCTAAGGTGTTAGCCTGAAATAATACAACATGCCAGCAGAGATATTTACATTTAAGAAAATGCTGAAGATGAGAAGGCACCTAGCACCCCAACATCCAAAGGAAATAAGTAATAATGTTGACATGCCAGTGGTAAGGTTGATATTTAAAGCAGGCAACCTGATAGGGTTCCCCCAAATATAACATACAGCCATAGAGCTAATTCCACAAACCAAAAGAGTAGTGTCAGTAAACATCCAACCACTATCGGGGGAACCAGTCCCCAATATTTCAACATAGGTTCTTTTCTATTTTCCATAAGTGTCGGCCGCTCTGAGAAATAAAGGGAAAGAGTACAAAAGAGAGAAATTTTAAAGCTGGGTGTCTGGGGGAGACATCACATGTCAGCAGGTTCTGTGATGCCCCAGAGTTGTAAAAGTAGCAAGTTTTTACTAGCAATTTTCAAAGGGGAGGGAGTGTATGAATAGGGTATGGGTCACAGAGATCACATGCTTCAAGAGCAACAAAAGGTCACAAGGCAGAAGGTCAGGGCAAGATCACAAGGTCAGGGCAAAACTAGAATTACTAATGAAGTTCCGTGTCCCGCTGTGCACGCATTGTCATTGATAAACATCTTAACAGGGTTCAAGAGCAGAGAACTGGTCTGACTAGAATTCTCCAGGCTGGAATTTCCTAATCCTAGCAAGCCTGGGGGCGCTGCAGGAGGCCAGGGCATGTTTCATCCCTTATCTGCAACTGCATAAGGCAGATACCCTCAGAGTGGCCATTTTAGAGGCCTCCCCTGGGAATGCATTCTTTTCCCAGGGCTGTTAATTATTAATATTCCTTACTGGGGAAAGAATTCAGTGATATTTCTCTTACCCATTTTCAGTAATAAGGGAAATATGGCTGTGTCCTGCCTAGCTCCCAGGCAGTCAAACCTAATGGTTATCTCCCTTGTTCCCTGAACATTGCTATTATTCTGTTCTTTTTTCAAGGTGCCCAGATTTCATATTGTTCAAAAACACAGGCTTTACGAAAAATTTGTGCAGTTAATGCAATAATCACAGGGTTTTGAGGTGACATACATCCTCAGCTTATGAAGGTGACGGGATTAAGAGATTAAAGTAAAGACAGGCATAGGAAATTATAAGGGTATTGATTGGGGAAATGATAAGATGTCAATGAAATCTTTATAATTTATGTTCAGAGATTGCAGTAAAGACAGGTGTGAGAAATTATAAAAGTATTAATTTGGAGAACTAACAAATGTCCATGAAATCTTCACAATTTATGTTCTTCTGTCACAGCTTCAGCAGGTCCCTCTGTTCGGGGTCCCTGACTTCCTGCAACAAACCACATTCCAAGACAACACGTGGAGAGAAAAATGTTTTCAGATGCCATTCAGGATAACTAGAAAAATCTTAGTAAGTAGATCCAAACACACACCTTAGCTCAAAGTTAAGCAGATGGAAGACCATGGGAGGCTCCAGGCCCACAGTGATATGGCATCCCACATGACAGGCACCCCTGAGAAGCCAAGCATTGCTTGGCAGATTATTCCAGGAGGCCTCCTGGAGGGTGTGCATTCAGATTGCAAATCCTATTTGGTTTGCACTCCAGGTTTTACTGTGCAAGGTTTTATCCTAATTTTAAAAGTGTCTTGTTTAA
This sequence comes from Homo sapiens, assembly GCF_000001405.40. Classification (NCBI taxonomy): domain Eukaryota; kingdom Metazoa; phylum Chordata; class Mammalia; order Primates; family Hominidae; genus Homo; species Homo sapiens. The sequence continues at coordinate 64,557,933 of NC_000005.10, read as the reverse complement.
AAAGTTTTGCTTCATTTTGGCCTTCCTTCATTTCTTGTCCTTGAACTCATGTCACAGCAGTCTTAATATGAACTGACATCTTATTACGAATCAAAGAAAAGGCAGCAACACCCACTTTACAAATTAGCATAAGAGTTAACAAAGAGTCCCAAATGGTGAGATTACCAGAAAGGGGCAATGTTCTAGGCAAGGGCAAGGGCAAAGTCAAAAGTGATAAACTCAGAGGCTTTCTGCCTCCTGTCCTAAATACATCACTTACAGTGGTGTTCATTTAAAAGCAACTGGGAAAGGCAGGGGATACACAAAGTCATGTTCCTGCTCACATCACTAAAATTCCAGAGATCCATAACAGATATCCAATATGCCTACAGCTGATAAAAAGTGCTTGAAGGATGTCAGGCTGCAGCCTCCGCTGGGACCTGAAGTCTCAGCAAAAAAGTAGAAAGACAGCTCTTGTCTGTCTTGGGTATCCTGGCTGGGCTGTCTGAACCTGCTGCAAAGAGCACTTGTATCAGGATGGAAAACATCGTTCATTAGAGAGTGGGAGGGATATTAGGAAAGTTGGTCCAGGCAGAAAATGAAAGAGTAATACCAGGAAAACTGGCTGACAATATGACAGAAGGAAAGGACCCATCAGGACAAATCTGCTTGGGTACGTTGGGGAGCATAACTACATTTCTCCAGTGGAAGTTTACACATGCTGGCTGCTAGTGCTGTAGTGAAACATCTTACAGAATACAGCCCATTCTTTCCCAAGAATTTAGGTGAGCAGGAAGTATTTTCTTTTTAGTTTTTACATTACAGTTTTTGTTTTGTTTGTTGTTTTAAGCAGTGCAGTTCCACTTTTTAAGAATGTCATTTATTTTCCAAGTTGACTGCTTAGAAATACAAGTACCAGTGTGGACTTAAGTTACATTTCCAAAATATGAATAAGTGAAGTCTCCAAGTGATGTGCACTAATTCATTTCCCTCTAGTAAGAATTATGAAAAGCAGTCTCCTTTACAATTTAAACATGTTGTCTAATTAAAGATACAAATCTCAAAATGCCTTTCTTCTCTCAGCACTCTATTCTTTCTTTTACACACACAGAGGCACACACACACAGAGATTTTTTTTTTTTAGGTCAAGCACACAGTGTTCTACCAGAAAGGGATAATGTCAAATAAAAATAATAGCAGGGATAAAGAAAAATAATCACCCAGTCTACATGGAGCCAGGAGAAAGACTTAAAAAACAAAGGCTAAGAAGTGGTAGGGCAATTTTCCCAAACCTCAAGCAAAACTATATATTTTTTGCTCTTTGAAGATGAGAAAACAGTATTATGGCGACATTAAAGTCATTTTTAGATAAAAAGTAAATTTCCCCAAATATCACTATCTTAATGTATCTAAGTTAAAAATTGTAACAAATTTTCCAAACTAACCATCTGGACATTTTCTTTTACTCCGTTAAAATCACTGGAAGCCAATTTTGTGTGTGTGTGTGTGTGTGTGTGTGTGTGTGTGTGTGTGTGTGGCTGGGGAAGATTGCTTTTTTTTTTTTTTTACTTATCACGATATCATAAACATTTTTCCACTTTAAATCATTTCCACTTTAAATCATTTCAACCACTGTGGAAAAACATAAATAGGAAACTCACAGAAAAGGAAATATGAAAGGTTAATAATGACATAAAAATACTCAGCCTCATTAGTAATCAGGAAAGTGCAAATTTAATTCAGTGAGATATATCATTTGATACCCATTAGATTAAGAAAAATAAAAACACAAAAATAGCAAGTGTTTAAGAGGAGGTGAAGCAATGTACCGATTGATGGAAGAGTAAATTGATATAATCATTGAGGAACAATTTAAAGTATCAAGCAGAATGGAAGCTGTACATATCAACAACCCATCAACTCTACTTCTACACCTATTCTCTAGAGCAGCACAAATCGACAGAATTTCCTGCGATGATGGAAATATTTTCCTGTGCTGAGCAATATGGTAGCCACTAGCTTCATGTGGCTAAGGAATACTTAAAATGGGCTGGTGGACTAAGAAACTGAATTTCAAATTTAAATTATGTAAATTTAAACTTCAATGTTTCTAGCATTGTGTAGCATATGTGTACCAATTTTACCACAGAATTACCAGAACTGAATGTTTTTAAATTTTGACATTTTGTTAATTTACAATGTGTGAAATTCAATTTCTTGTTTTACCATGTGCTTTTTCAACTATTAACACAGTTGAATATTTTTCCTTGTGTTTGTTTATTTCAATTGTCTGTTCATACCCTTTGTCCATTTTCAGCTCAAGTCCTTGCTATAAATCCCAGGTAATCATTTTCTTTTTCTCTGGCAATAGTTCCTACTAATTTTATATACTCCTTAATTTCTTTCTAATTTATATCCCCTAGAATTTCAGTGCAGTTTCCCCCATTGTATTTTTCAGTAAGCATTAAAACATTTTTGCATTTTTACTTAAAGTTTCTTGTTTGAAGGTTAAAAAAACTTTAGTCAAGATCAACAGGTTCAACTATGTAAAAAATAAACTACTATTGAAACAAAACAAATACACATTGAGTAAAACAGACAAATATGTTTGTCTAAAATGTGATGAGCTCCTTTAGTTCATAAGAAAACAGCCAATTGCGAAGTGTGGCAAGGTGTTCATTGGCTGTAATCTGCTAAACATTTTATTCTGTTGTCATCTGGCTTCTATTTTTGTTGTGGAGAGACTCACTTCAAGCTTAATTGTATTGTAGTTCCTCTGTAGGAAATGTCTTTTCTCTCCTGTTGCTTTTAAAAACTTCCTTTGTCCTTAGTATTTTGTGGTATCATTCCATTGTCTATTTTCCTGTTCTGAAACTCTTATTAGAAATATGTTGGATCTTCTCATTCTGGTCTTCATGTCTTCTTAATCCCTTTTTATATTTTCTATATCTTTACATTTCTCTGTTGCATTTTCTTCAGATCCATCTTCCAGTTTACCTTTTTTAGCTGTATATAATATACCCATTAGGTTTTAATTTTAATAATCATATATTTTGTATATATATATTCATTTTTAGAATTTATACGAGTTATTTTCCAAGTATGCTTGGTCTTTTTACATACTCTTTTGTCTCATGTTTTCAACTCTTCTCTTGTGTCTTTAATAATTTGACATATTTATTCTAAGTCATTAACAGGTAATGGTATTAACTAAAGCACTTGAAGGATTAAATCCTGCTGTTGACTTTGCATGTTCACTTTCACCTTTGCTAGATTCTTTCCTTGTGTGTTTTACAATTTAACTTGTGATCTCATATTCAGCAGACTTTATCTGTAGATTCCCGAGATGTATTGCTTTTGGACTATAACAACAGCATAGTCATGATTCTTAGGATGCCAAGTCAAGCAAACATCCTAGTTATCTTCTTGGGCTGGTGGTACATTTTCCCTACCTCTTCACTAAGCATGTAGCCCTTTGAAAATCCTGGCTTGAATCAGAATTGTAACAGGAGACAAATGGATGATTTGAAGAGCATCTCTTTACACAGGGAGTAATTACAAAGGTATGGGTGGCAAACAGAAACACCAAGGAATTTGAGGTTGGCTGTATGGTGCTGTCACTACGAAGGATGAGAGGAGGAAGAGGTTCCTGGCACCTGAAAGGAGAAACAGTTGTATAGTGCAGGCCTCCTTGTGTAGAACAGTGACCTGAAGTTATGGGAGACAGTTCAAAATAACCTTATAGAGAGGGAAACGGGAGAATAAATACCCTGGCTTAACTCTTCTCCTTCCTTCCAATGTCCTGCCAGAGTTCCCGATTGACCAAGCCAAACTGAAATCCAGAGGATAAGGGAGTGGGATGATATAGGGTGGAGAAGGGCAAAGAGCAGATTTGGAGGGTCAAAGAGCAGATATCCAGCAAATGACTTTATGTGTATATCTCAGTTCTAATTCCTGCTCCCATATGATCTTCTAACTACAAGCCCCTTTTTAATGGAGTCAACGAACTCCCTCAGGGAAGCCATAGTATCAGACCATGCTGCCTTTCAACTCACTTTTTGTTCCCTATTCATTTTTGACCCTGAAGATTTCTCTTCCTTTCCTGTGAGCTTAGTTATACATTTAAGAGGGTGTTTGTATACATTGTACAACTTAACTATCTTGTTTGTTTTAGGGTTATTTAACCAGTGTCTTGCCAGAAATAGATACATTATCTCACTCAATCTTACACAGACCTTATGATGTATAGATATTATTAATATTTTAAAGATGAGGAAACTGAGACTTGGTTAATTCTCAGGGGTCATAGAACTATGAAGCCTAGGATTGGTACTGTAACCCCAAAGCCTAGGCTCTTTCTACTACACTAAACATTGGGTGCAAGCATGCTATCAAAATGTTGGCTGACATTTTGAAAAAAAAAGTGTCATTTTGAAAGAAAAGAAAGAAAGAATGTAGAAAAGAATAAAGGAAGAAAGGAAGGGGCTGGGCATGGTGTCTCACGCTTGTAATCCTAGCACTTTGGGAGACCGAGGCAGGTGGATCACCTGAGGTCAGGCATTCAAGACCAGCCTGGCCAATGTGGTGAAACCCCATCTTTACAAAAATACAAAAACTAGCTGGGTGTAGTGGCACATGCCTGTAATCCCAGCTACTCAGGAGGCTGAGGCAGGAGAATTGTTTGAACCTGAGAGACAGAGGTTGCAGTGAGCCAAGATCATGCCACTGCACTCCAGCCTGGGTGACAGAGTGAGACTCCGTTTCAAAAAAAAAAAAAAAAAAAGAAAGAAAGAAAGGAAGGAAGTCCTACAGATTCAAGTTACACTAAGTCATCTGAAAGATTAACTATAAAGCTCCAAAAATAAAAGGCAGGCTAAAAAACAAGAATACTAGAGGTTCATTAATAAGGACTGACATTTAAGTGTTATAGGTTGTAGGTGCAAATCTGACATTGATTCTCCCATGGAAGCCATTATTAAGGGAGGAAGAAAAGAAGTAAGTCCGGATAATTTATTTTCTTTTGGACAGCACAAGACTGTGAAACAAAAACATCCTGATTTCAAATTATCTGGGCTTTTGCAACTGTCCCATGTTACTTCAAAACAGAATCAACTACTTGGGAGGCTGAGGCAGGAGGGTTACTTGAGCCCAGGAGTTTGAGACCAGCCTGGGCAACATAGCAAGACCCTGTCTCAAACAAAACAAAACAGAATCAAAAGCCTCTAAATTGACAAAATAGTCAATAGACACCATGGAAAGAAAATAGCAACATTTACAAGGCCAGAAAGCCACAATCTAAATTCAGACCCAGGTGATAAAAGTTGATGATGCAGAGTGGAAATTCTCATTCCAGATTATGTCAAATCAGGACAAACACTTATTTCATGTATAGAGGCAATTCAAAATGAAGATATGTTAGGTATGTCGAGTCAGTTCTAATTCTCCTTTGTTGAGAAATTAGTACAAAGATGAAAGAAAACAAGAAAAAGAAAAGAGTATTCCCTCAAATTCAATAAGATACTTTCTACTTCATAAGTTAAATAATTAAGAAAATGTCAGAAGTAGTTAAGATAGTCTAAAAACTGACTAAGTTTTGGAAAGCTATTTAGAAAATATTACTGACTTTGGAAAAAATAATCAGAATTGGGAGAAGAAAAAAGAGTAACCATTTCTGAAAATAAGAACAGAAATTTTTTCTAATAGATACAGTTTAAAATACCATTTTAGGAGATGTTATTTAGGGGATAAATTTTTCTAGACTGTTTACATTAGACCACATTATCACCATTTGTGATCATCAAAAGACATATTTTATTGAGTGTTGAATACACTTTAAAATATACCTTGAAAATAAGGAAAGTTAGTTATGCAGATAAAAAGTGAAGAGATGCCTTATTTTTTCAAAAATTTTGATAAAGGCACATATCCAGCTTCTAATACAAATTCTAATCCAGTTTATAAGGTATCAAACATGCAGTTGTCAAGCTAACCTGCTTCTGTTTTTAGTATACTGATGAACTTACTGTAAGGATGTCAGCTGAACAAATATATTTTTAGAAGAAACTATATATGAACCAGATGATATGTAATTGGAACAATTGAAAAGTGATCTTAAAATTTAAAAAGTAAAAGATTTTAGATTAGCTATAAAGAATAGAATACTAATATATAATGGACAAAGTAATTATTAATAACTGCTTAACATATAATAAAAGGAAAGAAAGAAATTTCAACAAAATGCAGAAAAACATGCTGTGTTTTCCAGACCTAAAAACGGCCAGAAGCTCTTTAGAATAATCCCTTTGGTCTTAATAGTCAAGTGCTGATTTGAAATATTTTTTCTAAATACTTGATGTCTAAAGATGAATTGAAGCACACTCTATAGTCTTAATATAGGGTGACTCCCATAAAAATCCTTAAGACACACAATTTAGGAGGCTAAGGCCGGCTGATGGCTTGAGGTTAGGAGTTTGAGACCAGCCTGGCCAAAATGGTGAAACCCTGTCTCTACTAAAAATACAAAAATTAAGCAGGCGTCATGGCACACATCTGTAATCCCAGCCACTCGGGAGGCTGAGGCAGGAGAATTGCTTGAATTGGGGAGGCAGAGGTTGCAGTGAGCCAAGATTGCGCCACTGCACTCCAGGCTGGGAGACAGAGTGAGACTCCATCTCAAAAAAAAAAAAATAAAATAAAAAATAAATAAAAAAATAAAAAAAATCCTTAAGACACAGGATGCTTCTATAGACAGTAATCTTTGTCTGTTTTAACACTGTGTTGGCAGAAGGGGGAACATTCTTGAATATGGGTGACAAATAAGCAGAAAACCCAATACAGAGAGTAGGTAGAAATGACTTGTGTTTCAAGGAAATGAAACCTCAGTTGAGCCAGCATTCAATATGGGTAATTGCTGCTATGATTGTATTCTGGTTTAAAAGCTTTAGAAAATAATATTTATATAATTTTGAACACTTCATTTTTAATATATTAAGAAAATGCAGCACATATACACCATGGAATACTATGCAGCCATAAAAAATGATGAGTTCATGTCCTTTGTAAGGACATGGATGAAACTGGAAACCATCATTCTTAGCAAACTATCGCAAGGACAAAAAACCAAACACCGCATGTTCTCACTCATAGATGGGAATTGAACAATGAGAACACATGGACACAGGAAGGGGAACATCACACACTGGGGACTGTTGCAGGGTTGGGGGAGGGGGGAGGGATAGCATTAGGAGATATACCTAATGCTAAATGATGAGTTAATGGGTGCAGCACACCAACATAGCACATGTATACATATGTAACAAACCTGCACATTGTGCACATGTACCCTAAAACTTAAAGTATAATAATAATAAAATTAAAAAAATGCATTTGTTTTACAAAGTGAGAAATATTCTACATTATGGCCTGAATCCCCTCACCAAATTCATATGTTAAAGCTGTAACTGTCAATGTGATGATGGTATTTGGAGATGGGGTATTTAGATGAGGGTTAGATGAGGTCATAAGGGTGGGGCCCTAGTCTGAGGGGTTAGTGCCTTTAGAAAAAGAGACATCAGAAAGCTTGTTCTCTCTTTCACTCTGCCAAGTGAGAATACAGTGAGATAGTGGCCATCTGCAAGCCAGGAAAAGAGCCCTGGCTCTCAACTATGCTGGCATCCTGATCTTGAATGTTCAGCTTTCATAACTGTGAGAAAATCAGTGTCTGTTGTTTAAGCCACCTGGTCTGTGGTATTTTGTTATGGCAGTCAGAGCAGACTGCTATAACAAATACCTAAACATGTGGAAGTGGCTTTGGAACTGGGTAATGGGTAGAGGCTGGAAGAGTTTCAATGTACATGCCAGAAATGGAGGTTAAGGGTGATTCTGGTAAGGTATCAGACAGAAATGAGGAACATATTTTGGAAACTGCAGGAAAGATGATCCTTGTTATAAAGTAACAAAAAACTTGGCTGAACTGTTTTCTCGTGTTTTGTGGAAGGTAGAACTACCAAGCGATGACATTGGGTATTTAGCTGAAAAGATTTCTAAGTGTTGAAGGAGTGACTTGGCTCCTCTGAGTGCTTACAGTAAAATGTAAAAGAAGAGAGATGAATTGAAGAAGGAATTGTTTAGCAAAAAGAAACCAGAACTTGAGGATTTGGAAAATTCTCAGCCTACCCATATTATAAAAAATAATGAGAAAGCTTGTTCTGAAGAGAACACCAAGGGTGTGGCTGGACCATCACTTGATAAAGAGCTTATGGGATTATATGAGCAGAAGCACTGCCAGTTTGAACAGAAGGGGATGGAGACAGGACAAAATGAAGGAAAGCTGTCAGACTTTTCAGACTTGACAGGAGGGAATGATCAAGCTATTCAGCCATGTGTGATATTCTTCAAGAAGAAGAAAAAATGACCCTGAAGGTGATTCAGAAATTTCAAGGCCACTGCCTCAGTATCAACAGGCCAGATGGCCTGTGCCTGAAGCCTTGAGGGCAGAACTGCTTGGCAGAGCCATGGGGGCAGGACCCCCACCTGGAGCCATAGGCTGACTCTGCCACCCAGTTGACCTGGAGGACAGAGCATTGAACCAGAGAGGATTATTCCCAAGCCTTAACATCTAATGGAATTTGTTTTGCTAAACTTTGGACTTGATTGGGACCTGTCACCCCTTCCTTTTTTCCTATCTATCTCTCCCTTTTGCAACGGGAATATCTAGCCTGTGTCTGCCACATCATTGTATTTTGGAAGTACATAACTTGTCTGTTTTCACAGATATATAGCTGGCGAGGAATTCTGCCTCAGGATGAATTATACCTCAACTCTCATTCATATCTGATTTAGGTGTTATTTAGATGAGACCTTGGACTTTAAAATTTAGAGGTGATGCTGGAATGAGTTAAGACTTTCAGAGCTATTGGGATGGAATGTATTTTGCGTGAGAGAAGCATACAAATTTTGGAAGGCCAAAAATGGAATGTGTGTGACTGAAAGCTTGTGTCCCCCGACAAATTTATATGTTGAAGTCCTAACCCACAATGTGATGGTATTTAGTGATGAGGTCTTTGGGAAGTAATTAGGGTACTTAGTAAAAAAAAAAAAAAAAGGAAAGGGCTTTCGACTTTGCCTTTTTTTAGAAAAACAAGAACAAGGCCAGGAGTGGTGGCTCATGCTTATAATCCCAGCACCTTGGGAGGCCGAGGTGGGCAGATCACTTGAGGTCAGAAGTTCGAGACCAGCCTGGCCAACATGATGAAACCCCGTCTCTACTAAAAATACAAAAATTAGCCAGATGTAGTGGTGGGTGCCTGTAATCCCAGCTGCTCAGGAGGCTGAGGCAGAATTGCTTGAAACCAGGAGGCGGAGGTTGCAGTGAGCCGAGATCACGCCACTGCACTCCAGCCTGGGTGACAGAGCGAGACTCCATCTCAGAAAGTAAAAAAATAAAAAAGAGAACAGGTTGGTTGTCCAGTAAAATACTTCAAATCTTGAATTTATGTTTCTATGTGGTGTAATTTAACTTGCGTACAGAAATTTTAAATTATTATATAGGCAAACGTGTCAAACATTTTTGTTAAGTTCACTGGTTTCAGTGTCACTTTTATAAAGGCCTTTCTGACTCAATTGTATAAATATGTGTCTCTATTATTTTCTAGTACTTTAATACTTCAGAATTTATACTTAAATCTGTAACTTATCTTATTTTGGTGAAACGTTTAAACAGATTTCTAAATATATTTACCATGATACTTGTGAGAATTGAATAAATTATTTGATGATATTGACAATATTGTATATAATATTAACAGAAATATTTATTTACTGCAACAATAAGTTATATTGTTAGATAATAATAAGTTATATTGCTGCGGTAAATAATTATGGATAATGTTATATGAATTGTCATATATTTATTTCCTTTGTCAGGTTTTAGATATTGCATCAAACAGAAACTTCATCAAAGAGGAAAAGACCATGATTCAAAATATAGAAGAATCAGTAGTCAGTTTTATGTCAATAGTTGATTTTATTATTTTTCCCCAAAAGGCCTATTAGCATTCTTCAAAGTAAGTCTATACTTCTGATTATAGTGAATGATAACTTCAAATGTAGCATTCAAATAAAAATGAGAAGAGGAAAGAGAACCATTACCTCTAAACTTACTACTTATACAAAATGTAAATTGGAATAGATGCATCAATGAGAAACTTCCATCATCATGGAAGCTATTTGCTTCTTTCTAATATATTAGATGATAATATTTCCTACCTATTCAAATTACGGGTGAGACTATTTCTGACAGAATTTTTCTGATCATTATGTTATAGTTAGATAACTTTAATGGATAATTAAATTACTTATTTCTCATAAAATATCCTGAATTATGTTTGCATGTTTTTAATATTAGGTTTGTTTTACTGGAAAGGTGGTAGCCAATGATGGGAAATACTTAAGGTAGGAAACTTTGAAATTGTTATAAGTACCAGCTGAGAAGCTGTGGTTTATAATCTCAGAAAACCTGAATTTCAAAATGTCTGCTCACCAGAGGCTAAAATTAAAAAGACAGACAACACCAAGCTTTGGTGAGAAGAATTTCCATACACTGCTTTAGGGAGTGCAATTGATTCTACCCCTTTAAAAACTGTTCAGCTTTATTTATTCGAGTTAAATATATATCAACCCTATGCTCCAGAATTTTGTTTCTAGATATTTACCTAAGAGAACTGAAAATCTTTGTCCATCAGAAGATATATACAAGAATATTCATAGCAGCTTATTTCACAACAGCTCCAAACTGGAAACAACTCAAATGTCATTCAATAGAAAAATGGATAAATTGTAACACATATATACAATGAAATACAGTAATAAAGAAGAAAACTACTGCTACTTGCAACACATGGATGAATCTCACAGATATGCTGAAAGATTTCTTTTACATGAAGTTTAAGAACTGGCAAAAGTATGGTGATGGAAGTCAGAATTTTGATTGGGGTTGAGGTTGAATTCCTCTTGGGGTTGAGGTTGATGAGAAGGGGCATGAGGGAACCTTCTGGGGTGCTGGAAATGCTCTACATTTTTGTCTGAATGGTGGCTACACAGGTGTATACATATGTAGGAAATAAATGAACTATATACATAGATTAGTTCATTGACTTGCTTTACTGTACATAAATCCTGCTAATTTCATAAGAGACAATAAATTCTACTGCTGATGATTTTAACTGCATGAAAGTTGGAATAAATATATTCAAGTTTCTCCCATGTTAAAAAAAAATTCTTAATCTGTGTCCCTTCTCAGTATCTGCCTATCTTTCCTTCCCTTTAGAGACAAAGTTCTTTCAAAGATGTCTGAGTTCACCTTCTTTGATTCTCACCTCCCCATCTTGTTTCAACCACTGTCCTCTTCCCTTCCCTGAAATGGTCATTTTCAGGGTCCCTAATATCCTTGCTATTAAATGTAAGGGACTGTTTTCGGCTATTTTATCACCTGTTGGGAGCATTTCACACTTTTGACCTCTCTTGCTCCTCCTTGAAATTCTCTACTCCTTGCTTCTGTGACGCTGTCTTTCGTTGTTTTACTCCTACCTCTCAGGGTGCTGCTTCTTGGTCTCCAGGGTCTTATCTCTGTCTGTTCATTAATCTTGGTGATCTTCAGGGTTCTGCCCTAGCACTCTTCATCTCACATTACACAGTCTCCCTGACCACCTCATCCATTCCCAGCTAATTTTTGTATTTTTAGTAGAGAAGGGGTTTCACCTTATTGGTCAGACTTTTGTTTTGTTTTGTTTTGTTTTGTTTTTGAGACAGAGTCTTGTTCTGTCGCCCAGGCTGGAGTGCAGTGGCGTGATCTTGGCTCACCGCAACCTCGCCCTCCAGGGTTCAAACAATTCTCCTGTCTCAGCCTCCTGAGTAGCTGGGACTACAGGTGCACACCACCACGCCTGGCTAATTTTTGTATTTTTAGCAGAGATGGGGTTTCACCATATTAGTCAGGCTGGTCTCAAACCCGGTTACTTTCATTAATACTTGTAACATTTATTTCCGGCCCAGAGCACTTTACCAAGGTCCAGATCCATTTATCTAGCAGCCTATTAGGCATTTCCACTTTGATTTCTCACAAGTTCCCCAAATTCCATATTATTATCTCACCCCTAAACCTCCTTTCATATGCCCTAGCTCAATGAATCGCATTCCCATTTACTCAGGTGACCAAGCTGGAATTTAATGAGTTATCCTGTTATCTTTAATTTATTGCCTTCTTTTCTTAGATGCAGTTAACTACTTTGAATCTACCATTTGAATTATACTTAATTTCCTCCGGTTCTTTCTACTCTCACTAATGAAGTTCAGGTTCACATCACTGCCCACATAAATTATGCAGGCATCCTCCTAAGTTTTGCCCCCTTTTCACTTATTCTCTACAGTATAGCTAGAGTAAACTTTCTAAGATGCAAATTTAATTATATTATTGTTTTGCTTAAAACTCTTCAATGGTTCTCTATTGCCCTCAGGATAAAAGCCGACTCTTTTTTTTTTTAATTATTACACTTTAAGTTTTAGGGTACATGTGCACAACGTGCAGGTTTGTTACATATTATACATGTGCCATGTTGGTGTGCTGCACCCATTAACTCATCATTTAACATCAGGTATGTCTCCTAATGCTATCCCTCCCCACTCCCCCATCTCACAACAGGCCCCGGTGTGTGATGTTCCCCTTCCTGTGTCCATGTGTTCTCATTGTTCAATTCCTACCTATGAGTTTTTTTTTTTTTTCAAAGACATTGTCTCACTCTGTCACCCAGGCTGGAGTGCAGTGGCATGATTTCAGCTCACTGCAACCTCTTCTTCCTGGGTTCAAGCTATTCTCCTGCCTCAGCCTCCTGAGTAGCTGGGACTACAGGTGCCCACCACCACACCCGGCTAACTTTTGTATTTTTAGTAGAGACGGGGTTTTCGCCATGTTGGCCAGTACGGTCTCAATCTCCTGACCTCGTGATTTACCTGCCTTGGTCTCCCAAAGTGCTGGGATTACAGGCATGAGCCACCACGCCCGGCCAAAAGCCAACTCTTTAATGTGTCTTACAACATGGTTCCTGCTTACCTCTTCAGCCTAGTCATTTTCTTCTGCTCATTGATTACTACGGCCTTAGATTCAATATACCATGATTTATTGCATCCCAGAGCCTTTGTATATGTTCTTCTTCTAGTCATCACACTTTTTTCAACTCCTTTTCCCTTACCAACTAGTATATGGTCTTTTTTTCTTCTTCTTCTTAAGAGACAGGGTCTCGCTTGGTTGCCCCGGCTGGAGTGCAGTTACATGATCAAAACTTACTGCAACCTTGAACTCCTGGGCTCAAGTGACCCTCCTGCCTCAGCTTCCCAGGTGGCTAGGACTATAGGCATGCACCACTACCCTTGGCTATTTTTTTTTTTTTTTCAGAGACAGGGTCTCACTATGTTGCCCAGGCTGGTCTCAAACTCCTGGTCTCAAGCAATCCTCCTGCCTCAGCCTCCCAATGTGCTGGGATTACAGACAGGAGCCACAATGCCTGGCCTCCTATACATCTTCAAGTCTCATCTTAGATATCTATATCACTTTCTTTGGGAAATCCTCCCTAAAATCTCTAACCAGCATTAAGTACCATCCCTGTGAGATCCCAGTACATCTTCTAGGATGATACACATCATACTGTATTTTCACCACCTGTTTGCTTCTTTTGCTCCCACTGCAGCGTAAGCTTTATGAAGGCAAGAACTGTGTCTTGCTCACTTTTGTGCCCCGGTGCTTAATACAATGCCTGACACATTGGCTCAGTATTTGTTGAATGAATGAAGAGTAAGTTAACCATTTCTAAAGTACTATATATCAAATATCATTAGTTCACTTACACATGTAACTCTGCTATTAACAGAGATCGGTAAATCCAAAGGTGCCTAAAGCATCATCTTTTTGGCATTTCTGGAAAGGGAACCATTGAAAAGTTTTTAAAAAATGCTGAAAGTCTACCTGTTGTATAGAGATGCCAGGGATTTTATTTTGGCCACAGAAACTAGACCTCAGGCTCTAAAGTTAGTGATTGAAGTCTACAGTTTAATGGCCTCTGCCCTTCCCTTTTCTTTTCATTATTTATAGGGAAGATAGAGTGGACACCCTTGCTCCAGCCCTACTCAACCTTCACTTTTGTTGGGGCACAGCAGCCCCTGGGAACATGACTCTCCCTGCTCCACTTATGCAGCTCCTACAACCTGTCATTTTCTTGCATGACCCTGCCACCCTATCCACAGGTGATTGGTTATACCTGGACATTGGACTTAAGCTGTGTTAATCATAATATCTGTCCCCTGCCCCTAACGGATTAGTCCAAAGATGGGCACAAATCTGTTTCTTTTCTGGGATTTTTTTTTAAACTTTTTTCTCCAGGTAGAGGGAGCTGTCTTGAGTGAGAGATAACTGTCACAGAAATGAGAAACAGAGAATCCTCATGGTGTTTAAGTTCTGGATTCAGTTAGTTGTGAAAGTTACCCTTATGCTTGTCCTTCCCATATTTAGTTTCAACACTTTCATGGGGTTTTTGCACCAATTAATTCTCTTTTTGGCCTAAGCCGATTCAGCATTAGTTTCTGTCACTTGCAACTAAAAGAATCTTGTCTACTTTAGAGTGAAATGTTCTACTTTTGATTCTGTCTTGGCTGATGTTGACAAAAGTAAGCTCCCAACATTCAACAGTCTGGCTCAATACACAAAATATAGATAACATGGTCATATTTTACCAGTAGAGGTCTTTTCTAACATAAGTCTCCTATGAGTGTCCTCAGAGTGATTACTCCACCATTTTTCTTTTGTAGATAGATTCCTGTATATATCATATATACTCTAAGCACTTACTTTTAAATATGAACTATCAATATCGTGCCATTTTCAAGATGGAGATATGCCTCCTTGTATGGCTCAAAAAGATCATAAATATGACATTAATGAGTCTACTTCCACAAGAAAGAAAATATCTGGAAGAGGGTAAAGGAGTTCTCCCCAAACATTGACTTCACAGAGTCGTATGGGGCCAAAAGGAGACAGTGCATATAAAAGAGACAAGCATCATGTACTTAATAACTTCGTATTTACTTATTTGCCCATTCTTGTGATGAAAATGCTGTGCTATAAAATGCTGATGAATTCTAGACATAGAGCTCAGATTATTCAATTCATTGGGCTGGATGAGATGTAAAATGTTTCCTTTTACTGGTAAATCAAGCCATGTCCACATGGAACACAAAGGGTTAACAGCAGCCCTGAGGCTCCTTCCTCCCTACTTGGGGAAAATGGTTGACCTCAACCAGGGCTCCTTGTAAACATGCTATGGCTTTTAAACTAGTGGAAAGATACCAGAGAGTCCCTATCTAAAATAACGTTTTTGGGCAGCATAGACTTGATCTGTCTAGACTACATATTATAAATAAAGTGGTAGTTTATGGATTTATGGGTCATGGCTGGCTAGAGATTGGGAGGTAGTCCTGTAAGCATTTTTAATCTAACTGAAGGAATATAAAACTGGGAACCCCCAAACCAAAATGGCATTTTTTAAAAAACAGCATGTTCACATATTGTTCAGAACTCAGCTGTTACTCTGAACCAAAGCATGTCCTAATGCAGGACAAGGGGAAGTTCTGGGGAGCTGCATCTGGTAGACTCAGGCACCTTCAGTAACTCTTCCATGTTGGTTCTTGCCAGTACCTTTGTATCATTAGTAAAGTCTGGTGTTGGGTAAGACGTATGATACTGACAAGTCTACCCTAAACTTTCAACTCTTTCGTTAACACGAAGTATATATAAGGAATAAGAAGATGGCAAATGCAGCATGTCAGAACAGACAGAGAGAGGATAGATTATTTTAAAAAATAGCGCTGTGAAAATTCGTTAATATCTAGAAATACACGGATTCGTACCTCAGATTATATACTAGAACAAAAAATAAGATGGAAAAATCGTAAAAAAAACTAGAATAGAAAATATATGAAATGATTTCTGATTTTTACTTAGGGAAGTTCTTTCTAAGCAAATTAATTAATTTAAAAAAATCAAAAGAAGAACCAGCAGAGATAGGATTGGTAGACAAAGAACAAACTGGGGGAATGTATTTGCAATGTATTTGACAGAGGTGGATTTAGTACACTGAGTAAAAAAAAACACTGAAAAAAAATAATGCTACTGTAGGAAAATGGCAAAGGTGATAAACAAATAATTGTCAAATGGAGAAATACAAAGTGTAAATAACTGTAAGTACAACTACATTCTAATTAAGAAAACTCAGTGAAAAAATGAGATACAATTTTCTGTGTATTACATTGGCCACACTTAAGAATGATGAGAATACCCTATGGTGATGACCAGGATCCTGGAATGCAGTTGCTGTCATCTCCACTGCTGGTAGGAAGTGAATGTGGCAGACATGGAAGAGAGAAACTGCTGTGCAGGGTACGTGAGCTCACCACCTACAGCTGCTGCGTTTTGGGGACCCATTGATATGGCTTGGCTTGGATATTAGTCCCTCCAGACCTCATGTTGAAATGTGATTCCCAGTATTGGAGGTGGGATCTGGTGGGAGGTGATTGGATCATAGGAATGGATCCCTCATGAATGGTTTAGCACCATCCCCTTGGTAATGAGTGAGTTCTCCCTCAGTTAGTTCCCATGAGATCTGGTTGTTGAAGAGCATCTGGGACCTCCCCCTCCCCTCTCTCTTGTTCCCACTCTTGTCATGTGGCATGCTGGCTCTCCTTTGCCTTCTGCCATGATTGTAAGCTTCCTGGGGCCGTCACCAGCAGAAGCAGAGGCTGGCACTATGCTTCGTATATGGCTTGCAGAACCATGAGCCAATTAAACCTCTTTTCTTTATAAATTATCCAGTCTCAGGTATTTCTTTATAGCAATGCAAGAATGGACCAACACACCCACCAAAGCGTTCATGCCAACACCGAGCTCTCCAGAATCACTAGCCACTGACTAAGCATGGTGATATCACTAGAACTGGGTCACTCTGTTCAATGCAGGACTCCTCTAGCAGGTCATCTTTGCTCAGGGGCTTCCCCTTGGCCTGGTTGAGGCTTTTTTTGTGCTGCACAGCTCTTTGTAGCCCTCCCTCCTTTCTTCTGCCTGTTCTTTCACAAGTGTCTGTCCTGATGAAAGCCATCCTGTCTTCCCACTGCTTTCTCTCCCCTTCATCCTTCACAAGAGTTCCCCCAATAATAATCTTGCATTTCTAATTTCATCTCAGTGTCTGGTTCCCAGAGGACTTGAACTGAAGAAAACAAATTAGTATAATCTTTTTGGAGGTCAATATAGTAATACTCTCTGACTTGTATTTTACTTTTATAAATTTATACCAAGGAAAAAAGCAGACATATTTATAAAGTTTTATGTAGGATTATTTGACACATATTTATAATTGAAAAAAGTGAAAATTAATGATAAATGATTGGAGATTTTATTATAGTCCATAAAACACTACACATGGTCTATCAAGTTTAAAGATATGGGAAGTTCACTGCTGCTTGTTTGGTTGGTTAAAAAAAAGAAAACAAAGTTATGGCAAATTACTTATTATACTGTTAAATGAAAAAAGATTATAAGTGGTACATACAACATGAGTTCAATCTTATTAAAATATGTATGTAGACAAAACAACAAATTATATACTTGAGGATGTAATTTTAATTTTATTCTTTGCATTTTCCCTGTAATTTCTAAACTTTCTGCAATAAACACATTATTTTTACAGTAAAAATGCATATTATTTAACTATAAAGGAATTTAAAAATCAACTACAGAAAATATCAAAATATAATCAATGATTATTCTTTGGGAGATAATATTATAAGTAATATTTTTCTGCTTTACTCTCTTTAATTTTTAAAATTTTCTAAAATCAAAAAGAATCTTCATTAAAACTAGATTTTACTGATTTTTTAAAAAAATTGTGCAAATCAGTTGAACGAAGAACAGATAACCTCAACAACAAATAATACTGAAACATTGGGCATTCATATTTTAAAATATGAACTTAACCTACATATCATACTTAGTTCAAAAATTAGCTCAAAAGGGTTCACAAACTCAAATGTAAAACATACAACAATAAACTTTAAATTTTTTTTAAAAGAGGGTTTCACTATGTTGCCCAGAGTGAAATGCAGTGGCTATTCACAGGTGCGATTCCACTAATGATCAGCGCAGGAGTTCTGACCTGCTCCATTTACAACCTAGGCTGTTTCACCCCTCCTTAGGCAACCTGGTGGTCAGGTCCCGGGAGGTCACCATATTGATGCCAAACTTAGTACAGACACCTGATAGGCATAGTTAACTACAACCCAGAAATGGGCTTAAGCAAGCTTTCTGCCTCAGCCTCCTGGGTAGCTGGAACTATAGGCCAGCACCACTGCACCTGGAAAAACTATAAAACGTCTAAAAGAAAACATAAGAGAAAGTCTTTGTAGCCTTAGATTAGACAAAGAGGTCTTAAATAAGACACCAGAAGCACAATCCATAATAGACAAAAATTGGTAAATTTTAGTTTATCAAAATTTTTAAAAATTTGCTCTGTGAAAAACACTGTTAAGAAAATGAAAATACAAATCTCAAACTGGGAAAAAATATGAAATTACATATCTGACAAATGACTCATATCCAGAATATATAAAGAACTCTCAAAACTCAATAGTAAGAAAACAAACAAACCAATGAAAAATAAGCCAAAGACTTAAACAGACACTTCACTAAGAAGGTGATGAATGCTAAATAGCACATAAGCAGATTCTTCACATCTCGAGTCATTAGGGGAACGCAAATTAAAAACACAAGATATCTCTCTACACTTTTAAAATGGGCAAAGCAAACAAAAGCTAACAATATGTAGTACTGAAGATGTCATTAAAACTGGAAACAACTGAGAGTGAATAGATAAACAAACTGGGGCACAGCTGCACAACAGAATGCTACAGAACAAATAAAAAAGAATGTGCATTCAACAATGTGGATGAATCTCAAGTAGAATCGAGTGGAATCTCAAATGAATTAGGCTAGTGGAAGAAGCTAGACTCAAAGGCTACATGTTGCCTGTAATTCCAGCACTTTGGGAGGCCAACAAAGGTGGGTGGATCACTTGAGGTCAGGAGTTCAAGACCAGCCTGGCCAACCTGGCGAAACCTCATCTCTGCTAACAATGCAAAAATTAGCTGGGCATGGTGCGGGTGCCTGTAATCCCGGCTACGCAGGAGGCTGAGGTAGGAGAATCTCTTGAACCCAGGGGGCAGAAGTTGCAGTGAGCTGAGATCGTGCCACTGCACTCCAGCCTGGGTGACAGAGCAGGAGTCTGTCTCAAAAAAAAAAAAAAAAAAAAAAAAAAAAGAAAAGGAAAAAAAAAAAGAAAAGAAAAGGAAAAAAAAAAAGAAAAGAAAAGGAAAAAAAATGGCTACATGCTTCTGATTTAGCTTAGATGATATTTTGACAAAGACAAAACAAAGGCAAAACAAAGACAAAATAGTAGGAACAAAATACAGATCAGAGTTTGCCGGGGCTATGAAAAGGGGAAGGGATTGACTATGAAGTGGCAACATGAGAGAATGTTTTGGGGGTGATGGAACTCTTCTGTATCTTGATGTTGGTAGTGGTTATACAACTCTACACATTTGTCAAAACTCATAGAAATGTACAACAAAAAATGAATTTTATTGTGTGTAAGTTAAGCCAATTTTTAAAATTAGGGAGACAGAAAAAAGTTAAAGATTGTTTTATAAAAGCATTCATATCTTTGATAATAATATTAATTAAAATTAGCTATGTATATGGTTTCCACTAAGTAGGTAAAATAATGCATACTTCTTAGGTTTATCAACTTTAAAATTCATAAATCCATAAGAAAACAAGTTAAAGAAGAGGTTAAAAAAAGAGCTTTCTATTTACTTGGATGAAACATTAGTTCTGTCTAGGGTTATGAGTTCTTTCCTCTTTCTTTCCTGTCTTTTCCACTCTTCCCAGTGTTCCCATGTGGCTGCCTGCAGATTTTTAGCACTAAGAGAAGTTTGTCATATGGATCTTCATTTATCAGGCTTTGAATAGCATAATGGAATGCTTTTAGCAGCATAGCAGAGCAGGCAGAGATATTCTTCATATGACAGACTCTTCCCTGGATCATCAATGAAAGTCAAGAGTCTAACACTAAAATCATGTCTCTGTGAAGGAATTTCTATCATAATCTAAAGCAAAATGGTCCATGATGTAGCTTTCTGGGGCTCTGTCTTGATCCAGGAATAGAACTTAGAGAAACTCACATTCCTAGGCTCTTTCTCTTGAATACCATGATTTTAGCCAAGTTTCTGGGGAGAGGTAAAGCTTAGAGAGCCCAAAGTGAACATCCCTAGCAGGTACAGTAAAAACTCTCCTACCCAGTTTACCAAGACAGGTAATTGGGTGGTTAAAAATTCAACGCTAACTATATATCTTAAACTTATTTTAAATTGAGACACATAATTATACATTGACCTACCAGTCTTCTGGTGATAGCCTAAACCAAGCTTGTAACCCGCGGACAAGGGCTACAAGTGACCCAGGAAGGCTTTGAATGTGGCCCAACACAAATTTGTAAACTTTCTTAAAACATTATGAGATTTATTTTTGCGATTTTTATTTTTAGCTCATCAGCTATCATTAGTGTTAATATTTTGTGTGTGGCCCAAGAGAATTCTTTCAACATGGCCCAGGGAAGCCAAAAGATTGGACACCCCTGGACTAAGACCTTCTCTTTGAGTATGAATCCACTGGTTGGAGTTCTTCATCTGGCAAGAACCATACTCATTATACATCATCTCCACTTGATCTTAGCCAAAAGGCTGAGAAGCGACACATAAAACATCATCTCCAATTTCCAGTTTTAATTTCTTTAAAGTCTAGAAGAAACTTGAAGATACTTGCAATGCACACCTAGTGCAGAATCATTCTGGAATTTTATGATTATTTGTCACAGTCTTTTATAGTTACCTTGGCCACACCAAATTTGATAGCATTTTTTTTTCTTACTAGCTCATCAAATTAATTTTTATGTTAACAGCTCTTTTTTCCCTCCTATTTCATCAAATCACCTAATCAAAATGTGGCAAAAACAGGTTTGGAAACCAGCATAGCTGACTCTTGGTAAGCATACAACTGAATGGGTGGGTCAGAAGTCCATATCTGGTACTAGAAGTAGCTTGCTAAACAAGGCATTAGTCAATAGGTTTCACAGAGGGAATGGAAAGTTTCCCTTAATCCAGTGACTCACGTAAGTGAAGGTCAGTTAAAAGAATACCTTTAGCACCTGAAATGTAGGTATTCTATGTTATTGATACATTTTGTTTTGAAAGTAATGTCTGTGATTTGCACACTGAATTGCAGGGATACATGTAAATAGGATGAAGATTTTCATCCTATAAGAACAACTATTACTGTTACTAAAGGTATTTGGATTTTTTATTGTGAACGCGTGCGACAATAAACACCATAAGGAACATAATCACCCTAGTTAACATAATTTCTTTTTCTTTATGCTCCCTGACCTGAGATATCTGATGCTCATTGGATTTCTCACATAGTCCCTCTCAGAATTTCCCATATGCTCTCCACTTCCTCACTGTACTCACAAGCTCTTGCTCCCAGTTGAAGTTTGTCTACAGAAATCAGAAATATCTTCCCTTTACTGGTACGGCTATGGGCTTCTGTCTTCAAACTCAGCCCTGCCCCAATATCATGAGCTACTTTTTGTCTGTTCCTTGATGTTTAATGAGGATATTACCTACCCAAAGAGACTTCTGGACTTCAGTTCTGAAAGTCCTGCTACACAGGGCAAGACTACTGTATTTTGACTTTGAGAGTGACAAATTATCCTTCTGTGCAAAATACAGACTTAAATTGGCACCTGTAGAGTAATTTATTTCCATCACAATTGTACCCCCAAGGGCTTGTCTACATAGACACCCCAGACAACTAAGTCTTTTCAAGACTTTCTGTGTTACCCATTTTGATTCCCAAGACTTTCTTCCAATAAAGTAGATTTTTACCTTTTTCAAAGCTGATATTAAGCTGCTCCTTTGACAATAACTGGCCAAATATTCCGTTGCTTCTTGAGGTCATAATCTAAAAGATATTGGCAGGACCATTTAATCTCCATAAAGGAGGATGTATGTCTTCCTGTCTGCTATGGAAGGAGAGTGAAAATCTAGTTCAGCTAAAAGCTATTTGAATTTATTCAGGTTTTAAGTTGAATAGGAATGTGAGAAAGTGTTACTTTGTGCTACTTAAAATTGAAGCTCTCTATGTTGGATAACCTTTCCTGTCATTTAATAATCAACCTTTCTTTCTTTCTTTATAGGCATTTTAAGGGGATCATATATTTTTCTCTTTGATTATTTATGATGGTTAGCTGAAGAGGTGGGGCTGGGAGGGAGCATCTTTCCAGAAGTTATTCCTGCATGGGGTGAGAGCAGAGCTAATCCTCTCCTTAGCATTCATTCATGTTTCAAGTTTCTTGTAGCCATTAGGTCAAACACGGGATGCACTGAGTATATTTAAGCTGAGATCAGGCATCTAGTGTATACACTTGTTCTTTAAGAAGAAAAATGTGCATACTTTAATAGATCTGTATATTCAGAGGTCTAGATCAGGATAGGGAATAAGTACATGTTTCCATGAAGAGCAGAAGCTCTTGGTAGATGGGCCAATAGCCACTGCCTCCACGTCCTCACATCTCACTTTCTCTTCAGCCCTCCAATCCAGACTTCTGTTCCCAGTGCTCCTCTGGCTGCTCATGTCAAGGTCACCAAGAACCTCTCTCACAAAATTCACTGGTCCCTCTGTCCTTATCTTACTGGACATTTCAGCAGCATTGGCAAAACTGTCTCACCTTCCATCTGAGACAGTTTTTCTCTTGACACCCAGGGCCCTATCACCCTAAATCCCTGGCCCCTACTCAGTCGCCTTTGCTGGATCTTCCTTTTCTTCCTAGGTTTTAAGAGAGCACCTCAGTGCCCAGCCCCTAGCTCTCCTTTGTTTTCTATCTACATCATCTCCCTACATGAACTCATCCAGTCCGAAAGTTTTAAATACCACCTCTATGCCAGTGCCTTCCATATTTAAATTTATAGCCCTGACCTTTCTTTTGAGCTCCAGATTTGTCCTAATGGACATTATCTTTTAATGGGTATTAATGGATGCTGAAAGGAATCACCAAGTTATTATGTTCAAACACAGCTTTTGATTTTTTGCTCTCTCATCTGCCAAAGGGTACCTCACCTAGACCTCCCTGTTTCATGGCACAGCACCACCATCAAATCAGTTACTCAGACCGACTTGTTTCTGATTCTCCCCTTTCCCTCATCCTCATCACTGCCCCTCCAAGCTGCAACCCTTCTGCAAATTCTGCTGGTCTTACCTCTAAACAGTTGCTTACCTCTAAAACAAGCAACTATTACCCAAGGGACGAATTCCTCTATTGCCCTGTACAGTCTTTTCTTACACATCTTAAAAACATAAATCTCATCCTCCAGTGGCTTTTCACTGCATTTTAAATCAAATCCACTCTTTCTTGTGACCTAGCGAGGCCCTGACAGGCTGGTTGCTAACTCCTTCCTGACCTTGTCTTGTCCTGCTTTCCTGCCTCTCACCACACTCCAGTCTGTCAGGCTCTGGAACTAGCCAAGTTCGTTCCTGCCTCAGGGTCTTTGCATTCACTCCTCCTTCTGCCTGGCATGCTCTGCCCCAGATCTTCGCATGGCTGGCTCCTTTACCATTCAGATCTCACCCCAAATGTCATCTTCCCAAAAAGGACTTTCCTGGGTACCTGAATCAGCTGCTCTTTTCCTCCACCCACAGATGCAGCACACTTGCTCTCATATTATCCTTTTTCTATTACTGTCCTTATACACATCCCACTTTTGTAATAATCTTGTTTATTTATTTGCTTTCTTATTTATCATATGTCCCCTCTGGCAGAAATAAATTTCACAAGTGTAAGTCATGTCTGCTTTATTTCCTGGGGTATCCCCAGTGCCTGGTACATAGTAGGTACTCAATACATCTTTGTTGAAGGAATAATTGTAGAATAAATAGTTGTAGCTTAGAAATAGACATGAGGTGGGGAGGGAGAAGGTTGGCATAACGTTTAAACTTCTAACGGAGTTTTACTTCACTGTATCAAAATACAAAGAGGCATAAAGCTTTGAATGTATGTGAAATTGTTGTTAAAATCTGGGTCTCTTGTACATACTTTATTTATGGAAGAAAAATATGAGGTGATGATCTTTATGTTTAATTCCTCATCCTGCCACTTTCTAGGGCAGGGGTTCATAACTTTTTTTGTCCATTGGGATCACCTCAGGGGCAGGGCTTCGATCCCACCCCCCAGGTGGTCCCAATTGATGTGGGTCGTGGCCTGAGCATTAGGAGTTTTAAAGATTTACAGGTGATTTTAGTATGCAGAAAAACTTAAGAACTCGTGTTCTGGGAGATATTTATGGAACTCATGAAATATGCTTTCCAAAGCTCATGTAGTCTGGGAAATAGAGCCATTTACCTGAAGATCTAGCATTAGAGTCTTCAAAGCTTCTTATTCATTAGTATAGACAGGGACAGGGCCTAACTCATTCTGGCTGAGTTTGAGTATCACCAACCACATCAGTCTCTCTCAGCTCTAGATGTTTCAGGAGCAAAGAGAAGAGAATTTCTGAATGCAGGTGGAAGATGAAGGTCCACTCAAGAGGGAAGAAATGAAGGGACTACCTAGGTGGTCCAACTGAGAAGCTGGTATGGTCATCACCTGGGCCATAGCAAGAGGGAAGAGTTCTCAGGGGTGGCATCCAGAAGCTGTTTGGCAGAAAGGGAGATGGACTGGTAACAACAGCCTGGTGTGAGCAATGCCCTCGGAAATGAAGGCACAAGAGTGGCAGTCCAGATTCCAATCAGTATGTGTATATTGATGAGGCTGTGAGGTAAGTGGGCCAGAGGCACAGAGCTGCAAACAATACTGAAGGGGTAGTGTGATTATGCTAGGGATTCAGGCTGCAGCATGGGCTGACTCAGCAGTGAATGTGGGACAGGCCCTCCGCTACCCAAATACACTAGAGAAGAATGGCCTGAAAAGGGGGTTGGGGGTGTGTGGGGGCAACAGACTCCACAAATAATATGAGAGGTGGGGGCTCAAGTCATTTTACTTGGGTACTAAATGTAAGGGTAGTTTCCAGGAACTGAAGAATTTAGAGAAACTTTTGTTTCATTATTTATAGAGGTTTTTAGCAGCTGATGCTTTTACTTTCACCAGGAAGTAGAAAACTAGATCATCATTCTTTTTACTTATTGTTTTTAAAAGGAAATGGCTTTCCAAATACCTAAAAAAGCAAACATAGGTGCTCCTACATTCAACTTCCAGAAACAAAAGGTTATTATTTTGACACTTGAAACGGTATTTACACAATTTCTCCTAAGAATAAATGCTCTTTCTAAAGCCTATTCTGCCTCTCTACACTTTGCAGATTAAGCCTCATTGTTCTACGGGGCTCTTCTGTTTGGGTTTATGAAAACAGACACTGGGCTGATACAACCCAGGTACAGCTCCAGGAAAAAAAAAAAAAGGATATTACAACAAATTGTGGTGGTGCTTGCACTATTCAGAAAAAGATTTAAGCAATGATAACATCAAGTCATTGTTTAGCTCTTCCCATATACGGCTCCAGTTCAGTTTTTATCATCCAAATTAGTCCAACTTTAAGTATAAATCTGTCTTTGGTGAGCACCTTCTTTTTCATTTTCTGAAAGACAGTAAGCATGCCAAAAAGACTTATGAAACGAAATCTTTCAAGACCTAAGATTCTGTCTAAAAATAGCACTTCCCGATAAGCAATGAGCAATTTTTATTCTTTACTTGTGCTTGTATGCACATAGCAAAAGAGAGAGGGGGAAAAAAAAACTAGCAGGTAGGAAACTAAAGGATAGAGCAGGAGGGGAATTTCCAAGATGATGAAAAATTTTAACATTGTTTAAACATATTAGTAAATATGCTACTCCAATGTTATTAATAAAGGAGTTCTCTAAATTACCTAAATACCCTATGTTGTTTGAAAAATTCTCTCTAATTCTTGCATAGCAACATACGCTCAAAATCATGTGAGAACAAGCCTACCATACATGTGCACAAACAAGATTTTTTTCAGGATCTGTGAATTTTTATCTTCATTTTCCCAGAAGCAGATGCTGGAAACCTCAGTGCCTAGGACACAGAAAAGTGCATAATAAATGTAGGCTGAACCAATGAATGAGTGAATGAATGAATGAACAAACGAATAAGGAGCATATTTCCATACTGTGCCCTAGAATGGCTGTGACCTTATTGCATGGGGTGACTTCTTCACGGACTGCAGCTAGATTAGAAAATGAATGAGTGTAATCCCACAGACCTCCTAATTTGGAAGATGTCGAACAACAAACTCCCCAGGTGCAAGTTTTGTATTTTTTTTTCTCAGTGTGCAGATTGATTGAGTCTCCAATGACTCTGTTATTTACCACAGATTTTTAAAATTAAGATTGAATAAAGTATTCTTTTTAAAATAGCTTGTAATTTCCTTGGAAGCCTCTCTTACAAGATTTTCTAATACTGCAGAAAAATAGAAGGACGTATAGTTTTGAAACACTGTTCTGCAGGAGCCATTTTTTTAGTTGTCTTACATTCAATCCTTCTTCCTATTGAGGGACTCCCCATTATTGATGGTATTGAGGGTGTACAATGTCCACTATAGAAGAAGTGTCTTTCCATGGGGAGAGTATTTCCTCTCCTACTCCCTGCAACCAGGAAGCTGCACATGACCAACTGGGTTTTCGTACCAGAGCTTTGAAGCTGGAGTGTTTGACCCAAGAGGAAGGGATAATTAGGATTCATTTAGGGCAGCAGCATCCATCAGTGGTGTTGGCTAGGGCAACATCCTGGCCAGCCTGTCTCAGCTATGTAGACTGTGCATTCTCCTTGGTTTGTGTCCATTTTCCAACCCCTTTTCTCTTGTTTCCCCATGTGATTATAATGGTTCCCTTTGCATTATTTGGAATAATGATTCCAATAAATTATTCTACTTAATAAATATATCTGGAGCCACCTGCTCTTGCTTGCAAAAAAAAAAGAAAAAACCCTACTGACACATCTCCTGAATTACTGATTAATAACAGAGCTAAGTCTATTCTTGGCAGTTATAAGTAAAATGAAGGGAAAAGCAAAAATTATAAATAACCTAATACACTTGAACCACATTTAGACATGATTTGTACTTCCAGTCATGGCACAGTGGAAAGTATAGTGGCCTTTGAATCAGGGGGATATAAGTTCAAGCACTGACACTAGCATTTATTGCCTTTGTGACCTTGAGCAAGACACTTAATCTTTGTGAGCCTTCATTTCCTCGTCTATTACACAAGAATAAAAATATCACACAGGTATGTTCCAAGGACAATGTGAGATTATTTTTATCACGAAAGCACTTTTAAATCTTGAAGCTATTTTTGTCATTCTAGGCCAATAATATCTCTTCTATATAATCTCATTTTGTATGCAATCTACATTCATTACATATTTCCTACTTTCTTTTTCAGATAAACCTGGGAGATGAAATACTTCTGGCTTCAAATTCTAGTTTTTAAAAGGCCCCTATGTCATTACTTCCAATGTGAGCAATACAGTTAAAGTATGTTGTAAAGATGAGTAGATAAGTTTTTTTTCTCAATTTGAAAGCCAAGTTTACATTTGACCCGACTATCTCACTCTCCTAATGACGGGTGCATGCACACAGAGCAGTTCAGACCACAGCTCCTGACCTGGTGATCCTTCAAAGATACCATCTGAACACTTTGGCTTCTACTAAAAATTAATGTGGTTGAAACATATTTTCCTGGTTTATTGATGTCACCTGGTATGGAAATGGTATAGAAGTCCTGAAGTATAGAAGTATAGAATTGGTATAAAAGTCCAGCCCGTGGAGGTTCTTAAGTAGCCATAAATGGAAGTTTTCTGGCCATGTGATGCAGGAACACAACTAAAGGAAGGTTGTGAAAACTGAAGCAGAGATACAGAGAATGGGAGATGACATGAAGCTAGAACAGCAAGGATCCAGAATCTGGTCACTTGTCTTGGTGAAAGAGAAAGGGAGACAGCCCTTCTTGGAGGCTATACTTGTTCAAATAGATCCCTTGTCTATGCCAGTGGTTCTCAAACTTGTCTGCATATCAGAAACACCTGGAGGTATTTTAAAAATTCTGGAACCCAGGCCATGCCCCAGACCAAGAAAATCAGAATCTCTGAGGGTAGGACCCAGACATTGGCATTTTTTTAGGCTCCCCAGGCGATTCCAATGGGCATCACAAGCTTGGTAACCACTGGTTTGTATTGTTCTCATAACCTTTTTATTTCAGTAAACCCTGTGATCTGAAACCAACAATATCTTAGAGTTTCTTTTCTCCCATTCCTGTACCCAGTCCTGGTTCTCTTGGATCTTGAGCCTGACAAAAAGCCAAGATACAGTCATTATATGAGGTGAATATTCTATATCATTTTGAAAACATTTCTAAAGGCCTAATCACTTTTATAACAGAAAAATACTTGCTTTAAACCCAAAGTCATTTCCTTTATCAGCAGCTCGTCATTTCTCTAAGGCATTCTTTCTGAAATGAAATATTCTATTTTTGGTGTCAGACCTTGGACTATTTTTAAACACTTGAAATAATTCTCTTTTTTTGGTATTAAAATGGCAAAAAAGTACATTTTTCTAATCAAAATATAACCTCCCAAACTATTTTTATTCTATCCCAGATTGTTAAAGCTAAAATCTATAAGTTTTTATAATTCTCTTTTTCTGAATTACAATAAAAGTGTTATCAATGCCGCAAGTATTTTTGGTTAAGGAATATTGGAATACGTTGTAATAATAATAATAGCTGGCCTGTATTGAATACTTCTTATGTGTTCTATGTTTTGCTTAGTTCCTTACCTATATCACATCATTTAATTCTCATGGCAACCCAGTGAAATTGGTGCCATTATTATCCTCCCTCCCACTTTTTTTTTTTTTTTTTTTTTTTTTTTGAGATGGAGTCTTGCTCTGTCGCCCAGGCTGGAGTGCAATGGTGCAATCTTGGCTCACTGCAACTTCTGCCTCCCGGGTTCAAGCGATTCTCCTGCCGCAGCCTCCTGAGTAGCTGGGATTACAGGCTCGCATCACCACACCCAGCTAATTTTTGTATTTTAGTAAAGACGGGGTTTCACCATGTTGGCCAGGCTGGTCTCGAACACCTGACCTCAGGTGATCTGCCCACCTCGGCCTCCCAAAGTGCTGGGATTACAGGCCTGAGCCACTGCACCCGGCCTATCCTTCCTTTTTCAGGGGTGGAAACTCAGGCTCACAGGGGATAATTCTCTGAAGTCACATGTTTGTTAAGTAGCTGTTACGGCATGTGTGAGTGAATGAAAATTTATTGAACAATTGTGTGCTTAAATGTGACCTAATCTTTTTCACTGATGTCTCTTATTTTATCTTCATAACCACCAATACACCAGGCAAAAAATATCACAGGATGCTCTAGGGAAGAAAAACGGATCAAGAGCCTTCTCTCCTGGCTCCCTGGCCTCCTGACTTTCTCACTTCTGCTTCCTCTCTCATTATTCTCTCCAATGAAATGAGGGCAGCCCCGCCAGGACCCAGAACAAATACTGCAGGAGAAATGCCTTCTCCGTCTTCTCCCTAGATCTTCGGTCTTCAAATCAGGAAGATGAACAAGTCTAAGGTTAGTACATTTTTGTAGGTAACCTAGAGGACAAGCAAAGCAGCCAGTTTTTGCATATATCTTCGTAATAAATATAAAAGCTAAAGCTCTACCTATGGAGATATAATTATTTTTGAGATTTTCTACAACTATATTTCAGACTGATATGCAAGGTTTGACATGTGTGGATAGATTTTTTCTCTCTCTTAGTATTTACCACAGAATATTTAGAAAACAGACATGTAAAAAGAACAAAATGAAAGTCATTCATCAGGAAAGGAAAAACTAAAGATTTTGGTGTATATCCTTGCAACTATATACATATCTACATAATTTTTTCATTTGGCTTCAAAAATGAGGTCATAGAGTAAAACTATTTTATAATCTGCTGTTTCACTTAATGTCATTTTTTATGTTTGTACTGTATTCTAGCACCTGGGTATGCGTTATTTATTTAATTAATCCTCTGTTGGATATTTAGAACATTCCTCTTTTTTTTTTTTTTTTTTTTTTTTTTTTTTTTTTTTACTGTTATAAGCAATGCTTTAATATACATACAAATTTTTGTGCCTAAAAGAAACTTAGAAATGATATGAAAACCGCAACCAAGAGTGGTCAGGGAATTGACCAAAATTACCCAGCTGAAATCTTGGCAGAAACTCTAAGTGGGGTCTTCTGATTATCAATCCTCGCCTCTTTCCTCCATACCAGTAGTTCTCAATCCCTACTGCAGATTCTCAAATCACCTGCTGAGATTTAAAAATATATCATGTCCTCGCTTCACCTCCAGACATTCTGAATTAATTGATCTGGGGTGGAGCCCAGGTAGCAGTATTGTTAAAAAACTCCCTGGGGGCTCTAATTTGCTGCAGGATTAGGAGCCACACTGCTCTATACCAGGCAGGCAGCTGCTGGAATCAAGACTTCACAGAGAGCTGTCCTAGAACCCTCTCAGCATTAGCTTCTGCAAGTTAAACAGGGAATGGTATAATACAGTCTCTCAAAACATCCTATAATTATTCTTTCTTGAGCTAACTGGACCCGAGTATGTTACTCTGGTAACTTCTTGGTCCATTTTCGTGGGGTATTTGGTCTTGAAAGAGAAATTTCAAGTGTGTATTCAGGAGAATACATTGGAAGAGAAGTGCTTCTTTATGTAACTGCTCAGGTTTTAAGAAAGCTTTGAATGTTTGCTTTACAGGTGGTAGAGGGGAAGGGCTGGAGAGCAAATGAGGAGCTGCAGCTTGAGTATCTCAGGCTTTTCCCATTTGTACTCACAGCCACAGAGCCCTTTAGCATTAGCTCACACACAGATCTCCATGGCTCTGAGCCCCTCCTGCTTGGTGGCAGCATCTCTTGAGGCATCTCCAGGAACCCCAGGGTTGAATTTCTGTAAAATAATGGTAGGTGTCTAAATGGTTCCATTAGTTGCTCACTGCCATGGTAAGCTGGCCTGATCATCTGTAGCCTCAGGCCCTAACTGTCCTACAGAGGTATCAGTCGGACTAGGACTTGGCCATCACTGCCATTCATTGTGCCTTTTTGGTTGCAGGGAAGTTGGAAATAGGTTGTAAGCTGAGGCTAGGGAAAATGGTGCTCACCCACCATGTTTTCAGGCCAGAGATTGCAAATTAGGAAAAGACTGCCTTCTGTGTTTTCCAGTTATTTAGACAAGTGTCTGGAGGCAAAGTTAATTGGCCCACAAAGCTCTAGGATTTAGTGATTCAGCAGTTCAATTCATACCCACAGGTTCCCACTCCAGGGCCTGAGCTGAGAAGAGTTTGGGGCCATGATATACCCAGAGTACCACTCTCTCAGTGAAACTGGCCCAGTTTTCCAACAAGCCAGATGCCAATAGAATTGAAGCAAACTTACATTTGTACAATGAAACACACCTGCTGCCTGCTGACCAACTCCTTTTCCTTGCCCCTCCTGTTTTCCTTTGCGGCTATATAAACCCGTAAGTTTAGTCAGGAAGAAGGAATGGATTTGAGATCTGGCTCTCGTCTCTCTGGCTGACGTCACCCGTAATATAATAAAGCCTTCTTCCCTTGTCAATACTCATTGTCTCAGTGATTGGCTTTCTGTGCAGTGAGCATCAGGACCTAGCCTGGACCCCTGGTGTTCAGTAACATTAGAAACTACAGCAAAGTGCTAGATTCCCTTCTCCCTTATGGTGGATTTGCTCCTGGGGGCTTCCTGCTGTCCTTCCTGTGATCTGGATGCTTCAGGTCTGTATAATACATCAGAACACCAATTGAAGATAAATGATGAAATAAAAATGGAGGAGATAGATGTCCATTTACAAGTGATAGAAGAATCTGCTTGGTCCTAGCTCTGCTTACTCAGAAATTCTTCACAATAAATAACAGGATGGCTGGAGAGGGGCACCTGTGGGGTCGTGGGCAAGATCGTGGGCTAGAAGTCAGGAGATCTGGCTGCTCATTCCAACTCAGTTGCTCACAAGCTGTGTGACTAAGGCAAGTCACCTCACCTCTCAGGGCTTCAGTTTCCTCATATGTAAAACAGGGATAATAATTCCCAGCACATAGAGGTGTTAGAAAGGATTAAATGACATAATTTTGGTGGAAGCACATTACATCTTGCAAATCACTAGAATATCCACAGTCATAGTGGGGTCCACCCTTTCAGTAAAGGGTAATTGTGCCTCTTGGGAGCCTCTCATTCTCCAAGATATCAAGGAGTAGGATACAGCACACCTTTAGCTCTAAAGTTGAAGTCTAAAACCACAACAAAAACCCTGTAAGGGACTTCATAAGACATCTAGGAAGGAATACAGTCCCAATAGCTGTTCTTTCTGTTATTCCTTGCCTTAGATTGCTGAGCTAGGGTGGAGACGCTCCTACATTAAGAACACCTCCCTCCTTTATCACTTGCTCTGTTCCTATCTCTACCTCCATCACCAGTATTTGCATACGCCTATCTGCTTGGGGGCTTCTATTTCATCCCCGGAGGAGGGAGGAAGTTGAAATGGCTGGGAAACAGACCTAGAAAAAGGCAGAGGATGATGGCGGGTTGAGTGGTATGTTTACCACCTGGACCCTAGAATAAACTCAAACCTTGATGAGATGGAGTAGAGGCAGAAGTGACAAGAAATACATGAAGTTTATGAGTGGCACTTTCTCAAGCCCCAGGCCACCAAGTATGGCATAGAATTGGTGGAGAGGCCAACTCACATTTCACTATATAACCCACCCACTCTGGGGACTGCAAGCTTTCAGAGCACCTCAAGACAAGCCCCGTGCCTGGATTTTTCAGAATGATGGCAAGGAAGTTGTGCTAAGGGGCCTCGTGGGCAGTGGGCATGGACAAGGGACAGCTGAAGCAGGAGAGGGAGAGAGGAGGGTTGAAGTTGCCGTGCGATGCCTGTGGTTGCAGACTGATTGGTGGGCTCATGTGCACTATCTCTTTGGGGGCTAATACAATAATAAAAATAAAATTTTTAAAGGACATGAAAGTTTAGGAGTTAGGGATTCAATTGTCCTCAAAAGCCCCAGAAAAATTCAATTGCATTAGCAATATAATAGTGATGTTTAAAATGTTGATGTTGAATCTATAATTAGAAGAAATTATAGAGGAAAAAATTAAATTTTCATAGAAATCTCAGATCTTAGAGTTTTAATGAAACTCTGTGTTAGTCATATGATCCAGTTTCCCTTCAAATGCACACATTTCTTCCCTAGACATCACTCCGCGGTAATACCCACATTTCTTGATCCCTAATCTCCTTCACCTTAGTTCCCTTTCACTTGACTACTTTATTGGATGAGGGAAAGGAAAGGGCAGGAGAAAAATGGATGGGGTACATTAAATCTTGAGTCTTAGAATAGGGACAAAATAACTTTTGGAAAGGAAATGTTTGATATAGTTTCCGCACTTGTAAGCAGAAAAAGCTGATGATAGAATGAACACTGTGCTGGGAATTCAGAAATAGTTGTCTAGAAATGGCCATAACTCTTTTGTGTAGATTGACATCTGACAATATTTCATATACAGTGTTCTCTTACAGTTAAATCCTACCAGCTACTAAATCATATAAATAACATGAAAGTAGGTTAAGAAGTTTTTTTCCCCTTAGGGTCTCACTTAGGTAAAGTTAAATATGTATGCCCAGTATTTAGCATGCATGTGGACCTCAGACTCTGTTATATACCTGACAGGCTATTTGTCTTGATCCTAATTATAATAAGATTGATGGTTCCTGTTTGATGCAAGAGAGTAATATGTGAGCCATATGATAATTTGCATTTGTCTTCTTGGCAAAAGAGAGGGTCTTTCAAGCAATTTGACTTCAGAACAAATTAACAAATATGATAATTTCTTTATGTTCAATTCCAGAAAGGTGTAACATGTTCCTAAGGCTAATTAAAAAGATTTGGTCTTCATTAATAATTCAAAGCCAAAATATATTTCCTTTTTTCTCAATATTTGGTGTATTCTTTTTATTTTAATTATGTGACAGGTACTGACAAGTTTTAACACTCAACAATGTGCCATTCTGAAAGCAGCAAAGAAAGAAGGTGATAAAGGTCACAGTTACTAATATAAACTCGAAGTGATAAAACACTCAGGCATTTCTTTAATTGTTCACATCCAACAATCTACAAATATTCTGAACAAACAAGCAGGTGGTAATTAACAGAGGTAGACACTAATGGCTGAGAGCCACTTTTAGTCAGCAAATTTTTCTATGGGCCAACATATAAAAATAGTGGTATTTCACATGTAAACTTGAATTCATAGATTCTCTTAAGAAAAAGCCACACCAAAAAAAAATGGCACATTTGGCCAATATTTCCCCATGGGAATCAGCAAACAATGAAGCCTGGGTGGCAGCTGCCTGCTTCAGATCCAGGGGCACGGGCTCACCCCAACAGCACTGCCCCACTGTGTCCACTTTACTTTTTTGCTTCACCTACCTGGGGCCCTGCTGGACCTGGGTTTGGAGACCTTGAAATGCACACTCCCTCCAATCACCAACTCTAAGACTGGATAGTCCCTTTTATTTTCCTTCAACTACATTCCTTTATCTCCTGGCAGTACCCACTCCTTAGTCAGCATAGTTCCCAAAGAACTGGTTCGGCCCTCCTTCCCCATTTTCTCTTTTCTTTTCCAGCTGAATCATTCTCCTTCCCTGCCTCTTTCCCCCTCACATCCCACAGAATTTCCCTCTCAGAAGATGGAGAATGCCTTTATAATGCTGACACGTGAAGCAAGACTTTCCTGGAATGAACTGTGTGATCACATATATCTTTTGGAAAGATTACACCTAAATAGATATCTGAACTCGCTTCACATTTTCACATTAGATCTACAATGGCGCTGTGCAATAACCTAATACTAAAACTTAGAGAAGAATTTAAACCACTCTGAGCCTGAACAGATTTGGTAGCTTAAAACATATTTCATCCTCAGAAAACAAAAGATTGAATCTATGAATATAGAAACAGTTGATATGGCTTGTTTTATGGAAGGAACATTTGCCAAGTGATTTTGCATTATGGTGCATGCTATGGTCTAAAATAATCCTCATTATTCAATGATGGTACAGTACTCAAACAGATGCAGCCATTTGAGCTCAAACTTCAGATAGTAAGAAAATGTGACTTATGGTGGAAAGACATGCATGGGAGTCACCCAGTTTGGAGGAGACAGCAATCTCCTTCAAATCATGTTCTTCCCTATATAGAGAGTCTTTAGTGAGGGCTGAATCATGTTCTGGTTTCTGACTGTGTGCACACAGATAAGGCTTCTCAAATGTCCACTGGTGACTACCCCAGCTATACTCTTTCAAAATGATGAAAACTGGGGTCTTTGGCCATCTGCTGTGGTCAAGGGAACTGACCCAACTTGGGGAGAGACCTTCCATTCAGCCTTCCATTCAGTAGGGTGAGTATTTCTCTCTTCCAGGCAGAGGATAGCTGTACTCATTGGAACTACACATTGCCAAATTATGGTCACAAAAAGATTCTGACCGTTTATATTTGCCTCACCTAGCTCACTTGAGGATAGAGAATCTGTTGTAGTCCTCATAGGGGAGGTCTTTCTACACTGGCCACTATTTTTGAGCAGGACCCAGATAAGGATTATCACAACACCAAAACAAATAGATTTTTGTAGAAGTTAATAAAGTGCTTGTAAGAACAGGAACAAGAGTCTGAAGGTGATTGGTCTTTGACTTGTTTTCCAGTTACTTTTTACTCTGTAGGAATGTATCCATTTCTTCCCACCCACATTTTGTTACAGCAGCATAGAACAGAATGGAGTAGAATCATTTATTAGAAAAAAATTACACAAACGCAAAATGTTTTTGATGCACAATTCAAGAAACATTAAGTGCTTATTATATATCAAGGACCATTTTAGCAATAGGTTTCTATTGCTACCTAAACTTTTCCTACCTCAGCAATATTTTGGCGAGGGTAAGGGAAAATGGTTTATTCTTTAATTCTAAGATAAATAGGACTGTTCATGGTAATGGAAAAATAGGAATATGGTATAAAAGATGAAAAATCAGAAAATATCTGTTTACTGACAATATGTAAAAGACACAAAAGGCCAGGCGCGGTGGCTCATGCCTGTAATCCCAGCACTTTGGGAGGCCGAGGTGGGTGGATCACCCGAGGTCAGGAGTTTGAGACCAGCCTGGCCAACATGGTGAAACCCCGTCTCTACTAAAAATACAAAAATTAGCTGGGTGTGGTGGCGCATGCCTGTAGTCCCAGCTACTTGGGAGGCTGAGGCAGGAGAATCCTTGAACCCGGGAGACGGAGGTTGCAGTGAGCCAAGGCCACGGCGCTGCATTCCAGACTGGGTGACAGAGCAAGACTCCATCTCAAAAAATAAATAAAAAAGAATTTAAAAAACCCATCAAGTTCACAGATTTCCTCAGCTTAATGAGTGGATGGCAAGACTGGAAATAAGAATTCCATGCCAAAATGGAACACTTCAAAATTAGACCCACTAAGGGAATAAAAGAGTCTAAAACTCAGAGCCTGAAGCCCTAACAATCAGTCATTTTGGCTGGAAACTAGAAATCTCATGAGGGAGGCAATTTAGATAATTACCGTGATGATTTTAAACACCATTTGTGGGAGAACAGGAGCTCTTGCGGATTTATTGACAAGGGATTTCAGTATTTTAAGTCGTAGTGTTTTTGAGATTGGTCTGATAATCTCTCCCGGATCTCATTTCCTATGACTTCTTCCCATCTTTTCTCCCAGCCTCAATGTTACTTCCTTAGGAGTGTCCCTGTCACCCCAGGGGGAGGCTGTCTGTCCTTCAAACCCTTCCAGCACTTCCTACCATTCCCCACCCTCACCCCCTGTGCTCATTGGGGTCCTGAAGGGGAGCAGGTGGCCAACACCATTGTGGTGATGGGGAGTTCTGCCCCTGCTAACATGTCCTACCCTGGGAAAAAGTAGGTCGATTCTTGAAACACCCAGAATTCAGCCTACCCAGACCTGGGTCAGAGTCTGATCCCATAGGGTCATGTCTAGGACTTGCATAGTTAAACAACCAGGAAAGAAGGTGCCCCCAAATGAAGCGATGTGAGTAAATATGGTATAGGGAAAGAAAGACTGAAAAATTCGGGGTCCAGAGAAAAGTGCTGGGGCCTCAAGAATGCAGAGCCAAGATCCATTTACATTCCACTGGCAGCTTCAGTAAGGCCATAATTTTGTTATTTTTTTCCTTTCTGCCTGTTTTCCTCCTCTTAGTAGCTGAGGAAACCTTAAAAACCCTCAAATCGGCTGTGTGCTGGCTGAAGAGATCCTTGTTCTGAAGTGTGTCCAGGGGAAAGGAGACTCTGAGTGGAAATAATAGTTTGTGGCAGTAGAAAAGAAGGAAAGCAATCCTGTGGCCAGTCCAAGAAAGAAGGGTCTGTCGGGAAACAGCCCAATATGGTGGCAAGAATAAAGACTCTGGCACCAGAGAGACCAGTGTTCAAACTCCAGCTCCACCAAACATCTTGACCAGATATCTCAACTTTTCAGAACCTCAGTTCACTATAAAATGGAGATTTTAAAAATACTTAACATTTTGGGTTCTCTAGAAAGTTTCCAAGTGAGCTTCACCTAAAATCCAGAGACAGCTCTGGAGCCTGTTTGCTCTGGACAGGACCGACATCTTGGAACCGTAGGGAAAAGGCAAAAGAATCATGAAGATATCAGTCCTGACATTCTTGAGTTGGTGAAATAATCTCAGCTCCCATCCACCTACACAGTTGGCTCTATGATGAGGCCACTCTGTGAACAGGTTGGTCTCTGCTATTTGCAGGTAAATGTGCTTCCCAGTCAACATACCAGCCTTTAAAAACAGTATCTTCCCAGGTTGTAGGTAAACGTTATTTCAGATGAATCCTATTCATTTCATCATGAATATGATTTAAACATGAATTATATGTGCAAAGGGAACAGCACATAGTTGGCTCTTAGCACATTTAAACTCCTAGTTCTCTTTCCCCATGGTTCAAAACAGACAAATAGTGTCTCCTGAGGCTTACCTATGGCAGGAGGCTATGACTGCATAACTAAAAGAGAAAGGACATTGCTATTTGCTCTTCAAAGTTCAGCCCAGGTGACATCAATCCCTTTATGAAGTCGTTTTCCCTGGCTACACCCAGTCAGGCAGAGCTGATTACTCTTCCTCTACTGTATCCTCTGCCTATTTCTATTGCAGAGTTGATTCTGTTGTTCTGCAATGATTTGTTTAATGTCTATCTTTATACAGATGCTGGGTGATAAGCTCCTCAGGGGCAAGGGCCATGTTGATTCATCTTTATGCTTCTGGAGGTTTGCACAATGTCTGGCCCATAATACGTGTTCAACGTTTAATGAAAGGAACAAACGAACTAAGAGGGAAATGAGGAGGAAGGAGAGGTTGATGCTGAGGGATCTACCTTTACTTCTTTCTCCCAGTCCAGCACCCCTCTTCCTCACTCCTCACATCCAAGCTCCATACTCTTCCGGTCTCCCCAGTCTTGCTAGAGATCCTGTCCTAGGCCTCAGGAAGCATGACTTTGGCTTATAGATTAGGAAATTTGTGTTCTCAGCAGACAGCTGGTATGGAGAGAGATGTATGCAAATCAGATCATGAAACTTGCAGTCAGGGAAGTTGCATGACACCGCCCTGGCTGCTGAGACATTCAGGAAGTTGCTGTGTGAGGCTTCTGAGAAACTCTTTTAAGAAGGGCCACATTTAATGGGCTTATGTCTGTGCTCTCTGCCCTTTCTACTTGCCTGGAACATAGATACAATTTCTGGAGCTGCAACATCAATATTGAGACCTTGAGGAAAAGCCCCAGAGAACTACAGAAATCTCAGTCATGATGTTCTTCAATCATGAACCAATGTTTGCCATCCCTACCACTTTGGGTGTTTAATTATGTGAGAAAAAGCCACCTTTATATGTTTAAGTCACTGATGTCTGGCTTATGTTACTGCCAGCTGAAGATAATTCCAAACCGATAATGCAGTCTTCAAGGATCTTTACCTTGCTGTTGTTGCTGCCTCAAATGCTTTTCTCTGAAATTATCATAGGACTGGTCCCTTCTCAGAGTCAGATATTCAGTTCAAATGTTACCTTCTCAGAGGTGCCTTTTTGACCACCCTATCAGAAGATAACTACCCACGCTGCATATGTCATTCCTTAATAATATCATCTTGTTTTATTTTCCTCACTGCATTTATCACTATCTGAAATACTCTCTTTTGTTTGTTTCTTCTCAGTCACCAGCCCCACCCCCGCCACCACCACCACACACACCATGAATACAAGGACTTTATTTTGTTCAAAGCTGTTGTATCTACCGCACCTAGAAGAGCACTATGAATACGTTCCCAGAAAGAAAGATGACTTCTGGAGTTGGGCATGAATCTATTTTCCCATAGGAAATACTGTTATATATGATGAAAAGGTTTATAATTTTGGAAATTATGGGTTAAATACTGTTTATGACCTAAGTACTATGTATAACATTGTTTATATGGGATAATGAGTTCCAAGTCCAATTTCCCTTAATGAGCTCATTATGATCTTGACCATAGATCATGTTGCAGTTTATCCCCATCTCCAGAAAACCCTTCCTGCTTCCTTGCATTTTCTAGCTGCTTCCCACCTTTTATTCATAACAGTTTATCAGATTTTAACTCCTTGATGAAATTTTTTCTTTGGTTTATTTACAGGAGGTTTAAAAAAATTTTTTAAAGAGTCTCAATCTCAAGTAGATTTTTTAAAACATTAATTTCTTGAGTGCCACTACCTATACTCCTTGCAGGCTCTATCCCATTTCACATCCTGTCTTGTGAAAATTATACTTAAGTCCTTTCAAAGCCAACTCACCTAACTTCCTGCCTTCCCAGTGGTTTCTAAACTTCATATCTTTTCCATGAGTTCATTTAAAAGCAGCAAAATCTTTTTCTCAATCCTTTCTGGACGCTTTCCCCTGTTCTGCTTTTCAGTGTGAGGAGCATGGTGGACTATAATGAGGTGCAGGTAAGACCTTGACATGCAGAGGAGTGAAGTTTTTCTTTTACTGGTTAACAAGTATGGATTTACATATAGAAACCATATATGTAGATGAATAGGATAGGGTCACTCTGTTACACACACTTAAGGAATAAAAAGTAGACCAGTTTGAGGAAGTGGAGTGTTTAAAAGTTAAGTGGTAAAAAATCCAGGAATATAGGTTGGGTACTGTGACAGAGATCGTTAGTTGTTTCCCAATATCCATTCTTTCCCTTTTCCTTAGTAATGAAGTCCTTTTTATTTAAGGTGGCAATGAAAAAAGACTGTATTCCCAAGTCTTGCTTGCAATTAGGTGTGACCATATGATACAGTTCTGGAAGTTTTGTTTGAAACTGATTAAGGAGAGCTGATCCATCTGGACATGGTGGCCTTTTGACCTTCCTCTTTTCTTCCTCCTTCTATGCTGGAACATGGACTGATGGCTGAGATTCTGTGCTCATCTTGCCTCATAAAGCGAGGTTGAGGATAGAAGCCATAAACAAAGAATGGGTGCAGAACCATCTGGTTTCATGGAGCCACTGTACCAGTTCCGAATTGCCCAACCTAGGACTTTTTTTTTTTTTTTTTTTCTGGGCGAGAATAAACCCTGGTGTCTTTAGCAATTGCTACTTTGAATTTTCTGTTAAATATAGCCAAGTATAATCTTTTCTGATACAGA
The DNA here is from genome assembly GCF_000001405.40 of Homo sapiens. Lineage (NCBI taxonomy): Eukaryota > Metazoa > Chordata > Mammalia > Primates > Hominidae > Homo > Homo sapiens. The sequence continues at coordinate 64,516,927 of NC_000005.10, read as the reverse complement.
TGCACACTTGGGAAGCTTTTAAAAATACCCCAATGCCCAGGCAGCATCCCAGACCAATTAAATCAGAAACTCTAGGGATGGAACTCAAGCATCAGCAAATTTTTAAAGCTTCCCAGGTGATTTCCATGTGCAGCCCAGGTTGAGAATCGCTATTCTAGGCAGGTAGGCCTCATATGTTGCATGTTCAACAATCTCCTGGGAGATGCAGTGGTGCTTGTTAAAAATTTGGATTTCCTATCCTTACCTCCCCAGAGGTTTTGGTTCTTCAGGTCCGAGGACATCCCACCCACATGATTCTGATACAGGAAATCTAGTTTCAAATTTGAAGAAACACTGCTTTAGGCAATAGGAAATCTTTAGAAGTTTTAAAGCAAAGAAGTGACAAGATCAGAGGAGCGTTTTAGGAGGAGGATTAGCCTGGATCTAGAGAATAAATTGAAGAGAAGAGGTGAGAGACTGAACTCAAGGAGACCGATTAGGACGTACTACAACAGCTGATGGCCTGAGGGGATACATCTGTGAACTAACAGGTGGCCACAGAAATGGGGAAAAAAGAAGGGACACAATAGACACTGAAAAAGATAAAGCACTACAGGACTTGGTACCTTATGGGATAGGGGTGGGGGCACTTCAAGATATTCTCAGTGACTGAAGAATACGAGGGCTTTGGCTTCTTCTGGGTTAGTATATATTTCCCCTTGTGCTCAAACTCAGATTGGTGTAGTTTATTAGTTCACTGTGTATCTACAGCTGCAAATGTTAAATTGACTTTTGTTAACCTGATTGTATCTAGAGTCTTCTATTAGGTTGAAAACATTTATTTCGGTCGAGAGCGGTGAGTCACACCTATAATCCTGGCACTTTGGGAGGCTTAACTGGGAGTGTTGCTTGAGGCCAGAAGTTCAGGACTAGCTTTGGCAATATAGCAAGACCCCAGTCTCTATAATAAGTTTTTAAAAAATTAGCTGTGTCTGGTAGTGCATGCCTGTAGTCCCAGCTACTCAGGAGGCTGATGCACAATGATTGCTTGAGCCTAGGAGTTCAGTATCAGCAGAGTGAGACCTCATCTCTAAAAATAAATAATAATAATAATTATTATTATTTGCTAAATCAGTTCTATTTAAAGGCTCAGATACTTTATCCTAACCAGAGTCAATCTCACAAATAAGTTTACTCTGTGTGTGTGCATTATATGTGTGTGTGTGTGTGTGTGTGTATGCATATAGGCAAGTAATTAAATGTTTTTCATGAAGTTTTACCTTTTTTAAAGTCATGTCTTGTAAAGCAAAGGAAATAAACAGGCAGTATAGATACTGCTCTGGAGCTGTGCTTTGTGTAGTTGTCTTTCTGGGATAAGACACAACCAAACTCTCAGGGCCTAGAAGTTTAAAGAACAGTTTGAAAAGGTGATCTCAATGGTAACTGATTTATTAACAATTCAATGTAAAGCCCCTAAGCAGAGAGATGTTATGATACTATTTTATCAAATAACATAAATTAAATATAATTACTTTATGAGTAATCCTAAGATACACACTGCCTGCTGATTTGTTTTAATAATGAACACCTATGCCTCACAAATTGCTCTTAGGTATATAAGCTCTTCAAGTCCTCTGTTATTTAAAAACCAACATATTGGTTTTAGAGTTAAAAACAGAAAATAATAATAGTTAAATGTAATAAGATGTAAACTAATCGAATCTCTCAATTCTTACTAAAGTTGGTATCAAGACATGGCTTCTTTTAAGAATAGATTTTAAAATACCAAGTAAACTTAATGAACAGAAAAGACAAATATATCATCATTGAGCTTACCACTCAGGGTGCAAAGATGAATGAAACAGCCTTGGTCTCTTGCACTTCAGAGTATGCATAATAAAGTGACGGGGAATTTTTCCAAAGTTAGTTTTAGATTTAATTTTCTCTCTAATTGGAACATCTATTAAGAAGACTCTAACAAGGTGAAAGTCATTAAATCTGTTCAAAACATAAAGTGGCTAAACTTCAATAGGCAATGGGAGAACACTTGTCTTGATGCCATATCACATTTAGTCAAGTTGCTAATAATAGCACTCTTCTTTAATCTGGTGTGAGTTAGAACCTTGTCCTTGCTCCAGAGTATGCTTATGGTCCTTAAGCAACAGTATTAGCACCACTGAGGGGCCACCACCTGCTCAATTCTCTCATGCACACCAGGGAAAGTGAACACCCCGGGTGTGGATTGTTAGATGCCTCACCAGCTCTCCCCAGTATTCCTTCTTGTAGCTGGGTTTTGGTTTACCTTTATAATATAATTAAATTGATTAAAGAAAAGTGCTAGCTGTATTAGAGACTCAGTATCTTTGTGAATAATCCATTTCATACAGAAAACATTCTATTCCATGGTCACAAACTCTACCCTTACATGAGTTACGATCTTGCAGATGATTAAACATTGGGCCCTGGGATGGCTTTGTATGAAAGTGTGGAGAGAGTATACAGAAAGTCCTAGGTAAAACCTCACCTCTAGTTGGGGCAAAACAACCCAAAGTGTGTATTTAGCTGCAGATAGGTCAAGGAAATTTATCATGGGTTAAATTATGTGCCCTTTCCCCCAACCAAATTCATATGTTTAAGTCCTAACCACCCAGTACCTCAGAATGTGACCTTTGTTTTTGGAAAAAGGGTCATTGCAGGTGTAAATAATTAAGCTAGGATGAGTTCATACTGGAGTAGAATTGGCCCCTAATTCAATATGACTACTGTCCTTGTAAAAAAGAGGAATTTGAACATGGATGCACACACAAGGAAAAGGCCATGTGAAGCTGAAGGCAGAGATGCTTCACCAAACCGAAGAATGTGAAAGACAGCAAGCCACCAGAAGCTAGAGGAGAAGCATGGAGCAGATACTTCCTCACAGCCCTCAGAGGGAACCAACCCTGCTGACACCTTGACCTTAGATTTCCAGCCTCCAGAACTGTGAGACAATAAATTTATTTTGTTTAAGCCACTCCGTTTGTGGCACTTTGTTATGGCGGCCTTAGCAAACTAATACTGAATTGTTCTTCCATCGTTATCTTTATGGATAGTATATTCTTTTGGTATAGACATAACTTGCCTTTCACTATTTGACCAGTGAGAGCTAAACATTTTAAAGCAAAACACCTTTAATAGGAAGAGAAAAGAAAAGACAGAGTGGGTGGCCTGGCATGCCTGCCAACCACAGGTCCCTTTTACTAACGGCAGAGGCTGTCACTGCCCACATAAGGCCTCCTCCACCGTGTGGATCAAAGAAGGCTGAGAGCTGCTTCCATGGTCACCGAGCTCTTCTTCCATACTCTTATCACCATACATCGTTGCTGCTGGCTCAGCCAAAGTGTTGAAAGGACTATTACTAAGCTGCAATTCTTTATTTTCCCTTATCTCACTCTCCCACCTCCTAACTTCCTAGCAAACAGAACAAGGGTAGGAACAAGAAATCAACTAGAAGTGGGACTGAAAAAATCAGGGCGAAAAAATCAGGGCAAAAAAATTAAACACAAATCAAAACCAAAACAGACTCCACCCCAACCCCCCCAGAAAAAGGCAGGAGGAGGAGAAGGAAGAGAAGGAAAGAACATGAGGAAAGAGAAGGAGAAAAGGAGAGAAACAGGTCTGGTTGGTCAGGAAAATCATTGCTGGAGGGAAAAACCTGAAATCTGTGCTTCTGGACCTCTAGGATGTTCGTTACATTGCTCTAGAAAGCCAATAGGAAATTAAGATTCTTCTTGTGAATGTACTAGGTTTGGATCTCAACATATTATTTCCGGAATTCAATCATCAAACTTCTTGCATGATATTTATTTTTTCATAGCTCAGTTCTGTAAACAAGGTCCATGTGATTCTCTATGAATTAATGTAGAATAATGGAATGAGGAAGCCAGGAGATTCAGAAGTCCTTCAATGTAACACTGTCATTTTGGCGTGCAGAGAATTTAACAGACTTGTCCAATGACATATAGCCTATACCAGAACTAGGCCAAAAGATTTTATAAATATTATTTGATATATGAAGAATCTAGGCTGATTTATGTAAAAAATTTCTAAACTTAACTACTTTTGAATCTTCATATCTCCATATAATTTTTATGGTATCTCAGAACAGGCTTTTTGATAGCCATCTGGGAAACTTCCACCTAGAAAATGTCTCAGAATGTAATATAAGAAACCAAGGTAAACAAAGATTTATTCCAGCCAAAGTATTTATTTGGAAAATATTTGATGGATTAACTTTTTATATAAATGTATCTCGGCAATCTGAATTTTTAAATGTCTTATTATATTACCACTAACTTGCACTTAATAGCATTTACTATATGCTTGCGGTCTCCTAAGTACTTGATCCTCACAATGCCATATACTCTGGTCCCATTATTCATTAACTCCATTTTGCTGTTGAGGAAACTGAAGCAGAGAGGGAGAGACAATATCTTTGCCCGACTTCATACTACATGTGAATAGCAGCACAGCCAGACTGCCAGTCTGGTCCCAAAGTCTATGCACTTAACCACGATACCAGACTACCACTAACCACTCTGTGAATCAATCTGCATACAAATTCACCCATGTCCTTAGCAAGTGGTAAAGCCTGGTCTAATCTGATTTAGAATCAGTGCTCTTTCCCATCACACTCTACTGTCTCTCATGTTGTCATACTTAAACTTAAGATCTGGAGTAAATCTTTCTACATTTAGATTCTCTTGAGAGCCATTAACCAAAAGCAGCAGTGTGAGAAAGATTCAGTCCAACACAGACACCACAGAAGCACAGCAGCAAAAAGAGAATCCTGACCACCAGCCCCCCAGCCATAGCAGTAACTCCCAAGGTGTGCTGGAGGATGTTGGCTCCTGGGGCCACTCCTACCTTGTATGCTGTGCTCATCTCTCCTCATTCTCAGGTGTGGCTGATGGAACAGGTACAAGACCAGGGAGCATGAGATCCAAGTCCCAGTCTTAGAGCAGCCTCTGACTGGCAGTGCCATTGACAGTCTGGACATGTGGTCCCTGCTTCACATACCTAGCTCAGTTAACTCTCTCAACTACCCCATGAATGGGCATGAAGGACTTCATCCTTACAGATGAAGGAATTGTGACTTAGAGAGCTAAGCATTCCATCAAGGTCATAAAAGATGACACTCATTCCAGGTCTGCCTGACTCCAAAATCTTCACGTATTCTTTGTCAAGTTGCCTCAAAAGTCACTTAAATCCTCTGAATCTTAGACTCCTCAAATATAAAGTGCCATGGAGCCCTAGGGATTCTATGAAGTGTCTCAGAAGTCACTTTGAGAAGGAAGTCCAAAAGGCAGGACCTGACCTACTCCTGATAGGCACGTGGACACATACACACACACCCCAAGCAGTGCAGAGTTATGCCACTGCGACTGTCTTTATAAATATGGCTTTCTACATTTAGATTGAAGGGAGGATTTGCTGCTAAAAAAGTTTGAGGCCCATTCTTGCAAGTGATCTTTAAGGCCCCTCTTAGCTTTAATGTCTGGGACAGGGTCAGAGTTGTAAAGACATAACTTTAGTAAATCAAGACAGTCAGAGGATACTTTGTATTCACCTGGCTGGGTCTGTCCAGAATGCAGATATCTGATGCCTTTGAAAGAAAAGGCTGTGCCTGAACTCTGCTGATCCAAACACAATTTGAGAAAGCGTGTTGATTGTATTTGTGGAGATGGCCTTCTTAAACAGGGCCAGTTAGAAAAAACATAGTCTGAGTTTTCTTCTCCCGTGAGCTCCACCATTCCTTGAGGGTTTCAGTTGGTCAGGGATGAAAGGTATGTAGCATTAGTGGCTTGTTTAATGCTAACTCCTTGTTTTTCCTCTTCCTCTCTATCTTGCCTCATCTTCTTTTTACCCTGTCCACCTTCAATCCTGTCTACCTCCTGTGGCCCCAAAGCCAGCTGGTAGACCAGGAAGTGGGAGTCTGTATTGGTAGAAAATGAATAAATTCACTTACTCCTTCAAGTCCTGCCTTTCCCACACTTGTATTCCTACACAGAGCAAAGAATTGGTGCTTAAGCAATAGCCATGAGGCAGGTGTCTTGAGGAATGCATGGGGAGCCAAGTATTACTTTTCCTCCACCCTATAGCTCATACCCCTTCATTAAAAGCTACATATGTAGAAAATAATAAAGTTGACAAAAAACCAAGTGTTAATCACGGTGATGATGACAATACCTTTCTAAAAAACAATTATTGAGGTATACTTTATATGCCATAAAATTAGCTCATTATTAGTTACAATTCAATGACTTTTAGTAAATATACAGTATTGTATAACCATCACCATAGTCCAATTCTGGAACATTTCCATCATCCCAAAAAGATTTCTCGAGCTCATCTGTAGTCTCTACCTGCTCTCGCCTCCAGTCCTAGGTAACCACTAATCTACTTTCTGTCTCTATAGATTTGCTTTTCCTGGGCATTTCACATGAATGGAATCATATGACATGTGATGTTTTGTGGCTGGCTTCTTTCAGTTGGCATACTCTTTTTAAGGTTAGTTTATATTTTATCATGTATCCTTTATACGTAACACCTTTTTGAATGGCAGCATTATATAGAGGAAAAAGCATGAAAATCAGAAGCATGCAAACATGGGGCTGAATCAAAGCTGTGTCACTTCTTAGCTGTGTGACTTTGGGCAAGTTCCTCAATCTCTCTAGACCTATTTGTAGAATAAGAATAATAATCCCTCCCTCAGCTGAAAGGAAATAGCTGGGTTGTGATGACAAATAGTGGGCGCGCAAGAAATCCAGTTCTTCTCTCTAAATTTCGCCAAAAACCTTTGCTTTTCTCACTCCTGCTTCAAACTTTAAAGTGACTCCTACAGCCTCCCTACCAGCCTTCACATCAAGCTTGAAACAAGAACCCACATAACAAATGATATCAGAAACGGAATTCCGCCAAAGGGAATCACATCCTTCATTAACGGAGCCCAGATGGTGAGGAACTAAAGGGATTTCCTTCAATTATATTGCTGTCATTTTTTATAACGAATGTTAAATTGCATTTAATTATTATTGTAAGGGGGGAAATGTGTCAAGTTCTATCCTAGAATATTTTATGGAGTTGGTTTTCCTTTGGCAAGGCTCTAAGAACATCTTATTTTCCCACTAATTCTTATAAAACTGCCCCCATTAACATCAACACACAGATAACATGCAAACAAGTAGCAAAGAGCTAAAAACACCAGAGTAAATAAAATCCACCTCAAGCCAGGTACCATGGTGCATTCTTGTAGTCCCAGCTACTCTGGAGCCTGAGGCGGGAGGATTACTTGAGTGCAGAAGTTTAAGACCAGCCGGGGTAACATAGCTATAATACCTCTCAAAGAAAAAAAAAATCCACCTGAAATCCTCCAAACTCAACTTTTAGTCAATAGTTTCAGACCTTTTCTTTCCTGAACCTTCAGAAGACCCTGAATTTTGTGTGTGTCGCAAAATAGACTGAATCGAACTCCTTGTTCATTCCTCCAGCCCACCATCTCTGATTAGAACATGTTCTCATTTTGAGTTCCAACTCAGAGGGATCCTAAATGCAATCCCATCCTATAATCTAGGACACAAAGTTTACAGAGTTGCTACTCCTTAGCCTTGAGAGAAAATTTCCTGTCCTAAATCTGCTTTTCCTTTTGAATTACTGTTTATCTGTACTTCTAAATTTACCAGTGCTCCTTCACATTTCTGATTTTTTTTTTCTGTCTCTCTCCTTGTCTGAGATTTATCACAGCTGTATTTCTTCACCAAACTCCTGAACCACTTAATTCCCCTCCATTTCCCGGATTTACTTCTTGTTAAGAATAGTATAAGAGTTAAAACAGAAAAGGATAAGGCTTCTCAATATTTTTACTAAATAAAATATGGTTATAACATATTTTGTTTATCCCTCTCTTCAAGGAGATGAGTACAGCATATCATTTTTCATGATATAAAATGCCTGTGGTCAAATGTAAAGTAATTATTAACAGAGGCAGTATATGGCTTTCCAATCTTTATAAACTTTATAATCACTATACATATTATTGGAATTAAAGATGGCAAACAGTGATTCTTTCAAATAGGTAAATTAGATATACTTCCTACAAGTGATCAGCTTGTAACATTATCAGGTGAGTCTAATTTGAACTTCTGCTGCGATAAAGCTATACTCACATAGATAAACAGGTAAATACTATATCCAGACTGAACAAAGCACTTAAATTAATGTATTGATGTATTTGTATAAGGATTCCTGTGTTTCCTTGCTCTAAGTACTTATCTTGAAAATAGGAACTGTTAACAAAATCCATGGCTAACTTTTTCCCCAATATTAAGAGATGAAAGAAAGTGTAGGTAGGGTCCCAAGAGAGAAGTTTTCACATACTGAATTATCTCCTAATACAGGCTAGAAAAACGATAAATCTGATGAAAATAAATAAAAATTTGGGGGACAAAATCATGTTAGGTTTATTGAGATATGTGAATTTCCCCAATCTTTAAAAACTGTTCTTATGCTAAAACTTACCCCTTCCTATCACCACAGTGAAGAGAGTAATTTATATCTAAGACCTTATTTTAGGGATTTTATTTTAGGCGGTATCATAGGAATTTATCTCATGGTATAAATAGTTTAGTAAATCTGGGATTTGGGAAAGAGTTTTTCTCTACAGCACAGGCCTTTTGTTCAGCAGCAGATGACAAAATAATTTTGAGGCAAGATGATTTAACTTCAGTTTGATGTCCAGCCATCCACCCCAAATCTTATGCTCCAAATTCCAGAATGTGGCCAGAGTATTGAAAATTAAGTTTTTAAAAAATCATTTGATCCAAATCTTCTAAATATATATACATATATGCAAGAATGACACAGCCTTCAAATTATGGTTTGGCCTATAGTTTGTGTATAGCTCTCTAGAGAATTTCGATCTTAAGGTTAAAATCTCAAATATGTGGAGATCATGTCTGAGGACTTGACTACCATAAAATTCTGTCAGCATCCATGCATCATGTATATGGATTACCAAATAATGCCGAGTCTCCTACCCTGAGATGGCAGCCAATTTTTGGTGTGCCTGACGGGCCATTTCACAGCCTTTGGTTCTTGTCTTGTGCATTTCCGCCCGGAGTGAGGGGCAGCTGACCGAGACATCCCCAATAGAAATGACCAGCTCTCGGTACAGGGCCACTTGTGTGTTGAACTCTTGGACAAGCTGGAAAAGAAGTGAGTTTTTTTTTTTTTACCAAACATTTCTCATCAGAAAGTTTCCTGTTTCGGAGTACATAAACAGGGGCTTTCACTGACCCCTGAGTCAGCTCCCCAGATCTCCAGCTAAGGAACCTAGGAATTGTTTAAAGCAGAAGGCACCAAAATGGCAAGTCTCTTTGTCCAAGGCAAGTATTTATTTCCATAGGCAAGCCTGGCCATGGAAGCTCTATTTCCAGACCTACTTCCCCTCACCCTTTCAGACTCAGTTTCTGAAGAGCAAGAGAGCATATTTGGAGCGCTACCATGCCACTCCCAGGCCAACAGAGAATGATGCTGGGGACTCCTACATAGACGGTCCCCTCTCCTACTGCTAGGACATGGCTTTTAAGTTGCACGGCGGGAGGGGCGGGGGAGGCGACAGGTAGGGTGTAATAGGCAAACCATTCACCTTTTGCTGGGCCACTGAACCTCTCGGCCTGACGGCCTGACGGGAAGACCAGCTACAGCCTCTGCGCTGGAACCTTCGACCCCTCCGCAGCGCCCCGTGCGCTGTATTTGGGTTTGTTTGCTACTCTGTCCCCAGAAAGCAGCATCCCCACCTCCTCATCCCTCCCTCCTCCGTGAGCGAGCCAGTTCACTGTGTCTTTCGCATCCACCATTCTTCGAGGGGGTACAGGCACAACCTACAGCCGCTGATCCCCAAGACCCTTGCTGTCACACTTCTTTCTGCAGGGTTATTACGACCAGGGTGTCACCCTGAATTTGGGGGACTGCAGATTTAAAAATAGTGCATGTGCCACGTGATCGGCATTGAGGAGCTGAGGGTGGGGGAGTGGCTGGCACTCAGGCAAATGATTAACATACATGACTCCCCCCACCCCCTCTCAATTAAAAAAAAAAAAAAAGAGGCGCAGTTTTCACCCACCATCTTGCAGTCGTCCAGGGCTCGTTGGGTTTTGTGGGCGCTCTCGGAGCCGCTGCCCCTGCGCTCCCAATCTCCGCTCTGCAGCGGGGGCTTGCTGATCTGGAAGATCGAGGAGCGGGTGGACCGGCTGGGGCGCTTTTTGCGCCCATTCGGTGCAGAACTCATGCATACACATCCACCAAGCCGAAGCCGCTGGTGCAGTGCGCCCCGGCGCGGGCGGCCCGGTTGTTGCCCTGGGCGCCGCCGCCAAGCAGCCGGAGCCCGGACCTGAGGCGCGCAGCTCACAGTGCTGGGGCTGGCTGCGCGGGTCGGTAACCTTCAGCTTGAAGGAGAGCCGGGGAAGCGCTAGCTGTGCCGTGCAGCATCGCTTCCACTAGCAGCGAGGAAGGAGCGCGATCAAGTTCTGCTCAGCAGCATTGCCGACCCTGTCCCGGGAGCTGGGCGCTGGCGCGGGCTCGCACTGCCTTCCTCTCGGCATGGATTGCAAGGCTGGGCGAGAAGGAACGCGCCGCCCGGCGGTTCCGAGTTTCCATTCAGGTGGGGGAGCAGCTTTCAAAGCCTGCGCTGCAAGGTGGGGGGCGGAAAGGGGTGTCGCTCTTGCTTCAGTGTCTTCCCGCAGCGGCACTCGGTTCGTCTTTCCCCTCCCTCCACTGTCGCCAGGCCTGGAAGGACTGGCCGTCCCCAAAGCAAGCAATTGGCTCTAATCGGCTGCCTTGATCCCTCGTCTCTAAGGGCTTGTCTGTTTGAAGATCCCAGATGAATCTGTGGCGGGACTGGCAGACGCAGAGAATCGGTCCGGCTGACGTTGTTCGCGGGCCCGCACATTGATAGGACGGGAATACTAATGTGATCTGTCCATGCAACCCCCTTCCCCCTCCACAGTTTATGCACTTATCCAATCAAATCCCCGGGAACATCAATTGCAATATTACTTCATCTGCTCTATTATTAGAAACGAAAAGTGTCATCAGAGTGGAGCACATGCCACATGCTGGGACCTAAACATGGATTTCAAATAAGCCAGTGTGGGCTTGAGGCCCTCACCAACTGAGACTGAGACAGGGGCCACAGGAGGGAGTGAGGTTTTGCTCCAAATGGAAGACCTCTTGATAACCTAAAAGGAGAGCTTTGTTTCCCTGAGTTGTTTTGTTTTTATTTTGTCCTTGTTCATGGAGGGGGAAAGAGGAGAGCCAGTGAGGCAGAATGCACAGAGGCATTCACTCAGATTGGGCCTCATCCCCATCCCATTTCAAGTAGTAAAGCTCTTGGTCTTGCATTGCAGGGTCTCAGGACTCAGCTCCTAGAGTTCCCTTCCGGAGACTTGAACAAATAAGAGCCAAGAGATCTCCCTGGACACTCAAAATGACCTTCTTCTCACTTATGGGATATCAGTAACCCAGAGGCCAACAGAGGTGGCCCAGAAAATCGGGGATGATTCTTGTGTGAAAGGAGTGGGGGTGAGGCCCTCAGCCATTTAAGTTCACCCTTCCCACTGACATCTTCCTAAGGTTCTTCTGGGAGGAAGAGAGAGTGTTGTGGCATTCAACTCTAAGGCTCTAAGGATGCTTGTTCTCCTGAATGATTTGTTTGGAGAGGGAGATAAAGGGGTCTCCCATAGGAAAACTAGTTATGTATTAGTAATCCTAATAAGAACAGATTAGAGGTTCCTGGTCAGTCTGTTAAAGGGATATGGAGAGTACATAGAAAGAGAAAGCCTGAAATAGCCAGGAAGGTTAATATCCTAAGGAGGGTGGCTTTACAACCTTTTCTACAAGACAAGTAAATATAATGGGGTACTATAATAAGAGAGTTATTTGGTCTTTGTCCCCAGTCCCTAGGGCAGAACTCCTAAAACCCTTAGAAATTGCCTGAGTTATTATGATAAGCCATCTTGTCACCAGAAAGACCAAGCCTTGATTAGTTGCTTGCAACTTTCAGCCTCATCCCCCAATCTCAGGGGATAGGAGAGGAGCTAGTGACTGCGTTCCTCACCAATGGCCAATTATTTAATCAATCATGCCTACATAAAGAAACCTCTGTAAAACTCCTAAACAACAATAGAGTGTGGGGAGCTTCTGGGTTGTGGAAGACATCTAGGTGCTGGAAGGGTGGTACACCAGGAAAGAGCATGGAAGTTCCATGTCCTTTTCCCATACCTTGCCCTATGTTTCTCTTCCAGTTGGCTGCTCCTCAGTTGTATCCTTTAGAATAGACTGCTAATAGTAAGTAAAGCTCTTTCCTGAGTGCTGTGAGTCATTCTAGTGAATTACCAAATCTGAGAAGGTGGTTATAGGAACCCCTGAATTTGTCGCCAAGATGGAGAGAAGAGTTGGTAACCTGTGGATCCCATACTTGTGACTGGCCTCTGAGATGAGGGCAGTCTTGTGGGACTGAGCCCTTAAACCTGTAAATCTGACGTTAACTCTGGGTAGTTAGTGCCAGAAATGAGTTGTAGGCCACCTAATTGGTGTTAGAGAGTTGGAGAAGTGCTATTGGAAAAGACATCATGTATTTGGGTGGGAAGGAAAAAAAACCTAACAGATGGATCACTGAGTGGATATTTGGCTACATTTTTTTTTTTTCTGAGTCAGGGTCTTGCTCCGTCACCCAGATTGGAATTTAGTGACACCATGAGAGCTCACTTCAGCCTCAACTTCCTGGGCTCAGGTGATCCTCCCACTTCAGCCTCCCAAGTAGTTGAGACTACAGGCACATGCCACCTAATATTTTGTAAAGACAGAGTTTTGCCATGTTGCCCAGGCTGGTCTTGAACTCCTGAGCTCAAGTAATCCACACACCTTCACCTGCCAAAGTGCTGGGATTACAGGTGTGAGCCACTGCGCCTGACCAGAACTTCACACAAGCTTGAGAGTGAGTTTTCCCTATCAAAGACTAGAGAAAGGAGGCATCAGCTCTCAGGCCCAGACCTTGGTGTGCTGCTATCCTCCAGGTGTTTAGATGTCCCAGAGACTGAGAGAAAGGGCTCTTCTGCTGGTTGAATCTCCCCAAATATAAGAAGATAACAGGTTAGTGCTTAGTCAGCTCCCTGACCCTTTCTCTTTCCTGCAATCTCAATTACCTCCCCTCCCTTCCTCCCTCCCTCCTTTTTTTCCTTCCTTCCTTCCCTCCTTCCTTCCTTCCTTCCTTCCTTCCTTCCTTCCTTTTTTCCTTCCTTCCTTCCTCTCTCTCTTCCTTCTCTCTCTCTTTCTTTCATTCTTTTGTTCATTCGTTCATTCTACGGAGTCTCACTCTGTTTCCCAGGCTGTAGTGCAGACTTCTGAGTAGTTCCACAGACATGCCTGAGTTGGCCGCTCCTGAGTTGTATTCTTTAGAATAGACTGGTAATAGTAAGAAAAGCTCTTTCCTGAGTGCTGTGTCATTCTAGTGAATTACCAAATCTGAGAAGGAGGTTGTAGGAACCCCTTCCTACAACCTGAGCTGAGTGGACCACAGGCACGTGCCACCACACCCGGCTAACTTTTGTATTTTTAGTAGAGACAAGGTTTCACAATGTTGGCCAGGCTGGTCTCAAACTCCTGACCTCAGGTGATCTGCCTGCCTCAGCCTCCCAAAGTGCTGGGATTGCAGGCATGAGGCTCTGTGCCCAGCCCCAATTTTCTTTCTACTTAACGCGTGTAAAGAGAGAAGCAGAAAAACACATCAGGTGCCTGGGGTTTTGTGAGGGGTGAGGATGCTTGGGATGATGAAGAGGAAGATAACAGAGAGACTGAGGGGCTTTAAAGAAGGATCGATAATATTCATTTGTAGATGGTTTAAGTCCTGTGTTATAAACCTCTTTCACTGTCACTAGCTTACCCCTGCACTCTCCACCCAACTTTCAGGAAAAGTCTGCTATAACCCATTGTTGGTGGTGCTTTGGAGAACTAAGGGAAAAGGGGCTACCTTTTACATGTGTGTGCACATGGGTTGAAGAGGATAGGACACTGGAGATCAGTCTGCTGGAAATCTTTTTCCATGGCTCTGTTGATTCATCCCCTTTTCCTGTGAGGAAATAGCCACTTCTACCAGATTTGAGCGTCTTAAACCTACTCAGTAGTAGGTTTCTACTCCAGTTACAACCATCTGGTTTCTAACCCCCACCTCCCTTCTTCTGCCTAGAGACAATTTCAACAAATTAAAAGAAAAAAAGGCAATATAATTGCACTGCCCTATTTCTATGCCATATTTCTTGCAGGAGCTGGGGGGCAGGGGTGGGGGATGGAATGAATAGGTCAAATGCAATGCCACGTCTGAAAGACTACTGACTTGGGAACCTGCTGGGGGATTAAGCGGAAATTTCACTCGTAGGTGCCCCTTGGCCTTCCCTGATACACAGCCCAAGCCATTTTCCTGAGAAGGGAGAAAAATAGCATCAATCTCAGAGCTGTCTCTCCCAGCCAGCGACAAATGCTGTAATCAGAATAGCAGCAGGCAGGCTTAGTTTCCTAACCTTCCCCCACATTCAAAACTGCATGAATTTACATTCCTGAGGCTGTCTGACTGCCAAGTAGAAGGGTAAAGTGTAGTTGGAAATCTCAACAACAGGCACATATTTTGATTACCCAGACCCGATTTTGGCACATGCCTGATCATTGGTCACCTATAGGTATATGGCTTTGACAAGAGTCACATCCTAGATTCACTCCAATATAAGATATACCTTACATTTTGTGTTCTCTCTGTGATAGTTTTGAGAATTCATTTTGATTTGAAATTTTAAGAAACATCAGAGAACATCAGTTTAGAATGAATATGAGCAATTGCTGAGTTTCTTCAAATTGGTTCTGTAGGGAACCGTAGTGGGACCCAGAAATGAACACTTCATAATGGATTGGCCTCTCATGAGAGGTGATAGTAGGAGGCAGGTTTCATCTGGGAATAAAGTTCAGAGAAGTGAAAAAAAGGGGGGGCCCTTACATGAGTGGGTCTCTGATAGAGGCAGAGAAAAATACATTAAGATTCTGAATTCCAGAAGCTAGGGAGATCTGAAGGGCATGATCAAGTTATTTTTTTGTTAGTGTCAAAAGATAAGAGATAAAGTTATTCTGAAGAACTTAGTGAATAAACTATCTAACAGATGGTTTCTTTCTGCTAAAAGCATAAGAGGGTGCAATATGTTGGGAACATTTATTTATTAATTTCACAAATATTTTTGGGTATTCTTGTTAGGGACAGATCCAGGTTTTGTTGGTCTTGAAGCTTATACAATTTGGGAGCCCCTCTTAAAGAAAAAGAACACAAAAATTTAAATACAAGATGAGATACATTGTCTTAGAAGGAGCTTATGCAAGTGAGGTTCCCTGAAGTTTAGGCTTCATGAAATTCACGGTAAATTTCAACCTTGGAGTGTTTCTTGTGTGCATAATGGGCATCTAGTGTTTTGCTTGCTCAATTTTTATTCTCCCTTTTCTGATGATAGCACCTTAAATTTCCTATGAGAAATCAGTCCTCTCTCACTTTTTGCCCACATGGCTCTGTGCATGGGCATATGATTCAGGACTGACCAATACAAATACTGTATCTCAGTGGCCACAATGACTGGTTTAATAATGGTTATGAAATCTAAGTTGGACCAAAGAACTTTAGCATTGGGACTTTTTCTGGAACTATTAGGTTGAAAGATATGAAATTGCCATTATTCAACCATTTTGACCTACATAAATAGCAATTTTATATATTTCAACCTAATATTTAGTTTTTTTTCTTTCCATTGGGTTGGTAAACTGGTAAGATGAAAGCTGGAATTTCTGGTGGCCATTTTTGCCATTCATAGTCAACAGACTGCCTGAGATCTAACCCAGAGGATCAGAATGGAGAGATGGAGAGATATTGATTCTTAATTATATTATTTGAGTTTGTAGATCCATCTCTGCCTTAAGTCAAACTATACCTGCAATTTCATTTAGGTGGACCAAAAAATTTCCTTTCAAATTAAGTCAGTTTTATTTGGATTACTACCACTTGCAACCAAAAGAGTCTTGATTAATATAATATGTAAAGAATAATTGTGAAAAAGTATAGGATACATCAAATCAATCCATCTAATACTTATTGAATGTTTACTATGAGCAAGGTACTACATTAATGACAAAGAGAAGATATAATAAGAGTAAAGATATAATTCTTTTTAAGGCACTTATACCTGGGAGATAAAATATACAGACAAGAAACCACTAAGAACAATAAAATATGTAATAGTGTTACTTTCTGCTACATATAAATACTGCAGGAATTTAGAGATGAGATCAATCTCTGTATGCTGAGGTTACTAGAAAAGGCTACATGATAGAGATGGAACCTGAGATAGGCATTGATGTATATGTATACAGGATTGGGATAGGTGGAGGAGTGTGGGACAGCTTTTCAGTGGTTGGCTAAGAGCAGGAGTAAGGGAGTAAAGAATGGAGGGCATGAAGAGTCAGACCTGAATTGAAGATAAATAGGAGAGGCCATTGTGAAAGTGTTGTGGGTGAGGTCACAAAAGCAGGACAAATGATCTGGTTCCTTTGGTTTAGGAAAGGAAGAAGGACAGTACATTAGCAGCAGAGAAAACCTAACAATTTTCTTTGGATGACAATAATGTACATGATTTGAGGCTGCACTGGGAATAGATATACCCAAAGGACTTATCTCATGTCTACTATTGACTTACTACAGCTTTGCAGAAGTGAACCTGGAGGCTGAACTCCAGTGTTTTGAGAAAATGTTGATGGAAGTTATGGGTAGAGTGGAAGTTAATGGTAACTAAGAATGGCATGGTTAACATTACTTAGAGCCTTTAGAGTAAAACAGAGGAGTTTGATTCTGATGCTGGTTTGGGATAGACCATTGGCAAAAGAGGACCACTGCCATTTCTCAAGTGAACTAATGAGGCATGTGATGTTTTAAGAAAACTGATTTGGCAGTGATATGTAGAATGCATTGGAATGAAGAGACAGTGAATCCATCTACTGAGCTATTATAATAATCCAAGTGGAAGAGGAATGTGACTGCTGGGAGGAGAGTCAGAATCAGGGAGAAATTTCAGAGGGTTTTAGGGTCAGAACATTATCTCAACACAGGACTGACTAGAAAAAAATCTGAACTAGCTAAGGTAAAAGGCAACAGGTATTTTAATTTCCCATGGAAATGACAAAACTCATTGACAATGGTCCCTGAAATTTGAATTTAGCCCTGACTCTATAGACTCCTTCCTACCTGATATGTACCCAGGACATATACCCATTAGTCAAGCCCTCCAGCCTACTTTGTCTATGAATTCTACTGAGACCTCTTACCTATTTGACTAGAATTCTTTCTAGCCAACCACAGCTCTGGCCTAAATCTAACCTGCATTACACTATATCCAGACACTAGTCAGCCTGTGCTTTGCTTACCCTGTTTCCTTCTGCTGGCCTCACCATCTCTTTCTGCAGTGGCTACTCTTCCAATAAAACCTGGTTCTTTTAAGGACACTTCTGGGCCTGCCAAATATGCTAAAACACACGTTGAAGGAACACTGCAGTGGACAGGATGTGTCTGCAGAACCAGTTCCTTAACTGTCCTTTGACCCATCTGTGCCCTGGTTCATTTCTGGCCTTCCATTTTCTACCTTTGCTTCATTATCTGAGTCCTCTTTGTGCTTTTTTTTCTCTCTCTCTCTCTAATAACCACACAATTAATGCATATATATATTTTTCCTTGTTTTAAAACAACTGAATTGCAGATAAGGATAAAGTCCCTTTTGAGCACCATTCCAGCCTCAGTACTCTCCTGGCTCCCCCAAAATAATCTTTCTGGAAGGTTTTATATGTAGATTTTCTGTTACATAATTGTATACTTATATCTTCCTGAAAAAACATGTAGAGTTTTGGTATTGTTTATTTATGTGTATGTTTTTATAGAAATCATACATTGTATGTTATTCTACAATATGCATTTTTTTTTTTTTTTGAGACAGAGTCTCACCGTGTCACCCAGGCTGGAATGCAGTGGTGTGATCATGGCTCACCACAACCTTCATCTCCGGGGCTCAAGCAATTCTCCCACCTCAGCCTTTTGAGTAGCTGGGACCATGGTACTTGCCACCATGCTTGGCTAATTTTTTGTATTTTTAGTAGAGATGGGGTTTCACCATGTTGCCCAAGCTGGTCTCGAATTCCTGAGCTCAAGCGATCTGCCTGCCTCAGTCTCCCAAAGTGCTGGATTACAGGTGTGAGCCGGACACACAGCCGCTGGACATTGTTTCTTTCTACTTAACACTAAGTCTTTGGAGAGGCTTCTATATTAATAGACATCTACCTCGATCTTGTACTTCTGCATAATATTCCAGAATAATAGACATCATAACTTACTAAACCATTCCCCAGTTGGGACATTTAGATTTCCAATGTTTTAATATTATTAACAAGACTGCAATGAAATGCTTAAGCATGCTCTTTTCTTCATATGAGAGTATATACAATATTTCATAAGTATATATAAAGAAGTGAAATTGCTGGGTCATAGAGTATGTGCATTTACATTTTTAAGAGATATTCTGAAATTTCTTTCCAATATGGTTGTATCAAATTACATTCATGCTGGCTATGTATGAAAGTACCCATTTCCCTACATACTGGCCAGTTGAAAGACCAGTTTAACATCATTAAGCTTTTGAATTTGTTCCAACTTGATTTTTTTTTATTTCAATGCTATATTTTTATCTCTCAGCCTTCTAGTTCCTCTTCACAGGCTTTCACTGATTTTGATTTAGCAGAGAATATCTATGGGATCACACTTGGTAATGCTTCCATCCATCCCCCTCACCCTACTCCCCACACTCATATGCTACCCTCCCACCCACTATGACTCTCAAACTCCTACTCACATCAGTAGCCTTGAGTGGATGCAGCCCACCTTTGAAAGAGTGAGTTTATAAATTGCACCAATTAGGAAACATAGAACAGGGATGAGATAAAAGAGTAAAAGATGAATTTGAATTTCCTAATCTGAGAAATTATAAAAATGGAGCTTTCCCTGACAGAACTGGACAACTGAAAATATTAGACTAGGTGACAGGTTGGGTCTAGAGATGTAAATTGTGAAGTCAGAAACAAAAAGTGTTCAATGACATCTTGAGCATGAATGTGTTTCCAGGAAGGAGTAGTACAGAGAGGAAAAAAGGCAGAGGGTGAGGATTAAGTCCTGAGGCATGTCAACAGATAGGAGGTGGAATGCGATAATGAGTCAGTGGAGATGGAGCGGGGACTGCCTGAGAAAGACAGGAAGAATCCACTGAATACAGTGACCCAGAAGCAAAGGGCAGAGTCACTTTCAAGGAGTGAGCTGTATTTGCCCCAGAGCTATCAAGCAGAAGAGGATTTAGAAAAATATCTTTTGCCAGGAAGAGGTCATTGTGGAAAGTTGTGTATTTTCAATAATAAAAGAAGCTAAACCCAAATTAGAAGTGAGCAATAAGGATGCAAAGTGGAAGAAGCAGGCGGAGATCACAAGTACAAGGGCAAGAAGGAGACAGAGTGATACCCACAGAATGGCAGGTTCTGATCTGTGTGTGCAAAAGGACATGTTTGAAAAAGAAGGAAGGAACCAGTAGATAAGCAAAGATAGACATTGCTTTAATAAGTCATAATTATAGGAAAAACAATGTCAGCTGAGAGAAGAAAGAAGTGGTCCAATGTACAAATGAATGGAAGTTTACTGATTTTTTTTTTTTTTTTTGCAAATAAGGAGTTGTGGACAGTCTTTCCAGAAGACCCTAACAGGAATTCAGTGCTGTTGGTCTCAGTTTAACACTGATAATAAAATCTAGGTCTAAAGTGTCTACGCCCTTAGGATATGTTAATAAAATAATCAATTGAACAAACAAAGGAGTACAAAATAACACCATCAGCTGGCATTGGGGATTGAGGCATTAGAACTCTTGAGTTTTCTATCTAATTTTTGAAATTCTGATACATCAGAGGGTGATGAGGGAAATTCAGAGTCTTCTGCTAGGGAGTTTGTGTTTTTTTCTGAGGTTGGTTCTGAAAGAACATTCTACAATTCCTCTCAATAACCTGTTCTAGCATCCAACAAGTCAGGACATTCTTATTTATATATATTTCAAATTTCTCTTTGGAGCAATTTCATTTCACTTTCTTAGTGAAGATGGGAAATAAATAGCATGTGTTGCCAGGCTTAAAGTAAGACAGGTGACTAAAAATAAAAATTGCACTTTCAAAACGGTGGTGTAGGTAAGTCTTTTACCCCTGATAGAAATGGGGAGAGAACTAGGTTGGAGAGAGAATAACTCCAAGGTGTGGGGAATCTAGGGTTTCTCCTCCCAAAGGGAATTGAGGAATAACAGGGCTCTTCTAAGGGACTGAGAGATGGAAGTTTTAGCATCAGATTAGGATGGATACCAGTCCCTTCTCTTTGGCTCATTCTGTCCCATCTCCATTTCTGTGGAAGTTGGAAGGACTTAGCTGATGTTCTGGTAGTCTGGCAGAAGTAGAGTGTGTCTGAATTCCAGTTTGGCAGCAAATGCAGCTGCAGTACCCTGGCTCTTTCAAAACTGCCAATGAAGAGTCCACCACAACCTCTACTGAATTGTTACATGACCATAGGTAAAATGAGGCCACTATCCTCTTTACGTTAACTCTTGTATCCTTACAGATTCATATCCAGGTCACCTTTCAGGTTTTTTCCTTCCAGGCAAAAGTAATTTAATTCCTTCACCTTTCTTGAAAGATGTACACAATCATTTTTGTTATTTCAAAATAACTGAAACTAACCTCTAAAATGTGGTCTCTAGTAATAACCTGATTGAAATAAATAACTTTATTGTATCATATTATTATGTCTAACTAATACATTAGGGCTCCAACTACTACTTCTAAAGTTAAACAACCAGGCTAATAATCTATGTTAACTTCATGGTTTAAATGACAGATATAATTCCTTATATGACAACATCAGCAAAAGAAATGATTTAAAATAAGCTTTTATTTTTGTATATTTTTATTTTTTAACTTTTACACAAAGGTTTATGGCAGAATTGTTCATGGTATACAAAAGGTAAAAAAGAACCAA
Organism: Homo sapiens; assembly: GCF_000001405.40. NCBI lineage: Eukaryota > Metazoa > Chordata > Mammalia > Primates > Hominidae > Homo > Homo sapiens. The sequence continues at coordinate 64,495,737 of NC_000005.10, read as the reverse complement.
ACATAAATCATCTGATGATAAATAGATAATATGTTGTATATTCATACAATGGAATAAAATTCAGCCACAAAAAAGAATGAAATATTGATATATGCTACAACATGGATGAATGTTGAAAACATTAAGGTAAGTGGAAGAAGCCAGCCACAAAATATCACATATTATATAATTCTATTTAAATGTAATGACCAGAATAGGCAAATCTGTAGAGACAGAAAATAGATTAGTGTTTACTTAGGGCTGTGGAAGACGGGGGGATAGGGGAGCGATAGCCAAAGGGGACAGAGTTTCCTTATGAGGTGAAGAATATGTTCTAAAATTGACTATGAAGATGGCTGAACATATCTGTGAATATACTAAAAACCACTGAATTGTACATTTTAAATGCATGAATTGTATGATGTGTAAATTATATCTCAATGAAGTTGTTTTAATAAGTGTATGAGTATCAAATATATGCCAGGCACTATAGCAGGTGCTGACATAAAATCCAGGTCAAATCTGTCAACCTAGTGTCTCTTGTTTTGTAAATGATTCTTCAACTCTTAGAAAATTAAGAAAAATTATAAAGAAGAAAAGAGACATCATCTATAATCATGTCATGCAGTTGACAGTCACTGTGTATATTTTTCATGCATTTTCTCTGTTTTTTTTGCATTCAGAAACCTTTTAATGTATTCAACATGATTTTTGACATCTTAAAAGATATTTATGTAACCAACTCTTACGTGTTTACCCACCAACATAAGGAATAAAACATCATCAATAGAAGAAAACACCGTCAATGTGAATAATTATCCTGAGAAAATAATCAGAGGGTATGCAAGATGTATAAGGATGCTCACCACAGCATCACCCTTAATGGCAAAACGAGAGAAACATATTTAATGAAACTATCTCAGAGAAGGTGTTTTTTAAAACCTTTGTGAATATAAACAAAAAAAGTAAGTTTTTTTCTGTTGAGATGGGATCTCATTCCATCGCCAAGGCTGGAGTGCAATGGCACCATCATGGCTCAATGCAGCCTTGATCTCCCATGTTCAAACGACCCTCCCACCTCAGGCTTCCGAGTAGCTGGGACTACAGGTGCAGGCTACCATGCTCTGCTATTTTTGTATTTTTTGTAGCGATGTGGTTTCGCCATGTTGCCCAGGCTGGTCTCGAACTCCTGGGCTCAAGTGATCTGACCGCCTTGGTCTCTTGAAGTGCTGGAATTATAGACGTGAGCCACCACCCCCAGCCGTATTTCATTTTTAGTGTAAAGTTTTCCATAGTAATGAGAGAGAGATTTTTATGAGTTTCTTGTCTTTTGATGCTTTGACAACTTATATGTGGAAGTCTTATGGCCTTTTGCTTTGGTTTTCTGATTTAAAAGATCTCTGCCTCTATTAAGGATAGTAACCCTTCCGCCAGATGTATTGTAAGTATTTTTCTAATTTTGACATTTTTCTTTTCTGTTGTTTATAACATTTTTGAAGACATAGAAATTTGCTTTTTTTCCAGTGGCCAAATATACTATTCTTATCCTTTAGATTTCTTTGATTGCTCTTAGTAGAATGGTTTTCATCATCTGAAAATAAATTAACTATTTATTATACATTATTCTAGTTTTTCATACTGGCATTCTCAACTTTTCACAATGCTGTGTTAAGTAAAATCTGTGTATATCATAACTGCCTAAAGCAGTAACTGCCTCTATTTTAAAAAATAAACTCTTTAACCCATTTATAATTTAATTTGGGAGATGATGTGAGGTAAAGTTCTTATTTGATTTTATTCCAACATTCATTTAAAAATCCATCTTTCTCCAAAGAATTAGCATTTCTTTTATCTTTTATTAAGCTCATAGGTATTCTAGCATGTAAATTAAGGTTATCTTTTCTATTCCATGATATTTTAATTGCTACATAATGCCATGATGTTTTAACTATAGTACTATATATGTCAAATACATTATAATGACATACCTCTGTTGTGATGGGGTTAATGCTTGATTTCTCAAATGAAATTCAGAATCACTTTCAAAATCAAAATTCCAAACTGTGTAAAATGTATGAATTAATGTGGGAGTAATTAAAATCTTGGCAATATACAATCTTTTCAACTAGACATGTAATTATCTTTCCACTCTTTCTTTTAAAAATATTTCTCAGTTAAAGTTTGCTAATATGATATTAGTTTCTTTCTAATATGTCATAAGAAAAAGTTTTGGGTATATAAAAAAGTTGAAAAAATTTTATAATAAGTACTTGTACAGATTCTATCATTAATACTTTAATTCCTTTATCACATACCTATCCATCTATCCATCCATCAATCCATCTTGAGTTGTTTTATGTACACTTTAAATTGCATATGTATATCAGTACATATCCCTTTAAATATTTCAGAATGCATATTAACTAGAGTTCAGTATTTGTTATTTTTATTTAAATTTTTATTGTAGTAAAATATACATAACAAAATTTACCATCGTAGCCATTGTTAGGTGTACAATTCAGTGGTGTTAAGTACATTTACAATGTTGTGCACCCATCACCACTAACCATTTCCAGAACATTTTCTATCATTCCGAGTAGAAACTCTGTGCCCATTAAATAACTCCTCATTCTCTTCTCCCCCAGCCCTGGTAACTTTGTGTTCTTATAATTTGCCCCCTATAGGTACTTCCTATAAGTGGAATCATATAATATTACTCAATGTTGGTTTTTATTAAGTTTTTGCTCATTTAAAAAGTTGTGGTGGGTGCAGTGGCTCACACCTGTAATTCCAGCACTTTGGGAGGCCAAGGCGGGCAGATCATGAGATCAGGAGATTGAGACCATCCTGGCTAACACGGTGAAACCCTGTCTCTACTAAAAATACAAAAAATTAGCCTGCGCAGTGGCCAGTGCCTGTAGTCCCAGCTACTTGGGAGGCTGAGGCAGGAGAATTGCTGGAACCCGGGAGGTGGCCAAGATTGCACCACTGCACTCCAGCCTGAGCAACAGAGTGAGACTCTGTCTCAAAAATAAATAAATAAATAAATTATGCCTTTACTATGTGCTTAGACTTCTGGTAGGATTATATGAGAGACATAGGATGTGACCTCAGAGAATGTATAATTTAAATGTTTCATATTCAGTTCTGTATTTTGTCTTTTTTAACTTTTATTTTACTTTCAGGGGTACACAAGTACACATGTAATATAGGTAAATTGCATGTCATGGGGGTGTATTGTACAGATTATTTCATTACCCAGCTAACAAGCATAGTAGGTAACCTAGTAGGTAGTTTTTTGATCACCCTCCTACCCACCTCTACCCTCCAAAGTAGGTCAAGTGTCTTTTGTTTCTTTCTGTCCATGTATACTCAATGTTAAGTTCCCATTTCTAAGTGAGAACATGCAGTATTTGGTTTTCTGTTCCTGCATTAGTTCGCTTAGGATAATGGCCTCCAGCCTCATCCATGTTGTGCAAAGGACATGATCTTGTTCCTTTTTATGGCTGCAGAGTATTCTATGGTGTGTATGTACCACATTTTCTTTATTCAGTCTACCATTGATGGGCATTTAGGTTGATTCCATGCCTTTGCTACATGTGAATAGTGCTACAGTGAACATATGTGTGCATGTGTCTTTATGGCAGAACAAGTTGTACTCCTTGGGGTATATACATGATAATGGAATTGCTGGTTTGAATGCTGGTTCCGTTTTAAGTTCTCTGAGAACTCACCAAACTGCTTTCCACAGTTGCTGAACTAATTGACATTCCCACCAACAGCATATAAGCATTCTCTTTTCTCCACAACCTTGCCTGCACCCGTTATTTTTTGCCTTTTTATTAATAGCCATTCTGACTGATGAGAGATGGTATCTTTTTGTGGTTTTGATTTGCATTTTCCTAATAATTAATGATATTGAACGTTTTTTCATATGCTTGTTGGCTGCATGCATGTCTTCTTTTGAAAAGTGTCCATGTCCTTTGCCCAGTTTTTAATAGCGTTGTTCATTTTTTTGCTTTTTAAGTTCCTTATAGGTTCTGGATATCAGACCTTTGTCAGATGCATAGTTTGCAAATATTTTCGCCCATTCTGTAGGTTGTCTAAGGTTAATATCGATATGTGCAAATTTGGTCCTATCATTGTGTTCTTAGTGGTTATTATGCAGACTTGATTGTGTAGTTACGTTATAGTGTCAATAGTCATGTACTTAAGTGTGTTTTTGTGGTGACTGGTAAACGTCTCTTGTTTACATATTTAGCACTCTCTTGAGGATCTCCTGTAAGGCAGGTCTTGTGGTAATAAATTCCCTTAACAATTGCTTGTCTGAAAACGATCTTATCTCTCCTTCACTTATGAAACTTAGTTTGGTTGGATATGAAATTCTTGGAGTTTCTTTTCTTTAAGAATGTTGAATACTGAATCCCAATCTCTTCCGGCTTGTAGGGTTTCTGCTGAAAGGTCTGCTGTTAGCCTGATGGGGTGCCCTTTGTAGGTGACCTGCCTCTTCTCTATAGCTGCCTTTAGTATTTTTTTTCCTTCATGGTGACCTTGAAGAATATGATGACTGTAGGTCTTGGGGATGGTCATCTTGTATGGTGTCCTGGTGTCTCGCAGGGATTCTTTGCATTTCCTGAATATGAATGTTGGTCTTTCTAGTGAGGTTGTGAAAATTTTTGTGGCTGATATCCTCAAATATGTTTCCCAAGTTGCTTGCTTTCTCTCCCTCTCTTTCAAGGACCCCAGTGAGTTGTAGATTTGATCTCTTTACATAATCCCATATTTCTTGGAGGTTTTGTTATTCTTTTTTTAAAAAATTTTGTCGGACTAAGTTAATGTGGAATACCGCTCTTCAAGCTCTGAGATGCTTTCATCAGCATGGTCATTTCTGCTGTTAATATTTGTGATTGTACTATGAAATTCTTGTAGTGTTTTTCAGCTCTATCAGATCAGTTTGGCTCTTTTTTTAAAATGGCTATTTCATCTTTCTGCTCCTGTATTATTTGATCGTATTCCCTAGATTCCTTGGATTGGGTTTCCACTTTTTCCTGAATCTTGATGATCTTTGTTCCTATTCATATTCTGAATTCTGTGTCTGTCATTTCAGCCATTTTAGCCTGCTTACAAATCATTGCTGTGGTTATTTGGAGGTAAGAACACGGTCTGGCTTTTTGAGTTGCCAGAGTTCTTGCACTGGTTCTTTCTCATCCATCTGGGCTGATGTCACTTTAATCTTTGAAGTTCTTGTCTTTTGGATGGGTGTTTTTTGTTTTTAATCTTCTTTAATGTCCTTAGGGGTTTGATTGTCATATAAGGTGGGTTCAGTCAACTGACTTTGATCCTGGAAGATTTCAGGGGGCCAAAACTCAGCTCAGCATTCCTGGGCTGCATTCTCTAACTCTGGGGGGCTGGTATCAGGCCCGCAGCTTTGATCTCTGGCCTCTCAAAGTTAGGAACCTGTTTTTCTGGTAGGATTGAGGTGTTCTCTTCCACTGACCACAACACTCTGATGGGAGATGCCAGCCAAAGCACTTTGTACGTGCAGTGGCAGCAAAATCCATGCTTGCTTGTGCATGCCAGCAGCTGCAGCCATGCAGTGGGCTGCACACACATCAGCTAGGGTCGGGGGCCAGCAGAAGCGAGGCAGTGGTGTCTATGCACATGTATGTGCCTGCAGCAGTGTTGTGACACCAGCAGGGGCAGGGTTCAAGCGTCTGTGCTTGCACTAGAGCCATCAGCAGTGGCAGCAGCATGAAGGGCTGCCCATGCCTAAGGGGGGGTGGAGCACTGGCAGGGATGGTCAGGGTGATGGGGTGTGCTCACTCCAATGGCAGTGGGGTGGTGGGGTGTGCATGCACACGTTTGCTGTTGGGAGGGGGGAGGCAAGGTACTCCTGTGCACATGCTGGTGAAGTGGTAATGATATGGTTTGGCTGTATCCCTACCCAAATCTCATCTTGAATTGTAATAATCCCCATGTGTCAGGGGCAGGTCCAGGTGGAGATAATTGAATCATGGGGCAGTTTCCCACATACTGTTCTCGTGATAGTGAATAAGTCTCATGAGATCTGATGGTTTTATAAATGCACAAGCTCTCTTGCCTGTCACCATGTAAGATGTGACTTTGCTCCTCCTTTGCCTTCCGCCATGATTGTGAGACCTCTGGAGCCATGTGGAACTGTGAGTCAATCAAACCTTTCCTTTATAAATTACTCAGTCTTGGGTATGTCTTTATTAGCAGCATGAGAACAGACTAATACAGCGTCCATGGTCAGGGCATGCCAGAACATGGTGGGGGAGGCTGCAGTGGGATGAGGCTGTGAGTGGGCTGTTCTTGTCAGCAGAAGCCCGTCTGCTGGAGCTCTCTAATGGTTAGGTATGAGTTCCTGACCAAGGAGCTATGATGCAGGCCCCCAGGAAGCACTGTGATTTGACATCTGAGGCTGCACTGAAAGTGAGCATAGCCAGGCTGGGGACCTAGAAGAGGCCAGCAGACAGGAGGTCACTCAAATTGGACTGGCCCTGTCTCATAGGCAAGCCTTCCCTGCTCTGTCCAGGTCTGACAGTCACCCAAAGGCTAAAGCCACCTACAAGATCTTGGCAAGCCTTGGGGAAAGGGTATCCCTGGCTGTGTTCCACTGCAGCCATTCCCATGCCAAACCCTCTGGGCTCTACACAGGCTGGAGTCCTGCCCCTGCCACCACTCTAAACGGCTTTGCTTGCCAGCTCAAGTGGGGGTTGTGTTGTCTCCTGCAGCTAGGATTCCGGAGGTCCATAACGACAGTGGGCCACTCCTTAACAATTCCACTTACCCCTTCCCCAGGAGTTTCTGGGGGCCAGGAGTGGATCCTGGTGTTCAGCAGCCAGGGTTCATGCAGGGTTCCCAGATTCCTCTCCTTTCAGTTTAGCATCTGTGTCCTCCCTCCATCTACTCTCAATGCCTTTCCTTTGAAGATCTCAGTCTTCCTAATGTCCCGTTCTCTCATTGGGAGATGTTCCTCTTAGCTGTGTCTAGTTGCCCATCTTGACTCGCTCTAAAATAAGCTTCAGACCAGGACTAAAAAGAGATATAAATAGATAGGACAGAAATAAAGGTTGATTAATACAGAAATTTCAAAAGGAAAGGGCTTTATCATGACTTAATTTTTTGGTGTGCATTTAAAAGAGCTAATAACTCCTTTTCATAAATTGAATATTTCTTATTACTCCAGTTATAACTTCAATAAAAATTATGGAAAAGTTACTGGATAAGTAGATTGGGAAATACTAGACATCCAGGGGAAGTATCTGAATCTATCAGTCTAGGGATATACTGAGAAATCAGAAATGAGGAATCAAATGATTGGTTGACAGATAATTCTTCATTAAAAGGCTAAAAGACAATTGATTATAATGAATTCATTACAGTGTTAAAATGTATTTTAGTGTTAAACAGTGCTATGGTTTAGATATGGTTTGTTTGTCCCCACCAAACCTCATGTTAAAATTTGATCCCTAGTGTGGTGATGCTGGGAGATGAGACCCAGTGGGAGGTATTTGGGCTATGAGGGTGGATCCCTCGTGAATGGCTTGGTGCTGTTCTAGCAGTAGTGAGTGAGTTCTCACTCTCTGGAGACTGGATCAGTTATCTTGAGAATGAGCTAGTTCCTACAAGAGTGGGTTGTTACAAAGCCAGGATATTCCTCAGGTTTCCCCTGCTTTTAACATGTTCACTTCCATTTTTACCTTCTCTGCCATGCGTGATGTAGCATAAAACCCCTTACCAGAAGCCAGGGCCGTGCACTTCAACTTCACAGGCTGCAGAAAAATGAGCTCAAGAAACCTCTTTTCTTTATAAACTATTCAATATCAGGCATTCCTTTGTAGCAACACAAAATGGGCTAAGACATACAATTAACCCAGAGCAACATCAGCAAAACTTTATTGAATGTCTGGTGTACTCAGTGTGTTAGGCTATGCAATAGAGAGTCTAAGAAATTAGATGACACAGTTTCCACCTTTAGAGCCATACAAACAGACATGAATCTAAGAGAGAAAATTCTAACTGTCATAAATCATGGCTGACTGTGAGACTTTATAAGGAAAAGGAGGAACAGAGTCTAGACAGAACTGGGACAAGGACAATTGACCCTTGATGGGGAACTGACTGTCCATTTTGCCATGTTAAAAGAGACTGGACAAAATTGGCATGATTCATATTAGCACAAATATCTAAAGAGGTCTAACTTAGCAGAGATTTCTTTGGTTCAAAAAATATGACTCATATGTTTACCAGGGCCTGGGTGTTGGGGAAGTGGTGTTGGGAAGATGTTGGTCAAAGGGTACAAAATTACAGTTAGATAGGAAGAAGAATTTCAGGAGCTCTATTATGCAATATGTTGACTATAGTTAATAATGCATTGTATTCTTGAAAATCACTGAGAGTAGATTTTAAGTTTTCACCACAAAAATGGTAAGTATGCAAGATAATACATTTGCTAATTAGCTTGATTCAGCCATTCTACAAGGTATACATATTTCAAAACATCCTGTTTTACACAATAAATATATATAATTTTTATTTATCATTTAAGAAAAATAAATAAATTAGGGAAAGGAAACATCAGAGAAAACTAATGTTAAGGAAAATTCCCCAAAATTGTAACTAATGCTCTTGACAAAAGTCATCGTCATTGAAAACAAGGAAAGACTATTTTGATTTACTGTCAAAGGTTGGAGAAAACCAAGCAGACAAGATAATTACATTTAACGTGGTATCCTTGATTAGATCCTAGATCAGAAAAGGGACATTTGTGGATAATCTGTGAAATCTGGATTCTGTACCATTGGTTAATAGTACCATACCAATATTAATTTTTTAGTTTTGATAACTGTGTATCATGGTTACATAAGAAGTTAACATTGAAGGAAGATGGGCAAAGGGATTATAGGAACTCTCTGTGCTATTTTTGCAACTCTTTTCATAAATCTATAATTATTCAAAAATTAAAAGTTTATTTTAAAAAACATGGCATATACCTACTATGTGCTAGTTTCTGGGGACACAGAGACAAACAAGATAGATCCCTGCCTAAGAGGAACTAACTATAACAGAAGTAGAAATAGCAAGCTATATATATAGTGTGTCAGACGCATCTGTGAGAGAAGTTTGTTGAGAGTAAGTCTCCCAGCACACAAGGGAATAGAGGATCAAGCTAACAAGAGCTCAATAAGGTTCTGAGGTCACAGAGCAGTAGAATGAGATTTAGAGCTGGGCTCAATTTTTTAGAAGAAACTGGAGAACCTGAAGAAAAATCTGAAGCAGAAATTCAGTGGTGTGAACAATGCCAACACTCCTGGGAGCAGAGAAAGGGTGTATTTCAATGACCTCATTGATACACAAGCTTATCTACACCCGGCTTGCCACCTTTGGCAACAAGACTAGTTTTAGGTGTGGGGATTTCTTTTGCACTACCTGCGTTAGACAGGAGTGTCTGGGGAGCTGGGAGTGAAGACAGATGAGTTGGCTTGTGGCATACACAGTATTTGACTATGGTTGGGGAAGGAAAGGACTCACATTTTGTTACTAAAATGAGTAGTGGGCCACAATGCTGCAAAAGTTTAGTGGAGAAAGCCAGCATGTTGCTGAATCTGTAAAGAAAGGCTTTGGGGAGAGATAAAATTTGATGTGGCTCTTGAAGAAAAGAGATGGGACTTTAGATAAGGAGAAAAGGATGAGGAAAGCATTCAAGGCAGGAGAATCAGTATGCATAAGAGGAGGGTTCAAATATACATGCTATGCATGGGGAATGACAAGTATATCAGTTTGGAAGGATCAGCAGGTGTATATAAGCAAATAATCAAGAAGATTAGAAAAGTGGTTTTGAGCCAGATTATAACAGATCTTGAAATACTAGGCTAAGTATTTTGGACTTCATCCTATAAATAATAGAGAAAATTGATATTATTTTTTATTTTGAAAGTGAATCTAGCAATGTTTTGAGAAGATTAATGTGGCATTAGTGTATAGAATGAATAAAGTCGAGATTAGAATGAGAAAGATTATTGCTGTAAAATAATGGAGTCTGGAATTTAAAGATAGCAGTAGGAAAGGAAAGGGGGAGTTGTGAAAGACATGAAGGAAGAACTTGGAATAATGGGAAAAGGAGGTATGAAGAATGTCTCCAGGGTTTTATATTTAGGAGGCTCAATAATGGTAGAATGATTGTCTGAAATATCAAAAGCTAGAGGAGAAGCTGGTTTTGTGGGATGTAGATGTGCTAAATTGAGGTAATAATGAGATTTCTGAGGGAAAGAGTCCTGCAGGTAATTATATATACCACATCTAAAATTCAGTAAACAGATTAGGGGCCAAGATATATGTCTGACTTTCTGGTAGAAGTGAAAGTTTAAGCCCTTAGCTGGATAAATCACTCTCTAGGAGAACGTGTGCAACAGCAATTTCAACCCAGGCTGTGTATCATAATCACGGGTACAGTAAGCAGCCAATTCTTCTGCCTGCCTTCCCGCTTCTGGTAACAGAACCAATTCTTTTCATTTTCTTCCTCTCCATATGATTCTGGTGGGGAAATGGGGGAGCTAAGGTTATGGGATTCCACTTCCCACACTATAAAAGAAGGCCTGCAATTTGGTTCCAAGATGGCCAAATAGGAACAGCTCTGGTTTGCAGCTCCCAGCGTGATCGACACAGAAGATGGGTGATTTCTGCATTTCCAACTGAGGTACCTAGTTCATCTCATTGGGACTGGTTGGAAAGTGGGTGCAGCCCACAGACAGTGAGCCAAAGCAGGGCGGAGCATCACCTCACCCAGGAAGCACAAGGGGTTGGGGGATTTCCTTTTCCTAGCCAAGGGAAGCCGTGACAGACTATACCGGGAAAATTGGAGCACTGCCACCTAAACACTGCACTTTTCCAATGGTCTTAGCAAAGGGCACACCAGGAGATTATATCC